>NC_000019.10:35365874-35990874 GCF_000001405.40 Homo sapiens | reverse complement strand
CTTCCTCCTTCTTCCTCCTTCTTCCTCCTTCTTCCTCCTTCTTCCTCCTTCCTCCTTCCTCCTCCTTCTCCTAGTCCTTCTCCTCCTCCGTCTTCTTCTTCTTCCTTCTTTTTCCTTCTTCCTTCTTCTTCCTTCTTTTCCCTTCTTCCTTCTTCTTCCTTCTTCCTTTCTTCTTCTTCTTTTTTTTTTTGAGATGGAGTCTCCCTCTGTCTCCCAGGCTCGAGTGCAGTGGTGTGATCTCCATTCACTGCAACCTCCACCTCCAGGTTCAAGCAATTCTCCACCCTCAGCCTCTCAAGTAGCTGGGACTACAGGTGTGTGCCACCACACCCGGCTAATTTTTGTATTTTTAGTAGAGACACTGTTTTACTATGTTGGCCAGGCTGGTTTTGAACTCCTGACCTCAGGTGATCCACCCACCTCAGCCTCCCAAAGTGCTGGGATTACAGGCAGGAACCATCGCGCCCAGCCTCAAATTCCTCTTTCCAATCTCATCGCCTCTGCCCCTAGTCAGCCTGGCTTCCCATTGGTATTTCCCCACCTCCACACCTTTGTAGCTGCAGTTCCCTTTCCCTTGGATCCTCTTCCCACACATTCTCCTCCACCAATTCCACCTATGCTAGGAATTCTTCCTGGACTCCCACCAGGGGAAGGGGCTCTTCCAGCCAACCCATAGTCTGCCCTGCCTGCACCCCAGACCAAGCCAGAGCACTTATGGCAATGCTTGGGGCCCCTCCAGGGCATCACAGGGTTCCCAGGCTCCTGGCTGCTGCAGTATGGCCTGTGAGAGTGTCACAGAGACCACGGTGCTGGCCACTGGGATGACACGCATCCTGCAGGCATATACTAAGGAAGGGCTTGTTGATGTGGGCCACACAGTGGTTAAAGGGGCCATCCGGCACATGCAGGAGGCCACACAGTTTGGGAGCTTTGAAGATCTGGGCAAGTCATGTGGGCAGCTGACATGAAAGCCATGGTTGGGCTGGGTCAGTGGGCAGTGGATAGTGATCAGGCCCTTGGACCAGGACACGGTATCCAGAGGCAGGTCAAGTAGGCCAACATTGCCTCCAAAGGACCCATGGAGCCCCGCCAGCTCGCCTTAGAATTCAGAAGGCACCATGAGCTTCCCCAGGTGTACATGAGATACAGCCCACAGGCCATGTGCACCATGGCATGGTGGCCCTCCAAGGCGGCCAACCCCAGCCCCCTGGCAGTGCCCAGGGCAGCCAGTAGTGCTCACCATCCACCTGCAGGGGAGGTAAGGGGTCAGGACTGGGGCTGAGGAGGCTGAACCTGCTCCCATGCCTCCCTGAAACCTGGATGTCCCTCCTCATTGCGCCACAAATGAGGGTGAGACTTGGACAAGGGACTTAGCCTTTCTGAACTTCAGTTTCTGTGTTTGTAACATGGAAGGACAAGAGTACCTACTTCAGGCTGGGTGCGGTGGCTCATGCCTGTAATCCCAGCACTTTGGGAGGTTGAGGTGGGCGGGTCACTTGAGGCCAGGAGTTCGAGACCATCTTGGCCAACATGAAGAAACCCCATCTCTACTAAAAACTCAAAAATTAGCCAGGTGTGGTGGTGCAGGCCTGTAGTCCCAGCTGCTCAGGAGGCTGAGGCAGAAGAATCGCTTGAACCTGGGAGGCAGAGGTTGCAGTGAGCCAAGATGGTGCCATTGCACTGCCTGGGCGACAGACTGAGACTCCATCTCAAAAAAAAAAAAAAGAGTACCTATGCTAGGCATATGGTAAGTGCTTCATGACCCCTGCTAAGATCGGCCAATGCCAACCAACCCACAGACACATGAGTTAGGAAGCTGCCTGGGGTTAAGTCACTAAGATTTTGAGGTTGTTTGTTATGCAGCATTAGCTGACTGATACAGTTGCAATAAGGATTAGATGAGATGGTTCATGAAAATTCCTCAGAACAGTGCTGAGCACATGAAAAGCACTAAATAAAACACTAAATTGGCCGGGCATGTTGGCTCACATCTGTAATCCCAGCACTTTGGGAGGCTAAGGCAGGAGGATCCCTTGAGCCCAGAAGTTTGAGACCAGCCTGAGCAACATACTGAGACCCCATCTCTACAAAAATTAGGATGGCATGGTGGGGCATGCCTGTAGTCACAGCTACTCCAGAAGCTGAAGCGGGGGGATCACTTGAGCCCAGGAATTTGGGGCTGCAGTGAGCTGTGATCACATGACTATGCTCCAGCCTGGGTGACAGAGTAACATTCTGTCTCCAAAAACAAAACAAAACAAAAACCAACCAAACAAAAAACATCATAGCCAGTCACTAGCACATTGGTAATATGTGTTCAACATTCTAGGTGAGGAAAGGAATGACTTACCAAAGTATCAATTCCACCTTCTCTCTATTGCTTAAATGATCACTTATCTCTGCTTTGTAACCATCAAGAGTCTAGATTACCATCATTCATTTCCCGACCCTGCTAATAACCTGTTACCTTTTTTTTTTTTTTTTTTTTGAGACAGAGTCTCACTCTGTCACCTAGGCTGGAGTGCAGTGGCGCAATCTTGGCTCACTGCAACCTCCGCCTCCTAGGTTCAAGCAGTTCTCTGCCTCAGCCTCCCAAGTAGCTGGGGTTACAGGCACGCACCACCATGGCCAGCTAATTTTTGTATTTTTAGTAGAGACGGGGTTTCACCATCTTGGCCAGTCTGGTCTTGAATGCCTGACCTCGTGATCCACCTGCCTTGGCCTCCCAAAGTGCTGGGATTACAGGCGTGGGCCACCGCACCAGGCCATAACCCTTTATCTTGTCTCTACTCAGTCATGCCTGTCCTTCCTATACTCCATCCCCACCATCTAGCTGACTCTGCTAAACACCCTTATCTTTTTTTTTGTCTTTTTTCTTTTTTCTTATTTTTTTTAGACAGACTCTTGCTCTGTTGCCCAGGCTGGAGTGCAGTGGCACGATCTCGGCTCACTGCAACCTCCACCTCCTGGGCTCAAGCAATTCTCCTGCCTCAGCCTCCTGAATAGCTGGTACTACAGGCATGCACCACCACTTCCGGCTAATTTTTGTGTTTTTAATAGAGACAGGGTTTCACCATGTTGGCCCAGGCTGTCCTCGAACTCCTGACCTCAAGTGATTTGCCCGCCTCGGCCTCCCAAAGGGTTGGGATCACTGGAGTGAGCCACCGTGCCTGGCCTAAACACCCTTATCTTTTAAAGACATACACTTTTTAATTTTATTTAATTCTTTTAGAGACGAGGTCTGGCTCTGTTGCCTAGGCTGGAGTGCAGTGGCGCCACCATGGCTCACTGCAGC
This sequence comes from Homo sapiens, assembly GCF_000001405.40. NCBI lineage: Eukaryota > Metazoa > Chordata > Mammalia > Primates > Hominidae > Homo > Homo sapiens. The sequence goes on along the minus strand of NC_000019.10, from coordinate 35,987,579 downwards.
CTCGACCTCCTGGGCTTAAGGATCTTCCTACCTCAGTCTCTTGAGCAGCTGGGAACACAGGCGCGCACCACCCCCCCCCCCCCCCGCCTAATTTTTAATTTATTTTTTTGAGCCCGGGAATGGTGCGGGCCAGCAAGGGAGAGCACAGGGGCGGAGCGCGGGGGCGGGGGCCGCAGGGGCAGGGTACCAGACGGTGCCCAGCGGTGGGTGTCCGCCTGCAAGGAAGCAGCCGCATTCGGCTGCGGGCACTCAGAGGCGCCGCTCAGCGGGAAGCCCTGGCCGCATACTCAGCGCTCCCGGCAGGGCTGTCACCCGCGCATGTGGCCAGGTAGCGCGCAGCTCAGCGCGAACGCAGCGGGCACCGCAAAGCTGGGGCGGGCCGCGGGGGTGGGAGGGTCAGGGACAGAGACAGAGAGAGGTGGGGGAGACATAGCCAGGGTCGGATGGGGGAGGCGGAGATGGAGGATGCCCGCAGAGAGCAGCACGGGTGTGCCCGGGGAAGAAACAACGAGGAACCGAGAGAAGGGGAACGGGAACAGGGGAAGGGGCGGGGCAGAGGGAGGTCCAGAAAGAGAGACATGCAGAGAGCCAGCGGCACGGAGGAGACATAGAGACACCGAAAAAAGAGGCATAAAAGACAGAAAGACCTTGTTAATCAGGCCGGGCGCTGTGGCTCACGCCTGTAATCCCAGCACTTTAAGAGGCTGAGGAGGGAGAGCCGCTTGCGCCCAAGGATTCGAGGCAAGCTTGGGCAACATAGTGAGACCCCTGTCTCTATAAAAATTGTTAAAAATTTTAAAAAGACCTTGTTAATCAAACCAGACCAATCAAATCAAGTCATACCCCTGCCTGTCTTGCCGCATCTAATCTGGTCCTAACTGTTCTCCAGTACCCACCCTTCCTCGCCTAGCCCCACTGCCCAGGCCTGAACTTCTGTTGGTCCTGACGCGACCGTCCCCTGGTGGCCCATGTCAGGGCTCTTCAGAGCTTACCCCTCTCTCGAAAGCACACTCGTGACAGAAGGCAGACTCCCAGAGCCCTGCAAGCCACAGTGTAGGCAGCCAGGGCCCAGTATATGGTTCAGTGGGCGCTGTATTGGTGGCACACAGTGGGCCAGGCACTTGCTGAGGAATGGGCCTGGTCACAGTGCTGCATAGCCGGGCTCCAAGGGATCCACCGCCACTGCCAGCCACACTCACTGCCCATTCCTGGTGAATAGGGCATGCACGGCCATCTGGCAAAATCCAGGGCAGAGGGGCCCACAGACCTGGCTGCAACCTGGCAACTTAGCAACCTTCCGGGCATTGGGCAAGGATGTAATAGGGTCACTGGGGCCAGAGTCTACACAGGTAGGGTCCATATGGCCATGGCAGCATCACAAGTGCCAGGCTGTCCCAGTCATAGCAAGAGGCCAAAGTCTGTGTCCATGTACAGCTGGCAGCCCCAAAGTTGGGTGTGGAGGTGGTGGCCATAAGAGAAGGGCAGCGATTCCCAAATTCCGTCTACCTACACAGAGGGCATGCAGGCAGGTTGAACAGCAGCAGGAGATGGTCACTGAGTAGTGGGGGAGTCAGCAGAAAGGATCAGAGAGGGGTCAAAGAGAACCTTAGTGGCTGGTTAATGGGGGGAGTCATTAGGGATCATAGGAGGATTTGGTGGGAGGTAAGCTTGGGGCTCAATGGGGGGTCAGTATAGGATTCAAAGGGGGATCCATGGCAGAGTGGTTGGATGGCCAGAGTTGATGAGAGGTCAGTGGAAGTTCAATGAGGGGCAATAAGAGAATGGATAAGAGTCAGTGAAGAGGGGCCAGCAGCGGGGGGCAAGGGGAGGATCTAGAAAAGGGCAATGGAGGAAGGGATGGACAACTCCGTGGATCACTGAGGACCGAGGCTTAGTGGCTTTGGGCGACAATGGGGGCTCCCCTGGAGAGTAAATGGGGGTGGAGTCAGAAGGGTAGTCAGTGACTGACAAACGCTGCTGGGTTTGTGGATGGCAGTTCAAGGTTAATGGGCAACATCCTACTGGGAAGGATGCCTCTATGATCAATGAGGGCCTAGTGAGACTTGGACAGTGCTCTAGGAGAAGGTGTGCCAATGAATGAATGGGACACTATAGAAAACTCAACAGGGTGAGAAGATGAGTCAAAGAGAGGCTCAATTAGAGGGATAATAGAAAAGCAGGGGAATGCAGTGCAGGAGTTAGTCATATCCAGTATAGGAAGCTCAGTAGAGAATCAGTAGATGGCAGGGGTGGGGGCTTGATGGGCAGGTCCACAGGGGGTAAATGAGGACATTAATAGGCCAGTCAATGGATCACTGGGAAGGTCAACAAACTGCTCAGAAAGCATCAGTGTGGGAGGTCGGGACGGTGTCGGGTGGGGTCAATAGGACAGTAAATGGGATTAATGGGCAAGTCAGTATAACAGCAGTAGGATTGGTCAGGTATGGTGGCTCATGCCTCTAATCCCAGCACTTTGGGAGGCCAAGGCAGGAAGATCATTTGAGCCCAGGAGTTCAAGACCAGCCCGGGCAACATAGCGAGACCCCCTGTCTACAAAAAATTTTAAAAAGTAGCCAGTTGTGGTGGCGTGTGCTTATAGTCCCAACTACTCAGGAGGCTGAGGTGAGAGGATTGCTTGAGCTCAGAAGGTTGAGGCTGCAGTGAGCCGGGATCACGCCACTGGACTCCAGCCTGGACAACAGAGAGACTCTGTCTCAACAAACAAACAAACAAACAAACGTAGTAGGATCAGCTGGGGGAGGGCAATGGATGACTCAATGAAATAATTAATGGGATGTCCAATGACAGGGAGGGTCAATGCAGAGATGAGGCTGAGCCTGTGGGTTGAGGGGATTCAATTAGGGAGTTAATAGGATGACTATTGAGGATTCAATGGAGAGTCAATGGGAGGGTAAGTGGAATCTCAATGGCGGTTAATAATGACAAGTGGATGCCAGGCATGGTGGCCCCCTGTAATTCCAGCACTTTGGGAGGCTGAGGCAGGTGGATAACTTGACATCAGGAGTTAGAGACCAACCTGGGCTATATGGTGAAACCCCGTCTCTACCAAAAATACAAAAATTAGCCAGGCGTGGTGGCACGTGCCTGTAGTCCCAGCTACTTGGGAGGCTGAGGCAGGAGAATCACTTGAACCTGGGAGGTGGAGGTTGCAGTGAGCTGAGATCACACTATCGCACTCCAGCCTGGGCAGCAGCATGAGACTCTGTCTCAATAATAATAATAATGACAAGTGGAGAGTCGTGGGGAGGGGTCAACAAGCAAGTCAAGGGGAAGGTGGTGAGTAGCCACTGGTGCCACTAGGGCCACTAGGAAATTGGAGTAGACATCTTTAAGGGCCAGGGGCAGAACTACTAGAGGGAGCATCAGTAGGAAAAGAGTAGTCATCATGGGTGACCGGGGAGTAGATGGGACAGTGAGGAAGAGTGGGTCAGTGTGGGGCCTTTGGAGCCTCACCTCACTGTGGTTGAGGTCTTTTGGGCTCATGTCCTCGGGCCACAGGGTGAGAGGGTCAGGGCCTTGGGGAAGCTGTGTGGCCACAGAAGTGGGAGCAGATCCAGGCTGAAGGCTCAAGGTTGGCATGGGCTGCGCCACAGAGACGCACCAGGCAGTGGACACAAGAGATGAGGAATTCATAGTGAGCTCCTCCAAATGTGTGGAAACAGACAGCTCCCATGGCAGTGCAGACCTGTGATTCCTCCAGGACAATGGGGCTGGACAGGGACTGGGTTGACAGGCAGCTGTGCCAGCTACCTGTGGAGGCCTTGCAGTGATCTTGGCACTTGTCAGGCCAGCACTGGGGCACCCTGGTTACCAGGACCCCAAGGGCTGGGCAGCAGCCCTCCTGCAGCAGGCAGCTAGTCAGGCTTTGAAAGTAGCGGTACAGGGTGGCTGCAGTGCACTGGGGCTGATGAGGTTGGCACATGTGGCTGGGCATGCAGAGCCATGTGCGACAAAGCAGGAGTATTCTGGGCACTGGGGACTGTGGCTGGGACACAATGGTGGGAAAACAAGTGGTGGGGTCACAAGACTCAGGGCAGGGGTCGAGGTGGGGGGCTGTCAGAGGAAGAGGGATCAGGGACCCATGAAGACAAGGTCCCCAGTCCCTTCTTTCTCATGATCCAGAAGTCACGCCCCGATATGTGTGTGTGTGTGTGTGTGTGTGTATGCGCATGAGTGTGTGTGTGTGTGTGTGTGTGTGTGAGAGAGAGAGAGACTCGCTCTTTCACCCAGACTAGAGTGCAATGGCACGATCTCGGCTCACTGTAACCTCTGCCTCCTGAGTTCAAGTGATTCTCCAGTCTCAGCTTCCCGAATAGTTGGGATTGCAGGCACCCATGACCACATCTGACCAATTTTTGTATTTTTAGTAGAGACAGGGTTTCACCATGTTGACCAGGCTGGTCTTGAACTCCTGACCTCAAGTGATCCACTTGCCTTGGCCTCCCAAAGTGCTGGTATTACAGGCATAAGCCACCATGCCTGGCCTCATGCCCCAATCTTTGACTCCACTTCTGTAACCACACAACTGCACCAAAGCCACAGCCATGGACACCTCAGAATTGACAGCCTAAGACTCCATCTGTGATGCCACATACCTGCCCTCTAGGGCAGCTGAAGGGGAACATGGGTCATAGCCTCTCCTAGCCAGCAGGTACAGGAGGAGGAAGGGACCTTGATGAGGATGGTCTGGCCAGGCTGGGGAGGAATGGGGGTTGGGGGTGGTGTGGGGATGGTGAGGTGGTCATGGAGGGAGGGTGCAGCTATGGGTTCTGAGATAAGACCCATGTAAGGATAAGTACGGGGAATCAGTGGATGACCCAAGCAAGACTGTTAACAAAGACCGGAGAGAATGCTTGCAGGGAAGTACTGGCCATTGCAGAAGGAGGAACAGGGATGCAGTCACCCCCAGCCGGGAAGACTCCATCCTTACACTTGTGGCCCTCAGCATGGGGAGTGGGGAGCCCTACCACCTCTTGCACACCTGGGTTCACACACAGGCTGTGGTGGCTGTGCCAGGAACACAGCCTGGCTTTGGAGAGGTGGCTTGAGAGGCTCAGGCAAGCCAGGGACCCACCCTCTATTCAACCAGCATCCCCAGACAGCATCCTCCCAGCAACCCTCCCCCTTGGATTAATTATAGCAGCAATAATAACAACCGGCATTGACTGGGCAGTGTCTGCATACCATGCAGTGTGCTAGCTACTTTCAAGTGCCCTGGACATGACAAACATGGCTTCCTTGCTCTTTTTTTGGAGGGGTCTTGCCTACTATTCCCAGCCTCTGCTGACAGGGAGACATGTGGTCCCACCCAGCATCATGGGTGTGTGGGGAACCTGTCAGGGATCTCTAGTAATGAATGCCTTTTTTGCCTTCCCCACCCTTTTTTTTTTTTTTTTTTTTGAGACGGAGTCTTGCTCTGTCACCCAGGCTGGAGTGCAGTGGCTCGATCTCAGCTCACTGCAAACTCCTCCTCCTGGGTTCATGCGATTCTTCTGCCTCAGCCTCCCAAGTAACTGGGATTACAGGTGCACACAACCACGCCAGCTGTTTTGTTGTTGTTGTTGTTGTTTTTCACATTTTTACTAGAGATGGGGTTTCACCATGTTTGCCAGGCTGGTCTCGAACTCCTGGCCTTGGGTGATCCACCCGCCTCAGCCTCCCAAAGTGTTGGGATTACAGGAGTGAGCCACCACGCCTGTCCCTCACCCTTCTAATAATAATACTTGCACCTTCTTTTTGGCAGCTGCCCGTACTTTCAGCATGTGCACTGAAGGGATTCCATATCCAGGATCCAGTGATGTGTACAGGACCCAGGGCTGCCTAATCAGCTTATTTCTCACGCCTCTGGGCCCCAATCATTGGCCAGGCAAAGCCTATCAGAGGCAACCCTGGGACCTTTGCAGGAACCGATGGCAAAGGGTGTTAAATTTTCTCCAGGGTCTGTGCATAGTGGATCATACCTGTAATCCCAGCAATTTGGGAGGCTGAGGTAGGTGGATCGCTTGAGCCCAGGAATTCAAGACCAGCCTGGGCCACATGGCAAAAGCCCATCACTACAAAAAGTACAAAAATTATCTGGACATGGTGGCGTGTGCCTGTAGTTCCAGCTACTTGGGAGGCAAGGATGGGAGGATCGCTTGAGCCCAGGAGGTTGAGGCTGCAGTAAGCTGATATCACACCATTGAATTCCAGCCTGGGCAACAGAGGAAGACTCTGTCTCAAAAAAGAAAAGAAAAGAAAAGAAAAGAAAAGAAAAGAAGAGAAGAGAAGAGAAGAGAAGAGAAGAGAAGAGAAAAGAAAAGAAAAGAAAAGAAAAGAAAAGAAAAGAATCCTTCCTGATAGAGTGACCACATTGTGTTCACATGACCCTACCTCTTGCCATAGATGGTTAGGTCAGAGCTGGACAAAAAGTGTGTGTGTTTCGCGGGGGCGAGAGGCCAATCTATAGCAAAAGGCCAGACAGATTCCCTCAACGAGCACTTCAACCTAGAGGCAAAAAGAGATGGGGGGAGTGGAGGATGGTGACCCAAAAAGGGTAAGTCAGGGTGGGGCCAGGAATCCTTGAGGCACATGGAGGAGACGTGGATATAGAGACTCCAAGTTGGGGAGAATCTGTTAAATCCACGAACAAATATTCAGATGCCAGCTATGCCATGTTTTAGGCATGTGACATCGGGCACATTCCTTAACCATCCATGCCTTGGTTTCCTTCATCCATAAAATGTAAATGGGAGGATTGATTGAGGGAGAACAGGGCTTAGAACTGAGAGAGTACTCAGTAAAGGTCAGCCGTTCTTTTTTTTTTTTTTTTTTTTTTTTTTTGAGATGGAGTCTCGCTCTGTCACCCAGACTGGAGTGCAGTGGTGCAATCTCAGCTCACTGCAAGCTCCGCCTCTGGGTTCATGCCATTCTTCTGCCTCAGCCTCCCAAGTAGCTGGAACTACAGGCACCCGCCACCACTCCCGGCTAATTTTTTGTATTTTTAGTAGAGACGGGGTTTCACCGTGGTCTCGATCTCCTGACCTCATGATCCACCCGCCTCTGCCTCCCAAAGTGCTGGGATTACAAGTGTGAGCCACCATGCCCGGCCTCCGGCTAATTTTTGTCTTTCTAGTAGGGACGGGTTTTTGCCCCGTCTAGTAGGGACGGGGTTTTGTCCAGGCTGGTCTCAAACTCCTGGCCCCCTGTGATCCACCCGCCTTTGCCTCCCAAAGTGCTGGGATCACAGTGTGAGCCACTGTGCCTGGCCCTTTTTTTTTTTGAGACAGGGTCTCACTTTGTCACCCAGGCTGGAGTGCAGTACTGCCATAATAACTCACTGCAGCCTCCAAATCCTGGGCTCCAGTGATCCTCCCTACTCAGCCTCCAGAGCTGTGGTTGGGACCACAGGCACATGCCACCACACCTGGCTAATTGTTTAACTTTTTTTGCAGAGACAGGGTCTTGCCATGTTGCCCAGGCTGGTCTTGAACTCCTGGGTTCAAGCAATTCCCAAAGTGTTGGGATTACAGGTGTGAGCCACTGCACCTGGCCAGATTTTGCATTTTCAATAAGCTCTGGGTGTTGCTAATGCTGCTGGGGGGCTTTAAGAACTGCTGTCTTCAGGTAGCCCCTGATGTAGGTTGTGTGCCCTGTAAGTGTTAGCTAAGAAAGAAAATCAAATCTGTCTTCCCCACAAGAATATGTGCAGTACTCAGCTGAGCGCGGTGGCTCACGCCTGTAATCCCAGCACTTTGGGAAGCTGAGGCAGGCAGATCACCTGAGGTCAGGAGTTTGAGACCAGCCTGGCCACCATGGTGAAACCCCATCTCTACTAAAAATACAAAAATTAACCGGACGTGGTGGTGAGTGCCTGTAGTCCCAGCTACTCGGGAGGCTGAGGCTGGAGAATCGCTTGAACCCAGGAGGTGGAGGTTGCAGCGAGCCGAGATTGCGTCACTGCACTCCAGCCTGGGTGACAGAGCAAGAATGTCTCAAAAAAAAAAAAAAAAAAAAAGGTATGTGCAGGACTCTATCCTGTTGGTGCTCTATCTCCAGCCTATGCCCAGCACTTAGTAGGTCCTCAATCCGTACCTGTGGAGTCACTACAGACCAGACCCAGGTCTCTTGCAGGCCCTGCCTCATGCTGGCTCTGTCCGCTCTTGGGTGGAGACTCACAGCAGAGGCCCAGGCCCTCCAGGACAGCACACTGGTACCAGCCATCAGCTCACAGGCAGGCATGGGGCACTTTGTGGTTCCAGGGATGTGGTCCACTTCGGCCACGCAGGCCTGGAAGAAGGACTGTCTGGTGACAGGTGTGTGTGACAGGGTGCCAGTGGGTCCCTGGCTAGGCAAGAGGCTACAGGCACTGGACCACATCGTGTCTGTGCCAGGGTCCTCGGTGGCTGCCGGACAGACTGACCTTGGGCAAGTATGCGGCGGGGCGCAGGGCTCGGGCCTCGGCAGCTGCCAAGTCATCCACCTGCTGTCTTACCTTTGCAGTTGCCATGGAGGCCACGGGGAATCAGAGGTCGGAGGCGGTGTGCCAGGACTGGTGCGGGAAGAGTGGAGGGGGATCAGATGCATGTGAGAAGGAACATGGGGGTGAGGTATGAAGAAACACGGGACTGTGGGGGAGGGGAGAGCCGAGGCGAGGGGGTTGTAGGCAACACTCAGGATGGGCATTGTGGAGTACGACCAGCACCACGGCAGGAAGTCAGGGGAGGGGCGTGGAGACCAAGGGAGGAGGAGAGAGAGTAGTAGGGTGGGCAGGGCGGTGTGGGGAGAAACAGGGATTAGCATTAGGGACAAGGGAGGGATCTAGAGCCAGGGAGGAGTCTGGAGAGACTAAGAGGACGAGGGGCTATTCTGAGAGGAAGGGTTGGTGGTGAGGGAGGGGCAGGCAGGGAAGGGGTTTGGGGAGGAGCCAATGGCAGCTGTTGGGGAGAGGGGTCACTTCCAGATCTAAGAGGAGGAGAAAGAACGGGGAGATGAAGACTTGGGGCAGGAGAGAGTGGTGGGGCGTGCTGGCGTGGTGAAGTGAGGGAGGAGGGGAGTGGGGGAGACACAGTGAGACTGGGCTGCATGGAGCAGGAGGTGCGGCCAGCAGGGGACTGGCTTTAATCAGAGCAGGGCTGGCACTTTAGGATGGGTTAAGGTCCAATGTGGACCATGAGGGCCAGGCACGGCAGCTCATGCCTGTAATCCCAGCACTTTGGGAGGCCAGTGGATGAGCTGTGGCCAGGAGTTTGAGACCAACCTGGCCAATGTGGTGAAACCCCATCTCTACTAAAAATATAAAACTTAGCTGGGTGTCGTGGTGCACACCTGTAATCCCAGCTACTCAGGAGGCTGAAGCAGGAGAATTGCTTGATCCCAGTAGGCGGAGGTTGCAGTGCCATTGCACTCCGGTCTGGGCAACAGAGTAACACTCCATCAAGAAAAAAAGAAAGAAAGAAAGAAATAAGGAAAGGGAAAGGGAAGGAGAGCGATACAGAAGTGCAGATGGGAGAAGGGAGGAGAAGAGTGGAAATTAGGGTGTTGGCAAGGGGAAGGGAAGGAAGGCATCAGAGAGCCATACACAGAGATCCTGTCCACCGGAACAGAGATGCAAAGTTGCTAAAATGAGGTAAATGACAGGACAAGGGTTCTCTTGACTGTCCCTGGTTACCGAGGTCCACACCAAAGTAGTGGCCATGCACACATAGCAGCAGCACATGGCAGAGGCCGGACAGTCCCAGGTCTCTCTCCAGCACCACCTCGAAGGGCTGCACACCCCACAGGCAGCCCAAAACCGTGCAGACACCCAGGAGCCCAAATGTGGTGCTCCCAAAGGGGCGGTCATGGAGTTGCCTGAGGCTGTGCAGAGGCCTGGGGCCTCCTAGGGGATGTGGCAGGGTTTGCAAGCCACCAACCTTGGCAGGCAGCAGCACCAGATGGCGGGCAAGTGGCTGCCGTGGGCCCACCCTCCATGCAGGGGGCGCTAGGATCTGTCATCTGGTGCCCTGCAGGGGTGGGGCTGGAGAGCTCAGCTTAGACAGAACTGAAGCTGGAACCTCAGATCAGTAAAGCCCAGGTGGCTAACTGTGGTTCACAGGCAGTGATGGGTCTCTGGGATGGGTGACGGCTTCGGGGCTGGGCCGTGATCAGGTTCTGAGTCCCTGAAGAGATAAGGGCTGAAGTGCTGGGCCATAATCAGGGCTGAGATTGGGGAAGCATATGAGGTGGGGGCTGGCTTTAATCAGAGTAGGGCTGACACTTTAGGATGGGCAATGGTTGAGGTCAAGTCTGGACAATGAGTGGGGAGGGGGTGAGGCCGGCATCACGGGAAGTACAAGGTCTCAGGGATTAAATGGGGCAGTGAGGGTCTGCCATCCTGGGATAGGCAACAGCTGAGGAGCTGAACTCCAGTCGGGAGTGGAGCCAGGCTCCCCAGATGAACAAACCCGGATGAGCATGCGGCAGGGTCCAGCACCCAGACACATCTCCACCACTCAGTGTTGGAAATAGGGACCTGGTGCCAGCAACTCATGACACAGCTGGAGGGGCCCCAGGGCATCCAGGAGGATGCCATAGATGTGAACAAAGTGGGCCAGGGTGCTAGTGGTTGGCAGGGTGGCACAGGATGGTGGTCATGATGGCATCTTGCCAGAGGCATTTGGACACCCAGACAGCCCACCAAGCAGCCACAGGCCCAAGCCAATATGTCCTCAGGCAGCTTGGTGCTTGCCTCAACTCTGGGCATCCAGGTACCCCCCAGTGTAGTCAGCACCTAACCCCGCCCCTATTGCTGCTGGTAGCATCAGTGTTGCATGGATCCCGGGGTGTAGGTCCCACACAGGCCAAAGGGGCAGCTGGCCATGGTGTCCCAGCCCTGGCAGAAGATGAGTGCACTGTTGCCTGGAGCCTGTAAGTGCAGATTCTTGCAGTCACCATTCACCTGCGGGGAGAGGGCAGGTCAAGCTAGAGCTTGGGGGCCCAGTGTCAGTACCAAGGATGCCTGGACCCCTGCTTTTAGCAGGGGTTCTGGGGGGCCAGTTGAGGGGCTGGGGGTCTGTCCACAAACCTAGAAATGCTTGGACTGCTGTTCATGATCCTGACCACCCTTTTCAACAAATCTTGAGAGGTAAGAATTATGGATTCTGGAGGTTGGGACTATAGTTTTCCTCAATTAGAATTGATATAGTTTATGTGCAGAATAGGCTGGGTGCAGTAGGTGATGCTTTAATCTCAGCAACTTGGGAGGCCAAGGCGGGCCAATTGCTTGAATCCTGGAGTTCGAGGCCAGCCTGGACAACACAGTAAGACCCTGTCTTTCCAAAAAATGAACATACATATTGACTTGCACCTGTAGTCCCAGCTACTAGAGAGGCTACAGGGGCAAGAGGTGAGAGGATTGCTTAAGTCCAAGTGGTTGAGGCTACAGTGAGCCGCGGTCCCACCACTGCATTCTAGCCTGGGCAAGAGTGAGACTGTCTCAAATACATACATACACACACACACACACACATACACACACACACACACACACACACGTGTATAAAATAGAACAGTTCTCAGCTCATAGTTGGTGCTCAATAAATATTTGTCGAACTAATGCATGAATGAATAAATGAATGAGGTTCATAGGTGATGCTGGTCTATAAGCATTCCAAGGATGCTGGACTTTCTAAGTAATGGCAGGGGTTCCAGGGTGCTGTGATGACTGGTACTGGGCAGGGGGTGGGCCCACAGCAGCTACAAATGCCTGAACTGCTGTCCATGGTTCTGATCGTTGTTGTCCACAGCAGTTGTGTTTGGCATCTAGGATTTGGGGGGCTGTGAGGGTTTGTAAACATTGGGGATTGGGACTTTAGAACTCCTGGATCCTATATGGGGGTGCCCAGGACCTGGACTGAGAGTGTGTTCTGAAATTCAGTTAACATACTTAAAGAAGCACTTCAAATAGTGCCTGGAACACAGTAGATACTCAATATATGGTTGTTGAATGAGGAAATGGAATTATTGGCTCAGAACTGGGTTCCAAGATCCCAGAGTCTGACACTTCTGGTACACTGGGGCTTGCCCTTGAGATTCTAGGATTTTGTTTTTGACAGAGTCTTGCTCTGTCGCCCAGGCTGGAGTGCAGTGGCACAATCTCGGCTCACTCCAATCTCCACCTCCTGAGTTCAAGCGATTCTCCTGTCTCAGCCTCCCTAGATTCTGGGATTATAGGCACCTGCCACCACACCCAACTAATTTTTGTATTTTTAGTAGAGATGGGGTTTCATCATATTGGTCAGGCTGGTCTTGAACTCCTGACCTCAGATTATCCGCCTGCCTCAGCCTCCTAAAGTGCTGGGATTACGGGCATGAGCCACCGCGCCTGGCAGGACCCTGTCTCTTAAAAAAGGAAGAAGCAGCCTGTGTCGCAGGCACAAGTATGCCCGCAGGGCAGTGGTAACCCCCAGTGGGCCTGCCTGTGGGGGGTCTCTGGACAGGATAAGCCACATGGCTCATAGTGATTGTTTTCGGGGCACTCAATAGCTGCAGGGGCAGGAGTGGGGATGGAGAAAGACAGGAAGGGAAAGGTATTCACACCAGGACTCCCAGGTCTGGTTTCCAAGACCCAAGCATTTGGCCACCCCTATAGTGCAAATGTCCCTGCTCTCAGCTTCCAGGAATCCCTACCAACATCCTGTGGTCCTCACCCTCTAGAATGGAGCTCTCCAGGCAACAGACCCAGCAATCCCTGCCTCACAGAGTAAAGAAGTCTCTGTGCTAAGAAACCAGAAGTCCACTCCCCAGAACATAGAAGTCTGGCTCTGGGACAGGCGTAGTGGCTCACATCTGTAATCCCAGCATTTTGGGAGGCCAAGGTGGGAGGATCACTTGAGCTCAGGAATTAGAGACCAGCCTGGGCAACATAGGAAGACCTCATCTTTACAAAAAAAATTAAAAAATTATCTGGGCATAGTGGCACATGCCCGTGGTCCCAGATACTTGGGAAGCTGAGGAGGGAGGATGGCTTGAGCCTGGGAGGTTGAGGCTGCAGTGAGCTATGATAGTACCACTGCACTCCAGCCTTGGCAACAGAGTGATACCCTGTCTAAATAAACAACAGAGTGACATCCTGTCTAAATAAATAAATAAGTCTGGCTCTGGGACTCAGAGCGCTCACCCCAGATACTGGAGTTGTCACCACCTAGGTGTTCTAGTCTCTAGAACTTGAGAACCCAGCAGTCCCAGCCCTATAGCCAAGTTGTTCCCATGCCCAGGACCCAGAAGCCCTGGCCCCAGACCCAAAGAGCCCTGTCTCTGGGCCCTAGAATTATTTTCCCCGCACCCCCCAACTCAGCAGTCTTGCCCCCAGGACCCAGAGGCTGTCCCCTTCCAGGGACCCTACACCCTTGCCCCAGGAATCAGCCTCCAGAACTAAGGAGTGTCATTCCTAAGTCCCAGAATCCCCTTTACCCAGCAGCCTATAACCCTTTCCCTTGAAGGGTCACTCACGGCAGCCAGCCCAGAAGCTCGAGGGCTCAGTGTTGACACTGAGGCCTGACAGGGTGTACACAGACATGGAAGCACTCCCAAAGCGTAGGCAGGGAGCTGGGGAAGGGGCATATCCAGGCACGGCACTGGCCTCGAAGGGTGTAGGTGTCACACTTGGTGGCAGTGGCTAAGGGGCCCCTTTGGGGCTACAGGGACAGCACAGGGCCCCCAGTCTCCTGTGGGGACTAAGGCTTGGCTCAGGGTATCAGGTGGCTGCGGGGCCCAAATGCACGAAGACCAGTGGATCTGGACTGCCCATGTCATGGTCCTGCCTGAATGAAGTCACTGCACAGTCTGCCTTGTGTGAGTGGCAACCTTCAGCCACGTGCAGTGACGTGTGTGCTGCCGGTTGTAAAAGAGATGCAGTGTGGGCGGTTCTTGCTCCAGACCTGCCTCTGCCCATGGTTCTGAGGTGTGGAAGTACAACCATAGCCATCTGTCGCCCAGGATAACTGACAGCCCCAGCTGCTGTGGGTTCCCCTGCAGGAGTGACCAAGAGCTGGGGTCTTCAGAGGGGCTGAATTCCTGAGCATCGGGGAGGGGTGGAGGATAAGGAGGTTGAGGGGGTTGGATTCTGGGATATTGAGAGTGGGGCCTTTGCAGATCTAGGATGCCCCACCCTCGTCTACTAACCAAGAATCTTTCTTTTTCTTCTTCTTCTTCTTTTTTTTTTTTTCGAGACAGAGTCTCACCCTGCCGCCCAGGTTGGAGTGCAGTGGCACAGTCTCGGCTCACTGCAAGCTCCGTCTCCTGGGTTCACGCCATTCTCCTGTCTCAGCCTCCCCAGTAGCTGGGACTACAGGCGCCTGCCACCACGCCCCGTAATTTTTTGTATTTTTAGTAGAGACAGGGTTTCACTGTGCTAGCCAGGATGGTCTCGATCTCCTGACCTTGTGATCCGCCCACCTTGGCCTCCCAAAGTGCTGTGATTACAGGTGTGAGCCACCGTGCCCAGCTAACCAAGAATCTTTCTGTGTGTGTGTGTGTGTGTGTGTGTGTGTGTGTGTGTGTGTGTGTGTGTGTGTGTTTAAGTAGAGACGAGGTTTCGTCATGTTGCCCAGGCTGGTCTGGAACTCCTGAGCTCAAGCAGTCTGCCCACCTTGGCCTCCTAAAGTGCTGGGATTGTAGATGTGAGCCACCATGCCCAGCCTCTATCCGGGAATCTTTTTTTTTTTTTTTTTTTTTTTTGAGACAGAGTCTCGCTCTGTCTCCCAGGCTGGAATGCAGTGGCGAGATCTTGGCTCACTGCAACCTCCACCTCCCAGGTTCAAGCAATTCTGCTCTCTCAGCCTCCTGAGTAGCTGGGATTACAGGCGTGCACTACCATGCCAAGCTAATTTTTGTAGTTTTAGTAGAGACAGGGTTTCACCATGTTGGTCAGGCTGGTTTTGAACTCCTGACCTCGTGATCCGCCCGCCTTGGCCTCCCAAAGTGTTGGGATTACAGGCGTGAGCCACTGTGCCCGGCCTTCTTTTTTTTTTTTTTTAAACTGGGAGTCTTGATTTCAATATCCAGATTTGTCCTAACACAATACTTGCAAGTCCTCTTCTCAGGAATCTAGATGAGTAATCCTACCAAGGAGCCAGGTGTGCCCACCTCATCCAGTAAACAGGAGAGCCTTCAGACAGGACCCAAGGGCTTCCCCCATTACCAAGAGCCTCCACCTGTCCTTCCAGATCAAGGGGTACCTCCTTTCTCCCAGTCCATGATTTCCTTATTTTGCCTCACTTGGTGGTTTCCAGCCCACATTTCTCCTGCGTTCACTGCCCCACCCTGGTCCAAGCCCCATTGTCTCCTGCCGGGACTACTGCAGCAGCCTCCTCACTGTTGTTCCTCCAGGCCTCATTCCTTCACAAGCCCTGTAATCTGTTCTCAACTGGCAGCCACAGGGATGTTGTTAGTGTCTGATATAGTTTGGCTATTTGTCCCTGCCCAAATCTTGGCAGGGCGCAGTGGCTCACGCCTGTAATCCCAGCACTTTGGGAGGCTGAGGCAGGTGGATCACCTGAGGTCAAGAGTTCCAGACCAGCCTGGCCAACATAGTGAAACCCCGTGTCTACTAAAAACACAAAAATTATCCGAGTGTGGTGGCATGTGCCTGTAGTCCCAGGCTACTTGGGAGGCTGAGGCAGGACAATTGCTTGAACCTGGGAGGCAGAGGTTGCAGTGAGCCAAGATCTCACCACTGCACTCCAGCCTGGGCAACAGAGTGAGACTCAGTCTCAAAAAAAAAAAAAAAATTCTAAAATTCCAATTAATTGAGGAAGGAACACAGGAGTGTCAAGTCCTTGGGAAAAGAGGGATCATGTTGGTGAGAGTATAAGTCTGGAGCCCTGAGTATCTGAAGGTTCTGGATACCTGGGGTGGGGGCTACTGGATGCTGGGGAGCCTTAAGAGCACTGGGGGGCATCCTGACCCCTGAGTGGCAGGGCAAACTCCCAGGCGGTGTGGAGGCAGGTATGCAGCATCATGGCTTCACGTCTCGGGTCCTAGCTTTGCATATTTTCTGTGCTTTCCATATATTAGCTCATTTAATCCTCACTACAGCCCTATGAATCAGATCTTTTCATCATTCTCATTTCACATATGAAGAAATTGAGGCCCAGAGAGGTTAAATAATTTATCCAAGGTCACATAGATATCAAGTGCCAAACCGGAATTTGAACCCAGGCCACCATTGTTTTTCTATAGTGGTGCTGAGGGGTGGCCTAGTGTGGCAAGCCACATCTCATGAACGCAGGCCTCCATAACAACTGTTTTAGCACTGACTGTGGTTGGGTTAAATACTAAAAGCTGATAGAGGCCAGGAGCGGTGGCTCACGCCTGTAAGCCCAGCACTTTGGGAGGCTGAGGCAGGAGGATCATCTGAGGTCGGGAGTTCGAGACCAGCCTGGCCAATATAGTAAAGCCCCGTCTCTACTAAAAATACAAAAAAAATTAGCTGGGCATGGTGGTGCACACCTGTAATCCCAGCTACCTGGGAGAGTTGAATCTGGGAGGAGGAGGTTGCAGTGAGTTGAGATGGCGCCACTGTGCTCCAGCCTGGACAAGAGAGTGAGACTCCGTCTCAAAAAAGAAAAAAGAAACAAAACAAAAAACGCTGGTAGAGCCAGCGTCCATACAAAGGCTGGAATGTAACAAAAGCTCACCAAGAGTTTAGGCCAGGCCTTTCCTGGCCCTTGAGGCATGACAAGATCATGAAGGAATTCCTTTATTTTTTGTTTTTTTGAGACAGAGTTTCACTCTTGTTGCCCAGGCTGGAGTGCAATGGCGCGATCTCAGCTCACCACAACCTCCACCTCCCAGGTTCAAGCAATTCTCTTGCCTCAGCTTCCCGAGTAGCTGGGATTACAGGCATGCGCCACCATGCCCAGCTAATTTTGTATTTTTAGTAGAGATGGGATTTCTCTGTGTTGGTCAGGCTGGTCTCGAACTCCCGACCTCAGGTGATCCTCCCGCCTCAGCCTCCCAAAGTGCTGGTATTACAGGCATGAGCCACCATGCCCAGCCTCACGAAGGAATTCTTAACAGTTCCCATTTAAGATTATACAAGCTTTATTGGGGGTCTGAAGGAACTCCCCAGACCTTCACAAACAAGCTTTATTGGAGACTAAAGGAACTCCCCAAGCCTCCATAATTTAGCAGGAGACAAGATAAGGGTAATCACCCCAGCACCTGGACCCATTTAGATGAAGTAAATTTACTCATGTAAGTTTGCATTCATCTAAAGACATAAGTGATTAATTTCTTCTAATATAGCCTAGAATGTATATAAGCTCTGGAAAACGTTATAATTTTGAGTTGATCTGGGGATAATTTCCAGGCCTTCTCCCTGTAATCAGTTACAGAAATAAAAATTCTCTTCTTTCCCAGTTTATTTGTGTCTCATTATTAGGCTGTGAGAATAAGCAGCCCAACCCTCGGTTTGGTCTGGGTACACTAGTACATCATAACCTTCATCAGGTCCCCCCAGCCAGCAACCCGGATTAAACATACTCTAGCCCCCACAACCTTCTAACCAGAGCAGAGCCCCTAAACCTTCCTGGAGGAGAGATTTGGGACATGCTAGTGGCTGCATGTGGTCCTAGGATATGTTCACAGCTCGGGGAATTTGGAAGCTTCATATGCCTGTGTCAGGAAATGATAAACACAGCAAACACCCCCTCATATGACACTTACCATGAGTTGGACTCTGTTCCAAGTGCTTTTCCTGTGTTAACTCATTCTCACCTCACAGGAACCTGCTGAGGGAGGAGCTAGAGAGCCACAATCCCTTATCTACCATCTACAAAAGCAAACAACAACAACAACAACCAAAAGACCTGAAGACTGAATATGTTTTGTGTGTTTGATGTTAAAACTCAATTATCAGCAAAAGCTAACCTGAACTCATGTGTGGCTGCTATAGTCTTAATTTATCCTCCTTTGTGTGACTATTCAGACATTTCACTGCAAAGATATTAATGTTTGTGATTATGTAACACACACTGGGAGTGTTATATAATATGTGGCATTTGCCTGGTTTGACCATTCTAAATTCCAAAATCTGAAATGCACCTGGCCCCAGACATTTTAGATAAGGGACTTTGGACCTGTATAATTGCATCTTTTTTTTTTTTTTTTTTTTTTTTTTTTTTTTTTTGAGACAGACTCTCACTGTGTCCCCCAGGCTGGAGTTCGGTGGCGTGATCTCAGCTCACTACAACTTCTGCCTCCCAGGTTCAAGTGATTCTCCTTCTTTAGCATCCCCAGTAGCTGGGATTACAGGCACCCGCCACCATGCCCAGCTAATTTTTGTGTTTTTAGTAGGGATGGGATTTCACCATGTTGGCCAGGCTGGTCTCGAACTCCTGACCTTAGGTGATCCGCCCACCTTGGCCTCCCAAAGTGCTGGGATTATGGGCATGAGCCACTATGCCCGGTAAACAATTTTTTTTTTCTTTGAGACAGTCTTGCTCTGTCACTCAGGCTGGAGTGCACTGGCACACTCTGCTCACTGCAACCTCTGCCTCTTGGGTTCAAGTGATCCTCCCACCTCAGCCTCCCTAGTAGCTGAAACTACAGGTGAGCGCCACCAGGCCCAGCTAATTTTTGTATTTTTAGTAGAGACGGGGTTTCACCATGTTGGCCAGGCTGGTCTCGAACTCCTGACCTCAGGTGATCCGCCTGCCTCAGCCTCCCAAAGCGCTAGGATTACAGATGTGAGCCACCGCCCCAGCCTATATCATTGCTTCTATTTTAGAGGTGACAAAAATGACCTGCCAGGCATGGTGGCTCACATGCCTGTGATTCTAGTGCTTTGGGAGGCCGAGGACAGAAGATTGCTTGAGGCCAGGAGTTTGAGACCAGCCTGGACAATATAGCGAGACCCTGTCTCTTCAAAACAATTTAAAGAGCCAGGCATGGTAGTGTGTGCCTGTGGTCCTAGCTACTTGGGAGGCTGAGGTGGGAGGATCACTTGAGCCCAGGAGATTGAGGCTACAGTGAGCTATGATGGCACCATTGCACTCCAGCCTGGGTGACTAAACAAGACCCTGTCTCGAAAAAGAAAAAAAGCTCCCAAAATTGATGAACAGAGAAGGATGGGGTCTCCCAAGATCCCATACACTGTGATTCTTATCTGGATAGGGCCACACTTGTGCTTGACAGCAGTGATGGTAATACCAAAGATGCACCCTGTGACAAAGCACATGGGCTGCCTCCCTTCAGGACAGGAGACCCACAGTTAGGAGGCAGGGAGGCTGCTGAGGAGGGACTAGGGGCATCAGCTCAGCATGTAGGTGCAGATCCCAGGCATGGGGAACAAGTGGTCATTGAAAATCTAGATGTATACTGGCCAGGCACGACGGCTCACGTCTGTGATCCCGGCACTTTAGGAGGCTGAGGTGAGCAGATCGCTTGAGGCCAGGAGTTTGGACCAGCCTGGCCAACATGGTGACACCCCGTCTCTAAAAATACAGAAATTAGCCAGGCGTGGTGGTGCACACCTGTAATCCCAGGTACTCGGGAGGTTGAGGCAAGCGAATTGCTTGAGCTTGGGAGACAGAGGCTACAGGGAGCTGAGACTGTGACATTGAACTCCAGTGTGGGTGACGGCAAGACCCTGTCTTTTTTTTTTTTTTTTTTTTTTTTTAGATGGAGTCTTGCTCTGTCGTCCAGGCTGGAAGTGCAGTGGTGCAATCTCGGCTCACTGCAACCTCCACCTCCCGAATTCAAGCAATTCTCTTGCCTCAGCCTCCCAAGTAGCTGGGATTACAGGGACCCGCCACCATGCCTGGCTAATTTTTTTGTATTTTTAGTAGAAACGGGGTTTCACCATTATTGGCCAGCTGGTCTCAAACTGCTAACCTTGTGATCCGCCCATCTCGGCCTCCCAAAGTGCTGGGATTACAGACATGAGCCACTGCGCCAGGCCCGACCCTGTCTTTAAAAAAAAAAAGAAATCAGGCCGGGTGCGGTGGCTCATGCCTGTAATCCCAGCATTTTGGAAGGCTGAGGTGGGCGGATCACCTGAGGTTGGGAGTTCAAGACCAGCCTGTCCAACATGGAGAAACCCCATCTCTACTAAAAATACAAAATTAGCCTGGTGTAATGGCACATGCCTGTAATCCCAGCTACTCAGGAGGCTGAGGCAGGAGAATCGCTTGAAGGTAGAACCTTCAAGCTTGAACCTCTACCCGGGAGGTAGAGGTTGCAATGAGCCGAGATCGTGCCATTGCACTCCAGCCTGGGCAACAAGAGCAAAACTCCTTCTCAAAAAAAAAAAAAAAAGAAAGAAAGAAAGAAAAAAAGTCTAGATGTATGGTAGCCCAGAGGCTCAGGTGGTAGCCCCTGTGATGGCCCCTTGTCCTTTGCTACAGTCAAGTCCTAATTTTGCCACAGCCAGAGTCTTTAAGCTTGGTTTAGTCACTGTCACCACCTTGAGCCCCAGCTTGGCCATGAGACAGTTCTGACCCAGACACAGATACTGTCTTGGTTTTGGACATGGTTGTAGACAATGGTTAGCTATGGGTTTGGTAGGTGGTATAGGTGCTGGTTCAGCTACAGCCAGAGTTGCAGGAAGTGGTTCTTTCACAGTCACAAGTCGAGGCACTGGTGCGGCTGCAGCTACAGGTTCAGGGCAGGGTTCATTTACGGTCACTTGTGCAAGCCCCAGATGAGCCATGGCCACAGGTTCAGGCTCAGGTCCCCCCAGGAGCACAGGCACAAGCCTTGGCTCAGCTTCAGGTGTGTTGTTTGGTCCTGATGCAGCCACTGCCATGGTCTTAGAGCTGAAGATGGACGGTGTTTTGGAGTCCTGCCATCTTGGAACTGGACAAGGTCTCAGACTCACATGTGACCTGAGTGGTGGGCACACATTTAGGCCTTTTTCATTTATTTATTTATTTAGATTTTAAATTACTTTTTTGTTTTTTGTTTTTTTCTTTTTTCTTTTTCTTTTTTATTTTGAGGCAGGGTCTGGCTCTGTTGCCCAGGCTGAGGTGCAGTGGTGCGATCTCAGCTCACTGCAACCTCCACCTCCTGGACTCAAGCCATCTTCCCACCTCAGCCTCCTAAGTAGCTGGGACTACAGGTGCATGCCACCTGGCTAATTTTTGTATTTCTTGTAGAGTCAGGGTTTTGCCATTTTGCCCATGGTGGTCTCCAACTCCTGAGCTTAAGTGATCCACCCATCTCTGCCTTCCAAAGTGCTGGGATTACAAGTGTGAGCCACTGTGCCCAGCCACACACTTAAGTCTGTGCTTCACAAGCTGACATGTGGTCCCATCAGAGCATGTATGGCCCTCACAGGAGACCTGGAACTGGAGTGGCATCACCAGGGAAGACTAGGAGGGGATGGGACTCTATGAAAGGGCTCACTTCCTCCTCAGTCAAAATATTTAGAGATGAGATGAGGGAAGGATGCAATATAATTGGATCCTGGAATTTAGCCTCATCCCCGACCTGCCTTCATACCCCGGGCCTCCAGGGTCCCTGGCACTGGAAACTCAACATTCAGAAGCTATCAGTGTTCCCAATTTAAAATAAACTGGGTCTGTATGTATCAGCAGAAAGAAAAGAGTGGGACTGAGGGACAAAATGATCAGCACGGCCTGGGTGTAGAATAGGTCTGTAGGGAGCTCGAGAGCACAGGCTGCATCTGAAGACAGCCAGATTCAATTATGTGAGCATCTCTATGCCAGTGCAAATGTATGGTGCATTGATTCTGGCCATCGAGGACTTCAACTTGCCACATTAAGCAGACTTGAGGGTAGGATGTGAGAGTGTGTGTGTGTGTGTGTGCGCGTGTGTGCGTGCGCATGTGTGTATGCTGTGGGGAACTGGAGACATATATTCCTTCCTTCTTCCCAGGAAGGGATGTTATTTATTCATTGCTATCAGTGCACGAAGCTAGCCACCTACAAAGTGAACTTTTTTTTTTTTTTTGAGACAGAGTCTCACTCTGTCACCCAGGCTGGAGTGCAGTGGTGTGATCTCAGCTCACTGCAGACTCCACCTCCCGGGTTCAAGAGATTCTCATGCCTCAGCCTCCTAAGTAGCTGGGATTACAGACATGCACCACCACATCTGGCTGATTTTTGTATTTTTAGTAGAAATGAGGTTTTGCCATGTTGCTCAGGTTGGTCTCGAACTCTGACCTCCGGTGATCTGCCCACCTCGGCCTCCGAAAGTGCTGGGATTACAGGCATGAGCCGCCACACCTGACCCCAAAGTGAACTTTTAAGAATAATCTTGTGTTCTGTAGAACTTTGCATATTTTCTATCACAATGGAATATAGAAAAAAAAAGATGGAATATAGAGTTTTCGTATGGACTGAGCTAGAGTGTCAGCTCCCTGAGGGCAGGGATGTTGTCTGTGTTGTTCACTGTTGCATCTGCAGTGCCTAGAACAGGCCTAGCCTGAAGAAAATGAAAAAAAAATTGCTGCAAAGTAATACTGGCAAATATTTACTGCATGCCAGACAGTGTTCTATGAAGTCATTTAAAAAACGCTGGCAGGGTGCAGTGGCTCACGCCTGTACTCCCAGCACTTTCTGAGGTCAAGACAGGAGGATCACTCAAGCCCAGGAGTTCAAGACCAGCCTGGGCAAGATGGTGAGGCCCCATCTCTACTTTTTTTTTTTAATTAAAAAAAAAAGGCTGGGTGTGGTGGCTCATGCCTATAATCCCAGCACTCTAGAAGGCCGAGATGGGCAGATCACCTGAGGTCAGGAGTTCAAGACCATCCTGGCTAACATGTGGAAACCCCATTTCTACTAAAAATACAAAAATTAGGTGGGTGTGCTGGCCTGTGCCTGTAGTCCCAGCTACTTGGGAGGTTGAGGCAGGAGAATCACTTGAACCTGGGAGGTGGAGGTGTAGTGAGCCAAGATCTTGCCATTGCACTCCAGCCTGGGCAACAAGAATGAAACTCCATCTCAAAATAAATAAATAAATAAATAAATAAATAAATAAATAAATGAATAAAAATAAGGCCAGGCGCGGTTGCTCATGCCTGTGATCCCAGCACTTTGGGAGGCTGAGGCAGGTGGGTTACTTGAGGTCAGGCGTTCAAGACCAGCCTGGCCAATATGATGAAACCCCATCCCTACTGAGAATACAAAAATTAGCCAGGAGTGATGGCAGGCACCTGTAGTTCCAGCTACTAGAGAAGCTGAAGTGGAAAGATTGCTTGAACCTGGGAGGCGGAGGTTGCAGTGAGCCGAGGTTGCGCCACTGCACTACAGCCTGGGCGACAGAGTGAGACTCCATATCAAAAATAATAATAATAATAAATAAATAAACATAAAAAATTAGAGCCAGGTGCAGTGGCTCATGCCTGTAATCCAAGTGTGTTGGTAGGTCAAGGTGGGTGGATTGCTTAAGCCCAGGAGTTTGAGACCAGCCTGGCAACATAGCAAGACCCCATCTCTATTTCTATTAAATAATAATAGGAATAATAAATAATTTAATTTAAAATGCCACAACAACCTTATGATGTTCATACTATTATCCACCTTTAATAGAGGGGAAGTAGATAGTCAGAGAAATGAATTGACTTATGCAGAATCACACAGCTTGGAGCAGGATTTGCATCCAGGACTCTTGGCTCCAGAGTCCAGCTCTGAGCTGTTATAAATAAATGAATTGAAGTCCTTGTCTTCATTTCTAAGAAACCCAGCCTCTCTCTCTCAGCATTCCCTCACTTTTCTCTCATCTCCCTGGTCTTCCGTTGTTTCTCAGGACCGTAAGAGGTTGAATGGGATTTCAGGGTTACAGGAAAAGCCCAGGTCCCGCAGCACAGTGTGTTCAGAACCATGGTCAGCGTCCAGTCTCGCTGAGTCTTCGCCGAGCGCGGTGCCCTCTGAGACAACATGCCTGTTTCCCAGCAGCCCAAGCAGGCTTGGGGTTCAAAGCTGACATCTGTTCAGCATGTGGCCTTGGGCAGTGATTTCATGGCTTAAACCTTCAACTGTCTTCTCTATGAAATGAGGATAACAAAAAGACCCATCTCCAGGATGACTGTAAAGAGAACATTATATAATGTATGTACATTATTTATAAAAGCACTTGCCACTTAGCACATAAGTCTAGACTACTTTATAAGTCTTTGCAAGGTGGTACAAAACACAAAACAAAACAACACCCCCCACAACCAAAAAGGTGGTTAAAAGCTTGCACTGTGGACACAGACAGACCTGGGTTCAAATCCAGACACTGCCACTTTCTAGCTGTGTGAGCTTGGCAAGAGACTTGAGCTCTGGTCTCGGCCCCTCTCCCCAGGGAAAAGCAATCGTTACAATATTATTATAGGCTGAGGGTGGTGGTTTTCACTTGTAATCCCAACAGTCTGGGAGGCTGAGGCAGGTGAATTGCTTGATCCCAGGAATTTGAGGCCAGCCTGGGCAATATAGCAAGACCCTGTCTGTACAAAAAATAAAAATTAGCTAGGCATGGTGGTGCACGCCTGTAGTCCCAGGTACTTGGGAGGCTGAGGCTAGAGGATCATTTGAGCCCAGAGGTCAAGGCTGTAGTGAACCACGGTTGCGCCACTGCACAGCAGCCTGGGTGAAAGAAAAGGACCCTGTCTCAAACAAAACAAAATAAATTGGCCGGGCACAGTGGCTCACACCTATAATCCCAGCACTTTGGGAGGCTGAGGTGGACAGATCATCTGAGGTCAGAAGTTCGAGACCAGCCTGGCCAACGTGGTGAAACCCTGTCTCTACTAAAAAAAAAAAAAAAAAAAACAAACAAAAATATTAGCCAGGCGTGGTGGTGCTGCGCATCTGTAATCCCAGCTACTCAGGAGGCTGAGGCACAAGAATCGCTTGAACCTGGGAGACGGAGGTTGCAGTAAGCCTAGATCATGCCACTGCACTCCAGCCTAGGTAAGAAAGTGAGACTCTATCTTAAAAAAGAAAAGAAAAAACAAAAACAAAAAACAGGCCAGGCGCAGTGGCTCATGCTTGTAATTCCAGCACTTTGGGAGGCCAAGGTGGGTGGATCACCTGAGGTCAGGAGTTCGAGACCAGCCTGGTTAACATGGCAAAACCCTGTTTATACTAAAACTAAAAAAATTAGCCGGGCGTAGTGGCATGCACCTGTAATCCCAGCTACTCGGGAGGCTGAGGCGGGAGAATCGCTTGAACCTGGGAGGCTGAGGTTGCAGTGAGCCGAGATAGTGCCACTGCACTCCAGCCTGGGCGACAGAGGGAGACTCCTTCTCAGAAAAAAAAAAAAAAAAAAAAAAAAAAAAGAACAAAAAAACCCACAATATTATTAGATAGTCAACCTCAAAGACAAGCGGGAAGGTAAAAAGAAATAATGCACAGAGTTATGCACTCAGTACTAGCTATTATTATTTTATCCCTTCTCCCACCCCACTGTTCACATTTTACACTGTAATAAAAAGGTATGACCTTGGGCAATAATTGCCTCTATGAGCCCAGTGCCTGGCATATGATGTGGTGCACATTTAACAAATTACAACCATTACTATTCCTTCCACAAATGTTTGCTGAGAGCTGGGCACTGTCACAGGTGCTGGAGATTTAATAGTGCACAAAATCTTTTTGTAAGAATCTGACCTCATGAAGCTATGTGGGGTGATAGAAGTGTTCTAATAGCTTCATTTAAGTGAGGGCTACACAGATGAACATATGTGAAAATTCATTCAGGTTGGAAACTTTAAATTGTTCAGTTAACTGTGTATCTTAAAACTTACAACATGCCAGACCGGGCACAGTGGCTCACGCCTGTAATCCCAGCACTTTGGGAGGCTGAGGCAGGTGGATCACCTGAGGTTAGGAGTTCGAGACTAGCCTGACTAACATGGTGAAGCCCCATCTCTACTAAATACAAAAAATTAGCCAGGCATGTTGACACATGCCTGTAACCCCAGCTACTTGGGGGGCTGAGGCAGGAGAATTGCTTGGACCTGGGAGGCGTAGGTTGCAGTGAACCGAGATTATGCCATTGCACTCCAGCCTGAGCAACAAGAGCAAAACTCCATCACAAAATAACAACAAACAAACAAACAAAAACTTGACAACAGGCCAAACACGGTGGCTCACACCTGAAATTCCAGCATTTTGGTGGGGCTGAGGCAGGAGGATCCCTTGAGCCCAGGAGTTCAAAATCAGCCTGGGCAACGTAGGGAGACTCTGCCTCAGTTTTCTTTTTTTTTTTTAAAGGTTATTAAACGGTTAAAAAAAATCATTGCCCTTAAGGAATGTATGTGTTGTAGACAGATAATAGAAAAAGTAATTATACAGAAAGTGATATATTCTGTGAAAAAATTCTGGGAAAGGGCTAGGTAATGTTGGGGGTGGGGGATTACAATTTTATTTTATTTTTGAGACGGAGTCTCATTCTGTCGCCTAGGCTGGAATGCAGTGGCACCATCTCTGCTCACTGCAACCTCTGCCTCCCGGGTTCAAGTGATTCTTCTGCCTCAGCCTCCCGAGTAGCTGGGATTACAGGCACGTGCCACCACGCCTGGCTAATTTTTATATTTTTTGGTAGAGATGAGGTTTCTCCATGTTGACCAGGCTGGTCTTGAACACCTGACCTTGTCAAGTGATTCACCCACCTCGGCATCCCAAAGTGGTGGGAATTACAGGCGTGAACCACCATGTCTGGCCTGGGGATTGCAATTTTAAATTGGGCAGTCAGGTTGGCCTCAGTGGAGAGGTGACATTTGAGCAAAGGCTTGAAGGAGGGGAGAGAGTGATCCACAGGGATATCATGGGGACAGCCAGTGCAAAGGCCCTGGGGTAGGAAGAAGAAAGTAAGGCAACCAGTGTGGCTGGAGTACAGTGAGGCAAGGGAGAGAGATGAGATGAGCAGTGTGCTGGGAACACATCATGTAGGAACTCTTAAACCACTGTAAGGACTGCTTTTGCTGGGAGATGGGATAATTGCCAAGGAGATTTTGAGTGGAGGAGGGACAGACTTGTATTTTAAAACTACCTCTCTGGGCCGGGCGCAGTGGCTCAGGCCTGTAATCCCAGCTCTTTGGGAAGCCGAGGCGGGTGGATCACCTAAGGTCAGGAGCTCAAGACCAGCCTGGCCAACATGCTGATACCCAGTCTCTAGTAAAAATACAAAAATTGAGGGTCGGGTGGGGTGCAAAGCAAAACCAAACCAAAACAAACAACAACAACAAAAAAAAACCACCAAACAAAAACAAAAACAAAAACAAAAAAAACTACCTCTCTTGTTATATAAGCAATGGAATGTAGTGTTATGATTTTCTCCAATCCTAATATCCACGAATCCCATTGCCGGTTCACCTCCCCAAACCCTTGGGCCCTCAGGGCTGCTCATCTGCCGCCGGCTGCCCTACGGCCTGGGTCCCGAAGCCTGCGCCTTGGGCGATGCCGAAGCTAAACATGCCCATGGGCGCCCCGCCTCTCTACAGGTCTTGCACTGCCCTGCACCTGCGCCCCTAGGCCACCTCAGTCCAGGCGAAGCCCTGAGCCGGGACCAGCCTTTGGTCAGAATGCTGCTCATGACGCGGCTCGGGCCCAGCAGGCAGTCCGGGAGCACCGGGGCAGGTGCAAATTCCACGTTGGAAAAGTTTGGCTGCACCATGCTTGCGAAGCTGCAGCTGAACGCGCCCACCAGGGCATAAGCGCGAAGGAGGGATCGTAGGTGTCAACCCCCGCGGGCCGCGGCGGCCTCGGGGGGAAAAACACCTGCACGCCAGCCGAAGAGCGCAAAGCCAGAGAGTGCACTGGTCCACCACAGAGCGCAGCACCGTGCCAGGGCGCAGAGCCCACGCACGCCCGGTCGGCGTCGCAGCACCAGGAGCACAGGCTACCCGGGCCACTAGCCTCCAGGAACACGCAGTCTCGGCGCCCGGGACGCTCTGGGGCAAAGTGGGGCACCGTGTGGAGACCACTCCAGCGACCCTGGGGCGGCGGTCGTCCAAACGCGTGGCCACAGGCCTTGCTTCTCGCTTGCAGACAACTGAGGCCAGCCAGCAGCGCGACAGGATGGGCGGCCACGACGCGGGTGCCGGATAGGTCTCCTGCTCTCTGCAACTGCAGCGCCTCTGGAAGCCTTCAAGGCTCAATGGATGGGGCCAGCGGGCAGGGTGGCCTACGCGGTCCAGCAGAACAGGCTTAGGGGGCTTGAGGCGCCTCAAGAGCGTGGGCCCAGCGCCCGCCACCACCGCAAACTCCTTGTGCCGGTCGCCGGGCGGCAGCGACGGCGTCACCATCGATTAGGGAGTGCCCAGCAGGTAGCGCCGCAGAGCCAGCGCCGTGTCCCGGGAGGCGCGCCCACGCGCGTTCACCGCCTCCACTTCCTCGGGCCGCGACGTCGCTGCTTGCACAGCGCCGCCTGCCGCGAGCCCTGCAGCTCCTCTGCCCCGGGCGGGCACACCCACACCGTCGTGCCTGGCTGCAGGCGCGGGGAGCACGGGGAGAGTGGCGCCCACGCAGGGAGCGCTGTCACCAGCATCGCCGTCGGGGGCCCTGTGGGCGGTGGCGACATATATAGCTGGAAGTTGGGCTTCTCAGCGCCCCCGTTTTCCGAGAAAGCCGTGATGAAGCGGCAGCCCTGGAAACATAAAACACAGACGTCCGTCGGGCTTGAGGGAACCAGGAGCCCAGAGGAGGCAGTCAAGAATAATCCGGTGGATTTGGAAGCTAAATGCGTCAGATTCTAATTCTGACTCTGCCACTTTCTCTCCCTCTCTCCCTCCCTCCTTCTCTCCCTCCCTCTCTCCCTCCCTTCCTTCCTTTTCTTTTTCTGTTTTAGAGAGGAGACTCAATCTGTTGCCCAAGCTGGTCTCCCAGGCTCACGCGATCCTCCCACCTTGGCCTCCCAAAGTGCTGGGATTACTTACAGGCGTGAGCCACCTTGCCCAGCCGACTCGGCCACTTTCTAGCCAAGTGAACTTGGGCAAGTCACCTCCTTTCTTGGGGCTTAAGCTGCTGTGTCTGTAAAGGGGGTATCGGTGCACACTTCACAGAATGATGGGGAGCTTGATGTCAAAGCCATGGCATGAAGTCAGCTATATCAATATTAGCTTAAACTTGCTTCTTTTGCACCATCTGTCCCCAAAAGGCCCGCCCAGCCTCCTCAGAACCAGTTTTGCCAATCTCCTGGCACACAGTCTGCCCAAATAGCCCCTTGTCCAGCTGGCCAGGGCCCTGTCCCAAGAAGTTCCACTGTGGCCAATCCCCTGTCACAGAGCCATGCCAGACAGCCTCCCAACCTGAGCCAGCACAACCAGCCCCTCCCTACCCCACACTCTGCTGCAAATCCAGACCAACTCACCAGCTTTCTGTGTTCCTTCTGGGGCACTCACCCTGTAGGAAACCCAAGGCACCGAGGCACAGCTGGGGGTAGAGGGAGATAGACTGGTTAGTGTGGTTCCTCCTGCCAGCCTTCCCTCCAGGCCTCCCACTGCAGGGGCAGTACGGGGCACAAGGGAGACCTCAGAGAAGGGCTCAGCCTCAGAGCCCAGGGCCCGGGGGTCACCTGCCAGAGCAGGGCTGAGGCCAACCACATTGCAGGGGCATTTATAGTCCTAGGTGCCTGGGCCTGGCCCTCAGCACCCACCCTGGGTCTACACACAAATGTACCCATTAGTACTGGCTCCAGCCTGACCTGGTGCCACTGATCATACAGAGGCCTAAGTATGGGGGTGCTGGGTGGAGAAAGGAGGGGACAGAGAAAGGAAAGACAGCTATGGGGAGGTGGGGACAGAGATCGGCATAGAGAGTAAATGTGGGAGAGGGAAAGATACACAAAAGTTACGGTGAAGGCCAGGCACAGTGGCTCACGCCTGTAATCCCAGCATTTAGGAAGGCCGAGGCAAGTGGATCATCTGAGGTCAGGAGTTTGAGACTAGCCTGGCCAACATGGTAAAACCCCATCTCTACTAAGGACACAAAAATTAGCCAGGCGTGGTGGCGTGCACCTGTAATCCCAGCTACTCCAGCTACTCTGGAGAGTGAGGCAGGAGAATTGCTTGAACCGGGGAGGTGGAGGTTGCAGTGAGCTGAGATTTTGCACTCCAGCCTGAGCAAAACTCCGTTTCAAAAAAAAAAAAAAGGGTTATGGTGAGATGAAGAGATGGACGAGGGGAGAGGGACAGATAGGGTAAGGAATGGAGAAAGAGAGAAGGAAAAAGACCAGCTGAGGCTCCGGCGGACTGCTGGCAGACATGGCCACTTCCCGCTTACCCCAGCAACACTAATGTTAAAGCAGTTCATCAGAAGGCAACAAGTTCTTCTCCTCTACAGAAGGATTTTCCAAACAATTCAGCAAGTTCCAAATGATTCTGATCGCAAATACCTGAAGGATTGGGCAAGGGAAGAATTCAAAAGAAACAAAAGTGCCACCGAAGAGGATACAATTCGGATGATGATTACTCAAGGCAATATGCAGCTCAAGGAGTTAGAAAAAACACTTGCTTTAGCAAAATCTTAACTATAGCATTATTCTGAAGGATTTTCAAAGTCTCCATGTGTTTTGTTGCATTTAGGATTAACAATGGACAACACAAAGCCCAGTCTTACTATTTGTATGTACAGTATTTGGTGATAGAGAGCAAAGGAAAACACATCAAAACAGTTGCCTTAACACTGAAAAACATACCCTGCATTTTGAAAATGTTTATGGATGGCTCAGCAGTTTTTAAAAGAAGCAAAACCCACTAACAAATGGCCAGTTCGCACATGAAAAGCTGCTGGACACAATCATTAGGGAAGTGTAAATCAAAACTACTATGAGGCCGGGCACAATGGCTCGCGTTTGTAATCCCAGTACTTTAGGAGGCCAAGGTAGGTGGATCATTTGAGATCAGGAGTTAGAGACCAGCCTGGCCAACATGGTGAAACCTCATCTCTACTAAAAATGCAAAAATTAACCAGGTGTGGTGGTGCATGCCTGTAGCCTCAGCTACTCGGGAGGCTGAGGCAGGAGAATCACTTGAACCCAGGAAGTGGAGGTTGCAGTGAGCTGTGATTGTGCCTACTGCACTCCAGCCTGGATGACAGAGTGAGACTCTGTCTCCAAACAACAACAACAACAACAAACAAGCAAACAAAAAACTATGAGATATCACTTCACATTCACTAGAATGGCTGTAATTAAAAAGAGAAATAATAACAAGTGTTGGTGAAGATGTGCAGAAATTGGAACCCTCATACATTGTTGGTGGGAATGTAAAATGGTGCAGCCACTTCAGGAAACAGACTGTCAGTTCCTCAAACTAATGAAACACAGCTGCCGCGTGATTTAGCAATTCTACCCCTAGGCCCATAAACATTATTTGGCAGTGAAAAGAAAGAAGGACTGATATACTGATATATGCTAAACATGGATAAACCTTGAAAACGTTAAGTGAAAGAAGCCAGTCACAAAAGATCACGTGATGATTCCATTCATATGAAGTGTCCAGAATAGGCAGAAAGATTAGTGGTTGCCTAGGCTGGCTGTAGGTGGAATGGATTAACTGTTAATGGGTGTAGGGTTTCTTTTCAGGGTGATGAAAATATCCTGCAGTTAGCTTGTGGTGTTAGGTTGCATGACTCTGAATATACTCAAATCCATTGAATTGTATCTCAATAAAGCTGAAAAAAAAAAAAGACCAAAGACAGACAAGAAAGTAATTTATTCCAGGAAAGCCTTTTTTTTTTTTTTTTTTTTTTTAGACGGAGTTTCGCTCTTGTTGACCAGGCTGGAGTGTGCAATGGTGCAATCTCGGCTCACCCCAACCTCTGCCTCCCGGGTTCAAACGATTCTCCTGCCTCAGCCTCCCGAGTAGCTGGAATTACAGGCATGCATCACGATGCCTGGCTAATTTTGTATTTTTAGTAGAGATGGGGTTTCTCCATATTGGTCAGGCTGGTCTCGAACTCCTGACCTCAGGTGATCTGCCCACCTCGGCCTCCCAAAGTGCTAGGAATATAGGTGTGAGCCACCACGCCAGGACCTTTTTTTTTTGAGATGGAATCTCGCTCTGTTGCCCAGGCTGGAGTGCAGTGGCATAATCCTGGCTGACTGCAACCTCCGCCTCCTGGGTTCAAGCAATTCTCCTGCCTCAGCTTTCCAAGTAGCTGAGACTACAGGCAGGTGCCACCATGCTCAGCTAATTTTTGTATTTTTAGTAGAGACGGGGTTTCACATGTTGGCCAGGCTAGTCTCGAACTCCTGACTTCAGGTGATCCACCCTCCTCCTCAGCCTCCCAAAGTGCTGTGATTACAGGCGTGAGCCACCGTGCCCAGCATCGGAAGAAGCCCTTTGAATATTGAGGAAGTGGTTGTATTTGGAGAGAGTGAGGGATGTAAGTTTCTCAGACAGAATAAGGGATTGAAGGGGCAAGGTGGAGAAGCTGAGACCTGAAGACCATCCTAAGACAAGAGGGGCACAGCCGGGTGTGGTGGCACACACCTGTGGTCCCAGCTACTTGGGAGGCTGAGGTGGGAGGATTGCTTGACCCAGGGAGATCAAGGCTGCACTGAACTGAGATGGTGCCACTGGACTCTGGCCTGGGTGACAGAGTGAGGCCCAGTCTCTAAAAATAAAAAAGTAAGGCCAGGCGCGGTGCTCACGCCTGTAATCCTAGCACTTTGGGAGGCCGAGGCGGGTGGATCACGAGATCAGGAGATCGAGACTATCCTGGCTAAGACGGTGAAACCCCATCTCTACTAAAAATACAAAAAAATTAGCCTGGCGTGGTAGCGGGTGCCTGTAGTCCCAGCTACTTGGAAGGCTGAGGCAGGAGAATTGCTTGAACCTGGCAGAGGTTGCAGTGAGCTGAGATTGTGCCACTGCACTCCAGCCTGGGTGACATAGCGAGACTCTGCCTCAAAAAAAATAAAAAATAAATAGATAAATTAGAAAAGAGGTGGCAGGGCCAGTGCGGGGAGGGGGAGGACTCCTGAGCCTGCTGAGAGAGAAGTTTTTTTTATTTTTATTTTTTGAGACGGAGTCTCGCTCTGTGGCCCAGGCTGGAGTGCAGTAGTGCAATCTCCGCGCACTGCAAGCTCCGCCTCCCGGGTTCAGGCCATTCTCCTGCCTCAGCCTCCGGAGTAGCTGGGACTACAGGCGCCCGTCACCAGGCCCGGCTAATTTTTTTGTATTTTTAGTAGAGACAGGGTTTCACCGTGTTAGCCAGGATGGTCTTGATCTCCTGACCTCGCGATCTGCCCGCCTCGGCCTCCCAAAGTGCTGGGATTACAGGCGTGAGCCACCACGCCTGGCCGAGAGAGAAGTTTTCAGTCTCATTTGAACTTGAGGATCCTAGGAAGGGGGCCGGGAGCCTGTGTTCTGAGGATGGAGGGGAGTGGAGATGGGGCTTCTGTGCCTGAGGAAGGAGGGGACTGCAGACCTGAACTCCTGAGGAAGGAGGAAGCTAGACGCCTGGGCTCCTGGATTGTGGAAGTGACCAGAGACAGAGGCAG
Organism: Homo sapiens; assembly: GCF_000001405.40. Taxonomy (NCBI): domain Eukaryota; kingdom Metazoa; phylum Chordata; class Mammalia; order Primates; family Hominidae; genus Homo; species Homo sapiens. The sequence continues at coordinate 35,954,138 of NC_000019.10, read as the reverse complement.
GAGAGGGCACCAGGTGCCTGGATGTGGAGGTCTGGAGGATTTGGGGACAGAGGTTCCCGTGAGAAAACAATGGCCTATACATCACTTTCTTCTTCCCAGAACGTCCTCTCGGCTTCCCAGAAGCTGAGAACAATGGAGCTACAGCCTTCTAGGAGGATCTCGGAGAGGAGGGCAAGGATGGATCTCCAGAAATGGAGAAGCAAGGGACCCTGGGTACAGTTACCAACTGCCTCTCCCCCAGATGCTAGTAGCTGCACCCAGGCCTCCTTCTCCCCCAGAACGTTACCTTTGGTGGGAGGAATAAGGGGAGCATTCAAGAAGGAACCCATGTTCTTTCTTTTTTTTTCTCTTGAGACAGAGTCTCACTCTGTTGCCCAGGCTGGAGTGCAATGGGGCGATCTCGGCTCACTACAACCTCCGCCTCCTGGGTTCAAGCGATTCTCCTGCCTCAGCCTCCGGGGTAGCTGGAACCACAGGCACGTGCCACCACGCCCAAGTAATTTTTGTATTTTTAGTAGAGACAGGGTTTCACCATGTTGGCCAGGCTGGTCTCGAACTCCTGGCCTCAAGTGATCTATCCAACTCGGCCTCCCAAAGTGCAGGGATTACAGGCATGAGCCACCACGCCCAGCTGGAACCCACTTTCCTTCAATAGCTTCATCTGTCACTTGCTTAAGATCCTCCTTCATCACAAGCAGAGGATGTGGTTAGTGTTTCCTTCCTGCCTGAGGTGGGGAACAAACATATGTGCTAGAAACAGAGCTGGGGAAGAGGGATGGCGTGGGAAGGGCTGGGATGCTAGAGGCTGAGGAGCTCAGACTGTCCCAGGAACCCTGGGGAGCCATGGGGGTGCCTATACAGAGGAGGGTTTGGCTTTAGGAAGATCCTGGACCAGAGAAGAGACTGAGGCCAGGAGCCCAGTGCAAGGACCCAGATGGGTGAGGCCAGAACTAGCCCAGGATGGGGCCGGGGCAGGGAGGAAGGGGAGGTGGGGGACATTCAGGAGGCTGCATGGGGGTTGCTCTCCCAGACAGGACCTAGAAGGAGGCATAGGTCCGAGAAGAAGCCGAGGTGGGTGTGGGATCCAGTGGGTGTGAGGGGCCCCAGGGGATGTCCAGGAAGAGGGGTCCGGGAAACTGAGGTAAGCCAGGTCTGGACTTAGGAGAGATGCTGGGGTTGAGGATGGAAATATGGAGGTTGTAGCCTGGTGAGGTGGCTCAGGCCTGTAATTGCAACACTTTGGGAGGCTGAGGCGGGAGGATCACAAGGTCAGGAGTTTGAGACCAGCCTGGCCAGCATGGTGAAACCCCGTCTCTACTAAAAATACAAAAATTAGCCAGGCTTGGTGGCACACGTCTGCAGTCCCACCTACTCGGGAGGCTGAGGCATGAGAATCACTTGAACCAGGGAGGCGGAGGTTGTGGTGAGCCGAGATCTCGCCATTGCAATCCAGCCTGGACAACACAGCAAGACTTCATCTCAAAAAAAAAAAAAAAAAAAAAGAAAGAAAAGAAAAGAAATATGAAGGTTGCCAACAGAGAAGAAAAACAGGTGTTAGGGGTCGATGTCCCTGAATGTGAGTACAGAGGCAGGAAGGGGCTCATTCCCAGCTCCCCGAGGCCACAGCATTTAGGGGAAGCTGAAGAGGAAGTTCCCAAGGAACTGCTGTTTTACCCAGAGGGCTGGGGAGAGTGAAGTGCACCCCGGGGGTCTATGGAGTTGAAGCCAGAACATATCCAGAAGAAAGTCCTTTGAAATCTCACATTTTATACTCGAAATTCTTGCCAATTTTGCATTCACCTCCATCAGTCTATCCATGCGAGTTTTCATATAAAAAGATTTTCAAGTACTTACCAGTGAGTGACATTCTGTAACCTACCCTTCTGCATCCCCCGCCACCCACGGTAAACATTTGCAAGTGAAAATGAGGCTCTGGGTTCATCCCGTGGTTTTGGGGTCTCCCAGCTCGTCTCCTGCACTGGGATGTCTATTACCCAAGGTTCTGGTAAACGTGCCCATGCTGGCCTCTCCTCCTCAGAATCACCCACACTCCCAGCTCCTTCCACAGGCAGCTGAGTCCCCCATCTTCTCCCTGGCCTTGTGCCCCCATCCACCCTCCCCATGGTAGCTAGATGGATCTTTCTTTCTTTCTTTTTTTTTTTTTTTTTGAGATGGAGTTTCATTCTTGTTGCCCAGGTTGGAGTGCAATGGTGCAATCTTGGCTCACCGCAACCTCCGCCTCCTGGGTTCAAGCGATTCTCCTGCCTCAGCCTCCCGAGTAGCTGGGATTACAGGTATGTGCCACCACGCCCAGCTAATTTTGTGTTTTTAGTAGAGACAGGGTTTCTCCATGTTGGTCAGGCTGGTCTCGAACTCCCGACCTCAGGTGATCCGCCCGTCTTGGCCTCCCAAAGTGCTGGGATTACAGGTGTGAGTTACTGCGCCCAGCTGCCAGATGGATTTTTCTAAAGTGCAAACCTGACCCTGTCCCTCCACCTTATCACCCTCCACCCTCCATGGCCCCACAGTGCGCCCTTCTCCCATGGTGCGCCAGCCACACTGAACTCTGGCTCATTCTTTGAGTGTGCAGTCCTCTCTTTTTTCTTTTTTTTTTTTTTTGAGACGGAATCTCACTCTGTCACCCAGGCTAGTGTGCGGTGGCAGGATCTGGGCTCACTGCAACCTCTGCCTTCCAAGTTCAAGCGATTCTCCTGCCTCAGCCTCCCAAGTAGCTGGGATTACAGGTTCCTGACACCACGTCCAGGTAATTCTTTGTATTTTTAGTAGAGACGGGTTTTCGCCATGTTTGCCAGGCTGGTTTTGAACTCCTGACCTCAGGTGATTCGCCCGCTTCAGCCTCCCAAAGTGCTGGGATTACAGGCATGAGCCACTGCGCCTGGCCCTCTCTTGGCTTTTGTACCCAATGCTCTCTCTCCTGGGAAGACCCTCTCTGCCTCGGCTCTCTCTGTAAATCCCTCAAGTGTTCGCTCCTCCGGGCAGGACTGGCTACATAATTTGCAGGGCGCAGTGCAAAATCAAAATGTGGGGCCCTTGTTCAAAAATTATTAATTTCAAGATAGTGACACTAGGGCATTAAAGCAAGCATAGGGTACTTCTAAGTTTGGGGCATGGTGCAACCCCACAGTCACACTGCCATAAAGCTGGCCCTGCCTCAGGAAATCTTGGACTGTCTCCCCACCTCCCATCCCAGGCCCAGTTAGAAACTTCAGATTGCTTCTTGGCCTTTTGGCTAAGATCAAGTGTAGAACCCTCTGGCTCTGGGAGTCCCCTGGGCTTCTGCAAAAGCCCTGATCATTCTTGCCTGTTCTTTCCCCATCCCCGACCACTCTGGGATGCCATTGTTTTGTGATTATCTATTTCCTCCACTGGAAATAGAACTCTTTTTTGTTGGTTTGTTTTGGGACGGAGTCTCGCTCTGTTGCCCAGGCTAGACTACAGTGGCCCAATCTTGGCTCACTGCAACCTCTGCCTCCCGGGTTCAAGTGATTCTCCTGCCTCAGCCTCCCAGGTAGCTGGGATTATAGGTGCCTGCCATCACACCCGGATAATTTTTGTATTTTTAGTAGAGTTGGGGTTTCACCATGTCGGCCAGGCTGGTTGCGAACTCCTGACCTCAAGTGACCCACCTGCCTCGGCCTCCCAAAGTGTTGGGATTACAGGCATGAGCCACTGCTCCCAGCCTTGAACTGGAACTCTGAGGGCAAGGGCTAGGGCTGTGTTGGTCACCACAATGTTCCCAACGTCACTCCGCACAGGTCAGGACGACAGGCAGCACTGATACCTATCTTTGCTTTTGCGAGGTATGAGAGGGCACAGCCATCAGGGAGGACCCAAAGGCAGGAGGCAGGCGTCAGGTTCCACCCTGAACACAAACATCCTTTTTGGGAACACCTTTTATCTGATTCTCTCACATATGTGCCCATGCAAAGAGCTGCAAAAGCGTGGCATTAGCCTCAGCCTTGCAGGAGATCACAGGTGTCCCCAGACACTCAGGGCCTTTGTCAGATTTAGCCACCCCAAGACACATGGGTTGGATCTGGCAGTACACAGACAGGGCAGAATCCTGGTATTGGGTCTACAGTCACTTCAAGATAATGCTCCAGCAGCCGGAGCTTTGGTCTAAAAAATGTGTGGGGCCAAAAGCAGATGAGGAATTGATGAGGAATTGACAGTAGAAGTAGTTGTACTCCCTGAGCTCAGGAAATTGATGGACTTAGCTAGGCAGTTGGACAAGCTAATTATTATTATTATTTGTAGAGATGGGGTATGGCTATGTTGCCTGGGAGGCCACAGCATTTTGGGGGAAGTTAAAGTTCCTAAGGAACTACTGTTTTATCCAGAGGGCTGGGGAGAGTGAAGTGTGCCTCACAGGGTCCACGGAGTTGAAAACAGGCTGGTCTTGAACTCCTGGGCTCAAGCAATCCTCCCTGAGGGTGGCCTCTCAAAGCACTGGGATTACAGGCATGAGCCACTGTGCCTAGCTGACAAGCAAAATTTTAACTTTAAATCCTAGACACATGTGATTGTGTGTTTCTGCAGGCGGGTGGGGGTGGTCCAGGCATGCTGTGGGGGAACATGGGGGACCCATGCTAGAGGGACCAGTCTGCCCTCCTCCCATCCTTCCTGCTTCCATATTTGTAATAAGCTACTACCAAGTGTGTGTCCCCCTTCCAGCCCTGCATTTCCTGTGTCCACATTCCCCCTGACCACCCACTGCCTCTCAGCCTCCATCCACTGTCTGCCTGCTACTTGAGCCTGGAAAAGGTCCGTCATTCCCATGCTACACAGAAGTCCCTCCCCCATCTAAGGGGTGGAGCTGTGGATATCAGAGCCCAGTGTCTTACAACTCTTCTTCCCATCTCTGCAATCTTGCTGCAGAACTGGGTAGCTGTACAGTAGGGCACACTGTCTGCTGGGTGGGGGGCAGAGGCCTCTAGTAAGGTCGTCTCAAATCTCTCTTCAACCACTTCAGGCCCCAACTTGGTCCGGATCACCCTTCTGCTTGGACTATTGCAGTATCCTCCTCCCCACAGAGCTTCCTTGAGATCAGGGACTGCTACTCTCATTAGACCTCAAAACCCTTCAATGGGCCAGGCGGGGTGGCTCATGCCGCCTGTAATCCCAACACTTTAAGAGGCCGAGGCAGGTAGATCATGAGGTCAGGAGTTCGAGACCAGCCTGGCCAACATGGTGAAGAAGTCTCTACTAAAAATACAAAAATTAGCTGGGCGTCGTGGCAGGGCACCTGTAATCTCAGCTACTCGGGAAGCTGAGGCAGAAGAATCACTTGAACCCGGGTAGCGGAGGTTGCAGTGAGCCAAGATTGTGCCACTGCACTCTAGCCTGGGCGACAGCGAGACTCCGTCTCAAAAAAAAAAAAAACCAAAAAACCCTTCAATGGCTTCTCATGCCACTTAGAGGACAATCCACACTCCTCCCAGCAGCCTACGGGGTCCTGCGTCATCGGCTCCCTTCCTGCTTTCCAGCCTCAACCCAAGGTCACTCTCTTCCCTTCCCTCCCCTACTTCAGCCCCCTGGCCTCAGCTCTTTCACTCATGCTTCCCTCAGCACAGGCTCTTCCATTTGCACGGAATACCCTTCCCACCCCTTTCATGGTTAACTCCAACCTGCGCATCCTTCAGGTCTCCGCCAGGCCTCCCCTCCTCCAGGAAGCCTTCCTCAATCTCTCTTGTTGGGTCAGGGCCCCTGGTTACAGGGTCGCGCACTTCTGTATGTGTCTCCTGCATGGCGCCCCTTGGTCACTGCAGATGCTTACACTTGCTGGTGTGATTATATAACATCTACGGTCAGATCTGTAATCCCAGCACTGTGGGAGGCCAAGGTGGGAGGACCACTTGAGGTCAGGAGCTCAAGACCAGTATGGGAACACAGTGAGACCCCCATCTCTACAAAAATACAAAAATTAGCTGGGTGTGGTGGCACATGCCTGTAATCCCAGCTACTTGGGAGGCTGAGGTGGGAGGATCACTTGAGGCTGGGAGGTGGAGGCTGCAGTGAGCCATGATTGCACCACTGCACTACAGCCTGGGTGACATTGAGACTGTGTCTAAAAAAAAAAAAAAAACAAAACTCAGAAAACATTTGTGTCCCCACCAAATAGTGAGCGCCGCGAAGGCAGCACCTGTGCTGTATTTGTTCCGCAATGAATCCCCAGCACACTGCACACAGCAAGGATTGCTCACATTTAAAAATGTGGGTTTAGGGCCGGACGCGGTGGCTCACGCCTGTAATCCCAGCACTTTGGGAGGCTGAGACGGGCAGATCACGAGGTCAGGAGATCAAGACCATCCTGGCCAACGTGGAGAAATAAAAAAATTAGTCGGGCGTGGTGGCAGGCGCCTGTAATCCCAGCTACTCAAGAGGCTGAGGCAGGAGAATCGCTTCAACCCAGGAGGCGGGGGTTGCAGTGAGCGGAGATCGCGCCATTGCACTCCAGCCTAGGCGACAAGAGACTTCGACACACACACACACACACACACACACACACACACACACACACGAACAGTGCCCTCTGGCTCCCCCTCATGGGAGCAACTGGTAATTGTAGCCAGCACTAGGCCCCCAGCATCCTCACTTCCTAGGCTCCTTTTCTGTTTTTTTGGAGACAGGGTGTCGTTCTGTGGCCCAGGCTGGAGTGCAGTGGCGCAATCCTAGCTCACTGCAGCCTCGAACTCCTGGGCTCAGTGCAGTGGCGCAATCCTAGCTCACTGCAGCCTCGAACTCCTGGGCTCAAGCAATCCTCCCACCTTAGCCTCTCGAGTAGCTGGGACCACAGTCTCGAAACACTATGCCCCTGCTCCTAGGCCCCTTTCCCCAGGACTCATGCCCTCACTCTTCTTGATGACGTCACCTGACTTCAGCTGTCCAAGGCTAACAAACAACAAGAAGGATCTCATGATACTGCTGGGGACTTGGGGAGTAGGGTGTGGTCAGACGAGGTCCCCCAGGACTCAGGCTGGTCCCATGACTCATGGCATAACATGTTCAAGGCCTAGACCCCCCAGAAAAGCTGTGGCAGAATCTAGGATATGTCATCCCACGAGGTCACAATCATGTGCCCCAGGTCATGAAAAGGGCCAGTTCAGTCTTGGGCTCTCTTTACCATGCCCTCACACCAGTGTCCCTCCAGGTGACAGGACCCAGCTTCCCTCCACTCTCCTGCCTCTGGGGACATCATTAGTGAAGCCCTGAGTTCAGGGGGTGCTATTCCTCTTACTGCCAACCCCGTTCCTGGATCTCCAAGGAGGCTCAACATCTCCTAGACCGGGGTTTGGTTCTGCAAACCTCCAGGCTTGGTGTCTCATGGGGCCTAGGGCTGCCCAAGACAGAGTAAGGACCCACCCTGCAAAGACATGGGACTCCAGGCCCACAGGTTGACAGGGGCTGCACCCTCTAGCTACATTTTCTTACCCCCTCCTCTCAAATCAGCTGAATCTGCCATCTGCCCCAACTGACCCCCTAACACTGCTCTCTGGGGGGTCACCGCAGCCTTTATTTATATCATTGAACACAAGAGTTTCTTGGGTCTGAATTGCTTGGTCTTCTTCCCCCTGTCCCTCTGCCTGCTGGTCCTGTTTAGTCTTGGTTAGGTTTTTCTTTGCGTCACCCTTAAATATGGAAAGTCCCTAGCCAGGGGCAGTGGCTCATGCCTGTAATCCCAGCAATTCAGGAGGCTGAGACGGGAGGATCACTTGAGGCCAGTTTGGGATCAGCCTGGGCAATATAGTGAGACCCCATCTGTAAAAAAAAAAAAGAAAAAAGAAAAAATGTCCCATAGTGGGGACTTGGAATCATCCCCCACAAGAAGCCGTCTTAACCCCAGCAGCGTCAGTTCCCATCTCTGCTGACAAAGCCCTCATTTCTATTTCCAGCTTCAGCCTCAGACCAGGGGTCCTGCACCCTCCTGAATGCCACATCCTGGACATCCTCAGGGCCCCCTACACCTACCAAGTTCCCCACTGGCCATATCATCTTTCCCAAACCTGCTCCTCCTCCCTGGTCCTATATGAGGGCAGTCCCCACCATCTTCCTGCCCCACCCCATGGCCCCGCAGCTCCATAACCCACCGCCTCAGCTTCCCACAGTTTCCCGAGTGTCTCTGTCAACCCACTCCCTTTTCTTGTTCCCTAGCCCAGCTGGTCCAACTTCGTCCTCACCCACCCAGGTCCCTGCCCCAGCTTCCCCTGGGGCTCCCAGCTTCAGTCTTCCCCTTGGGTCCACCCTACTCATAGCACTAGAAGGATCTTCCTGAAGCCCCAAACTGACCCCATTCCTCCCTTGCATACAACCCTCCATGGCTCCCTGGTATCATCAGGCCAGAGTCTGAGCTCCTCAGCCTGGAGGTCCTAGACCCTGCTCAACCCTCCTGCCTCACCTCTACCATAGCACCCCCAGTGCCCAGGGCACACCACCACCTTGCTTGTGCTGTGCCCTCTGCCTGAAAGAGCTTTCCTTCTGCTCTTTGCCCAGTTATCTCCTTCATATGTCATTCTCAGATCACATGTGTCCTCCTCCAGGAAGCCCTCCCTGACCACACCTGGGGCTGAGCAAGGGTACCTCTTCTGGACTGTCACAATCCCCCAGGCTTCCCTCATCCCCACATCCCTGGTCACTCTGTGCTATCACTGTCTGGGGATGTGTCTGTCTCCCATTTGACTTTAGGCCCCTGCGGGCAGGGCTCAGGGCTATCTGGATCACCACAGCATCCCCCAACCCAGGGCATGCTCAGAGCCGACACGCAGGGAACATCTATTGTCTGAATGGATCGCCATCCTCAGCCTCCTCCGGGGTCCTCAGACTGAACTGGGCGGGGAGGGGGTGTCTCCCCAAAGGAGGCATTCCCCAGCTCCAGACCCCTGCTCCGTCCCCCAACCCCCATAGACAGAGACGAGGGCAAGGGTCTTCGCCCAAGCTTGGAAAAATAGGACTTTCTTGTTTTGCCCCGGTGTCCCCGACACCCTCCCCATCAGAGTTTTAAAAACCATGAGCGATTTGGTGAGTTTGAGGCCAGGTCCCACAGGGTGTCCGGGTCCTGCTGTCCGTGGGGCCAGAGGACCCTTAGAGGGGGGGGCGCCTGGCTAGGGTCCCACAGGTTCGTGGCCGGGCCCCCAGGGCTCGCAGTCCAGCTGGACCACGGTGTGGGCCCTGAGCGCCGCGGGCTCCGGGGCGGGCGGGGCGGGCGTGGGCGTGGGGCCCAGGGCGCCGTTGGTCTGGGAGCAAACGCTGCTAACAGGCGCGGGAATCTTGGCCTTGCCGGGGGGCTGGCCGCCGTGCACCTTGTAGCGCATTAGCAGCACGAAGATGAAGACCAGTACCGAGGCTACGATGACGCCGCCCAGCGCGATGATCATCGTGCCGCCCAGGAAGGGAGCGTGCGGCGCCCCGCATGGCCGCAGCGCAGGTTCGGTGGAGAAGCGGGCGCAGCCCACAGGCCGCGTGGCCGTGAGCCCCGTGGCGCTGTCCTCATACACGGCGAGCACGCACAGATCGTAGGTCCGGCCTGACGCCAGGTCCGTCAGCAGGAACGAGCGGCTCTCCGCCGGGATCATCCTGCAGGGCAGGCAGGTGGGGGTCAGGTCTCAGGCTGCCCAGCCCCCAACCTGTGCTTCCCCCACCAAACTCCCTGCGGGGCTAGACTTCCCACCAGTCCACTCCTTCATTTCATTCTACCCAATGAGCTCCCTCTCACCAACATCCCAATTCCCTTTGGTCTGACATCCCATTCAGCCACCTGACTGATACCCCTCCAGTCTGTTGGCCAATTTCACTCTAGCCCACCCTCTCACACGTCCTCATAGCCTGCTGCCCATTTTCACTCTAGTCCCACCACCCAATTTCTCTAACAGCTCACCACGTGAGTTCTTCCAATCCATCCTGTTTCTTTTCTTTCTTTCTTTCTGTTTTCTTATAGACAGGGTCTTGCTCTGTTGCCCAAGCTGGAGTGCAGTGGCATGATCACAGCTCACTGCAGCCTCTGACTCCTGGACTCAAGCCATCCTCCGGCCTCAGCCTCCTGAGTAGCAGGAACTACAGGTGTGCACTACCATGCCCAGCTAATTTTTAAATTTTTTGTAGAGACAGGCTCTTGCTATATTGCCCAGGCTGGTCTCAAACTCCTGGCCTCAAGGCAGTCCAGCCTCCTGCCTTGGCCTCCTTAAGTGTTGGGATTACAGGCGTGAGCCACCACACCTTGCCGGTTTCATTTTATACCCAACTGCCCAATTTCCCTTTTGCACTGCCCACTCAATTTCCCTCCAGCCTGCAGCCCAGCTCCGCTCTAGCCTCCCTGCCCAATTTTGCCCCAATCCTCTGCCTGATTTCACTCTGGTCCCACTGCCAGTCATCTCTCCAGTTCACCACCCAATTCTGCTCTAACCCTGTCCAATTTCCATCTAATTTAATCCTTTTGTCTTCTAGCCACCCCCATCCAATTTCCCCCACATTTTACCTCCCAGTCTCCTCCAGACGCTTGCCAATTTCCCTCTGGTTCCCCTATTTCCTGCAGCCTATGCCAAATTTCCCTTTTCCAGCTGCCTGATTTTCCTCTAGTGTACAGCTAGGATTCTCTCCAATCAAACCACCTGATCTCCCTGTACCCCTGTTGCCCGATTTCCTTGTAACCTGCCAATAAATGTCCCCCTAGCCCTATTGCCTTATTATGATGACTGTATTGATAGCCTGTTTTCCAATGAGTCCTGTCGTCTGATTCCCTTTTCATTAAACTAATGTGCCTCCGTCACTACTGCTTTCTTTTTCTCCCTGTTGCCTTATTTCTTTCCGGCTCTGTCACCTGCTTCTCTTTTATCTCTGTTGGCTGGTTTCTATTTATCTTTTTCTTTCTTGTTTCCTTTTAATCCTTACCACCCAATTTCACTATAGTTTCTTTTGTAGTTGGGCACCCTGTTGGAGAGTTGACTTATCACCTGTTTTATTCCTAGGCTATTCTAATGAGAGAGGTACAGGGAACTCCGTGGCCGCCTGGGGCAGGGTGACTGTCTAGGACAGCATTCATCCCATTCCCCACCTGGCAAGGTGGCCAGGACTTGTGTGACTTTTTTTTTTTTTTTTTGAGACGGAGTCTCACTCTGTCACCCAGGCTGGAGTGCAGTGGCACAGCCTCGGCTCACTGCAACCTCCGCCTCCCAGGTTCAAGCAATTCTCCTGCCTCAGCCTCCTGAGTAGCTGGGACTACAGGCGCGTGCCACCACACTCAGCTAATTTTTTGTATTTTTAGTAGAGACGAGGTTTCACCGTGTTAGCCAGGATGGTCTCAAACTCCTGACCTGGTGATCCACCTGCCTCGGCCTCCCAAAGTGCTGGGATTATAGGGGTTAAGCCACCGCGCCTGGCCGACTTGTGTGATTTTCAGGGGCAGGACTTCCGTGCAATCTTCCGAGTCATGTCTGAGAAAGGGAGTAGAATGAGCTCAGTGGGTTGCCAGGACTGAAATGGAAATCAAGTGGCCTTTTCTTGAGGTGTTGGCCCCAAGGGAGGGAAAGGACATCCAGGTACTACTAGGTCCCCAAGGAACAGTCCTCAACCCTGGGGAGGTCCAGTCTTTACAGTCAGCCTTGGGGCTGCACCCTTGGCCCAGCCTGGCCGTGAGGACAGGGACTCACCCACAGCCGCAGTCCATCCATGCAAGGTTGGACTTTGGTAAGAGGTGTCAACAGCACCTAGGTCAGCAGCCACCACTGCTGACCACATGCGGTCACTGCAGATGTGCTGAGTGCTCTCCAGCTTGGGGGAACAAGTTGGACTGAGCCACCTCTTGGAGTGTGTAAACCCCAGGTTCTGTGTTTGCAACAACAGGAGAGAGAAGAGAATCCCCCACAAGTGTGGCAAACTGGATATTTCTGTTTACCTGGCAAAAGGAACTTGAACTAGGTTTGATTTGATTTAGAAAATAAAAAATCTGTCGGGCGCGGTGGCTCAGGCCTGTAATCCTAGCACTTTGGGAGGCCGAGGCGGGTGGATCACGATGTCAGGAGATCGAGACCATCCTGGCTAACATGGTGAAACCCCATCTCTACTAGAAATACAAAAAATTAGCCGGGCATGGTGACGGGCGCCTGTAGTCCCAGCTACTCGGGAGGCTGAGGCAGGAGAATGGCATGAACCTGGGAGGCGGAGCTTGCAGTGAGTCAAGATTGTGCCACTGCACTCCAGCCTGGGCAACAGAGTGAGACTCCGTCTCAAAAAAAAAAAGAAAAGAAAAAATCTACACTGGGTGTGGTGGTTCACGCCTGTAATCCCAGCACTTTGGGAGGCTGAGGCAGGTGGATCACCTGAGGTCAGGACTTCTAGACCAGCCTGGCCAACATGGCAAAACCCCGTCTCCACTAAAAATAAAATGCAAACATTAGCTGGGCGTGCTGGTGCACGTCTGTAATCCCAGCTACTCGAGAGGCTGAGGCACAAGAATCGCTTGAACCCGGGAAGTGGAGGTTGTAGTGAGCCGAGATTGCACCACTGCACTCCAGCCTGGGCGACAAAGTGAGACCCTGTCTCAAAAAAAAAAAAATCTGGATGTCACTATATTAGAACTTGAAACATGGAATAGTTCACACCACACACACCGAAGCCCAGTCTCTATCGAACCTCCTCCCTGCAATTTCCTTCTAACCTCTGGTCTGATTTCTTTTTCTAACAGAGCTGCTTATTTCATTGTTTCTGGGCTCCCTGTGCTTTCCTGTTTGATCTCCTTTTCTTCCTGCAGCCCAGCTAGTATCTAGTCCTGTCATCTGGAAAACCTGGTGTTTCTCTCTTTATCTTTACAACTTAAATTTATTTTTATCCCCTTATCTTCCCCACCCACCCTTGCCCATTAACATTTTATTCTTCTGCCCTGATTACTTTCTCCTCCCGCTGCCTGGTTTCCTTTTTATGTTTGCTACTACTATTTATTCTTGCTGCCTAATTTCTTTTTACTCATGCAGCCTGATTTCGTTTATCCTTATTGCTTGATCTTTTTTAGCCCTGTAGCCTGATATATTTTAACATTTGCTGTCTCATTTACTTCGTCCTTCTTGTCTGACTTCTTTTTATCACTGCTGTCAGATTTCATTGACCCTTTCTGCCAGAGTCTTGTTATCCTTGCTGCCTGATTTCTTTTACTTTTGCTCTCTGATTTCTTTTGGAACCTTCCAGCATCACTTATCAGTTGTGCTTCGGTGTAGGGTATTAGTAGGTGTACCCTCAACCCTCCCCTTGCCTCACTCCCCCACCCAAGCTACCCCAGTGCCTGGACCCTGCACCTGTAGACGAGGATGTCATCAGCCGAGCTGTTGTACTGGATCTGGTACATGCGGATGCCCGGGATAGGCCGCTGATCCGGCCACTGGACAAGAGCAGCTGTGGCCCCGTGCTCAGTCACCTGGACGCCACGGTCGGTAGGGGGCCCAGTGTCGGCCACCTTGGCAGAAGCAGAGGCAGCGGAGGGTGGGGTGAGAGCATCAGGATCCCCGTCCCGCGGGGGGTCACAGCTGGTGCTGTTGGCTAGCTGAGGAGGTGGTGGGGGACCCACAGTCAGCTCCACAGCAGCTGTGGCCTCGCCAGCTGCATTGGCCGCAATGCAGGTGAAGATGCCACCATCACCCGGCTCGGTGACCAGCAGCTCCAGCGTCCCATTGGGGAAGGCGCGGGCACGGCTTGAGTTGCCTAGCAGCCGGCCCTGGGGTGACACCCAACGCACACGGGGCTCTGGGTCCCCCACTGCCCGGCAGCGCAGGGCAGCCGGCCGACCTGCGGGCACAGCCAGAGGTGGTGAGCGGTGAGTCACCACGGGCGGCTCGCAGACAAACTCCTCCTCGCCCACCGCCCAGAAGTAGCGGCCGCCCAGAGCAGGTGGGGACGCGCAGGCCTCGAGGTCGTCCTCCCGCGCCAGGCGACGCAGCCACACCAGCTCGCAGTTGCAGTGCAGGGGGTTCCCGCCAAAGGCCAGCACCAGGGCAGAGGCGGGCGAGCCCCGGGGCCTGGCGAGCAGGGGCAGGCGGGAGAAGAGTGGGTCGGGTGGGATTGTGGTCAGGCGGTTGGAGGTCATGTCCAGCCGGGCCAGCTTGTGCAGGCGGGAAAAAGCGCCGGCGGGCACAGAAGCCAGCAGGTTGTGGTCGAGGCCCAACGTGTTGACGTTGCCCAGGCGGCCCAGGGCCTCCCAGGGCAGCTGCTCGAGGTTGTTGTAGGAGAGGTCGAGGTCCTCCAGTGTCTCGGCACAATCATCCAGGGCGCCGGCCGCCAGCGCTGCCAGCTGGTTGTTGCTGAGGATGAGGTGGCGCAAGTTGACCAGGCCGCGCAGCTGGCCCTCGCCCAGTGAGGTCAGCCGGTTGCCATCCAGGTGCAGGGCACGCAGGGCCCGCAGGTCGGCGAAGGCGCCGGCAGCCACGTGGCGGATGGTGTTCCGCGACAGGCTCAGATGCAGCAGGCCTGTCATGTTGGCCAGGTCGCGGCGGCGCACGGAGGCGATGAAGTTGTCTGCCAGCCGCAGCTCGGCTGCCCGGCGGTCCAGCGAGGGTGGCACGAACAGGAGGCCTGCCCCTGGGCACAGCACGCTTAGGGGCAGCGACTGTGTCTGGCAGCGGCAGCGGCGGGGACATGGGCTGGGTGTGGCTGACTGGGGTGGGGATGAGGCAGGGGCCAGCGGCAGCAGGCACAGGAGCAACGGGAGGATGGCCATCGCGGGCAGGGGTGTCCTGCGGAGAAGAGGGGAGGCGTGAGGGCAGAAGAGGGGTTCTGCAGGGGCTGGGGGTGGTCTGAGACCAGGAGAGAAGGTCACAGTGGGCTGAGGGCAGAAGGGCTGGTCAAAGACCGTCAGATGTGACCAAAAGCCAGAGGAAGGCCAGGCGCGGTGGCTCACACATGTAATCCCAGCATTTGGGGAGGCTGAGGCAGGAGGATGGCTTGAGGCCAGGAGTTCAAGACCAGCCTGGGCAACAAAGTGAGACCGTGTATCTATTATACAAAAATTTTTAAAAATTAGCTAGGCATGGTGGCGCCCACCTGTGGTCCTAGCTACATGGGACACTGAGGTGGGAGGATCAATTTGAGCCCAAGAATTTGAGGCTGCAGTGAGCTATGATTGCGCCACCACACTCCAGCCTGGGCAACAGAGCGTGACTCTGTCTCTCCAAAAGAAAAAAGTAAAGAAATGGTCAGAGAAATGACAGCTGGTCTGGGTGAGTGGCAGGAAAACCAGAGGGCTTTAGACGTGGTCAGAGATGGTAAAAGCTGGCCATGGGGAGACGGGGCAGCCAGGGTGGCAACAATGATCAGAAGTGGTCAGATATGACCAGAGAAGAGAAGGGGTTACAGATGGTCAGGAAGATGAGCAGTGGACAAAGAGAAGGGAGGGCATGGGTTGGGCTCAGATCTGGGGGAGATGACCATGTCAGAGACACGTGGTCAGAAACGGCCCAAAGCCAGCAAGGTGGTCAGAGAGGAGGAAAAGGACAGACATGGCAGAGTCAGTGGGAGCCCAGGACAGCTGCTCAGGAGGATGGTGCGGGGAGAGGTCATCGGAGAGAGGAAAGGCAGCAGAGATGTTCGAGATGATCAGAGGGCATCAGCAAGTGAGAGAGGAGAGGTGGCCAGAGATTATCAGAGGGCATCAGTGAGTGAGAGAGAGAGAAGAGGTGGCCAGAGATGATCAGAGGGCATCAGCGAGCGAGAGAAAAGAGGTGGGCAGAGATGATCAAGAGGGCATCAGTGAGTGAGAAAGAGAGAAGAGGTGGCCAGAGATGATCAAGAGGGCATCAATGAGTGAGAGAGAGAGAAGAGGTGGCCAGAGATGATCAGAGGGCATCAGTGAGTGAGAGAGAGAGGAGAGGTGGCCAGAGATGGTCAGACAGTTGCAGACTGGGAGTTAGGGTCAGGGGTGGGAGGAGGGCAAGAGCAGTGGGAGAGATGGCCAGAGAAAGGGAAAGGTGGCCAGAGGAAGCTAGAGAGGAGAGATGGACAGAGGCTGCTGGAGAGAAGAGTGGTGGACAGCAATGTCAAAGATGGATGGGGACGGTCACAGACCTAGGCTTAGATTCAGGGGTGGAGAAGGAGCAAGAGAGCTGGTGAATGATGATTAGAGAGAGGCACAGTGGACACAGATGTCAGCGATGGTCACTGAGAAGCAGCAGGCAGAGGCGACTGGAGAGAGGACCTGTGGACAGGGGTGTCACAAAGATGATCAGAGAGAGAAAAAGGGAACAGAGATGGCCATTGAGAGGACAGGTGGAGAAAGGAGCCCAGAGAGAGGAGTGGTGGACAAGAGAGGTGGCGGAGACGGTCGGACCGGATAGACAGCGAAAGGCTGTAAGGGTTGCAGGGGTCAGAGACCTGGAGGTCCCATCAACTGAGGCAGGGAAGGTCAGAGAGGGGCAAGGATGGCCAGTGTCCAGAGAGTGTTTGGAGCAGAGCAGGAGCTGAAGGCAGACCCATGGGGGAATGTCTTTTTTTCTGGAGAAACCCCAAGAGTGTCAAAGGGTACCTGGTACCGTAACCCGCAGCCACAATGCTCCTCCCAGCCCGTCCCCACCTTGAGGTTTCAGCAGCCTTACCTGAGCTAGAAGCAGCCCCAGGGAGCAGAGTCCTAGCTCCAGGGGAGTCAGAGGTCAGGGCTCTGGAGGGAGCATCTGGTCATGCTTTTCCTGTCCCCAAGGCTTCTGTAGAGGGACTGTGTCCTGACTCGGCTCAAATCTGTGGCAACGGAGTCTCCAGACCTTAATACTCGGGGTTCCAGACCCCTAAATATTGGGCCTCTAGGGTCCAGTTTTACGGGTCCAGTTTGGGTTGTTCAGGGTCAGGGTCTCCCAGGTCCAGTCTTGGGATGCTAAGCAGCCAAACGGTGGGGTTTAGAGTCTGAGATCCGATCCCGGGGTTCTGCATTCAGATATTGGGGTGCTGAGTCAAGATTGGGAGGTCTCAAGCCCCAGATTTAAGCACTCAGGTCTGCAGCAAGGACTTCAGGCCCAAACTCGGGTTCAGGCCCCTTGGAATCCCACAGTCCAGATCTTGGAATTTGAGGCCTGAATCCCAGGGTTCAGGTCCCCAAGAGTGGGTTCCAGGGTACAGTACTGGAAATCCAGTCCCAGATTTCAAGGTCCCAGGCCCAGAATTCAGAGTTCAGCTCCAGGCTTGAGGTTTTAGATGTCAAATCTTGGGGTTCTGCTCCAAATATTGGGGTCTGTGTTCCAAATTGTGGGGTTCCGGCTCCAAATATTGAGGTCCCAGTGACCGATGTTGAGATTCCAGCCCCATATACTGGGGTTCAGGCTCCAGATCTTGGGGTTCCACGGCCGGATCTCGGGGTGCTGGTCCCAGATCAGGGTTCCAGGCTCGGGTTTCCGGAATTCCCGATTCAATCTGGGGGTGCAGGCCCCCGAGGTGGAGGTTAGGGCGCGGGGTCCGGGGCGGCGGCGTCCCGGCTGGCTTCCTGGGCTGCGGCGGAGGCTGACTGGGAGGGAGGGGACCGGCTGCGGTGGGGAGGGGGGCGACCGGGCAGCCCCAGGGCCGGGTGGGGCGAGGCCTGGGAGCGGAGGGACGGTCAGACAGACTGGGACACGCGGGATGGGGGCACCGCAGCGCAGGCGGGGGCGCAGGGGGGAGGGGCCGCGCTCAGAGACCCCTCCCCCGCCGGGGCCGAGGCGGGGGCCGGGCGGGGGCCGGGCTGGGCGGGCCGGGTCCAGGCGCTCCCGCGGCCTCCTCGCCGGCAACCCAGGGCAGCGCGCGCACCGGCGCTTAAAGGCGCAGGCTCCGCGCGCACCCGCGCTTAAAGGCGTAGGCACCCGCCCCTTCTCTCAAAGACGCGCCCCGGCCCCACCTCCCATGGAGTCGCACTGGCGCTGCTGGGAAAGAGAATCCCTGGATACAGAGAGACTGAGACAGAGAGACAGAGAAGAACGGAGATACAGAAAGGCAGACAAAAAGATGGGCAGGCTTAGATTGATGGATAGAGAGGAGAAAATGGAAAGAGGCAGAGAGACAGATTGAAACACACACATATTCGAGACATGGAAATGCACAGAGACAGCGAGACACAGAGAGTGATGGAGAGACAAGAGATAAGGACAAGTCAGAGAAAGACAGAAACAGAGATAGAGACGTGCGTGCGCGCGCACACACAGACACACACATACACACTCACACGCTCTAAGACGCAGCACCTGGGCTGTGAGAATGGTATGTGTGTATGTGCATTCAGTAACTATTCCTAGCCTTGAGTGTAGCGCTTCATTCCAGAGCCACTGGCCCCCCAAACCTGTCTCTTTCTGCCCCCCTTATCTCAGCACCACCTCCCTGGAATGTCCTTTCCACGGTTGGAGTTTCCTTACCTGGCCATGCCCAGCAATAGGCTTGATCTTTCAGGCCAGAGGGGCTCCTTCCCAAGGCTCCTTTCTCTGCCTGCAAGAGGGAAAACTTGTGCCATCTGGGATTAGGGAAAGACCTCAAGACACACTGACAGCCGGGGGCGGTGGCTCACGCCTGTAATCCCGGCTCGTTGGGAGGCCAAGGCGGGCGGATCTTTTGAGATCAGGCGTTGGAGACCAGCCTGGCCAACATGGAGAAACCCCGTCTCTACTAAAAATACAAAAATTAGCCGGGTGTGGTGGCGGACGCCCGTAATCCCAGCTACTCGGGAGGCTGAGGCAAGAGAATTGCTTGAACCCGGGAGGTGGAGATTGTAGTGATCTGAGATCCAGCCATTGCACTCCAGCCTGGGTGACAGAGTGAGACTCTGTCTTTAAAAGAAAGAAAGAAAGAAAGAAAAGCAGAGAGGGATGCCTTGCCTTGCAGGAGCCAGGCCAGGTGTCCTTGCAGTGCAGCCCACCAGGATCACCCGGGGGCACCATAGATCTCCAGGTCCCAACCTCAGAGTTTCTGGTTCAGTGGGTCTGAGGTGGGACCCAAACATTTGCATTTTTAACGAGTACCCAGGTGATGCTAATGTGACTTTTCAAAGACCATACTTTTTTTTTTGAGACAGGGTCTTGCTTTGTCACCCAGTACATTGGTGCAATCATAATTGACTGCAACCTCAAATTCCTGGGCTCAAGCAATCCTCCCACCTCAGGCTCCAGAGTAACTGAGACTACAGGCATGCATCGCCATATCCAGCTAATTTTTAAAATTTCTTGTAGAGACAGGGTCTCAATATGCTGCCCAGGCTGGTCTTGAACTCTTGGCCTCAGGCAATCCTCCCTCCCAGGCCTCCCAAAGTGTTGTGATTACAGGTGTGAGCCACTACACCTGGTCAGGGACCACATTTTGAGAACAGCTGGGCTGAACCAGGGCTATCTGCACTGCACACGGAACTGTCTACCACAACAGCTATGCTAAAACCTGGTGGGTTGAGGGCATGTAGCACCGCAGATGTGTACCAAAGAGACAAATGTATTTAGAGACATAAAGAGGAATTCAGTCTATAAGGGACTTAAACAATGCAACAAGCAAAAAACAAATAACCCCATTTTATTATTATTTTATTTATTTATTTATTTTTGAGACAGAGTCTAGCTCTGTTGCCCAGGCTGGAGTGCAGTGGTGTGATCTTGGCTCACCGCAAGCTCCACCTCCCGGGTTCACGCCATTCTCCTGCCTCAGCCTCCCGAGTAGCTGGGACTAGAGGCGTCTGCCACCATGCCCAGCTAATTTTTTTGGTATTTTTATTAGAGACAGGGTTTCACCATGTTAGCCAGGATGGTCTTGATCTCCTGACCTCGTGATCTGCCCGCCTCGGCCTCCTAAAGTGCTGGGATTACAGGCGTGAGCCACAGTGTCCGGCCTATTTATTTATTTATTTTTTTAGACAGAGTCTTACTTTGTTGCCCAGGTTGTAGTGCAGTGGCATAATCTTGGCTCACTGCAACCTCTGCCTCCTTGGTTCAAGTGATTCTCCTGCCTCAGCCTCCCAAGTAGCTGGGATAACAGGCACCTACCACCATGCCTAGCTAATTTTTGTATTTTTAGTAGAGATGGGGTTTCGCCATGTTGGCAAGGCTGGTCTTGAACTCCTGACCTCAGGTGATACCCCCCACCTCGGCCTCCCAAAGTGCTGGGATTACAGGTGTGAGCCACTGCGCCCAGCCCCCATCTCTTTTTTTTTAAGACAGAGTCCTGCTCTGTCGCCCAGGCTGGAGTGCAGTGGCATGATCTCGGCTCACTGCAATCTCCACCTCCTGGGTTCAAGCTATTCTCCTGCCTCAGCCTCCCGAGTAGCTGGGATTACAGGCATGCACCACCACGCTTGGCTGATTTTTATTTTGAGACGGAGTCTCACTCTGTCACCCAGGCTGGAGTGCAGTGGCGTGATCTTTGCTCACTACAACCTCCGCCGCCCGGATTCAAGCGATTCTTCTGCCTCAGCCTCCCGAGTAGCTGGGATTACAGGCATGTGCCACCATGCCCGGCTAATTTTTGTATTTTTAGTAGAGATGGGGTTTCACCATGTTGGCAAGGCTGGTCTTGAACTCCTGACCTCAGGTGATACCCCCACCTCGGCCTCCCAAAGTGCTGGGATTACAGGTGTGAGCCACTGCGCCCAGCCCCCATCTCTTTTTTTTTTAAAGACAGAGTCCTGCTCTGTCGCCCAGGCTGGAGTGCAGTGGCATGATCTCGGCTCACTGCAACCTCCACCTCTTGGGTTCAAGCTATTCTCCTGCCTCAGCCTCCTGAGTAGCTGGGATTACAGGCATGCACCACCACGCTTGGCTGATTTTTATTTTGAGACGGAGTCTCGCTCTGTCACCCAGGCTGGAGTGCAGTGGCATGATCTTGGCTCACTACAACCTCCGCCACCCGGATTCAAGCGATTCTTCTGCCTCAGCCTCCCGAGTAGCTGGGATTACAGGCACGTGCCACCATGCCCTGCTAATTTTTGTATTTTTAGTAGAGATGGGGTTTCACCATGTAGGCCAGGCTGGTCTCAAACTCCTGACCTCAGATGATCCACCCACCCCAGCCTCCCAAAGTGCTGGGATTACAGGCGTGAGCCACTGTGCCTGGCCATTTTTAAAAAAATTTTTAGTACAGATGGGTTTTCACCATGTTGGCCAGACTGGTCTCGAACTCCTGACCTCAGTTGATCCGCCCACCTCAACCTGGGATTACAGTGCTGGGATTACAGGCATGAACCACTGTGCCCGCCCTTTTTTTTTTTTCTTTAAGAGAAATGGTCTTGCTTTGTCGCTGAGGCTGCCATGCAGTGGCATGATCATAGCTCCCTGCAGCCTCAAACTCCTGGGCTGAAGGGATCCTCCCACCTCAGCCTCTCAAGTAGCTGGGACTACAGGAGCATGCCACCATGCCAGGCTAATTGTTTTATTTTTCATGGAGACACGGGGTCTCGCTATGTTGCCCAGGTTGGTCTCAAACTCCCAGACCCAAGCAATCTTCCCGCCTCAGCCTCCCAAAGTGTTGGGATTACAGGCGTGAGCCACTGCACCCAGCTGGGACAACATTTGAAGAGAAGGTCACCTGGACATAAAGGAACAGGCCTATTTAGGCAAGAAAATAATCCCTGGATGGAGATCCCTGTGCAAATCAGGAACCTAAAGACTCCAGCTGTTGACACAAACCACTGCTGATTCAAGTGCTAATCAGAAATCTGATCCCTGTGAACAGAAACCTGTGCTGATTCATGTGCTAACTATAAATCTATGTTGATTGTCAACTTTGTCCTGAAGCAGGTCTAAGTCACAAATTTGGGCAGGAACAAGCGCTGGTAATCAGCGACTCAAAGAGATTCACATGTTAATGACCATCTTGACTTGATTCATGTGCTAATTACAATTTTAGGATAACTGAATAGGGTGATGAGATATTCCTATGAAGAAGAGCCCAGACTTGGTAGCCCGACAGCCTAGTTCAAATCCCAGCTCTGCCACTGACATGTTGAATAACTTTGAGCAAGTGATTCGCGTTTCTGGGCTTCAGCTTCACTCCTAGAAAGGAGGGCTGATAATATCTCGAATGGTGGCTGGGAGGATTGAATGGGCTAAGATACCTGAAGCGCAGGGAGCGGTAAGTGGCCTAGGAAGTGCCTACTGTGTGAGTCTTAGGTGTAACAGTAGCCTGATTATCATATGCAGCCAACAGGTGCTGCTCTGTCATTCGGTCCTCATAGCGGGCCCCACCTCCAATTTCTTCATTACTACTACCCTTTCGTGGGCCAGGTTCAGGGGACTTACCCTCTGGAAAATCTTCCCAGAGGTTTCCAGGGCGACCCTCAGCATCCCCAGCACCGTCCCCGCCCCTAACCCTACCCTTCTGGGCCCCATTCCCAAACCGGAGCATGATCACTCAGCCACCACGTGGAGGCAGCAACGCATCGCTTAGCCGCTGCGCGCGCGGCGCATTGTGGGGTGCATAGTCTCGCGAGCCGGTTGAGCGGTGGTTCCGGCCTGGCAGACGAACTACATTTCCCAGAAGACCACGCGACACCCTCTGCCTCACCTTGTTCCAATGTGGAGGCAGAGGCCACACCCACTCCTAGCGCGCCTCCGGAACGGCGCGGGGGATTGTGGGGTGTAGGGACTGGGCGCCGCGCCCGAAAAGGGCGGTGCTGCGCAGGCGCGGGAGGCCGCTGAGCCTGCCCGACGTCAGCACGTGGGTGTGGACCTAAGTCCCGGTCCAGGACCAGAAGCTGCAGCCTCCAGAGCTGCAGAGAAGGCAGCCGCGGGAGCAAGAGCTAGACCGACTATTGAATGTGCCCTGCAGCCACCCTGGCGCCTTCTCACTCTCTTGCATCCCAACGTCCTTGTCAGCTGTGGAGCCTGTTAAAGGCGCTTCGATCCTGGGGGGAAAAAACACACAATTTCCCTACTTTTTTCTCTTTTTCACAGCAGTCCCCCTTTTAAAGCCTTATTAATGTTCAGTCGTACACAGAAATAGAATAATGTAATGATCCTCTAAGTACCCATCACCCAGCTTCAACAATTATCAACATATGGCCAATCTTGTTTTATTTATTCCACCTCCCCCAAAGTTAGTTTAAAGCAAATCCCAGACATCACATGATTTCATCCATTATGTATCTCTAAAATATAAGGTTCTTAAAAAAACATTACTATAACATTTTTATCGCACCTAAAAAACCAACAAATCCTTAGTAGTGTCTTAACATTCATCCTGTCTCCAAATTTCCCTAAATGTCATAGAAATGTCTTTAAACTGTTGGCTTGTTCAAATTAGAATCCGACCAGGGTGCCTGCATTGTACATTGTATTTGTTTGTTACCTCTTTAAGTCTTCTATTTTATAACTGTTCCCTCTCCCTCTCATTCATCTCAGTCTAATTTTTTAATTTTATACTTTTTTTTTTTTTTAAGATGGAATCTCTCTTTTGTCACCCAGGCTGGAGTGCAATAGCACGATCTCAACTCACTGCAACCTCCACCTCCCAGGTTCAAGCGATTCCCCTGCCTCAGCCTCCTGAGTAGCTGGGATTACAGGCATGGGCCACTGCACCAGGGTTTCACCATGTTGGCCAGGCTGGTCTCGAACTCCTGACCTCAGGTGATTCTCTGGCCTTGACCTCCCAAAGTGCTAGGATTACAGGTGTGAGCCACCGCACCTGGCCAAAATTTTATACTTTTTTTTTTTTTAATAGAGACAGGGTCTCACTGTGTTGCCCAGGCTGGTCTCAAACTCTTCAGCTCAAGCGATCCTCCTGCCTCGGCCTCCCAAAGTGTGATTTTTTTTTTTGTTTTTTACAAATTTTAATTTTTTCCTTTCTTTTTGACACTATCCACCTATAAATAATCTCTTCTCAGTCTGATTTGACTGGTTTCCCCTCTTGGTGTCCTTTAATATGTTCTGCCATCCTCTGTATGTCTTGCAAACTGGTAGATCTAGAGGCTGAGTCAGATACACATTCAGTTTGGGGTTAAGTATACTTCAGGGATAATATTAAGATCTCCTATCAGAAGGGACATAATATGTGGTTGTCTTTTTTTGTGCTGCTAATATCTGGTGTTGGTTTTGAGTTTTGTTAGCCAGATCTCTCTATTGGTGTTAAAACCACACCCAAACTTCAGGAAGGAAGTGTTCATATACTCTCTCTCTCTCCATTTCACAAAAATGAAACTTTTTATTGCCAAAGCTCATCCTCGTTGCTAAATTCAAGAGGCAAGTCTCCACCTTCAACTCACTATCCCCGCAACAGTGGCCACCATTCCAGGCCTGTCCTGTGCTGTCCAGTATGGTAGCCACTAGTCACACATGTGGCTATTGAAGACAAGTCCTAATTGTGATGTGTTGCAAATATAAAATATACACAGGGATTTCGAAGACTTAATAGGAAAAAAGAATGTAAGCCGGGTGGGGCGGCTCATGCCTGTGATCCTAGCACTTTGGGAGGCCAAAGCGGGTGGATCGTTTGAGGTCAGGAGTTCGAGACTAGCCTGGCCAACATGGTGAAACCCTGACTCTACTGAAAATACAAAAATTAGCTGGGTGTGATGGCATGTACCTGTAATCCCAGCTACTCAGGAGGCTGAGGCAGGAGAATAACTTGAACCCGGGAGGCAGAGGTTGCAGTGAGCTGAGATCATGCCACTGCACTCCAGCCTGGGCTACAGAGAAACTCGGTCTCAAATAAAAAGAAAAAAAAAAAAGTAGCTCAGTCATTTATAAAATATTGATAACATGTTGAAATAGTATTTTGGATATGTTTATATAAATATTATCTATTTATTATTGTTATTATTATTATTTTGAGACAGAGTTTCACTCTTGTTGCCCAGGCTGGAGTGCAATGGCACAATCTCGGCTCACCGCAACCTCCGCCTCCTGGGTTCAAGCGATTCTTCTGCCTCAGCCTCCCGAATAGCTGGGATTACAGGCATGTGCCACCACGCCCGGCTAATTTTCTGTATTTTTAGTAGAGACGAGGTTTCTCCATGTTGGTCAGGCTGGTCTCAAACTCCCAGCCTCAGGTGATCCACCCGGCTCGGCATCCCAAAGTGCAGGGATTACAGATGTGAGCCACCATGCCCAGCATATCTATTAATTATTAGCAAAATAATTAAATTCAAGTGACATATTTTATTAACTTACTTTCACTTGTGGCTGGACACAGTGGCTCACAGCTGTGATCCTAGCACTTTGGGAGTCTCAGACAGGAGGATCGCTTGAGTCTGGGAATTTGACACCAGCCTGGGCAACTTAGTGAGACCCCACATATTAAAAAAAAAATCTTTAAAAAATTAGCCAGGTGGGATGGTGCACCCTGTAGTCCCAGCTACTCAGAAGGGTGAAGCAGGATGATCACTTGAGCCCGGGAGATTGAGGCTACAGTGAGCCGTGACTGCACCACTGCACTGCAGCGTGGGTGAGACAACAAGACCCTGTCTCAAAAAAAAAAAAGGTGTTTTTCTAGACCAGTGGTTTTCAAAGTGTGACCTCTGCCAGCAGCATTAGCATCACATGACAATTTGTCAGAAATTCAAATTCTCTGTTGTTCTAGATCTACTGAACCAGAATCTCTGGGGGACCCAGCAGTCTGCATGTTAACAAGCCGACCATGCCTGTCTGTCTTTTTTTTTTTTTTTGAGTCTCACTCTGTCACCCAGGCTGAAGTGCAGTAGTGCAATCTCCGCTTACTGCAACCTCCAACTCCCAGGTACAAGTGATCCTCCTGCCTCAGCCTCCCGAGTAGCTGGGATTACAGGTGCCCACCACCACGCCTGGCTAATTTTTGTATTTTTAGTAGAGACGGGGTTTCACCATGTTGGCCAGGCTGGTCTCAAACTCCTGACCTCAAAAGATCCGCCCGCCTCAGCCTCCCAAAGTGCTGGGATTACAGGCGTGAGCCATCGAGCCCCAGAAATGTAGTTATAATTAAACATAATCAGGTTGCACTTTGGTCCACTTCCTTGTTGCTAAAAGTCAGGTGGTACTAGACCCCCATTGTTCCTATAGATAGGATTTCTTTCTTTCTCTTCCTTTCCTCTCCTCTCCTCTCCTCTCCTCTCCTCTCCTCTCCTCTCCTCTCCTCTCCTTTCTTTCTGACAGAGTTTTGCTCTTGTTGCCTAGGCTGGAGCGCAGTGGCATGATGTCAGCTCACTACAACCTCTCGTTCCCGGGTTCAAGCGATTCTCCTGCCTCAGCCTTCTGAGTAGCTGACATTACAGGCATCTGCCACCACGCCCAGCTAATTTTTGTATTTTTAGTAGAGACGGGGTTTCACCATGTTGTCCAGGCTGGTCTCAAACTCCTGACCTCAGGTGATCCACCTGCCTCGGCCTCCCAAAGTGCTGGGATTACAGGGGTGAGCCACTGTGCCTGGCCTATAGATAGGATGTCTGACATTAGGGTCATAAGATCATTTAATTGACTTGCATCTCCATTGTTCCCACAGGCAGGATCTCTGACATTAGAATCTTAAGGCTTTTTTAAAAAAGATCACTTGAGTTGTTTATCAGACCCCCAAATTCCAGCAACCAATGTGAAGACCCCCACAGAGGACTGCCAGTAGTATGAGAATACTGCTTCTTCCTCTCCATGTCCCTAAACTTCACCCGGCAGTCTTCCAACAATGATATCCACACTTTGTCTCACCCCCAAATCCTTAAAAATCCTTGCCCCACGTGGTGGCTCACGCCTGTGATCCCAGCACTTTGGGAGGCCGAGACGGGCAGATCACAATGTCAGGAGATGGAGACCATCCTGGCTAACACGGTGAAACCCCGTCTCTACTAAAGATACAAAAAAATTAGCCGGGCGTGGTGGCAGGCGCCTGTGGTCCCAGCTGCTCGGGAGGCTGAGGCAGGAGAATGGCGTGAACCCAGGAAGCGGAGCTTGCAGTGAGCTGAGATGGCGCCACTGCACTCCAGCCTTGGCGACAGAGTGAGACTCCATCTCAAAAAAAAAAAAAAAAAAAAAAAATCCTTGCTCCAGATTCCTGAGGGAGATGAATTTGAGCTTCTCTCCCATGTTGTTATTTGTTGACCCTACAACTAATCCTCTTTCTCAGCTGCAACTGGCTGTCTTGATTTGCTGTGTGCATCGGGTAATGGACAAACTGGTTGCACAAACTCCTGCCCATGGCTCCTGTGACCACAGCAACTTCTCCATCCTCGTATCATCTCCCCATGATCCTGCTCTTTTTGCCCCATGTTGCTGCTCTTTTTGCTCAACCTTCTCCCTGTTCCTCAGGCACTCCCAGCTCTTTCCTGCCTTGGGTCTTTGTGATAGCCATTCCTCTTCTGGGAGCACGGTTCTCCCAGATCTTTGCAGGGCAGGCTCCCTCTTTTCCTTCTCTTTTGCTCTGATGCCTTTGCCTCAGAGCTGCCATTGTGCCACCCCAGTGAAAGCCTAACTTCCTTGTACCCACGTTCACACAGCACCCACCTTTCATTCTCTGCATGGCATGTCCCGCATCCTGTTCTTCCTCTTCATTGGGATTTGCAGCCTGGGCGCGGTGGCTCATGCCTGTAATCCCAGCACTTTGGGAGGCTGAGGTGGGAGGATCACTCGAGGCCAGGAGTTGGAGACCAGCCGGGGCAACATAGTGAAATCCTGTCTCTACAAAATGAATAAATAAATAAATAAAATAAATAGAAATACCTGGGTGTGGTGGCCTGTGCCTATAGTCCCAGCTACTCAGAAGGCTGAGGCAGGAGGATCACTTGAACCTAGCAGTTAGAAGCTGCAGTGAGCTATGATTGCACCACTGCACTCCAACCTGGGTAACTGAACGAAACTGTCTGTAATAAATAAATAAATAAACAACAACAACAATGACAAAAACACAGGGGGACATGAACACCTGGAGATGGAGATGGTTAAGTAGGGAAGGAGGAGCTGAGGGGCCCAGTGGGAGTCAGTGAAGAAACTGGAAATTAGCAGCAGAGGGAAGCTGCCTCCACCGTAAGTTGGAGGAACAAAGGGAGGAGGTGGTGTCACCGGAGCCCAGAGATAAGGTTTCCTAGTAGAAGCTGGGAACACAGTGGGATTGTCTGGCTGGCAGGAGCTGGGGCTCTAGAGGAGGCATAACTACCAGGAGAAGGAGGAGAATGACCCTTGGGGAGTGGAATGACCCTGGCTGCTTGTTCTGGTCCTCCAGCCTCCTACCTGAGCTTCCCATTGATTCAACCCCAGCTGGAGGGAAGACTGGAAATAGCAGCCTAGGATGGGGGAAGAAAGGGGAGGGCAAGGAACAAATCTGGGGAGACATACAGCTCAGGGCAGTGCAGCACAGGTTCCCCAGTGCCTCAGGGCTCCCACCGCACCTGCTCACCTGCACCAGGCCCAACTCACTGTTTACATTAAACATCTGGATGCTGTAGGGTTAGAGTGAGGGTTGAGTTTGCAAACCCAGTGTTTCAGTTATCTATTGCTGCGTAACAAATTATCCCCAAGTGAAGTGGCTTATTTTAGTTTCCCTCTGAGTTTTTGGGTCAGGAATTTAGGAAGGGCTCAGCAGGGTGGTTCTTGCTTGGTGTTACTCATGTGGTGAAGTTAGATGTTGGAGGGAGCTGGAGTCATGTGAAAGTTCAACCAGGCTGATGTCCAAGGTGGCTGATGTCCATGGTTGGCAATGTCACTGGCTGTTGGTTTCGAGCTCAGCTGGGCTGTTGAGTGGGGCCAGAACTGGCTGAGCAATCCTCCTGCCTTGGCCTCCCAAAGTGCTGGGATTACAGGTGTGAGCCACCACGCTCAGCTGCATATTGTATTTATTCATTTATTTTCCCACTTATTCATTCAGTAATTCATTCTTTTGCCAGATATTTCTTGAGATCCTGCCATGTGCCAGGCTCTAGGTGCTGTGGATAGAGCCTGGTTACAAGATAGTAACATCATGAAGCTCACATAATTTAAAGTGTGTTTCAGTGTAAGAACAATCTTGATGGGTAATGTACCAGAATGACTGGCCAAAGACAGAGCAGAAGAGCAAGAATGCATTATAGAACAGAAGCATAATGTCACAGCAGTTGGATTTCTGTCTTAGCCATTTGAGGTACAAATATTAATTTGGAGACTGATAAATGAAAATAAATTCCAGATGGACTAGAGTAAAATGTGGGAAGAGGCTGGGTGTGGTGGCTCACACCTGTTATTCCAGCATTTTGGGAAGCCAAGGCAAGAGGATCCCTTGAGCTCAGGAGTTCAAGACCAGCCTGGGCAACATGGTGAAATCCTGTCTCTAATAAAAAATACGAAAATTAGCCAGGTGTGGTGGTGCATGCTTGTAGTCCCAGCTACTCGGGGGGCTGGGGCAGGAAGATCTCTTGTGCCCAGGAGATTACAGCAAGCTGTGATCTGTCATTGCACTCCAGCCTGGATGATAGGGTGAGACTGTGTCTCTTTAAAAAAAAATTTTTTTAAAGGAAAACAAGAAAAATAGTTAACATCCTTAAGGTAATGAAAACATTAATAAATTTAATATGAGAAGGCAATCAGCCAAAAGAGAAATGGGCAAATGAGAGGAAAAGACAGATCACAAAAGAAAAAAATAGTTAACATCCTTAAGGTAATGAAAACATTAATAAATTTAATATGAGAAGCCAATCAGCCAAAAGAGAAATGGGCAAATGAGAGGAAAAGACAGATCACAAAAGAAAAAAATAGTTAACATCCTTAAGGTAATGAAAACATTAATAAATTTAATATGAGAAGCCAATCAGCCAAAAGAGAAATGGGCAAATGAGAGGAAAAGACAGATCACAAAAGAAATACAAATAGCTGAAATTGATCAAAGCCAAGTTTACCACCAGTAATAACTGAACTTGAAGTACTGAAACCCTCCTCTTTGCCGTCAAATCAGCAAAGATATCAGAAATCTGGTTCCCTATAGCCAAGGAGAGCACAGCGACATGGGAGACCCCACTCCCATTGCTGGCTGCAAACGAGGATGACCTTTCGGAAGAACTGGGCAGCCTGCATCCAAAGCCTGAAAATGCGCATATCTGTTGTTCCATTATTTCTACTTCTAGGAATTTACTTCCTGGAAGTACTCCAGCAAGTAGGAAAAGATTTCATTACAAGGATTTTTATGACGCCATAAATTATTTATTTAAGTATTTTTTTTGAGACAGGGTCTCACTCTGTCACCCAGGCTGGAGTGCAGTGGCGCAATCTCCGCTTACTGCAACCTCCACTTCCCAGGTTCAAGCAATTCTCCCACTTCAGCGTCCTGAGTAGCTGGGATTACTGGTGTGTGCCACCATGCCCAGCTAATTTTTGTATTTTTGGTAGAGACGGGGTTTCACCACATTGACCAGGCTGGTTTCGAACTCCTGACCCCAGATGATCCACTCACGTCGTATTTTTTTTATTTCATGTATGTAGAGATGTTATATTGCCCAGGCTGGTCTTGAACTCTTGGCCTCAAGTGATTCTCTTGCCTTGGCCTTCCACTGAACCCAGCCTCAAGACTGGTGTTTCTAAAGAGATTCAGGAATATGAGAAATGGATCATGTTTCATGAGCACTGTTTGTTAGACAAGAAATACAAGTAGCTGAAATTGATAATAGTGGCTTAAGCAAAATCGAACTTTATTTCTCTCCTACAAATTGACCAAACATAAAGAATGCAGAATTGGTGTGAAGGCTTCACGGAGTCAGAGATCCAGGTGGCTTCCACTTTTGTGCTACTATCCCTGGGAAAGCACTGGCCTGAAAGATCCAGGATGGCTCCCAGGCAGGGGGAAGAGGAAAAGGGAAACAGATTCGCCCCCACAGCTCTTTCTAAATACAAGTGAACTGAGAAATGAAATCTAAGCTTTAATGTTTAATTTATTCTGGGCTAGGCACGGTGGCTCACGCCTGTAATCCCAGGACTTAGGGAGGCCGAGGTGGGCAGATCACAAGGTCAAGAGATCAAGACCATCCTGGCCAACATGGTGAAACCCCGTCTCTACTAAAAATACAAAAATTAGCTGGGCGTGGTGGTGGGCACCTGTAATCCCAGCTACTCGGGAGACTGAGGCAGGAGGATCACTTGTACCTGGGAGTTGGAGGTTGCAGTGAGCCGAGATTGTGCCACTGCACTCCAGCCTGGTGACGGAGCGAGACTCTGTCTCAAAAAAAAAAAAAAAAAAAAAAAAAGCCAGTTGCGGTGGCTCACGCTTGTAATCCCAGCACTTTGGGAGGCCGCGGTGGGTGGATCACTTGACATCAGGAATTCAAGACCAGCCTGGCCAACATGGCGAAACCCTGTCTCTACTAAAAATACAAAAATTAGCCAGACATAGTGGTGCGTGCCTGTAATCCCAGCTACTAGCGGGGCTGAGGCAGGAGGATCGTTTGAACTTGGGAGGCGGAGGTTGCAGTGAGCCAAGATCACACCATTGCACTCCAGCCTGGCCAACAGAGCGATACTGCGTCTCAAAAAACAAAAAATAAAACAAAACAAAAAATGTATTGTGCCCTGGCCAGGTGTGGTGACTCACACCTGCAATTCCAGCACTTTCGGGAGGCTGAGGCAGGTGGATCACCTGAGTCCGGGACTTTGAGATCAGCCCGGGCAACATGGCGAAACCCGGTCTCTACTAAAAATACAAAAATTAGGCGGGTGTGGTGGCACACGCCTATAACCTCAGCTACTGGGGAGACTGAGGCAGAAGAATCACTTGAACCTGGGAGTGAGAGGTTGCAGTGAGCCAAGATCGCGCCACTGCACTCCAGCGTGGGCAACAGAGTGAAAAAAAAGAAAAAAGAAAAAAAAAAGAAAAAACATAATTTATTCTGCCCTAAGGACTGTGAGGATCATCTCTTTGGTTACTTTCCAGAGCAAAAAGGTGGTGTACAATAGTGAGGTCAGGTCATATTTGAGTAGTTGAAGGAAATACAGCTGTTCATTCCAAGTTAATAAAAATTGTTTGCAAAAATGTGCCAGATGCAAATTTGCATATAGAGTATGGTCAGGATGCAAATTTCTATATACAGGATGGTCAGAATACATACAAATATGCCCAGTAAAAGACAGGAAATATAATTAAACATTAATAGAAGCTGTCTCTTAGAAGTGGGTGAATTTTCTTTTTCTTTTTTATTTTGCTGCATTTTTCAAATTTTTTATAATGAGCAAGCATTATTAGTTAGTTTTTTTTTTTTTTTTTTTTTTTTTGAGACGGAGTCTCTGCTGTTGCCCAGGCTGGAGTGCAATGGCACAATCTTGGCTCATTGCAACCTCCACCTCCCAGGTTCAAGCGATTCTCCTGCGTCAGCCTCCCAAGTAGCTGGGATTACAGGTGCACACCACCAAGCTTGGCTAATTTTTGCATAGTGTTTTTTTTTTTTAGACAGGGTCTCACTCTGTCACCCAGATTGGAGTGCAGTGGCACAAACATGGCTCACTGCAGCCTCAGCCTCTTGGGCTCAAGGGATCCTCCTGCCTCAGCCTCCTGTGTAGCTGATATCTCAGGTGCACATCACCATGCTTGGCTAATTTTTAAATTTTTTTGTAGAGACAGGGTCTCGCTATGTTGCCCAGGCTGGTCTTGAACTTGTGGGCTTAAGTGACCCTCCCGCCTCAGCTTCCCAAAGTGCTGGGATCACAGGCATGAGCCACCATGCCTGGCTAGATCTTTTAAACTTTATCTGTTGTGACATACAAAATGCCTATAGATGAAGACAAATGCACAGCACAGTGAATCATTGAGTAAAATTATTCAGGCATCTACTTCCACATGAAGAGAGAAGTCAGAGGTGGGCGGATCACCTGAGCTCAGGAGTTCGAGACCAGCCTGGGCAACGTGACGAAACCCCGTCTCTACCGAAAATACAAAAAATTAGCTGGGTGTGGTAGCATGCGCCTGTAGTCCCAGCTACTTGGAAAGCTGAGGTGGGATGATCACTTGAGCCCCAGAGGTCGAGGCTGCAGTGAGCTGAGATTGTGCCATCACACTCCAGCCTGGGTGACAGAGGGGGACCCTGTCTTAAAAATAAATAAATAAATAAACAAATAAATAAATAAATAAATGTAATTGATGTATTCTAGAACATTCCTCTTTTGTTCCTTTTTATTTACAAAGTGTACTGTCCCCTGAAAGGCAACCACCATGTTGGTTCTGATGGAACACTTCTGATTTTCTTAATTATTTTGCCACCTATTGGCAGGGCGAGGTGACTCACGCCTGTTACTCCAGTACTTGGGGAGGCTGAAGCAAGAAGATCCCTTGAGGACAGAAGTTCAAGACCAGCCTGGGCAACATAGTAAGAACCTCATCTCTACAAAAAATAAAAAAAAAAATTACCCAGAAGTGGTGGCATGCACCTGTAGTACCAGCTACCCAGGAGGCTGAGGTGGGAGGATTGCTGGAACCTGGGAGTTTGAGGCTGCAGTGATTGTGCCATTGCACTCCAGCCTGGGTGACAGAGCCAGACCCTGTCTACAATAATAACAACAATAATAATAATAATAATAATAATAATAATAATAGGCCAGGCGCCGTGGCTCACGCCTGTAATCCCAGCACTCTCGGAGGCTGAGGCAGGCGGATCACGAGGTCGGGAGATCAAGACCATCCTGGCTAACACGGTGAAACCTTGTTTCTACTAAAAATACAAAAAATATTAGCCGGGCGTGGTGGCGGGCGCTTGTAGTCTCAGCTACTCAGGAGGCTGAGGCAGGAGAATGGCATCAACCCGGGAGGCGGAGCTTGCAGTGAGCCGAGATCGGGCCACTGCACTCCAGCCTGGGCAATAGGGCGAGACCGTCTCAATAATAATAATAATAATAATAATAATAATAATAATGTTGCCTTACATGTATGCTTCCTAAAACAGTGTAGTCTAATTTGGACTATTTTTTAACTCTATGTAAGGAGGAACCATATTGTATATACTCTTGTATGCGGGTTTTTTTTTTTTTTGAGACAGAGTCTCGCTCTGTTGCCCAGGCTGGAGTGCAGTGGTGCGATCTCAGCTCACTGCAAGCTCCGCCTCCCGGGTTCACGCCATTATCCTGCCTCAGCCTCCCGGGTAGCTGGGACTACAGGTGCCCGCCACCACGCCCAGCTAATTTTTTGTATTTTTAGTGGAGACGGGGTTTCACCGTGTTAGCCAGGATGGTCTCGATCTCCTGACCTCGTGATCCACCCGCCTCGGCCTCCCAAAGTGGTGGGATTACAGGCGTGAACCACCGTGCCCGCGGCTTCTTTCTTCTTCCACTCAACATTATCTTTGAGAGATAAGTCCATGTTGTGGCAAATGGATCTAGGGTATGTATTCCCATGGTTACACGGT
Organism: Homo sapiens; assembly: GCF_000001405.40. NCBI lineage: Eukaryota > Metazoa > Chordata > Mammalia > Primates > Hominidae > Homo > Homo sapiens. The sequence goes on along the minus strand of NC_000019.10, from coordinate 35,919,925 downwards.
ATTCCATTGTGTGATATGCCCCAAGGTATGTATCCTTTCTCCTGCGATGGGCATTTGGGTTGTTTCTTTTGAAAAGCCTTACAAATAGGGTGGCCTTACAAATAGGGTGACTATCCTTACACAAGGCTCCTGGCATCTATTGCACCCATCTCTCTCAGATACAGATAGGGGCGGAAGTTGGGTCTCTGGGAAGTAAAGTGCCAAACTGTTTTTCAAAGTGGTTCAACCCCTCTGCCTCCTTCAGAGGTGTATGAGATTTTCTGTGGCTCCACATTTCACCACATCTGGTAGTGTCGGATTTTGAAAATTTCGACATTTCTAGGGGTAGAGGGAAAGGTGTGGAGCGGTTTTGCGCTACTAGTCTTGTTTGTTTTTAGAGATGGAGTCTGACTCTTGTCGCCCACTCTGGACTGCAGTGTTGCAATCTTGGCTCACTGCAACCTTTGCCTACCGGGTTCAGGCAATTCTCCTACCTCGGCCTCGTAACTGGGATTACAGGCATGTGCCACCATGCCGGCTATGTTTGTATTTTTAGTAGAGACGGGGTTTTGCCATGTTGGCCAGGCTGGTCTTGAACTACTGACCTCAGGTGATCCTTCCACCTCCGCCTGCCAAAGTGCTGGTATTGCAGGCGTGAGCCACTGCACCAGGCCTTACATTGTTTTAATGTTTGTTCTCCTTCTGAGGATGAGCACCTTTTCACACCTTTATTGCCATTTAGAGTTCCTCTTTTCTGAAGTGCTTGCTTGAAGTGGCTCATGCCTGCAATCCCCGAAATTTGGGAGGCCAAGGCCAGAGGACGCCTTGAGCCCAGGAGTTTGAGACCAGCCTGGGCAAGACCCTGTTTCTAAAAAAATTTAAAAATTAGCCAGGCATAGTAGCCCATACTTATGGTCTTAGTTACTTGGGAGGCTGAGGTGGGAGGATGGCTTAGGCCAGGGAGGTTGAGGCTGCAGTGAGCTAGGATTCTGCCACTCTACTCCAGCCTGGGTAACAGAGTGAGACCCTGTTTCAAATAAATAAATCAATTGGCCAGATGCAGTGGCTCATGCCTGTAATCCAAGCACTTTGGGAGGCCAAGGTGGGCCAATTGCCTGAGCTCAGGAGTTTGAGAACAACCTGGTCAACATGGCGAAACCCCGTCTCTACTAAAAATACAAAGATTAACCGGGTGTGGTGGCATGTGCCTGTAATTCTAGCTATTCGGGACACTGAGGCAGCAGAATCGCTTGAACCTGGGAGGTGGAGGTTGCAATGAGCCAAGATTGCACCACTTCATTCCGGCTTGGGTGACAGAGTGAGACTGTCTCCAAAAAATAAAATAAAATAAATTAAATTAATTAATTAAGTGTCTACTTGAGTTTGCCAATTTTTCTTCTGGGGTTTGCTGTTTGTTTTTAAGGAGTTATTTATGTGTGCAGGATATGTTCAGATTCATTGCATTATGTGTTACAAATTTCTTCTCCTACTCTGTAACCATTTTCTAATGGTTATCTTTTTTTTAATAAAAAATCTCAAACATACACAAAAGTAGAGAGAATCGTATAATGAATTCCCATAGACTTATTGCCAGCTTTAATAATTGTCAATTCGTGCTAATCTTATTCCCTCTCTACCTGAACCTACTTCTTCTTTATTGGATTGCTTTTAACACTTTCCAGACGTCTTATTATTTCACCTCCCAAATTTGTAGGAAGTACATATCGCTAAGTAATAATGACCTTTTAAAATATAGATCTAAATATATAGCCACATTATCATTCTAAGATATCTTTTGGTGAATGTTAATTCTTTTTTTTTTTTTTTTTTTTTTGAGACGGAGTCTCACTCTGTCGCCCAGGCTGGAGTGCAGTGGCGCTATATCTCCGCTCACTGCAAGCTCCGCCTCCTGGGTTCACGCCATTCTCCTGCCTCAGCCTCCCGAGTAGCTGGGACTACAGGCGCCCGCCACCACGCCTGGCTAATTTTTTTGTGTATTTTTAGTAGAGACAGGGTTTCACCGTGTTAGCCAGGATGGTCTTGATCTCCTGACCTTGTGATCTGCCCACCTCGGCCTCCCAAAGTGCTGGGATTACAGGCTTGAGCCACCGCGCCCGGCCATTAATTCTTTTTTTTGGGAGACAGAGTCTCGCTCTGTCACCCAGGCTGGAGTGCAGTGGCGTGATCTCGGCTCACTGTAGCCTCGACCTCCAGGGCTCAAGTGATCTTCCCACCTCAGCCCCCCAAGTAGCTCAGACTACAGGTGTGTGCCACCACGCTCGGCTAATTTTTAATTTTTTTTGTAGAGAGAGTGTCTCTCTATGTTGCTCAGGCCGGTCTACACCTCCTGACCTCAAGCAATCCTCCTGCCTTGGCCCCACAAAGTGCTGGGATTACAGGGATGAGCCACTGTGGCAAGTTCTTAATTTTTTTTTTTTTCCCCTTGAGACAGAGTCTTGCTCTGTCCTTGTTGCCCAGGCTGGAGTGCAGTGGCCCAATCAAATCATGACTCACCATAGCCTCAACCTCCTGGGCTCAGGTGATCCTCCTATCTCAGCCTCCCAAGTAGCTGAAACTACAGGCATGTACCACCACACTCGGCTGATGTGTTTGTTTGTTTGTTTGTTTGTTTGTTTTCGTAGACAAGGTCTCGCTATGTTGCCCGGACTGGTCTTGATCTCCTGGCCACAATTGAGGTTCCTGATTCAGCCCCCCAAAGTGCTGGGATTATAGGCATGAGCCACCATGCCTGGCCATGACTCTATTTATGTTATGGATGAACCACAATTGATGAAACCATCAAGCATTACTTGGATTCTACTTAAAAAGCCTTCAAAATGTTAGCTGTTGTGGTTAAAGTGGGTGCCCACAGCCAGAATAAGGGCCACATTCCAGCCAATAGGAAGAGCAGAAAAGGAGAGGGCATACTCTGACTTTAGGGACACAATCTGGAAGTTGCCCGCATCATTTCTTCCCAAGTTCCGTTTGCCAGAAAACAGATACATGGCCCCAACAGGCTCCAAAGAGGATGAGAGACATCTTCTTGGCTAGGGAATCTCATGCCCAACTACAAATTCTGTTTCAGTAGAGGAAGGGGTGGCTGGGCAAGGGGGTTCACACCTGTAATCCCAGCACCTTAGGAGGCCAAGGCAGGTGGATTGCCTGAGCTCAGGAGTTTGAGACCAGCCTGGGCAAGGTGGTGAAACACTATCTCTACAAAAAAATTTAAAAATTAGCTGGCATGGCGGTGCCTGCCAGTAGTCCCTGCTACTTGCAGAGCTGAGGTGGGAAAATTATTTGAGCCTGGGAGGTTGAGGCTGCAGTGAGCTATGTTCCTGCTAGTACACTACAGCCTCAGTGACAGAGTGAGATCACATCTCTAAAAAAATAAAAATAAAAATTAGGATGTCGGGAGTGGTGGCTCACGCCTGTAATCCCAACACTTTGGGAGGCCGAGGCTGGCAAATCACCTGAGGTCAGGAATTAGAGACCAGCCTGACCAATATGATGAAACCCCGTCTCTACTAAAAATACAAAAATTAGCTGGGCATGGTGGTGCATGCCTGTAATCCCAGCTACTCAGGAGGCTGAAGCAGGAGAATCGCTTGAACCCAGGAGGCAGAAGTTGCAGTGAGCCAAGGTTGCACCATTGCACTCCAGCCTGGGCAACAAGAGCAAAACTTCATCTCAAAAAAAAAAAAAAAACAAAAAAAAAAAACAGACGTGGTGGCTCACACCTATAGAAGAAGAAGGGGAGAAAAAAATATTGGTGAGGCCAGGTGCAGTGACTCATACCTGTAATTCCAGGGCTTTGGGAGAATGAGGTGGGAGGATCGCTTGAGGCCAGGAGTTCAAGACCAGCCCAGGCAACATGGCAAAACATCATCTCTATGAAAAATATAAAAATTAGCTGGGCATGGTGATGCGCACCTATAGTCCCAGCTACTTGGGAGGCTAAAGTGGGAGGATCGCTTGAGCCCAATAAGTTGAGGCTGTAGTGAGCCATGATTGCACCACTGCACTCCAGCCTGCGTAACAGAGCAAGACCCTTTCTCCAATAAAAAGATAAGTAAAAATAGTTCATTCCTTTTTATTGCTGAGTAGTATCCCACCGTGTGGATCTCAAAAAAATGGATAAACAACTTGTTTATCCATTCATCCAGTGAAGAACCATTCGGTTGTTTCCAGTTTGGGGCAATTATGAACAAAGCCACTATTAATATATGGTACTGGTTTTTGTATAAACTCACGTTTTCACTTCTCTTTGGTAAATACCTAGGAGTGGGAGTGTTGGGTTGTATGGTGTGTTTATGTTTAAATTTCTTAGAAATTGCCAAACTTCCCCCAGTGTCTGATGCAAATGACAGAAGCCTTCACAGAAGGTCCCAGATCACTTTAGCAGTGGAGCTGAGGTGTTTGCTCCCCAAGGCAGGAGTAGGATCTGATCTGTGTAGCTCAGGGACTGATTTCTTGGACCTCCTAGAGATTCAGTGGGTTCCCTAATGTCATTGAACACATCACACATCCCCTTCTTTTTTTTTTTTTTTTTTTGAGATGGAGTCTCACTCTGTTGCCTAGGCTGGAGTGCAGTGGCGCAATCTCGGCTCACTGCAAGCTCCGCCTCCTGGGTTCACGCCATTCTCCTGCCTCAGCCTCCCGAGTAGCTGGGACTACAGGCACCCACCACCATGCCTGGCTAATATTTTTGTATTTTTAGTAGAGACAGGGTTTCACCGTGTTAGCCAGGATAGTCTGGATCTCCTGACCTTGTGATCTGCCCACCTCAGCCTCCCAAAGTGCTGGGATTACAGGCGTGAGCCACCGCCCCCAGCCTCTTTTTTTTCTTTTCTTTTCTTTCTTTTTGTCTCTCTTTCTTTCTTCTTTCTTTTCTTTCCTTCTTTCTTTCTCTCTCTCTCCCTCCCTTCCTTCTTCCTTCCTTTTTTCTTTCTCTTGAAACAGGGTCTCCTTCTGTCACCCAGGCTGGAGTGCAGTAGTGCCACGATAGCTCACTGCAACCTCCAATCCCTGGGTTCAGGCAACCTTCCTGCTTCAGACTCCTGAGTAGCTGGGACCACAAGTGTGCTCCACCACGCCTAGCTAATTTAAAACAATTTTGGGGGCCAGGCATGGTGGCTGATGCCTGTAATCTCAGAACTTTAGGAGGCTGAGGTGGGAGGATCGCTTGAGGCCAGGAGTGTGAGAACAGCCTGGCCAACATGGCGAAACCCTGTCCCTACTAAAAAAATACAAAAATTAGCCAGGTGTGGTGGCTCATGCCTGTAATCCCAGCTACTTGGGAGGCTGAGGCAGGAGAATCGCTTGAATCTGGGACGGGGAGGCTGCAATGAGCCGAGATCGAGCCACTGCACTCCAGCCTGGGCGGCAGAGAGAGACTCCATCTCAAAAAAAAAAAAAAAAAAAAAAAAAAAATTTGGGCCAGGCAGAGTGGCTCACGCCTGTAATCTCAGCACTTTGTGAGGCTGAGGCAGGCGGATCAGTTGAGGTCAGGAGTTCGAGATCAGCCTGACCAACATGGTGAAAGCCCATCTGTATGAAAAATAGAAAAATTAGGCCAGGCACAGTTGCTCACGCCTCTAATTCCAGCACTTTGGGGGGCTGAGGAGGGTGGATCACCAGAGGTCAGGACTTTGAGAACAACCTGACCAACATGGTGAAAGCCCACCTGTACTAAAAATACAAAAAACTATCCGGGCGTGGTGGTGGGTGCCTGTAATCCCAGCTACTCAGGAGGCTGAGGCATGAAAATTGCTTGAACCCAGGAGGCGGAGGTTGCAGTGAGCTGAGATCGTGCCACTGCACTCCAGCCTGGGTAACAGAATGAGACTCTGTCTCAAAAAAAAGAACAATTTTTGTAAATATGGTATCTTGCTATGTTTCTCAGGCTGATCTTGAACTTCTGGCCTCAAGAGATCCTCTCACCTTAGTCCCCTAAGGCACTGAGATGACAGGTGTGAGCTACTGCAGAATGTTTAAAGGAAACAACCGACTATTTTCCAAAGCGGTTGCTCTATTTTTCATTTCCACCGGCAGTGTCTGAGATTTCCAACTGCTCCACATTTCTGCTGACACTCGATAGGGTCAGTCTTTTTAATTTTAGTCATTTAAGTGGGCGTGCAGTGACATTTCACTGAGGTTTCGTTTATATTTCCCTAATGACTAATAGTGCTGAGCACTTTTTCACAGGCTTCCTGGCCATTCATGTCTCTTCTTCTTCTTCTTCTTTTTTTTTTTTTGAGATGGAGTCTCACTTTTGTCGTCCAGGCTGGAGTGCAATGGCTTGATCTCAGCTCACTACAACCTTTGCCTCCAAGGTTCAGGTGATTCTCCTGCCTCAGCCTCCCAAGCAGCTGGGATTACAGATGCCTGCCACCGTGCCTGGCTAATTTTTGTATTTTTAGTAGAGATGGGGTTTCACCATATTGGCCAGGCTGGTCTTGAACTCCTGACCTCAGGTGATCTGCCCGCCTTGGCCTTCCAAAGTGTTGGGATTACAGGCGTGAGCCACCACGCTGGCTTTTTTTTTTTTTTTTTGATGGAGTCTTGCTCTGTTGCCCAGGCTGGAGTGCAGCGGTGCGATCTCGGCTTACTGAAACCTCTGTCTCCTGGGTTCAAGGGATTCTCCTGCTTCAGCCTCCTGAGTAGATGGAATTATAGGAAACTGCCACCACGCCCAGATAATTTTTGTGTTTTTAACAGAGATGTGGTTTCACCATATTTGCTGGGCTGGTCTCGAACTCCTTACCTCAGGTGATCCGCCCACCTTGGCCTCCTAAAGTGCTGGGATTACAGGAGTGAGCCACCACGCCCGGCCTTCACGTCTCATCTTTAGTGAAGTGTCTGTTCAAATGTTTTGGTCACTTAAAAATTAGGCTATTTGTCTGATTTTTAAATTAAATTAATTAATTTTTTTCTTTTTTGAGACAGGGTCTCACTCTGTGGCCCAGGCTGGACTGCTGTGGCACAATCAAAGCTCACTGTAGCTTCTGCCTCCCCAGGCTCAGGTGATCCTCCCACCTCAGCCTCCCTAGTAGCTAGGACTACAGGTAGGTGCCACCATGCTGGGCTAATTTTTGTATTTTTTGTAGAGCTGGGATTTTGCCCTGTTGCTCAGGCTGGTCTCAAACTTCTGGGCTCAAGCAATTCACCTGCCTCAGCTTCCCAAAGTGCTGGGATTTACAAGCTTGAGCCATCACGCCTGGCTCCCAGGCTGGTCTTGAAATCCTGAGGTCAAGTAATATGCCTGCCTTGGTGTCCCAAAGTGTTGGCATGACAGGCGTGAGCCACCATGCCCAGCCTATTTTTAAAAATATAATTAGAGCTGGGCACGGTGGCTCACGCCTGTAATCCCAGCACTTTGCGAGGCGGAGGCAGGTGGATCACCTGAGGTTGCGAGTTCGAGACCAGCCTGACCAACATGGAGAAACCCCATCTCTACTAAAAATACAAAATTAGCCAAGCATGGTGGCGTATGCCTGTAATCCCAGCTACTCGGCAGGCTGAGGCAGGAGAATTGCTTGAACCCGGGAGGTGGAGGTTGCAGTGAGCGGAGATCGCGCCACTGCACTCCAGCCTGGGCGACAAGAGCAAAACTCCATCTCAAAAAAAAAAAAAAGAATTAGAGACAGGGTCTCGTTATGTTGCCCAGGCTGGTTTTGAACTCCTGGCCTCAAGCGATCCTTCTGCCTTGGCCTCTATTCATCTGATGTTTTACAAAGCTTCCAGCTGCTTTGAGGAGGACAGGCTGTGGAGGGGCCAGTGTGGAAGCTGGGAGAGTGGGGAGGGACTGTAGCTTCCACAGAAGTGAGCTGGTCACAGGCCAACACACTACCTGGTTTCTGGGAAAGTCAGCGTTGGCTTCCCCAACTCTTGGCCTGCTGCCCAGAGAGGGTGAGACACTCACCTCTTGATCTTGTGTGGAGGCCCTCAGCTCAGCTTCCAGGAGTCTGGCAGTGTCTTGGGGCAGCGCCTTGTTGCTGGGTGCCCTGAATCTCAGCTTCTTCCTTCATCCAAAGAGGGAGGGTTTTTTTGTTTTGTTTTGTTTTGTTTATTTTGAGACGGAGTCTTGCTCTGTTGCCCAGGCTTGAGTGCAGTGGTGCGATCTCGGCTCACTGCAACCTCTGCCTCCCAGGTTCAAGCGATTCTCCTGCCTTAGCCTCCTGAGTAGCTGGGATTACAGATGTGTACCACCACGCCTGGCTAATTTTTGTATTTTTTAGCAGGGACGGGGTTTCACCATGTTGGCCAGGATGGTCTCAAACTCCTGACCTCAAGTGATCCACCCGCCTCAGTCTCCCAAAGTGGTGGGATTACAGGTGTGAGCCACTATGCCTGGCCAAAGAGAGTGTTTTATCCGTCCTCTAGCCCAGAGGCCAGCCCAGACCTGCCACCTGTGGTCTGCATCAGCACAGTTGTATTGGTTGCTAAAATGTTGAAACATTCCACTTCTGGTTAGTAAAGAGCCCACATAGCCCACAGATGTCTGCTACCACCCGAGTCCATTCTTTGGGGACCCCTTGGACTTTCCCACATCTCAGCAACTAAAGGTGGCGCTCTAGGACCCTGATTCCAGCCCCTATGGCCACATCCGTATGACTGGATGGTGCTTGGGGAATATCTTCTGGGGACAGCCCAGGCCTGGCTGAAGTGGGGAGGATGAGACTAGGAGGCTGATGCTGAAGGACTGAGGGAGGATTTTTTTTTTTTTTCTGAGTCAAAGTCTCACTCTTGTCATCCAGGCTGGAGTGCAATGGCATGATCTTGGCTCACTGCAACCTCTGCCTCCCAGGTTCAAGCGATTCTCCTGCCTCAGCCTCCCAAGTAGCTGGTATTACAGGCGCCTGCCACCATGTCTGGCTAGTTTTTGTATTTTTAGTAGAGACAGGGTTTCACCATGTTGGCCAGGCTGGTCTCAAACTCCTGACCTCAGGTGATCCACCCTCCTTGGCCTCCTAAAGTCCCAAAATCCAAAATCACGCCTGGGATTACAGGTGTGAGCCACTGCACCTGGCTGAGGGAGGATTTTTATCAAGCTAAGCTGAGAACTCGAGACTGGACATACTAATTTTTAGCATGGAACATATCCAAGTCACACGGTACCGAAGTATGTTCGCAGCAGTGAATCCATAGGGGTCTGCAGCAACCTCAATCCTTGCCTCCTCAAAAAAGAATTTGACCAAGGGACATAAGGCAGAGTGAGAAACCAAGGTAAGTTTTAGAGCAGGAGTGAAAGTTTATTATTATTATTATTATTATTATTATTATTATTATTATTATTATTATTTTGAGACTGAGTTTCGCTTTTGTTGCCCAGGCTGGAGTGCAATGGCGCAATCTCTGCTCACTGCAACCTCTGCCTCCTGGGTTCAAGCGATTCTCCTGCCTCAGGCTCCTGAGTAGCTGGAATTACAGGCACGCGCCACCACGCCAGGCTAATTTTGTATTTTTTAGTAAAGACCGAGTTTCTCCATATTGGTCAGGCTGGTCTCGAACTGCCGACCTCAGGGGATCCGCCCACCTCGGTCTTCCAAAGTGTTGGATTACAGGCGTGATCCACCGCGCTTGGCCCTTTATTATTATTATCATTATTTTGAGACAGAGTCTTGCTGTGTCGCCCAGGCTGGAGTGCAGTGGCGCGATCTCAGCTCACTGTAACCTCCACCTTCCAGGTTCAAGGTATTGTCTTGCCTCAGCCTTCTGAGTAGCTGGGACTACAGGTGCCCACCACCATGCCCAGGTAATTTTTTGTATTTTTAGTAGAGACCGGGTTTCACCATGTTGGCCAGGATGGTCTCGATCTCCTGACCTCGTGATCCGCCCGCCTCAGCCTCCCAAAGTGCTGGGATTACAGGCATAAGCCACCGTGCCCAGCCTAATTTTTAGTAGAGATGGGGTTTCACCATGCTGGCCGGGCTGGTCTTGAACTCAACCAGGCATTATTCTAATAGACCTCACAATATCCTCACAAATATCCCAGCAGCCTGGCCTCCCTGCTCCAGTCCCTGCCTCCACAGTCTGCTCCCCACCTGCGGCCGGAGGGAACCTGTGAACCCCTGAGTCAGGTCAGGGCCCTCCTGGCTCAGAGCCCTGCTCTGGTCTCTGACTGCCCCCTCGCCCACTCTGCTCCAACACATTGGGTGGCCTGGTGTGCCCGGGAGGACCTACAGGGTCTGTTCCCTCCATGCTCGCTCTAGACACAATGGGAGAGGCTTGGGTTTTTAAGGGAGGGGACTCAGCCAGGCCTGAACAGTGGTGACCGTGGGCTGAGCTGGGACCTGACCCTCCTCCAGGCTCCAAATCTCCTCTCCTCCCTTCCCCCACAGGCCACTGGGCATCTGCCCTGTGACCAGAATCCAGTTTCCCCTTTTTTCTCCTAAGCCCAGGCCCAAGGAGCGGTGGGTGTGACGTGTGGATGGGGGAGGGGGGCTTCCTGCAGCTGTCTCATCCTCCAGCACCCTAACCTCAGGTTCCTCCTTCCCCAGCCCCAGGCTCCAGCTGGGGGCTAGAAGTCCCCGTCTCCTTGGGGTGGCCTCCCTTGGGCCTTGCTCCCAGCCACTTCCTCATTCAGCAGGAGAGCCAGCCACCTGCCTCTCCCCAAGCCGCCAGCCGTGCCTCTGTGTCTGTGCCACTGCCTTACTCTCACCTTTCTCAGCTTTGCCGCTGTTTTCTCCTTCCCCATCTTTCATCTTTGTTTTTCCCCCTGACTCTTCCCTAGTCAAAAACCTGATTTTGGGTCTTGGGTTCCATTTCCACCTTGATTTGCTGTGCAGCCTTAGGCAAGCGTCTCTACCTCTCTGAACAATGGGGATGATAAGAGCATGTGCCCTAGAAGGGCATTGCGGGGACTGAATGATTTAACGCTTGGGACAGAGTGCCTGCATGTCATTAGTGCCCACATGCTGCTGGCTCTTTTAATATCCTTTAAACAGCACAAGTTTCTGATGATTAAATAATCATCATCATAGCTGATGCTTTTAAAAAGCTGACAAGGGTCAGACCCTGGTCTAGGAACTTTAATTCATTTAATCCCCACAACTCTAAAAAGTAGGTCCCATTTTACTCCCAATTTTACAGATGAAGAAACTGAGGTTGGAGCTGGGTGCGGTGGCTCACACTTGCAATCCTAGCACTTCGGGAGGCCAAGGTGGGTGGATCACCTGAGGTCAGGAGTTTGAGACCAGCTGGCCAACATGGTGAAACCCTGTCTCTACTAAAAAAAAAAGAAAAAAAAATACAAAAAATTAGCCGGGCATGGTGGCAGGCGCCTATAATCCCAGCTACTTGGGAGGCTGAGGCAGGAGAATCACTTGAACCCGGGAGGCAGAGGTTGCAGTGAGCCGAGACCGTGCCATTGCACTCAAGGTTGACCAGCCAGGAAGAGGCAGAGCTGGTTTCAATCAGCCAGAGGAAGGTCATGACACTGACCCTCCTGTTAAAACGATGTCTGACCCCTGACTGGGGACGGAGGTGAAGTTTGTGCTTCACGTACCCTTTGCCCTTCACGTCTAGTTGCTGGGGGCCTGTGGCATGGCCCCTGGGTGTCTGGGCCTGATTCTTTCTTGGGTTTTGTTTCTGTCTCTCCTCCCCTGTCTCCTCCTCCCTTCTGCCACCACCCGCCTCAGACTTCCTCCTTCACTTGCCTGGACGCTGCGCCACATCCCACCGGCCCTTACACTGTGGTGTCCAGCAGCATCCGGCTTCATGGGGGGACTTGAACCCTGCAGCAGGCTCCTGCTCCTGCCTCTCCTGCTGGCTGTAAGTGGTGAGTTAGGGGCTTCCGTGGCTGCCTCCCGGGTCCCTGGGCTCAGCTTGGGGCAGGGCAGGGAGTGGGGTGGAACGAGAGAACCAAAAGTGGGTGTTGGGATGGGAGCAGGTCCCCAACCTCCCAAAGCCTGTGGGTTTCTCCCAGAGCCCAAGCCCCCAAGTTTTGTCGTCCGCTACAAGCAGGGGAGAAGAGACATCTAAGTGTGTTGCCACAGGACAAGTTGTGCAGAAGTAACGCACATAGTCCGGTGGCCCAGACGCCAGCCCCCTGAGTCCCGCCAGACACGCTCTCCCCCTTGCTAACCTCTTGGCTGTCAGGATCCACCTTCCCTGGCTTCTAAACTTGCCTCCCCCACCCCCGTCATAACTCTGTGCCTCAGTTTACCTTCTTTTTCCTCCTCAGGTCTCCGTCCTGTCCAGGCCCAGGCCCAGAGCGGTAGGCCTAGACCCAGCAGTCCCTCTCTCTACCTCCCAGAGACCTCCCTGTCTCCGTCTCTCCCACACCCTTTCCAAACCTCCCTGCCGCTGACCCCCCTCCCCACAGTTCCCAGCACACACTGACCTCCCCTGACCCCTGTGCTGCAGATTGCAGTTGCTCTACGGTGAGCCCGGGCGTGCTGGCAGGGATCGTGATGGGAGACCTGGTGCTGACAGTGCTCATTGCCCTGGCCGTGTACTTCCTGGGCCGGCTGGTCCCTCGGGGGCGAGGGGCTGCGGAGGGTGAGTGGGGCTAGCAGGGGACATCCTGAGGACTTGCCTAGATGGGGGTGGGGGGCTGGGTAAACTCCCAGATCTCAAACATCCAAAGGGATGGTAATGGAGGTGCTGATTTGGAATGACAAAACACCCTCAACTCACCACTCTGCCTGTCTCTGCACCCCACAACACCCCTCACCTCCAGCAGCGACCCGGAAACAGCGTATCACTGAGACCGAGTCGCCTTATCAGGTGAGAAAACCAGACTGTCCTCCTCACATTTCACTCCTGCCAGGGATATCTGCCCCAGATACTCCTTCATGCCATCAGAGGGACCTCAAAGCCACTCTGCCTAAAGCACCCCCAAACCTTGAAGGCACATGGGACATCTGTCCAAAACTGGGCCGAATGATCAACCACAAGCTTATGGTCAGCTTAAAATGTGTGAAGAGGGGCTGGGCACGGTGACTCAAACCTGTAATCCCAGCACTTTGGGAGACAGAGGCGGGTGGATCACTTGAGGTCAGGAGTTCGAGACCAACATGGTGAAACCCTGTCTCTACTAAAAATACAAAATTAGCTGGGCGTGGTAACGCATGCCTGTAATCCCAGCTACTTGGGAGGCTGAGGCAGGAGAATCCTTTGACCCAGGAGGCGGAGGTTGCAGTGAGCCAAGATCACGCAATTGCACTCCAGCCTGGGCAACAAGAGGAAAACTCTGTCAAAAAAAAAAAAGCGTGAAGAGTTAAAAAGAAAAAAAAAAGGGTGGCTTTGCCTTTGTAAGTGTAAACACAGGCCTTGCCAGAAGTCAGGCCAGGAATTTTCTGGAAGAAACCCAGCCCTAGGACGACTGATTTCTGGGAGACGCTCTCAGTAGGGCAGAGAATGTCATTCAGCCCTACCTTGGTAACTCTAAAGAGAGGAGTCCTAGAATCTCTTTTTTGGGTTTGAGGACCCTTCATCCCTTTGAGAAACTAAGAAAATCTAGACTCCCAGAAAAATCTACACAAAAAATACAAAATTGTGCATATAATCTGAGAGCAGTGTAAATGTTCTTTATAATTAAAAAAAATTTTTTTTTGGCCAGGCATGGTGGCACACACCTGTAATCCCAGCACTTTGGGAGGCCAAGGTGGGTGGATCACGAGGTCAGGAGTTCAAGACCAGCCAGGCCAGGATGGTGAAACCCCATCTCTACTAAAAATACAAAAATTAGCTGGGCATGGTGTCATGCGCCTGTAATTCCAGCTTCTCAGGAGGCTGAGGCAAGAGAATCGCTTGAACCCAGGGGGCGGAGGTTGCAGTGAGCCTGGGCGACAGAGTGAGACTCCATCTCAAAAAAAAAAAAAAGACAGGGGTCTCACTATGTTGCCCCAGCTGGTCTCAAACTCCCAGTCTCAAGTGATCCTCCCGCCTCAGCCTCCGAAAATCTTGGGATTACAGGCTCAAGCAACCATGCTGGTTGAGTATTCTTGAAGCTCTTTTTTCTTTCTCTACTTTAATTTTTTTTTTTTTTTGAGATGGAGTCTCATTCTGTCACCCAGGCTGGAGTGCAATGGTGTGGTCTCAGCTCACTGCAACCTCCACCTCCCAGGTTCAAGCGATTCTCTTGCCTGAGCCTCCCGAGTAGCTGGAACTACAGGTGCATGCCACCACACCCGGCTAATTTTTGTATTTTTAGTAGAGATGGGGTTTCACTATGTTGGCCAGGCTGGTCTCAATCTCCTGACCTCGTGATCCGCCCACCTTTCCCTCCCAAAGTGCTGGGATTAGAGGTGTGAGCCACCGCGCCCGGCCTTAATTTTTTTTTTTTTTTTAAAGTAGAGATAGGTTCTCACTATGTTGCCCAGGCTGGTCTCAAACTCCTGGGCTCAAGAGATCCTGTTACCTCGGTCTCCCAAAGTGCTGGGATTATAGGCATGAGTCACCATGCCTGGCTGAAGCTCTTTTTAAAAACTATAGAGTATACAAGAGAATCTAGTCATCTATCCCCCTCTCTGTCAATGTTCCTTTTTAACCCTTTAGGGGGTCATGAGATTCTCTAAGACCTCTCCCCTGAAGAATGCACGCCCAGACTAGTCATCATATATGATTTTAGGGTTTCTGTCTGAGGCCTGCCCCTGGGGGCCACATAGATCCTCCCCCTACCCCAAGTGTGAACACTGCTGTGTGAAGTCTGATATATTGTCTGCAACCAGCTTTGCCTATTCACCTCACTTGTGGATAAAGTTTCTTTGTGAAGTCTAAGAATCTCAGGTTTGGCTCTGTGATATCCAGAAGACCGAGGGGCCCTTCCAGTTACTGGTGGCAGTGAAATTTTAGGGCAAAGCATTACCCGGATGTATTTATTCCCTCTGTGGATGTGTCTAGCACCTATAAGTGCTAAATGCTGGGGACACAGTGACAGAGTTTATATCCTAGTTAAGACAAACTTAAAGCAAATGAACAAATAAAATAATTTTGGGAGGCACAGTAAAGGAAATAAACAGGCTTTTTTTTTTTTTTTTACAGTGGCTGGAGTGTGGGGGGAAGAAACTACAGAGGGGAAATTGAGAAATGCCTCTCTGAGGAGGTGACGTGAGCTGAGACTTGAAGGGAGAGGGGATCTAGGGGAACAGAGTTTTAGGCAGAGGAAACAGCACACGCAGGGACCCTGAGGCTGGGGCACACTGATGAGGCAGAGGAGAAGGGGGAACATTGAATGTACTTGAATAAAATCCGGATCTCTTTCATGGCTATAAGGCTGAAGAAGCTGCCAGGGGCCTTGCAGGCCACTGGGAGAAGGCTGGATTTTATTTGGTGGGTCCCTTCCACTGATGGCCCCCATTCCTTTAGGAGCTCCAGGGTCAGAGGTCGGATGTCTACAGCGACCTCAACACACAGAGGCCGTATTACAAATGAGCCCGAATCATGACAGTCAGCAACATGATACCTGGATCCAGCCATTCCTGAAGCCCACCCTGCACCTCATTCCAACTCCTACCGCGATACAGACCCACAGAGTGCCATCCCTGAGAGACCAGACCGCTCCCCAATACTCTCCTAAAATAAACATGAAGCACAAAAACATTATGCCAGATCCTTGGGCTGATGGGATGGGGACATGTGGGGGTTCTGAGGGGGCCTTGGATCCAGAAACAGTTCATGGGAGGGAGGCTTTGGGAACTCTGGGGTTCTTTGAGAAAGAATACGACTACAGGTGTTTCAATTGTTTTATTACAATCCAAAAGTTGGGGCGGGGGTTCCTGTGCCACCACACACCATCCAGGATGAGAGGGTCAGAAGTCAAAGGTCCAAGCTGCAGGAGGGTCAGCCCCTGCCTGGCATGTTGATGTAGACTTTGCCATCTTCTGGGGATAGGGGAGAGAAAGCATGAAGCTTGACCACCCATATCTCCACTTCCCTGGGGACCCCCTGCTTCAGGGGTTTCCTCAGGGGTTCCCCCAGGCACCTCCCCCAGGGTTTCCCCAGCACCTCCTCCAGGGCTTCCCCAAGGGCCCCCTCCCTGGGACCCCCTCCCTAGGGACACTATACACCTTCCAGGCCCCGCCCATCTCCGCCCTCACCTTGGGCGGGGCTGCGGCGTGGGCGTGCGCACAGGAACACCGCCCCCACGATGAGCAGCGATGCCACCGCATCAGCAGCCACGAGGCCTGCCAGGAGCGGCAGAGAGAGGGACCCACATCCGGAACAAGAGCCTGGAGAGTGGGGGCCGGAACAGGGAGACAACTCAAGCTCTGCGTCCTGGGGCTGTGCTTTGGCCACAGGCAGAGAGGAAGTCCCCTGCGAGGGGGCGGGTCCCAGGTTCCTTGGAGTTGCGCTTGGGGAATGAAACGGGAGACAGATGCAGAGAGGCTGGGGTGTCCCAGGACCCTCGGGGCTGTGCGGCGGGCACACGGGGTGCTCCTGAACACAGGCTGGGGGTCGCTGATTCTGGGACTCGGAGAAGGACACGGATCCTCTGATTTGGGGACGGGAGGTGGGATGGTGACCTGGAGAACCACTGGGGTGTTCTGGGAGCCTCTGGCCAAGCTTCTGGGGTGGAAGTGATACCTGAAGTGCCAGGGTAAAAGGCAGGGAGTGATGATCTCTCTCCTGGAGTCGTCTGAGCTGCAGCCACTGTGGAAAGAGAAAGAAGGTGGATGAGGGTGGAGAGAAGGTCCACAAAACAGAATGCTCAGCCTGGCACCGTGGCTCACGCCTGTCATCCCAGCACTTTGGGAGGCCGAGGCAGGAAGATCGCTTGAGCCCAGGAGTTCGAGACCAGCCTGGGCAACATAGTGAGACCTCGTCTCTACAAGAAATACAAAAATTAGCTGGAAGTGTTGGTTCACACCTGTAATCCCAGTTACTCGGGAGGCTGAGCTGGGAGGATCACCTGAGCCCAGGAAGTCAAGGCTGCCGTGAGCCGTGATTGTGCCACTGCACTCCAGCCTGGACAACAGAGCAAGACCCCATCTCAAAATAAACAAACCAAAAAATAGGGTGTAGAGAAGGAAAGGTAGTGTCCTGAGAAGTAATCTCCAGGCTGGAGAGATGGAACAGGACCACATGGGAAGGGGACTCCCAGAGACATGGAGAGTGACAAGAAATTGGAAGTGGCAGCAGAGACCCAGCCATGAGAAGGGGACGCTAACAGGCAGCCCCTCCAGAACTCCCTGTCTCACCCCCTTCCGCCCCCAAGGACCCAGGCCCTGAAGCAGAATGGATCTCCCAGAAGGGAAGGGGTGCAGGGAGAAGAACCCCACTTTCATCACCCGTCCCTGCAGACGTCACCCAAGCACCCATCTCACAAACGCTCTGCCTACCATCCCCTGTAACCACTGGCTTCACCTGGGAGCAAAAGCAGGAAGAGGATGTGACCCAGATGGATCATGGTGGACTGGGGTCTGGCAGGGGTCTGGCAGAGGACTGTGGTCCAGAGAAGTCCAGAGGAACTGTGGGGGAGCAGAGAAGTAGCAATAGCGGATGTCACCCTGCTGGTGTCAAGGCCATCTGCTTCCTGTGTGTGTTGAGGGGGTGTCTCCGTTACTGCCTTTGGTGAACGAACTCAGGGGGAGGGTCAGAGAGACCAGGGAGGCTGCTGGCCTGGTCCAAGTGGGAATGACAGGTGGCAAGGGTGTGCAGGCTAGGGAGATCTGGAAATATTTTGGAGGTAGGGCCAAGAAAATTTGCTGATTAAATGAATGTGGGTGTGTTTGAGAGGGATCCTAGACAGCCAAGCCTTCTGGCATGAAACGCTGAGAAGATGGGAGTGTCTGCTGGCAGAGATGAAAGGTAGGGAAGTGGGTTTGCGGGGAAAGTGACGAGGTTTGGGCATACAGGGTTGGAAATGCCTGACAATCTCCCTGTGGAGATGCTGAATAACCTCACTGCATTTAGGAGTTCAGGGGATAAGGCTGGTCTGGAGATGTAAATTTGGGGGTTGATGGCTTATGGATGGTACTTAAAGCCACAAGACTGGGTGAGATCACCAAGGAAGTGAGTGCAGACAGGATTCTGCCCCTATCACAACACACACTGAATGGGGGAAGAGGAGGAACTTTGCCAGGGAAATGGAGAAAGAGGGAGGGGACCCCTGAGAGCATGGCATCTTGAAAGCAGGGGAGAGGCCACCGCAGTGGCTCATGCCTGTAATCCCAGCACTTTGGGAGGCCAAGGTGGGGGGATCACCTGAGATCAGGAGTTCAAGCCAATATGGTGAAACCCCGTCTCTACAAAAATACAAAAATTACCCGGGCATGGTGTCAGGCTCCTGTAATCCCAGCTACTTGGGAGACTGAGGCAAGTGGAGGTTGCAGTGAGCCGAGATCTCACCACTTTGCCACTGCACTCCAGCCTGGGCGACAGAATGAGACCCTCTCTCTAACAATAAAAATGTAATAATAAAATAAAATAGAAAAGCAAGCAAGCAGGGGAGAAA
This sequence comes from Homo sapiens, assembly GCF_000001405.40. Lineage (NCBI taxonomy): Eukaryota > Metazoa > Chordata > Mammalia > Primates > Hominidae > Homo > Homo sapiens. The sequence continues at coordinate 35,901,546 of NC_000019.10, read as the reverse complement.
TAGGGCCAACATGGTCAGTGCTGTGAAAGGTCACCAAGTGAAACTGAGAGTGGCCTCCCACTGGAATGCCAGCTCCAGGGCTGGGAATTCCTGCCTGCTTAGTTCACAATACACAGCAAAATGCCTCCTCTGCTGCAATAAATTATTTTAAATGATGAATGAGTAAATGAAACCAGACCTCTAAAAAGGGTGATGTAGGGGAGAGGGAGAAATTGAGCCACACCCTATACCCTTACCCACAGACCCTTCCTCTGGGAGTCTAGACCCCCAGTCCTGCCTCCCTCTGGACCCAGTAATATTCTCCCTGCCCCCACCCCATCTCCATCCCCACTCCTACCCCTACCCCCATGGGCAGGACCCAGGAGACAAAGCCTCCAGCACCCCCTTAGACACAGACCCAGAAATCCAGGCCCCAGCCAGGCACCATGGCTCAAGCCTGTAATCCCAGCACTTTGGGAGGCCAAGGCAGGCGGGTCACCTGAGGCCAGGAGTTCGAGACCAGCCTGGCCAACACGGTGAAACCCCATCTCTCCTAAAAATACAAAAATTAGCCAGGCATGGTGTCCAGCACCTGTAGTGTCAGCTACTCGGGAGGCTGAGGCAGGAGAATCGCTTTAATTCAGGAGGCGGAGTTTGCAGAGATCGCACCATTGCACTCCAGCCTGGGCGACAGAGACTCCTTCTCAAAAACAACAACAAAAAAAAAAAAAAAAAAAAAAGAAAAGAAAAAAAAGAAAAAGAAAAGAAAAGAAATCCAGGCCCCCCGGTTTCTCCCTCCTCTTGGAGCCCGGTGCCCTAGGCTCCTTCAGAGCAAAGATCTGGACCCCAGCTCCCTCCTTCCCGGGGGGACTGAGTAGTCCGCCTCCCAAGTCCGCCGCGCCCATTCAGGGACTGCGTTCGCCGGAGCGCGACCCGGGGACTCCCAGGCCTGTGGGCGGGCCCTGCCCAGGACTGGGCGGTGCCATAACCCCTAGTTTAAAAACTCGCGGGTACCGGACCCAAGATCGGGGACCCGGCGGCGGCTCCGCGGGGGAAACAGCGAGGCTGGCGCAGCGCCGAGGCCGCGGCCCTGGGGGCCCGCAATCCACGCCACGGAATCCCCGAGGTAATGGGCGCGGGCAGGACGCGTTCGGCCCCCTAAGAGAGTGAGGGACTGAGGATCGAAAGACTCCCGAGGCCCTGAGGGACGGAGCTGAAGCGTCAGTCCTTTATCCCGAGAGTGAGGGCCCTAGGTGTTTGGAGGAGGAGGGGATCGTGGATCGTGACAGAGGGGCGGCTGGGATCCCAGACTTCTGGGTCCTGGGGGTGCAGGGGCCTGGGGATCCAGGATCGCAGGGCCCCGAGGGTGCAAGGGCTGGGAGGCTTGGGAGGCTGGATCTCTGGGTCCTTGGAGGTGCTAGGGGTTGCTGGCAACCGAGACTCCTACCCCTAGAAGCAGGGACTAGGCTGAGTGCGGGGGGGGGGGGGGGGGGCGTGGTTGCTTAAAATCGGCGTGGGTCTCGGTGGGGAAGGGTCCGGAGCCTGGCCTCAGGGTCTACGCTGGCGGTGACCCTGCCTCTGCCCCGCCCTGGGATTTCCGGATGGCCACCCGTGCGGGGCTGAGCAGGAATTCCCCTTGCGCGGGGATTCCACGAGCGCCACGATCGGCCGCGCGCCCCGCCTCGGAGCAGGACACCTGGGGCACAGGACTTGGGGGGAAGGGGAGGATGGAAGATTCCCTTGCGTGAGCGCCGTGGCGTCAGCGCGCCGCGTCGGGGCTGTTTCCGAGCCACCTCCTCCCGCCCCCGCCCCGCGCAATCCCCACTTAACCCTTCCTCCGCCGGAACCCAGGCTCGGAAGGGTGAGGGTTCTGTCTTTCTGAGTCGTGGGAAGGAGTTTGGGAACTGGGGCTCCCAGGTCCTAGAGAGGAAGGAACTGAGGGTCCAGATTCCTGGGGCCTGAAAAAGAGACTGTATGGATGGGCCTTTTTTTTTTTTTTTTTTTTTTTTTAATGGAGTCTCTCTCTGTCGCCCAGGCTGGAGTGCAGTAGCGCGATCTCCGCTTACTGCAACCTCAACCTCCGCCTCCCGGGTTCAAGTGTTTCCCCTGCCTCACCTGGGATATACAGCCGCCTGCCACCACGCCCGGCTAATTTTTATATTTTTAGTAGAGACGGGGTTTCACCATGTTGGCCACCTGACCTCAGGTGATCCGCCCCCCTTGGCCTCTCAAAGTGTTGGGATTACAGGCGTGAGCCACCGCTCCCGGCCCGGGGTGAGGCCTTTGACTTCTCGAGGAGGGGCGCTGGGGACTCCTGATTTCCGGGTCAGGTTCTAGGGAAAAAAATGTTGGGAACCTGGATGTGAGTCTAGGGAGTGACGCCTGGCGCCGGCCCCCCACCAACCCGCTGACTTCAAAACTTGGATATCTGGGGGTGGAATTTTTTTACGGAAGTGGGGTGGTTGCTGCAGAGGGGTGCCCTCCTCCCCCTTCCTCACTTTCCGCGACGGTGGTGGAAAGTTGGGTCAGAGGGAAAGTGCGGAGCAAAAGGAAGGAAACGGCGGAGGCGGATGCCCCACCCCAAATCTTCTAATGGCTTTGGAGGAGTCAGGCGGCATCTATGTGCCAGTTTTTCCGCGCGGGAGGGCGAGGAGGGTGCCCAAACCCACTCCCCGCGCGCCACCCCCGCGGCATTTAGGTGACTTAAGGACCCTTGATGACTTCCCCCTCTCCTCTCCCGCACAGTGAGCAGGGGTGAGCGCAGCCACTGCCCAACGCAAACCGTGAAGAAGCTTCTGGAAGAGCAGAGGCGCCGCCAGCAGCAGCAGCCCGACGCTGGCGGGGTGCAGGTGAGGCCAGGGAGCCACAGCTCTCCGGAGGCCCCGTGCTGTCCCGTAGGGACTCAGCGGCTTGCCGGGCCCTCGGGGCTGATGAGAGGGGTGGTCCTGACCGAAATGTCTTATAGATCCGAGACAGACCCGGAGGAATCTGCCAGATAAAGTCACCTGGGTTCCTTTTTGCTTTTGTCTCTACAGGGACAATTTCTCCCTCCCCCAGAGCAGCCCCTGACCCCATCTGTGAATGAGGCTGTGACTGGTAAGTTCTCTCAGCTCCCGGCCTCCCCATCCCCCTTCCCTAAGGGACTCAGACATCGCAGCTCTCAGAACTTTGGGACACCTGGGAGTCAGGCCCTCATTCTTCCCTTTTTTTTTTTTTTCTGAGACAGGATCTCACTCTGTTGCCCTGGCACTGGAGTGCAGTGGCGCTATCTGGCTCACTGCAGCCTCAACCTTCTGGGCTCAAGTGATCCTCCCGCCTCAGCCTCCCAAGTAGCTGGGACCACAGGCGATGCCACCTTGCTTGGCTAATTTTTTAAATTTTTGTAGAAACGGGGTCTGGCTATGTTGCCTAGGCTGGTAGGCCCTCATTCTTGCTGGAACTCAGTAGCAGTCTGATTTCCTAGGTTCTCTTGAGTCCAGTAGTCTATGCACATAGTCCTACGGAGCCCCAGGGCCCAGGCTCAGCCTTTTTAGTGCCCCAGGAGTCCAGGCCCTCAATTCCTCAGTGTCCCAGGAATCCAGGTCCCGGGAGCTTGGTGTCCCAGAAGTACTAACTCTCAGTACCTTGGGAGACGCCAGGCCCTCTAGCCCTGGATGTGACGTCCCCAACTCTGGTAACCAGACCTGCCCCTGCCCCTCCTCTTACACGCAGGCCACCCTCCCTTCCCAGCACACTCGGAGACTGTGGGTTCTGGACCTAGCAGCCTGGGCTTTCCAGACTGGGACCCCAACACGCATGCTGCCTACACTGACAGCCCCTACTCTTGCCCTGCTTCTGCTGCCGAAAATTTCCTGCCTCCTGACTTCTACCCACCCTCGGACCCAGGGCAGCCGTGCCCATTTCCCCAGGGCATGGAGGTGAGATACAGAGTGGGTACAGGATGCTGAAGGGCCCCTAAAAATTCGCAGTTGCACTCCTGCAGTATTCTGAGATGTCTGGAGCTCAGTTACGATTCCCTTTTCCAGGCCGGGCGTGGTGGCTCACACCTGTAATCCCAGCACTTTGGGAGGCTGAGGCAGGCGGATCACTTGAGGTCAGGCGTTTGAGACCAGCTTGGCCAACATGGTGAAACCAAAAATAAAAAAATTAGCTGGGTGTAGTGGCGCACGCCTGTAATCCTAGCTACTCGGGAGGCTGAGGCAGGGGAATTGCTTGAACCCAGGAGGTAGAGATTGCAGTGAGTAGAGATTGCACTGCTGCACTCCAGCCTGGGTGACAGAGCAAGACTCTGTCACCGAAAAAAAAAAATACCCTTTTCCAGGTGGGCAAAACTGAGGCCTAAAGGTCCAAGGTCACTTGGCATAGATGGGATACCCAGGGGCTCTGCATGCAGATGTGTGTGTGGTGGCTTGGGATGGAGGAATTCTCAGCTGACTGGGTCTCCCCACCACCTGCACCCTCCAGGACCCCCCAGACACCCAGTTCTATGTAGGATCTTCTCTGCCACAGGCTGGACCCTGGAGAGTTTCTGCACCCCCTTCAGGACCCCCACAGTTCCCCGCTGTGGTCCCTGGACCATCGCTGGAGGTGGCCCGAGCTCACATGCTGGCTTTGGGGCCACAGCAGCTGCTGGCCCAGGATGAGGAGGGGGACACGTGAGTATAAGGGATAGGGTTGTCTGCAGACTCTTGGCTTGGTGGGGGCTGTTCTCACGGCTGTCCCCCACCTGTCCTCAGGCTCCTTCACCTGTTTGCGGCTCGGGGGCTGCGCTGGGCGGCATATGCTGCGGCTGAGGTGCTCCAGGTGTACCGGCGTCTTGACATTCGTGAGCATAAGGGCAAGGTGAGGCTTGGGGCCTGAACTCTCCTGGGTTCAGGGGAGGAAGGAGCCTGGGGCCTGGACCCCTGGATCCTAGAGAAGAGGGGAATGGGGGGTGAGCTCCTGGGGCTGAGGGGGGATGGGGCTGGGAGCCTGGTTTTCTGACGGGAGGGAACCAGGAGCCCAACCTGACTTCTCCTGTGGCCTGCAGACCCCTCTCCTGGTGGCGGCTGCTGCCAACCAGCCCCTGATTGTGGAGGATCTGTTGAACCTGGGAGCAGAGCCCAATGCCGCTGACCATCAGGGACGTTCGGTCTTGCACGTGGCCGCTACCTACGGGCTCCCAGGAGTTCTCTTGGTATGGCCAGCTGGCAGGCAGGGGTTTGTCTGGGGGGTAGACTGGTTGCCCAGATTTTGGCTTCCAGGGCCAGGAGGCCAGGGGATACCCTTACCCAGCAGTCTGCCTTCTCTTCCTCCCAGGCTGTGCTTAACTCTGGGGTCCAGGTTGACCTGGAAGCCAGAGACTTCGAGGGTAAGTTGGGTGTGGGCAGGGCTGGTGTGGTTGGTGTGGCTGGGCGAGGTGGGTGCAGATGCGGGTCCCTCACTGTCTCCATTCTGCAGGCCTCACCCCGCTCCACACGGCCATCCTGGCCCTTAACGTTGCTATGCGCCCTTCCGACCTCTGTCCCCGGGTGCTGAGCACACAGGCCCGAGACAGGCTGGATTGTGTCCACATGTTGCTGCAAATGGGTGCTAATCACACCAGCCAGGTGAGCGGGGATGTGGGCGGTCAGACCCTGGGAGATTGTGTGGAATGGGGCCACTTGGATGTCCGGGAGCTCCAGGCAAATGCTGACTTTGCCTCTTCCTTGCTGCGTGCCCTTGAACATGTTACTTCACTTCTCTGTGCCTTAGGGGTTTTTTGTTTGTTTCTTTGTTTGTTTTGAGATGGAGTTTTGCTCTTGTTGCCCTGGCTGGAGTGCAATGGTGTGATCTTGGCTCACCGCAACCTCTGCATCCCGGGTTCAAGTGATTCTCCTGCCTCAGCCTCCTGAGTAGCTGGGATTACAGGCATGAGTCACCACGCCTGGCTAATTTTTTTGTATTTTTAGTAGAGACAGGCTTTCTCCACATTGGTCTTGCTGGTCTCGAACTCCCGACCTCAGGTGATCCACCTGCCTTGGCCTCCCAAAGTGCTGTGATTACAGGCGTGAGCCACCGCGCCCAGCAGGGTTTTTTTGTTTGTTTGTTTTTTTGTTTTTGAGACAGGGTCTCACTCTGTCGCCCAGGCTAGAGTGCAGTGGTGCAATCTCATCTCATGGCAAACTCTGCCTCCCAGGTTCAAGTGATTCTCCTGTCTTAGCCTCCTGAGTAGCTGGGACTATAGGCGCACGCCACCATGCCTGGCTATTTTTTTTTTTTTTTTTTTGTATTTTAGTAGAAGTGGGCTTTCATTGTGTTGGCCAGGCTGGTCTCAAACTCCTGACCTCAAATGATCCTCCCACCTTGGCCTCCCAAAGTGCTGCGATTACAGGCGTGAGCCACTGTGCCTGGCCCCTAGTTGTTAACTGGGAATAATATTACTGACCTTAGGGTATGTTATCAAGCACTTACTATTCATTCATCAAGCACTGAGTTTCATAGATTAGCTTATTGAAACCTCACAAACACCCTTTGACATGTGTACTCTATTTTCTCTATTTTACTGAAAAGGAAACAGGCATGGGAAATCAAAAATCTTTTTTTTTTTCTTTTTGAGATGGAGTTTTGCTCTTGTTGCCCAGGCTGGAGTGCAATGGTGTGATCTCGGCTCACCACAACCTCCGCCTCCTGGGTTCAAGCGATTCTCCTGCCTCAGCCTCCCGAGTAACTGGGATTACAGGTTCCCACCACCACGTCCAGCTAATTTTGTATTTTTAGTAGAGACAGGGTTTCTCCATGTTGGTCAGGCTGGTCTCGAACTCCCGACCTCAGGTGATCTTCCTGCCTCGGCTTCCCAAAATGCTGGGATTGCAAGCGTGAGCCACTGCACCTGGCCTCAAAAATCTCTTTGAGACAGGGTCTCACTCTGTCACTCAGGCTGGAGTGCAGTGGCATGATCACAGCTTATTGCAGCCTTGACCTTGTGCACTTAAGTGATCCTCCCACCTCAGCCTCCCAAGTAGCTGTGATCACAGGCATGCACCACCATGCGTGGCAACTTTTTTGTAAGGTGGGGTCTAACTATGTTGGCCAGGTTGGTCTCAAACTCCTGAGCTCAAGCAATCCTTCCACCTCTGCCTCTGAAAGTGCTGGGATTACAGTTGTGAGCCACTGCACCCAGCCTGAAAAATCTTATAGCTTGTGACTGTCAGAGAGAGAATTAGAACCCAGGTAGTCTGACTTTAGAACCTAGCTTTTAATTATGTTCTGTTCCTTTCCTGTGACAGTAGCTCCTTCATAGGCTGGCTGAGAGAATTAAACATCCACAAAAAATGTTTATTTATTTATTGAGATGGAATCTCACTCTGTCACCCAGGCTGGAGTGCAGTGGCATGATCTCGGCTTACTGCAACCTCTGCCTCCCGGGTTCAAGCCATGCTCCTGCCTCAGCCTCCTGAGTAACTGGGACTACAGGCATGCACCACCACGCTTGGCTAATTTTTTTGTATTTTTAATGGAGACGGGGTTTCCCTATGTTGGCCAGGCTGTTCTCTCAAACTCCTGACCTCAGGTGAGCCGCCCGCCTTGGCCTCCCAAAGTGCTGGGATTACAGGCATAAGCCACTGCGCCCAGCCGAAAAATGTTTTTTTAGTTAAAGAATGTTGAACACCAATAAAATATAGAAAATAGTGGAATGAACTCCATATGTCCAACATCAATAACCAGCCACTCATGGCCAGTCCTGCCCCATCCACTCTCTCACTTTCAAGTGATTTTTTTTTTTTTTTTGAGATGGCTCTCGCTCTGTCACCCAGGCTGGAGTGCAGTGGTGCGATCTCGGCTCACTGTAAGCTCCGCCTCCCGGGTTCACACCATTCTCCTGCCTCAGCCTCCTGAGTAGCTGGGACTATAGGCACCCGCCACCACGCCCGGCTAAATTTTTGCATTTTTAGTAGAGACGCAGTTTCACCGTGTTAGCCAGGATGGTCTCGATCTCCTGACCTCGTGATCCACCCGCCTCGGCCTCCCAAAGTGCTGGGATTACAGGCGTGAGCCACTGTGCGTGGCCTCTCACTTTCATGTGATTTTTAAGCAAATTCCAACATGTATTTTTTTCAAAAATATTTGTGTATCTTTAAAGAATAATGGTGTTTAGCAGAATTAGCTAGATGGTGGGGATGGACTGTAAGAAGGACGGGCATGACTGAGTAGAGACAAGATAAGGCATTATTAGCGGGGTTAGGAAATGAATGATGGTAATCTAGGCTCTTAATGGTTGCAAAGTAGAGCTAAGTGATCATTTGGGCAATACAGAGAAGGTGAAATTGATACTTTGGTAATTCATTCGTTTCTTCACTCAGAATTTTGGACACATATGATGTAGCTACCAGTGTGCTAGTGATGGGGCATAAAGTTGCTTTTTGTTTGTTTGTTTTTTAGAGACAGAGTCTGGCTTTGTCACCCAGGCTGGAGTGCTGTGGTGCGATCACGAATCACTGCAGCCTCGACTTCCTGACCTCAAACATTCCTTCCACCTCAGCCTCCTAAGTAGCTGGGACTACAGGCATGAGCCACCTCACCCGGCTAATTGTTTTATATTTTTTGTAGAGAGGGGGGGTCTCACTATGTTGCCCAGGCTGGTCTCGAACTCCTGGGCCCAAGTGATCCCCCAGCCTTGGCCTCCCAAGTGCTGGGATTACAGGCGTGAGCTGCTGTGCCCAGCTACCTATAATGTTTTAATAAGAAAAGACCACTTTCTTGTACTTTTAGACATTAAAATTTAATGGAAAAGAGAGGAGATGATAAGTAAACAAAGAACTGAACATAATTACAAATTGGGATGAGAGCTGCCTTGGGAATGTAGAAGGAGCTCTTAGACAATAAAAAGATTGGCTTTATATTGGATGCGGGGCTCACAATGAAGGTCATTCTGAGGAAATTACATTTAAGTTGAGCAAGAAATGATGAAGAGGAAGAATTAACTGTGTGGTAGGGTTCTGGGAGAACTCAGAAATCAGGGAGTATTTCTCTGAAAAAAGGACAAATAATTTTTTTTTTTTTTTTGAGATGGAGTCTCGCTCTGTCGCCCAGGTTGGAGTGCAGTGGCACAGTCTTGGTTCACTGCAACCTCCCAGGTTCAAGTGATTCTCCTGCCTCAGCCTCCCGAGTAGCTGGGACTATAGGCATGTGCTATCACACCCCACTAATTTTTGTATTTTTAGTAATAATAATAAGTTTTTTAAAAATAAGAAAGATGGCTGGGTGCGGTGGCTCATGCCTGTAATCCAAGCACTTTGGGAGGCTCAGGTGGGCGGACTGCTCGAGCTCAGGAATTCGAGACCAACCTGGGCAACATAGGGAGACCCCATCTCTAAAAAAAATACAAAAATTAGCTGGGCTTGATGGCACATGCCTGTGGTCCCAGGTACTCAGGAGGCTGAGGTGGGAGGATCACCTGAACCTGGGGAGGTCAAGGCTGCAGTGAGCCATGATTTTGCCACCACACTCCAGCCTGGGTGACAGAGCAAGACCCTGTCTCTCAACAACAACAACAACAATAATAAAAGATAAGAACTCTTTCCCTGTAATCCCAGTGCTTGGGGAGGCTAAGGTGGGAGGATCACTCGAGCCCAGTAGGTTGAGGCTACAGTGAGCCTTGGTCACACCACTGCACTCCAGCCTGGGCAACAGAGCGAGACCCTGTCTCAAAAAACAAACAAAAAACATAGCTTTTTTTTTTTGAGACGGAGTCTCACTCTGTTGCCCAGGCTGGATTGCAATGGTGTGATTTTGGCTCACTGCAACCTCTGCCTCCCGGGTTCAAGCTATTCCTGTGTCTCAGCCTCCCAAGTAGCTGGGATTATAGGCATGTGCCACCACGCCTGGCTAATTTTTGTATTTTTAGTAGAGACGGTTTCACCATGTTGGCCAGGCTGGTCTCGAACTCTTGACCTCAAGTGATCCGCCCTCCTTGGCCTCCCAAAGTGCTGGGATTACAGGCATGAGCCCCTGTGCCCTTCGAAAAAAAAGAACTTTTTAAACCTCAGTATCATTGCTCTGTCTTTAAAAAATTAAAGATTTTCTTGTAATACCAAATATCCTGGCTGTATTCAAATTTCCTTTTGGCTGTAAAATGATAATTTTTTTCATTAAAAAAAATCAAGATCCAAATAAGCACACATATTATGATGTTACGTCTTTTCAAATCACTCTTAATCTAGAGCTTTGGTTTTGTCTTCATCATTTTTTGGACGAGCAAACTAGGTGGTTTTGCCCTGTTATCAGCACATAAAATGTTTAACATTCATTATCGTTACAAACTCCTTAAAGACACATAAAAAGGTTTCATTTTAGAAAATGTCTTTTATTTTCCCCCAAATATGATGGGAACAGCTCAATATTGTGGTGCAGTATTGCAATATTAGCTAGTCCACTGATTAATGCTGCCAACTCCTGTGCTTGTAGATAAAGTACAGTCTGTGTGGGTCGGGATGCAATTTAATGTGTTGAATGGAGGGCAGGTAGCCAAGGCAGTTGCTTTGAAGAACTGGAAAAGGAGTCTCTTTCTCAGACACTGGTGGGAAAATTGTCATGAGAAATGTACAGTTCTGGAAGGTGTATGGTGTGAATGGTACACCCTGAGACGTGGTGTTGTGCGGTGCACAAGACATACAACTGAATAAGGCACTCTTGGTGGGGCTCGCAGAAGAGGGCCAGCATCTTATTTATTTATTTATTAATTTTGAGATAGAGTGTCACTCTGTCACCCATGCTGGAGTGCAGTGGTGTGGTCATGGCCCACTGCAGCCGTGAACTCCTAGGCTCAAATGAACCTCCTGCCTCAGCCTCCCAAGCAGCTGGGACTACAGGTGCGCACCACCACGCCTGGCTAATTTTTCTATTTTTTGTAGAGATGAGGTCTTGCTGTGTTGTCCAGGCTGGTCTGCAGCTCCTGGCCTCAAGTGATCCTCCTTCTTCAGCTTCCCAAAGTGCTAGGATTACAGGCGTGAACCACCGCACTCCGCCAAGGGTCAGGGTCTTTAAAGACTCCTGGATTCTGTGGGAGGGCACCTAGGTGTGAGGCTGGCCCTGACCTCTGCCATTCCCTTCCCCTCAGGAGATCAAGAGCAACAAGACAGTTCTGCACTTGGCCGTGCAGGCTGCCAACCCCACTCTGGTTCAGCTGCTGCTGGAGCTGCCCCGGGGAGACCTGCGGACCTTTGTCAACATGAAGGTGGGAGCTGGGGCTGGGAAGTGCAGATTGTGTGGGGTACGGTAGGGGGGGCAGTGGGATGTTAGGGGTCCTGGGGGCTGTGGACGTGGAGGGGACGATGTGTGGGATCTGCAGGGGAAAGTATAGGAAGCAGACACAGATTGCCCCAGAACATGTAGTCCGTGGACACAGGGATGCATGCAGCGTGGCTGTGGCCGGGGGAGGTCTGGGATGTGAAAGGACAAGTGTAGGACGTAGACAAGGCAGAAATTGAAGTGCAGTTTAGAGGCCTGGGCCAGCTGAGCCCAGATCCCCACCAGCCCTCCCCTTACTTTTCCAGGCCCACGGGAACACAGCCCTCCACATGGCGGCTGCCCTGCCCCCTGGGCCGGCCCAGGAGGCCATCGTGCGGCACCTGTTGGCAGCTGGGGCGGACCCCACACTGCGCAACCTGGAGAATGAGCAGCCCGTTCACCTGCTGCGGCCCGGGCCGGGCCCTGAGGGGGTAAGTAAGCACTGAGCCTGCCTGTAGAGTGGCCTCTGAGCTCGCGGGCGCGGGATGACCTCCCTGCCCCACCCAATGCTCGCTTTCAGAGAATGACTTCTAATCTCGGAAGGTGACTTCAGCCCTCAGGCAACCCTGACTCTATAATGTGACCTCTGACCTCAGTGTTTCATCCTTTACCCCAGAATGGTGACTTCTCTGATCTCTACCCCAACCCTGACCTCACAGTGTGACCTGTACTTCCAACCCTGAATCTTGCTTGACCTCAAGGTGTGACCTTTGATCCCCCCAAGTGTGACCTCCTACCCCCTGCCCCTAACCTTGGGTCCTGACCTCAGATGTGACCTTTGACCTCTTACCTGTTCCCTTCAATTCCCTCTCATTCCTCACCCCCAGGTGGGAACCCCCAGCCAGCAGCCCCTTTCCCTTCACTGAAGTTCTGCTTCCTGACCCTTTCTCAGTGTACGAACCCAGGCCTTGACCTTCTTCCCACATCTTTATTTTTATTTGTTTGTTTGTTTATTTATTTATTTTGAGGCAGCGTCTTGCTCTGTTGCCTAGGCTGGAGTGCAGTGGCATGATCATAGCTCACTGCAGCCTCGAGCTCCTGGGCTCAAGGGATCCTCCCACCTCAGCCTCTCCAGTAGCTGGTACTACAGGCAGTCACCACCACACCCAGCTAATTTTGTTTTTTTTTTTTTTTAAGAGATGGGGTCACACTATGTTGTCCAGGTTGATCTCAAACTCCTGGCCTCAATTGATCCTCCCGCCTTGGCCTCCCAAAGTGTTGGGATCACAGGAACCATCACTCCCGGCCTCCTTCCCAAATCTTTTTTTTTTTTTTGGAGGCGGAGTCTTGCTTTGTCACCCAGGCTGGAGTGCAGTGGTGCAATTTTAGCTCACCGCAAGCTCCACCTCCCAGGTTCAAGTGATTCTCCCACCTCAGCCTCCCAAGCTGGGACTAAAGGCACACGTGCCACCATGCCCGGCTAATTTTTGTATCTCTGGTAGAGGCGGGGTTTCGCCATGTTGGCTGGGCTGGTCTTGAACTCCTGACCTCAGGTGATTTGCCCACCTTAGCCCCACAAAGTGCTGGGATTACAGGCGTGAGCCACTGCACCTGGCTCTTCCAAAATCTTGACTCTGGACCTCTGATCTTCAAATCCAAAGGGACCCACTCAACCTCTCTTCTCTAGCCCCTCCCTCTGCATGGCGTGCCTTCCCCACCTCTCCTTCCAACCTGACAGACTTCTCTCCCTCCTTTGCCTTGTCTACAGCTCCGGCAGCTGTTGAAGAGGAGCCGTGTGGCGCCGCCAGGCCTGTCCTCTTAGGACTCAAACCCAGACCCTGGACTGATTTTCCAGTCCCCACCGTCCTGCGGGACAGCCAGCGTATGCTAATGTTGCAAACCCATGATAATGTATGTGGAATATCCTGCCATTGGGGTTTTACATTAAAACCCCAGAATGGCTGCAGAGGGGTGAACAGGCCCCAATATTTGGGGTGCTGTGATACCCCTCTTCTACCCACAAGGAGCCCTCTTGATGATTTCTGTGAAATCGAGGCCCCTTGATTGTTTCTGTGAAACACCCTGCACCCCTAGTCCTTTCCCCACTGAGATCTTTCGGGTTCTCTCCCCTAACTCAGCTCTTCGTTCCCAGAAACCCAGATGTAATCCCCCTACGTGGTGCTTGGGGCATCCCGATACCATCTCAGTAAATCTCCTACAATGGCCTCCTCACCCTCCCCGGGACCCACACCCTTCAGGTCCTCACCCTGAGACAGGAGGGACCCTCTGAGATCAGGGACCCTTAGGTCTCACTGCTCTCTGATTCAGAGCTCAGCTGGGCCCCCAGTTCCAGACCCCAGCATTCCCGGTCACTCCCTCCCTAATCTGAGCATCACTCAAGCTCTTTATTAAACTCAATTTGGGCCAGATTTGGTGGCTCATGCCTGTAATCCTAACACTCTGGGAGGCCGAGGCGGGCGGATCACTTGAGGTGAGGAGTTTGAGACCAGCCTGGCCAACATGGTGAAACCCTGTCTCCACTAAAAATACAAAAACAATTGGCTGGACATGGTGGCATGCGCCTGTAGTCCCAGCTACTTGGGAGGCTGAGGCAGAAGAATTGATTGAACCCAGGAGGCGGAGGTTGCAGTGAGCCGAGATTGTGCCACTGCACTCCAGCCTAGGTGACAAAGAGAGACTCTGTCTCAAAAAAAAAAAAAAAAAAAAATTTAAACTCAATTTGGACTAGAACCACTGTTGTCTGATCTCTGGGGGCACTGGTGCAGGGGAGTGGCTGTGATGCCCGCTGAGGGGTCATATTGGGATGAATGTGCCTGAGGGGGGAGGATGTAGCAGCCACCATGGGTGCCAAGTCCATATCCTGTCACCCTCACCCTGGCGACACAAGAGGGACTGGCCTTTAGGAGGCCAAGGTGTGAGGATCACTTGAGGCCAGGAGTTTGAGACCAGCCTGGGTGTCAGCCCCAGAATATTTGCCTTTGGGCAATCTCAAACCACTGGTGCGGCTCTGCCCCAGGTATGAGCATGGCAAGTGTTGAAAGCCAGGGGGTTCGTGTCCACTTCCCACTCCAGCAGCCCTCAGCCAGTTACTGATAGGAGATAGTCCCCCACCTGTCTGTTGGGCTAACTTGGAAGTGCATGGCCTATGCGGGCTCCAGAGTTCCCCAGCAGATGAATCCCCAGTTCCCCACAGTGGTCTGGGCTTGATAAAATACCCTTTATTGGCTGCTCTTTCTTCTCTGTGTCTCTTCCTGTCTCCCCTACCAATGTTCTCCATCCCTTCCAAATGAACTTTCCCTCCAATCCTTCCCTCCATAGCTGCTTTTGGAGAAACCCAAACTAAGAATTCCACAAAACCCCATTCTCAGCCAGGCGCAGTGACTCACACTTAAAATTGCAGCACTTTGTGAGGCCGAGGCGAGCAGATCACCTGAGGTCAGGAGTTTGAGACCAGCCTGGCCAACATGGCAAAAACCCATCTCTACTAAAAATACAAAAATTAGCCAGGCGTGGTGGCGTGCGCCTGTAATCCCAGCTACTCAGAAGGCTGAAGCATGAGACTCGCTTGAACCTGGGAGGCAGAGGTTGCAGTGAGCTGAGATTGCGCCACTGCACTCCAACCTGGGCGACAGAGCAAGACTCTGTCTCAAAAAAAGATACAAAAAAACCCCCAAGGCTGGGCGCAGTGGCTTATGCCTATAATCCCTGCACTTTGGGAGGCGGAGGCGGGTGGACTACCTGAGGTCGGGAGTTTGAGACCAGCCTGGCCAACATGATGAAACCTTGTCTCTACTAAAAATACAAAAAAATTGGCCAGGCGCAGTGACTCACACCTGTAATCCCAGCATTTTGGGAGGCCGAGGCGGGCGGATCATGCGGTCAGGAGATTGAGACCATCCTGGCTAACACGGTGAAACCCTATCTCTACTAAAAATACAAACCAAAAAAAAAAAAAATTAGCTAGGCATGGTGGCGGGCACCTGTTTTCCCACCTACTTGGGAGGCTAAAGCAGGAAAATTCCTTAAATCCAGGAGGCGGAACTTCCATTAACCTAAAATCCCACCACTTTTCTCCACCCTGGGCAACAAAACAAAATTCCGTCTCAAAAAAAAAAAAAAACCCAAACCCCATTCTCATACCCGCTCCACAGCCTCTGCTCTGGCCTCTGCAATATAATCACACAAAGAGCCCCCATCCCAGAAAGCCCTTGGACCCATCACAGCCCCCATAGCTAGGAACCTTTCATGGACCACAGACCGAATGTACATGTTAGCACATTCCGGGGCTCCAGCCAATGTCTCCACCCCAAAACTTAAGGCTTAAACCAACACCCTTTTAATTATTTCTTTTCTTTTTTCTTTTTTGAGAAGGAGTCTCAGTCTCACCAGATTGGAGTGCAGTGGCGCGATCTCTGCTCACTGCAACCTCCGCCTTCCAGGTTCAAGCGACTCTCCTGCCTCTGCCTCCCAAGTAGCTGGGATTACAGGCACCCACCACCACGTCTAGCTAATTTTTGTATTTGTTTAGTAGAGATTGGGGTTCCAGCATGTTGGCCAGGCTTGTCTCGAACTCCTGACCTCAAGTGATCCACCCACCTCGGCCTACCAAAGTGCTGGGATTACAGGTGTGAGCTACCGCGCCCAGCCCCTCTTAATTGTTTCTGACTGAAATCTACGCCGGGTTCAGCTGGCTGTTCTGCTGTCTCCCTTTGGTTCCTCATGTGGCTGCAATCAACCTGAGGCCCAACTGGCCTGGAAATCCACAACACCTTCACTCACATGCCTGATAGCTCAGCTGAGATAATGGAGCTTCCAGGAGTGGCCCAAGAGTCTTTCCATGCAGTCCAGGAGGGCAGGTGGATCTCTTAACTTCAGGTGGTGGCTCAGTGGTTCCAAGAAAGAGAGATCCAAGGAGACAAGTCCCTGCTTGTATCATACTTGTTGACATGTCATTGATCCCAGATCAGTGTGGGAGGCATTACACAAGGGTCTCAATATTGGGAGACAGAGTTATCTGGGGACTGGGCGAGGTGCCTCACTCCTGTAATCCCAGCAATTTGGGAGGCCAAGGAGGGCGGATTACTTGAGGTCAGGAGTTGGAGACCAGCCTGGTCAACATGGTGAAACCCTGTCTCTACTAAAAATACAAAAATTAGCTGGGCATGGTGGCGGGTGCCTGTAGTCCCAGCTACTTTGGAGGCTGAGGCAGGAGGATCACTTGAGGCCAGGAGTTTGATGCCGCAGTGAACCATGATTGCAGCACTGCACTCCAGCGTGGGAGGCAGCAAGACACTGTCTCTAAAGTAAGTAAATAAATAATAATAATAAAATAAAAAATACAGAAGAACTTAATTGGGATCATCTTATAGTCAATTGTGTGACATAGTTTATATTTTGCCTTTTTTTTCCTTTTGTGGTACCTAAAATAATGCTATTTTTTATCACTGATGGCATCTGAGGTTTTGTTGACATATAAGATGTATATCTCAATTTGTATTGTTATGGAGTGCATGTTTGTGTCCCTCTAAAATTCATTTGTTGAAACCATAAGCCCCAGTGGGGTAGTATTTGAAGATGGGCCTTTGGGAGGTAGTTAGGTCATGAGGGTGGAGCCCTCATGAATGGGACTAATGTCCTTGTTAGAAGAGATGGGAGAGTCCGGGCGTGGTGGCTCATGCCTGTAATCCCAGCACTTTGGGAGGCCGAGGCGGGTGGATCATCTGAGGTCTGGAGTTCGAGACCAGCCTGACCAACATGGAGAAACCCCGTCTCTACTAAAAAATACATATTAGCCAGGCATGGTGGTGCATGCCTGTAATCCCAGCTACTCAGGAGGCTGAGGCAGGAGAATCACTTGAACCTGGGAGGTGGAGATTGCGGTGACCCGAGATCATGCCATTGCACTCCATCCTGGGCAACAAGAGTGAAACTCCATCTCAAAAAAAAAAAAAAAAGAAGGAGACAGGAGAGAGCTTGCTTCTCTGCTCTCTACTCTCTGCCATATGAAGATGCAGTAAGAGGATGGCCATCTTGGGCAGGGCACACTGGCTCACACCTGTAATCCCAGCATTTTGGGAGGCCAGGATGGGAGGATAGCTTGAGCTCAGGAGTTTGAGAACAGCGTGGGCAGCATGGTGAAATCCTGTCTCTACTCAAAAAAAACAAAATAGCCAGGTGTAGTGGTGCACACCTGTGGTCCCAGCTACTCGAGAGAGTAAGGCAGGAGAATTGCCTCAGCCTGGGAGATCAAGGCTGCAGTGAGCTGTGATTGCACCAGTGCACTCCAGCCAGGTGACAGAACAAGACCTTGTCAAAAAACAAAACAAAACAAACCATCTGCAAACCAGGAAGAGAGTCCTCCAGACTTTGGAGCTGCTGGCACCTTGATCTTGGACTTCTCAGCCTCTAGCACTTGTGAGAAATAAATGTGTGTTGTTTAAGCCACCCAGCTCATGGTATTCTTAGCCCAGACTAAGATGCATATCAATACACACATGTGCACACACCCACCCCACTAACATGATAAAATGTCCCTCAGAAACTTTGTGTGTTTTTTTTTTTTTTTTTTTTTAAATAAGAACAGGGTCTCACTCTTGCTCAGGCTGGAGTACAGTGGTGCAATGTCAGCTCACTGCAGCCTCCACCTCCTGCCTGGACTCAAGAGATCCTTCTGCCTCAGCCTCTTGAGAAGCTAGGACCACAGGTGTATGCCACCACACCCAGCTAATTTTTTCGTTTCTATTTTTGTAGATACAGGGTCTCACTATGTTGCCCAGGCTGGTCTCGAACTCCTGGGCTCAAGGGATACTCCCACCTCGGCCTCCCAAAGTGCTGGGATTACATGCATGAGCTTCTGCACCTGTCCATATATTATTATTATTATTATTATTTTGAGACCGGGTCTCAATCTGTCTTCTTTGGCTCTCTACAGCCTCGACCTCTTAGGCTCAAACAATTCTCCCACTTCAGCCTCCCGAGTAGCTGGAACTACAGGCACTCATCACCATGCCTGACTAATTTTTTTTTTGTAAAGACTGTGTCTCACTATGTTGCCCAGACTGGTCTTGAGCTCCTAGACTCAAGCGATCCTTCCACCTCAGTCTCACAAATTGCTGGGATTACAGGCATGAGCCACGCACATGGTAGAAACTGAATTATTATAAGAAAAATTGGCCGGACCCGGTGGCTCACGCCTGTAATCCCAACACTTTGGAAGGCCAAGGCAGGTGGATCATTTGAGGTCAGGAGTTTAAGACCAGCCTGGCCAACATGGTGAAACCCCGTCTCTATTAAAAATACAAAAATTAGCCAGGCATGGTGGCGGGCGCCTGTAATCCCAGTTACTCGGGAGGCTGAGGTGGGAGAACCATTTGAACCTGGGAAGTGGAGGTTGCTATGAGCCAAGATCACACCACTGCACTCCAGCCTGACAAGACTCTGTCTCAAAAACCCAAAACCAAAACAAAACAAAACAAAAAAACAGTATTACCAAGATCATCTTCAGTGGGAAAAGAATGACTTAGGAGTGCAAGAACATCAGATAAATAACAGCAAAATTATTTTTCCTGCTGGAATTTGAATAACAACATTTTAAAATTAAATACTCTAAGTATTACCATTAAACTTTACTTTACACACTGACCCTATTGAGCAAAACCGCCTTACTTTTCCTGTTTCACCTGCTTGGAGCTCCTTACCTGTTGTTAGCCTGTTGATCACTCTTGGTTGTGAAAATACAAAGGCGGCTTTCAACCCCTGTGGTGCCTGTGGCGTTAGTGATAGATTTCCACTGGGCTCATCCGAGTATAACCAAAGATATAACCGGTATCAGAGTGATGGTGCAAACTGAGTTCTCTACAGAGACTGGCATTGCATCCAACTTGCACCATGAAGCGTCTTCTCCTAACATCTACCAGGTGTATATTCAATATACACGACCTATATTTACAGTTATATATTATGAAGAACCACAGCTAGCTCATAGGCCCTTTGGGAGAATTAGAAATAGATGCTCCCTCCCCAAACCATCTGTCAGAAAATCATGCAAGATACTGACATTAGAACATGACACTTTACTGCCATCTCCTGGGAAGCTGTGGTAAAAAAGCAAATCTACAAAGTCTGGGAGGTGAATGGTATCACTTGGATTTTATTTATTTATTTATTTATTTATTTATTTATTTATTTTTTATTTTTATTTTTATTTTTAGACAGGGTCCCTCTATGTTGCCCAGGCTGAAGCGCAGTGGCTATTCACAGGTGCTATCCCACTACTGATCAGCATGAGAGTGTTGACCTATGTTTCCTAGGTCGGTTCCCATTCCCAGGAGGTCATCATATTGATGCCAAACTTAGTGTGGACACCCAAGTGGCACAGTGCACTCCAGTCCAGAAGCCCTGGGCTCAAGCAATCCTCTTGCCTCAGCCTCCCGGGTAGCTGGGACTAGAGCAGCGTGCCACTGTGCCCAGCCACGTGGAATTTTGAAGCGCACAATCGGAGCACCATATTGGACAACCTTGGAGTATTAAACAGGTTAGCAAAGTGGCCAGGAGAGTGGATGCTGGAGCCAGGCTTCTTGGATTGAATTCTTAGCTCTGACTTTTCCTGGATGATGACATAGAGCATGTGATGTAACGACTCTCAGCCTCAGTTCCTAATCTATAGATAGGAATAGTCATAATACTGACTCCATTAGATGGAAATGTGAACTCCGAATATCTGAGTCAGGTCTCAATTAATTCAGAAAGTTTATTTTGCCAAGGTTGAGGATATGCACCCATGACACAGCCTTAGAAGGTCCTGACGACATGTGCCCAAGGTGTTCGGGGTACAACTTGGTTTTATACATTTCAGGGAGATATGAGACATCAATCAACATATGTTAAGATGTACATTGGTTCTGTCTGGAAAGGCAGGACAACACAAAGCAGGGAGGGGGCTTCCAGGTCACAGGTAGGTGAGAGACAAATGGTTGCATCCTTTTGAGTTTCTGGTTAGCTTTTCCAAAGGAGGCAATCAGAATATGCCTCTCTCAGTGAGTACAGGGATGACCTTGAATAGAAAGGGAGGCAGGTTTGCCCTAAGCAGTTCCCAGCTTGACTTTTCCCTTTAACTTAGTGATTTGGGGCCCCCAGGATTTATTTTCCTTTCACAGGAGTAATGGTTAAGTGTGCCAGTGCATGTAAAGCCCTCAGAGTAGTGCCTGGCACAGGGTGAACACCATATGAGTGTTTGCTACCTTAATACTTTAAAATTTATTTAACAAATACTTGCTAAGTGGCAGGTGCAGTTATAACAGCTCCACGAATATTAACCCTTTAAATCCTCCTAACCCTCTTGGGACAGATAACTGTATATGTAGAGGGCTAACCCGAGCCAGCATAATGGGACATGTGAGGGTATAAATTCCAATACTGGGCACAGTGCTGCACGCCTGTAATCCCAGCTACTCAGGAGGCTGAGGTGGGAGGATCACTTGAGGCCAGGACTTGGAGAGCAGCCTGGGCAACATAGCAAGACCCCATCTCTAAATTTTTTTTTTTTTGAGATGGAGTTTCGCTCTTGTTGCTCAGGCTGGAGTGCAGTGGCGCAATCTTGGCTCACTGCAACCTCCGCCTCCTGGGTTCAAGCGATTCTTCTGCCTCAGCCCCCAAGTAGCTGGGATTACAGGCATACGCCACCAGGCCCGGCTAATTTTGTATTTTTAGTAGAGATAGGGTTTCATCATGTTGGCCAGGCTGGTCTCGAACTCCTGACCTCAGGTGATCCGCCCGCCTCAGCCTCCCAAAGTGCTGAGATTACAGGCGTGAGCCACCGCACCTGGCCTAAAATTTTTTTAAAAAAATTATCCGGGGGTGGCGGTACGTGCCTATAGTTCCAGCTACTCGGGAGGCTGAGGCAGGAGGGTCACTTAAGCCCAAGAGTTGGAAGCTGCAGTAAGCTATGATTGCACCACTGCACTCCAGCCTAAGTGACAGTGTTAGACCCTGTCTTAAAAAAAGGGAGGTGGGGAAAGAAAAGAAAGAAAAAGAAATTCTTCTGCATTTATACGGGCAGTAGGGGGAGAAAATAAAACGAAGTTCAGTAGGCACGTGCAGATATCATATATCCCTTTCTGGGACACGTGACTGGAATTTCCACACTCCAGGAGGGTTTCTATAGACTCCCCGAGAAGGAATGAAGACTTTGGGGAATGGGAACGGTGGTTCACGATTCATAATCTCTTACAGGACTCTCGAAGATTGGGGTGGGCGCTGCATGTGATTGTGTGTGAGGCTGAACAGATGGCAGGGGAAACTCGCTGGAGCCCAGCCTCCTTGGGGTCCACACTGGTACCCAACTGACAGTTGGAAGGCGCGGCCAGTTCAGCACCGCGGACAGCTCCAGGACAGGCGCCTATCCCTGGCCTCTGAGCCCCGCCCCCGGCGCGCCAGCCCTTCCCGCAGGACCCGCCCAGATTTAAAGCTCCGTCATCCCGTTTAAAGAGGCCAAGGCGGCCTGGGCGGCGATGACACCGCGTCCAGCTGTGGTTACAGACTAATTCTCCCACAGAGACTCAGACTGGCCTGGTAGGGAAGAGGACTTTATTGGGATGTTAGTAGGGAAACATGAGAGGGTGAATTCCAGGGAATAGACACTAGGACCAAGGTGGCGGTCACCTTAAAGAGCCATAAATAAACTTAAAAAATAAATTAAGGTGAGGAGGTGCCACGTGGGGAGGCTGCTGGGACTATCTGGGAATTCTTAGGGATGGAATTTTGGAATTGGAAAGGGGAAATAAGAATTTCCAGCCGTCTCACAAAAGGGTGTGAAATGATCACTTCAAGACTCCCTGCTGCCCTAGGCTGGGAGTTGGGGTTCTGGGGCTCCAGGAAGAGGGGAGGTCTGGGCTCGGCTGAAGGGGTGAAGGGGGCCGGGTCAGGGTCGTTCCTCCAGGAAGCGGTAAGTGGGGTTCTCATAGCCGTGCCGCTGCAGTTCGCGGAGCTGCTGCTCCTCCAGGGTCAGCATGGGGTCCACCTGCAACGAGCAGGGGAGGGAAAGGACAGTGTGGTGCGGGGGCGGGACTGCCCGCAAGTCTCTCAGGCCGCCCACACCCGGGCTCAGGAACTCTTCCCACACCTCCACCACGCCATGGTTCTCACCTCCACCACGCCATGGCTGATAGCCCCGTAGGGCTTCTTCCTGCGCAGGAGCAGCATGGAGAGGACGATGAGGGAGCCTCCGCCCGCTCCCATGATCAGCAGACCCGACACAGCCTCACGGGACACCCCTGTCCCAGCTGGTGCCTGCAGGGAGAGGAGATGGGGCAGAGGGCTTCTTTGAGGGTCCTGTGTGGCTTTGGGAATCACAGCCTGGCCGCTGACCTCTGGTCTCTTCCCCTAGGTACCCGGCTGTTCCTCCTCTTACCAGCTCATCCCTCTGAATCTCCGATGAGTGGAAAGGGAAACCCCTTGGAACAGACGCATTCACCTGGGGGAGCAGGAGGTGTCAGGAACCCAGAAGCCTGGCACTGGCTTCTTCCTACCCAAGGGCCCAAGAGAGCGTCCCCCAGCCCTCTCATTTTCTAGGATCTCAATTCCACGTCCTCAGCTCCCTCTTCCCTCAGGACAAGGAATCCAAGCCCCCAGCATCTCCTCCCTCGTACCCAGCCATATAGGCCCCGATCTTGTTCCCCTTAGGGAGCCCACAGTTCTGACTAACTTACCTTTCGCTCATACTGTTCCAGCGGGTTCATCTTCTCTTTCTCAGGGGATGCAGCATCTTGTTCTGTGGACCCTACCCCCAAGTCTGATCTCATTCTTTTTTTTTTTCTTTAGACAGAGTCTCACTCTGTCACCCAGGCTGGAGTGCAGTGGCATGATCTCAGCTCACTGCAGCCTCAACTTCCTGGGCTCCAGTGATCCTTCTACGTCAGCCTCCTGAGCAGCTGGGACTACAGACATGCCCCACCACACCCAGGTAATTTTTAAATTATTTGTAGGTACAGGGTCTCATTATGTTGCCCAGGCTGGTCTAGAACTCGTGGCCTCAAGGGATCCTCCTGCCTCAGCCTCTGAAAGTGCTAGGATTACGGGTGTGAGTCACCAGCGCCTGGCCCTATCTCATTCTTTAGGGTCCAGAGGAGGGGGCTGGAAAGTACATCAAACTCTACCCCAGGGGGTCTGAGGTTCCCAATGGATGGACCCTGTTTCCTTCTGGGTTCAGGGATTCAGTGGGATTTGGAGGCTGGGGTTAACTGTGAGACACTCACCTTTTGGAAGGGTCATGGGGGTGTCTGCTGGCAGCCAGAGGAAGCAAGGGAGTGGAACAGTGAAGAGAGGAGGGTATCAGCAAAGAAAGGTGGAGAAACATCCTTCCAGGGACTAAGAAGGAGGATTGGGGATCCTACAGAGGCCCCTGCAACCTTAGACGTTCCTCCTCATCCTCTCCCAGTCACTGTGGTGGTGAAGACACCCTCAGACTCTAGGGGATTACAAATTAGGCTGGGGCCTGTTCCCTAATGTCTGGGGTCATCTATATGTGGGCTCACTCACCATCCTTGGAATCTGGAGGCTGCAGCCCACCCTTGTCCTCGCTGCTGCCCCCAGGGGCAGGGGCTTCCAATTCACTGGGACCCAGGTGTTCAGAGTGGAGGAGTTCCTCTGAGGGGGACATGCAGAAAGGTGGCTGAGGTAGTGAGCATAGGGGTGAGTGGAGGGCACCCTACCAGTAGAGCAAGTGGGAGATCATGCAGACAGCAGAGTCAGCCCCAAGTGTGGGGTAGCCAGAAGTGTGATCTGAGAAAGTGGGAAGCTGGATGGAGGCACTGCTGGCAGGAAGGATGGAGGCTGAAGTTTCAAGATTATGTTTTTTTTTTGTTTTTTTTTTTTTGAGACAGAGTCTCACTCTTGTTGCCCAGCTGGAGTGCAATGATGCGATCTCAGCTCACTGCAACCTCCACCTCCCGGGTTCAAGCAATTCTCTTGCCTCAGCCTCCTAAGTAGCTGGGATTACAGGCAAGCGACATCATGCCCGGCTGATTTTTGTATTTTTAGTAAAGACGGGGTTTCACCATGTTGGCCAGGCTGGTCTCGAACTCCTGACCTCAAGTGATCCACCCGCCTCGGCCTCCTAAAGTGCTGGGATTATAGGCGTGAGCCACCGCGCCTCAAGATGATAGCTTTCTTAAATACTAGGAGAATCAGGGTTATGTGTGAGATATCCAGGAGAAAGACACAATAGATGTGGGGGCTGCAATAGGTCACACTTTCCGGTATGCATATAGGTTCCTTCCCTTGAATCTGGACTGAATTTGTAACTTGCTTTAACAAATAGAATGTGGGCCCAAGCCTTAAGACCTAGCAACTTCCACTGTGATGTCTTAGAGAGCATAAACCACCATGTAGGGAATCTAGCTACCCTGCTGATGAGACCACATGGAGAAGCTCCACGGAGAAGAGAGGCCTTGCGCTTCCTTGGAGAGAGAGAAAGGTCCATTTGTGCTAGACTCCCAGCCCCTAGATGATCTGCTAGCTAAATACAGCTGCATGCTTGACCACTGGCAAGACCACTGAAAGAACCACTCTGCTGAGCGCAGACCGGATGGCAGAATCATGAACAAAGAAAAATCATTGTTGATTTTCACTGCTAAGGTCTGGGCTGTTTGTTATAGAGGAATAAATGAAATTGGGGGGGCCCAACATTTAGGAGTCAAGATCTGCCCTCAGAGATCTGTAATGGGAGCCAGGGTAATAGACACTCACGGATTTGGGGCCGCAGCTCCTGAGCCAGGTGGGGGTTCTGGTCAAGCAGGCCCAGGCTCTGATTCACCCTCTCCTCAATCACTTGAAGGTGGGTATGCACCTGTGGGTGAGTGGACATGAAGGATGAACTGCGCAATGCAGGCTGGAGATGAGGAAACTGAAGCAGTATGAAGGAGGAATTCAATAGCGACTGAGGAAAAGCGGCACATGCAATGGACAGGATGTGTGGTACAAGGGTTAGGAACTGGGCCATAGGAGAAGGAAATTGAAGAATAAAGTCCAAGGAACAGAAAGTGGGGTTTGAGGGGATTCCAGAGACAGAGATTGAGGATTGGAGGGTCATATAGAAATGACATGGTTCAAGGCAAGATTTGGAGTTCAAGAGCACAGAATGGAGTTTCATAGACAGGAAGAAAACATCCAGGAAAGGGGAATTCAAATTTGAGCGCACAGAACAGGGGTTCCAGGGAAAACAAGTGAAGTTATGGAGAAAGGAGGTTGAGGGACAGGAAGAGGGTTCAAGGAACAAGAAGGAGATTCTCGACCGGGCGCGGTGGCTCATGCCTGTAATCCCAGCACTTTGGGAGGCCGAGGTAGGCAGATCACCTGAGGTCAGGAGTTTGAGACTAGCCTGGGCAACATGGCAAAACCCTGTCTCTGCTAAAAATATTAGATTGGTGCAAGTTATTGGGGTTTCTGGCCGGGCATGGTGGCTCACGCCTGTAATCCCAGCACTTTGGGAGGCCGAGGTGGGCAGATCACCTGAGGTCAGGAGTTCGAGACCAGCCTGGGCAACATGGCAAAACCCTGTCTCTGCTAAAAATATTAGATTGGTGCAAAAGTTATTGGGGTTTCTGGCTGGGCATGGTGGCTCACGCCTGTAATCCCAGCACTTTGGGAGGCCAAGGCAGGCAGATCACCTGAGGTCAGGAGTTCAAGACCAGCCTGGCCAACATGCTGAAACCCGTGTCTACCAAAAATACAAAAATTAGCTGGGGCCGGGCGTGGTGGCTCACACCTGTAATCCGAGTACTTTAGGAGGCCAAGGGTGGATCACCTGAGGTCGAGTTCAAGACCAGCCTGACCAGTATGGTGAAACCCTGTCTCTACTAAAAATACAAAAATCAGCCAGATGTGGTGACACCCGCCTGTAGTCCCAGCTACTCAGGAGGCTGAGGCAGGAGAATAGCTTGAACCCAGTAGGCGGAGGTTGCAGTGAGCCCAGATCATGTCACTGCACTCCAGCCTGGGAAACAGAGCGAGACTCTGTCAAAAAAAAAAAAAAAAATTAGCCCAGTGTGGTGGCAGGCTCCTGTAATCCCAGCTACTCGAGAGGCTGAGGCAGGAGAATTGCTTGAACCCAGGAGGTGGAAGTTGCAATGAGCCAAGATCGCACACTGCTCTCCTGCCTGGGCGACAGAGCAAGAACCTGTCTCAAAAAAAAAAAAAAAAAAAAGACGATTCTGGGAAAGGCAGTGAAAATCCAAGGGACAGAACATAGGATCGACGGCGGGGGGAGTAGGAATCCAAGGGCCAAGAAGCAGGGGTCAAAGACACAGCATGTGAGGGTCCATGTTTCAGGGTCAGGAAGCTGAGCTGAGAGACTGGGAAGGGGCAGAGAAGCGGTGTTCAGGGGATAGGAAGGGGTCCAAGAGACAGAAAGAGGGTCTAAGGGACAAGAGAAGAGCCTGAGGCGCGGGCGTCTGAGGAATAGCGGCGCATTTGGGAGCTGGAAGGATGTGAGCACCTGGAAGCGCATCTGCTGTGCCTTCTCGGGATCCACGGCGGCCACATGCTGGTAGTGGCGCAGCGTGTGCCTCTGTTCCTTCTGCTCCGCACGCAGGTAGCGCCGCAGGGCCAACAGGACACGCTCCGCCTGTGGAAGGGACACAGGATGCCCAAGCCCGCCCTGACCCTTCTCACCCTCTGCTCTCTGCCCCCACGGTCCCCGCACCTGAGGCGGATCTGCCTGCAGGGCTGCCAGGAAGCCCTCCAAGGCAGCCCGGCGCTGGTCGTTGATAAGGGCGATGACGCGGGTGGCGTGGGTTTCCACCAGGCGCTGTCGCTCACCAGACACCTGCTCCTCCAGAGTCTGCAGAATGGACTGGAAGTGCTGGGGAGCGGGTGGGCACAGGGTCAGGAGAGGAGAAGATGGGTCAAAGCCTGGTCAAAGAGAGCCTGGAAAGGCAGGGCTACATGGGGTTGGGGGGCGTTCCAGGGGTCCAGGCCTGGGCAGAACCAAAGGTTATGGACTGGAAGGGGTGGGCTACAGGGCCAGGCAGAGTGGAGGTGGGACTAGGCCCACTGGGAGCCAATGTGAGGATGTAAACTGTAAGATTGAGTGGGAGCAATCTGGGAGCAGAACTGACCAATGTTAAGGTGAAAGGGACAAAGCCTTGCAGGGCTCCTGGCCTGGGCAGGGTCAAACTGGAGACAGGCTGTGTATAAATGACACGATAGGGGTGGGACAAAGAGCTGGAATGGGGGCTAACATGAGTGGGGTCTCCATGGGGTAGGTCAGGTTAATAAAGGTGAGATTGGCCCAGCAGAGCCAGAATCAGGGGGCGGGGCCTGATAGAGACATAAATGCATCAAAGAGAGACCAAGAAGGCCCTGGCTGCATCTGCAGAGGCCCTGGCTTGGGACAGGACTCCAGAGCCAGCCCTGAGAGGCAAGTCAAGTCTGTAGATGGGGCCGAATATGGCCAATCTGGGGAGGAGAGCAGTGTCAGGTCAGATGACGGCTAAGAGGGGCAGAGCTGCATGTAGGCATGGGGCCAGGAAAGGCTGAGATAGGTGGGAAGGGGTGGAACTGGATGGGCAGGGCACAGCCAGAGCCAGGTGAAACTGAGTGTGCTCCAGGTGGTGGACAGGCATGAGTAGGACCCACTGGGGCTGTCCTACCTCATTCAGGGCCTGTCTGTCGGCTTTAGGCAGGTTCTTGGACTGGTTGTCTGCCATGGCCCATTCACGCATCACCTGCATAGGGAGGGGAGCTTCAGGATCCCAGAATCCACCCTGATCCACCTGGCAAGTCCCCCAACCCCTCTTTAAGATTTTAGAAGCCCCATGGCTGGGCGCAGTGGCTCATGCCTGTAATCCCAGCACTTTGGGAGGCCGAGGTGGGTGGATCACAAGGTCAGGAGATTGAGGCCATCCTGGCTAACATGGTGAAACCCTGTCTCTACTGAAAACAGAAAAAATTATCTGGGCGCTGTGGTGGGTACCAGTAGTCCCAGCTACTCGGGAGGCTGAGGCAGGAGAATGGCGTGAACCCAGGAGGTGGAGCTTGCAGTGAGTGGGAGATCACGTCACTGCACTCTAGCCTGGGCAACAGAGCGAAACTCTGTCTCAAAAAAAAAAAAAAAAAAAGATTTAAAGGCCCCAGATCCCTTAAGTCTCGCTGGCTCCTGGGTTCCCAAGAGGGAAGATCCAGAAGGAGTTTAAAGTGAAAGAGAGGCCAGGCGTGGTGGCTCATGCCTGTAATCCCAGCACTTTGGGAGGCCGAGGCGGGTGGATCTCCTCCCGCCGGGAGTTCAAGACCATCCTGGCCAACATGGTGAAACCCTGTCTCTACTAAAAATACAAAAATTAGCCGGGCGTGGTGGTGGGTGCCTGTAATCCCAGCTACTCAGGAGACTGAGGAAGGGGAATCGCTGGAGCCCGGGAGGCAGAGGTTGCAGTGGGCCGAGATCGCACCATTGCACTCCAGCCTGGGTGTTAAGAGCGAAACTCCGTCACAACAACAACAACAAAAGAAAAAAAAAAAAACCAATAAAGTGAAAGAGTACCATAGACCAGAGTTTCCAGAGAACCTGGTAGCGTCTCAGTGGGATTCTAGAAGGGCCATGGATCTCTGGCCATCTTAGGGGGTGGTGTTGAGAGCTCAAGGTCAAAGGGGCTTAGGGAGCCTTTGGAGGTAGTATCAATGTGTCCTGGAGGAATTTCCTGGTATTTAGGGAGCTCTGTACTGTAGGGGGTCCTGGGGCCCCCAGTATTATCACCTCATTAATCTGGCGCATCCTACGCTCCTCCAGGTCCATCTTGGCCCTCAGGAACCCCTCGTGCTCACTGATTTCCCCAGGCATGCCAAAGTAAATATCCACACCGTCTGTGGGCCTCGGGGTGGGAGTGACTGCAAGACCAGGGATCAGGAGGTCAGTCTGCAGCCCACCTCCAGGTCGCCTTTTCTACCTAGAGAACCACATTTCCTAGAGTGCACTGGAGACCATCATGCACCCAGTTTAGCCACCGCTGCTGCCTGGCATTATGGGAGATGTAGTTCTGGACTGGGCCTGTTCTTGCAAAGCTTAGGAATCCATTACACCATCTTCCAAGCTTTCCTGAAATGATCCTCAAGACCTACCCAATGGCCCCTCTACTCCCAAGTACCCCCAAACCACCCCCTCCCTTGGCAGGTTAGCCCTTCTACTTCTATTTTATCCAAAGATACTCTCGTCTTTTCTCCTCAGTTGGGCCTTTCCCCTATAGGCCCCTCCCAAAGACACCCCCCAGCAAGACTCCCCCAGATCTTTCTCCCTCTATGGTGGAGAGGCCCCAGGGGTTCAGAGACTGCCTCACCTTTGCCGACCACTGCAAGTGTATGGGAGCTTGGGGGTGGGACCGTTTCCTCTTCCTCTTCAGCCTGCGGAGGCTCCACGAAGTAATCATCTACTGGCTGTGGGAAGGATTCCTCCTCTTCCTCGTCCTCAGCCCCCTCTACTCTGCTCCCCGGGGGCCAGGACCGGGTGGAGGGGTCACTGAGGGAGCAGGAGAGGACCCAGGCAGTAAGAACCCAGGCCTGGGCTCCCAGGCTTCCATCCCCTGCCTCAGGAACCTTGAGATGGGCATGGAGGGTTCCCTCCCACTCACCCAACTGCTGTCCCAGATGGGTCGGGGGTCCCTGGAGGGGGACAGCACACATACTCCACACCACGGAACCGATCCGAGCCACAGGGTAAGAGCATGCCCGAGCCGTGCAGGATGAGGCCCTGGGAGCTGCAGGCCTGTAGGAAGAGTGGGCCCAGATGCCAGGATTGTGGGATGGGAGGGGGTAGATGGGGAACTGGGCTGCCAGGGTTGGGGGTTGATGAGGCTGGGAGCCTGGATTCCTGCTTCTAGAGGAAGGGGTTGGGGGATGAAATTCTTAGATCCCAAGTGCGAAGAGGATGCTGGTGGCCCAGACTCCTCGGTTCTGGTGGCGGAGGGTGTTAGAGGTCCCAGTTCCTGGGTTGTGGGGGCTGGGGACGGGTGGGCCAACGTCCTGACCTCCTGTGCCTCCTGATGCCTCCGGGTTGAACTCTCACATTGGTCCATGCGCTCCTGGTGCAAGAACCGGCAGCCTTCAGGCACCAGCAGGGCCTCACTCACAAATTCACCAGCTGGGGAAGCACGGGACACCAGGGTGAGATCCTCCTATAGCCACCAACCCCACCCTCCTCAGAATCCAGATATTTTATCCTCAGAGGCTTCTCTGCCCCACTTAGGACACAAGCACCCAGCCCCTTAATGTAGGCCTGAGAGAGGGGCTCAGAACCTTGCCCCTCAGAAACTCCCACCTCAGTTCCCCTCTCCCCGCCTGGGACTCACGCAGGCAGCGGAAGGGCACAACCTGGTGGTGGGGGTGGGCGCAGCTGCCGCTCCGGGAACCCCCGCACCAGCGCTCCATGGGGATGGCCTGCGTAGCCTGCTCCACACGTGCAATCTGCAGCTCCGGGTACATCTGGGGGGATCAGATGGGGGCAATCAGCCCACTGCCCCGCCCCTGCCAGCCACCCCTCTCCAGTAGTCAGGTCCCTTTTCTCTTTCTTTCTCCCTCTTTCTTTCTTTCTTTGAGACGGAGATTTGCTCTTGTCGCCCAGGCTGGAGTGGAATGGTACAATCTCGGCTCACTGCAACCTCCTCCTCCCAGGTTCAAGCGATTCTCCTGTCTCAGCCTCCTGAGTAGCTGGGATTACAGGCACGCACCACCATGCCAGGCTAATTTTTGTATTTTTAGTAGAGACGGAGTTTCGCCGTGTTGGCCAGGCTGGTCTCGAACTTCTGACCTCAGGTGATCCGCCTGCCTCGGCCTCCCCAAGTGCTGCGATTACAGGCGTGAGCCACCGCGCCCGGCCAGGTCCGTTTTCAAGGCTCTAGTATTCATGAGGACATCGCTTCCCTAGGCCCTGCTTCTCCCTAGCACCAGCCTTAGATATCCAAGCTCCTTGTGCTCATTGGCCACGCCCACTAGCAGTTTTCCCTTAAAAGTCCCGTCATCTTTAAGCCCTATCTCTTTTCCTGTGCTGTTTCTTTCTGAAGGTCCCTCTAAGCCCACCTCTCTGGTCACCCCTCCCCGCAGTCAGATTCGTCTCCCCAAAGGTCTCACCCTCCTTTAGGCCCCGCCTTTTCCTCTATTCCGCCTCTCCAAAACTCTCCCTTCCCGTTATAAATTTGTCTTTTCATGGCCACGCCCCCCCAGCTCTCCGCGCTCTCATTGGGCTCCACCCCTTTCCCCATCTTGCTGGTCCTTAAGGTCTCTTTCTGTCTTAGCCCCGCCTATCCTTTCGCCACTCCCCCCTACACCTCTACTCTTTACAAAGACCACCAGATTCCTAAATTCCACTTCCTCTCTGGCTATCTCGCGGCTCTCCCCTTTTCCTGACTTAGTATCTCAAAACAGGTCCCCTGCCCCTAGCATAGTTGCGCCTCTTTATTGGCCACGCCCCCCAGCCTCCACGCCTTAGATCGCGCAGCACCCTGGACCACGCCTTTTTCAAGTCTAGCTTTCTATGGGCGGCCCCGCCTCTCCCGTTCGGCCCCGCCCACCTGTCTGCAGTACTCCAGCACGCGCTGCGGGTCCCGGAGACAGCGTCGAGAGCGCTGTGGGTCTGGTTCCCAGCGGCCGGTGCGCAGGTCCCGGTGAAGGGTTAGGCGCCCGCATAGTCCAGCCACCTGGGCCGACCCCGGGGCCTGGATGGAAGTGGAAAGGACAGTGAGGGCTCGGGGGGCGTTGGCATGAGGGTCCCCTGGTTCTTTGCTCCCTAGGACCGAGACCCCCAGCACCAGCCCCCTCCCCCAAGCACCGCACACCGCCTCCATGGAGGCACCGTTCCCTGGGAAACAGCTCCCGTAGGGCGGGGGCGCCCCAGCGCTCCCGTTGCTATGGCGACCTGGGTCCCCCGGGATTCTTTCTGCCTTGTTGCCGCGGAGACAGACTCCGCCCCCACCCCAGCGCAGCCGCTCTGGAGCCCGAAGGGGTTAAACCTGAATCGCGGAGGAGGAGGCCAGAACCCAGGAGTTCTGGCCCCTCCTCCCTCCATCCCTTGCTCAGGCTCCCGTTGCAGGATGCAAAGCTGACAAGGCCTGGCTTCAGGGGCCTACAGTCCTGGACACCAGGTCCTTGAGGACTGGAGAGCTACATCTGGTTGGGGTGGGTGGTGACTGAAGGACTGGACTCCTGGGTCCTGGGAGGCTGCAAGGGCCTCCATATGGGTCCAGAGAATACAAGGGGTCTGGATTATTGGATCTAAATGCCTCGCTGCTTGGTGGGTCCTATGTCCAGGCGGGAGGGGGTTGGGGCCGAGTCACCTGGGTCTGGAGAGGGGGCTGGACTTCTGGGACCAGGGGCTCTGAATAGACCAGTTCCTATGCTCGAGATGGGAGGGGGCTGGGACGTCGCATGATGGGGGAGCTGGGGCCTGGAACCCTGGGTTCATAAATGTGATTGGGGGCGCCTGGGGGCTGACCACCTGGCTGGAAAGACCGCGCTTTCTGCCCTGGACATGTCCGCGCCGGCGTCCAGAGACCCGGTCCCGCCCCTTCCCCCATCCCCCAGGACCCGGCCCGGCCTCACCTCGGCCGCGCCGGGGCTCCCACCGGCCAGGCTCCCGATGGCGGGCTGCGCGCGCAGAAGCAGCAGCAATAGTGGCAGCAGCAGCGGCAGCGGCGGCTGGCCCGGGCGGCGACTTAGACCGCGAGCAGCGGGGCTGGCGGGCCCCATGTCCCGGCCCTTGCGCCCTCACGTCCCCTGCACTCCCGCCCGGCCCGGCCCCAGCGGTGACAGGAGCTCCCAGCGCCACCGCCGCCACCTCCTCCTCCCGCCGCCCCCGGGCTGCGCCGGCGCCGCCAGCCCCGCCCCGCGCCGGCCCCGCCTTCCTGGTCAGGACAATAGCGTGGCGGCTTCGCGCAGAGTGGAGCAGCTCGGGAACCCCGGGCGGGAGCCTGCGCCAGGCCCCCGCCCCTCGAGATTCCAGGCGTCCCGCCCCATGAAGGGCCCAGCCAGGAGTCCGGCTATGGGCTCCGCCCGTTGTGGATTTTGAGTCCTCCCGCAGGACTCTCACCCTCTTTAGACCCAGACACTCACAGTTTTGTCCTTTTCCAAGGATGCAAGCATCAGAGACCCCCATCCCCTAGTACATTCCTCTGTTGAGGGCTCAGGAATACAGGCCTCCAAAATGTCCCCAGTCAAGAAGGCAGCAGTTGAGACCTAGTCCCTTCCTCTTTCAGATCCAGAAGTCTGGGCACCTTCTCTCTCAGGACCAGAGACCAAGCCCCCAGCCCATTCTCCTTCAGACCCAGGAGTTCACTCTTCTTGCTCTGCTTCCCAAGGGTCCCAGGGGCCTGGACCTTTAACTCCTAGCTCAAGGATCCATGAACCAAAGCCCCCAGGACCTTTCTTTAAGGATCATCCAAGCAGGCACCAGCACCATGCCCACTGTGGATGCAGCACCTCAGGATTAGGGTCTGGATCTCCACGCTTGCTGTAAGGACCAGGGGATTGCCATTTTCCTACCCATAGTCTCCCCTTCCCTGCTCCACTTCAGGGCTCACTTGTTTGTCTCCTCTAATGAGAGTTAGAATTCAGTCTTCCCCAGGACCCCTGGGGCAGCCCTGTCACTTGTGTGCAACTGTGTGGACATCTATGCGTGTGTCTGTGCATACATGCCTATGTGTGTGTCTTTTCTGTTTGCAACTCATGTGTGTGTGTGCGTGTGTGTGTGTGTGTGTGTGTGTGTGAAGATGTATATTAAAAGAGCCCATGGCTGGGCACAGTGGCTCATGCCTGTAATCCCAGCACATTGGGAGGCCTAGGTGGGCGGATCACTTGAGGTCAGGAGTTTGAGACCAGCCTGGCCAACATGGTGAAACCCTGTCTACAAACAAATACAAAAATTAGCTGGGTGTGGTGGCATGCACCTGTAGTCCCAGCTACTTGGGAGGCTGAGGTGGAAGGATGGCTTGAGCCCAGGATGCAGAGGTAGCAGTGGGCTGAGATCATGCCACTGCACTCCAATGTGGGCCATAGAGCCAGATCTTGTCTCAAGAAAAAAAAAAAAAGAGCCTAGAGTGCTTTGCAGGTAGCAAGAGGCTGAGAGGTGGCTCACAGTTTTACTCCTACAGCCACCTCATAGGCTAGGGTAGAGGAGGGACCTTGGGACAGGTCTAAGGGACCCCTTCCTTGGTGGAGAGTGATAATGCCAGTAGACTCCCTAAGACACACTTGCCTCTTTGACTTTTTTTTATTATTAAACATAAATATTTTTATCCCAATATTTTGCCCCAACAGTGGTAATTCTCACTGTATCCCCACTCCTTGGGTCCAAGTCTTTCTGAGTCTTTAAGGAAAGTAAAATCAAGATGGTGGCCATCTTGGGTTCCTAGGGAGTATATGGCCATCTTGGCTGCATTTCCATTGGCCGAGCAAAGTTCCCCTCAGGGAGAGCCAGGGTGGGGCCTGGTATGCTCTTCATCTTCATCTATCCTATGCTACCTTTCCTCTCAATGCAGATGGTCATCTTGAAATATCTTCTTTCAGTGGCTAGAAACAACTTCCATCCCGGCCCCAAACTCCCAACACCCACTGCCCTGTCCCCATCTCTCCTCAAAGGGCCTACCTGCCATCTTGAATCTCTTTTACACCGGGGAATAGGTGGGCATATTGGGTGGCCATGTTGCTCCCACTTGGGGCATCTCCTTTGGCTGAGCTGACTGTATACAAATGCTCCTGACAAATGTAATGATCTTTCCCTCCCCTTGTGTTCAGTTTTGGAGGAGTAAGGTCGCCAACTTGTCCTGGCTCCTCAGAAATCAGAACAATCCATTATGGCAAGTTGGAGATCCCAGGACTCTTCCATTGGAAAGATGTCACACGTGAGTCTGGAGACGCGGGTGGCTAGGTGTGGGGAAGGCAGCATATGGGAAGGGGGGAGTCCCGGGGGCCAGATCTGGGGGCCCAAAGGATGTGGGTTTGATGTAGCTGGTGAAAGCTCGAGGGTGGGGTGTGGTGAGATAGCCTGCCCTGGCTCTGTAAAGTCTGCAGGGGGGGACCATGCCCAGGTGTGGGTTGAAGTCATAGAAGGTAGGGGTCCCTGGGGGCCCAAGGGGGGAGGGTGGTGGCAGGAAGAGACCTCCTCCAGGGGCTTCGCCAAGGCTCAGGCTCACACTGACTCCTCGGACCTTGTAGTAACCGTTGGTTGGGTCCTGAGGGGACAAATGGGACTCAGTAAAGTCTGTGAGCGTGCAGGGGGGATGAGGGTCACTGATGGAGAGACACACTGAAATAGACCAGACCTTGAGAGAGACAAAAAGAGACAGGAGTGGGCAGAGACACAGAGACACACATGGACTGGGAGAGAGAGAAAGTGAGACAGAGGAACAGTGATAAGAGGCAAATGGATAGGACATAGGCAGAGAAAGGTAGAGACGGAGGGATATAGGCCTGCTGAGGGGTGTCGGTGTGGAAGGTGCAGAGGGAACAGGAGAGAGACACTCACCTGCCCAACAGCCTCTAGGCTTTGATTCAGTGTCACACCCTGTGTTGCTGCTACAAGGCATGTCACTAGGATAGAACTGGACCCTGTCCTCACAGAATCCCACACCAAAGGAAAAATGACAGATCATGAGACAGTACCCAGAGGGGTCAGGGCTGTGCCTGGGAAAGGCATAGGCAATGACAGGGGCTGTGATGGTAGAGCCCTCAGCATAGTGGGTGGGATAAGGAAGCCCAGATCAGAGTGGTCATGGCTGTGATGGGTGGAACACAGGCAAAATGATCGAGCTGTCATGACGGAAGCATGGGCTTCCTAGAACAAGAAATGTCTGAGCTGAGACTGGAGGACTAAAGGAAGGAATTAGGTAGACATGGGAAGGAAGGTAGGAGTGTTTCAGGCCAAGAGAATGGCATGTCGGCTGGGCACAGTGGCTCACGCCTGTAATCCCAGCACTTTGGGAGGCTGGGGCGAGCGGATCACTTGAGGTCAGGAGTTCCAGATCAGCCTGGCCAACATGGTGAAACTCCATCTCTACTAAAAATACAAGAAAAATTAGCCAGCTATTAGGGAGCCTGAGGCAGGAGAATGGCTTGAACCCAGGAGGCAGAGGTTGCAGTGAGCTGAGATTGCACCACTGCACTCCAGCCTGGGCAACAGAATGAGACTCCGTCTCAAAAAAAAAAAAAAAAAAAAGAAGAGAGAGAATGGCATGTGCTAGGTACGCAGGAGAGAGAGAGAGAGAGAAGTGCTCTGGCCTGGGGATGGCCTGGAGTCAATGTGGCTGTCCTGAGGTAGGACCCCAGAGGAAGAACCAGTCTGGGGAGATGTGGGGCCAGTGTAGGACCTGGTGGCTGAAAGGGGGCTTGACCGTGATGAGGAGAGCACAGGCAGGGTGAGCCCTGGTCTGGGGCTCCAGATGGAGGCTAGGGCTGGGACAGATGTGTGGGAAGAGTCTGCAGACAGGCAAACTGAGGCTGGGAGCTGAGTGAGATGGCCCAGGGGGCAGGAGGAGTGGGGTGGGGAGCTGAGTCCCAACTCTGAGGACAACAGAAGGAAAAAGGAGGGGACAGGCGTGGGAGAGAGACGGAAACACAATGAAGGGAGCCCCGCCTCTCCCAACAGTGAAGGGAGCCCCACCCCTCTCAACACTCACCTTGGTCTCCAGAGTCCCTTCCTCCTCCAGAACCAGATCACTGTGGTCAGTGTGCACAATGGGGCCCTGGGGTAGGGAACTTAGTGAGAGGGAATAGTCAGAGGATCCCCCCGCCCCAATGCCAGACCCCAAGGACCTTCAGCCAGCCAGTGGAGGCCAGGCAGGAGGGAGTAAGAGCACCCAAGAGCTGGGGACTGCACTCAGGACAATAAAAGGGCTGTAAGAAGCCAGCACAGTGGCTCATGCATGTAATCCCAGCACTTTGGGAGGCCGCAGCAGGAGTATCACTTGAGGCCAGAAGTTTGAGACCAGCCTGGCTAACATGCCGAAACTCTGTCTCTACTAAAAATGCAAAAAATAGGCAGGCATGGTGGCAGGCACCTGTAATTTCAGCTACTCAGGAGGCTAAGGAACGAGAATCACTTGAACTGGGAGGTGGAGGGTGCAGTGAGTCTGGATTGCACCACTGCATTCCAGCTTGGACGACAGAGCAAGACTCTATCTCAAAAACAACAACAACAACAACAACAACAACAAAAACGGGCTGTGGGGACATACTGGGCCTAGGGAATAATTGGGTCAGGGGCATGGACTTGGGTGACATTTGGGTGTGGGGTCACTGTTAAGACTAGAGCCCTTGGCCGGGCGCGGTGGCTCACGCCTGTAATCCCAGCACTTTGGGAGGCCGAGACGAGCGGATCACGAGGTCAGGAGATCCAGACCATCCTGGCTAACACGGTATACACCTCGTCTCTACTAAAAATACAAAAAAATTAGCTGGACATGGTGGCGGGTGCCTGTAGTCCCAGCTACTCTGGAGGCTGAGGCAGGAGAATGGTGTGAACCCGGGAGGTGGAGCTTGCAGTGAGTCGAGTTCGCGCCACTGCACTCCAGCCTGGGCTACAGACCAAGACTCCGTCTCAAAAAAAAGAAAGAAAGAAAAAAAAAGACTTGAGCCCTCAGGCCGGGCGTGGAGGCTCATGCCTGTAATCCTAGCACTTTGGGAGGTCGAGGCGGGTGGATCACCTGAGGTCAGGAGTTTGAGACCAGCCTGGCCAACATGGTGAAACCCAATCTCTACTAAAAATACAAAATCAGTCAGGCGTGGTGGTGGGCGCCTGTAATCGCAGCTACTCAGGAGGCTGAGGCAAGAGAATCACTTGAACCAGGGAGGCAGAGGTTGCAGTGAGCCGAGATCGCAGCACTGTACTCCAGCCTGGGTGACAGAGTGAAATTCTGCCAAAAAAAAAAAGACTAGAGCCCTCCTACATAAAAAAAAAAAAAAAAAATGGAGACAGGGTCTTGCTCTGTAGCCCAGGCTGGAGTGCATGGTGCAATCATAGCTCACTGCAGCCTTTACCTCCTGTGCTCAAGGGATCCTCCCACCTCAGTGTCCTGAGTAGCTGGGACTATAGGTGTATGCCACCATACCCGGTTCATTTTTTATTTTATTTTAGTTTGTATTTTTGTAGAGATGGGGTCCTGCTATGCTGTCCAGGCTGGCTTTGAATTCCTGGCCTTAAGTGATCCTTGTGTCTCCACCTCCCAAAGTGGTATTACCAACGTCAGGCACCATGCCTGGCCTTAGAGTCCTATTTGAATTTGGGGACCCTCTTGGGACTGGGCTATTATTTAGGTCTGGAGGCACAGTCAGGTCTGGGGACCCTGGCATCCTACCCGGTCCTCGCGGCTGCCTGTCTCCTCTTCTTCAGGACCTCGTGAACTGGAGCCGTCGCTGCTGCCAGGGATTCGCATCAGGTTCTTTTGCTCGGAGAAAGAGGCTGAGGCTGACAAACAGCGACCGGTGGAGTTAAGCGATGGGCGGGGTCACAATGTGTGCAGACCAATAAGCGGGAAGAGAGAGGACTGGGAACCAATGAGGCTGATTGGGTAGGGCTGTTGGAAACCAATAAGAATCATTCCCACCGAGGAGTGTGACCCTGGGAAGGCCTAGTTAGGGCTTAAGGAGGGAACCAGAACGTGAAGGAGAGCTAAGCCCTGTGCAGAGCTGGAAATGGGACTGGAGCCAAGGCCCAAGGCCAGGTCAGGTCACTGGGCAGGCAGGGCGCGTGTGGGGCTGGGGCCTCGGGAGCCGGGGCGGGGCTCAGGCACTAACCCTTGCTGTGGCGCCAGCAGCAGAGGGCCACCCCAGTGATGACCATAAGGAGAGTTGTGGTGGCAGCGGCCACTCCGGCCACTATCCGCACAGTGGGCAGCAAGTCTGCAGGGAGCAGAGGGGACATCCTGAGAAGGCTGAGGGGGAACCAGGAAGCGGGGGCTCAGGGATTGAGTTTGGGATTCCTGGGTTCAAAAGGTCGCACATTTGAAGATTCAAAGGCCCTTGAATTTGGGGTTCCCCAAGTTTGAGAGTGAGTTTAAACTCCCTGGCTTTAGGGAGTCTTAGAATTTGAGGGGTCCTTTACTTTGCAATTTGCTTTGCAATCATTGGAGTTTCCCTTTTTGGGGCCCCTAGGTGTGAGGAGTCTCTCAGTTTAGGATTCAGAATGTGAAGGCATTTGTGGTTGAGGGGTGTCTTGGGAATCAATGAGCCCACAGTTTTGAGACTCCCGAGGTTTGGAGGTCTCCTCTGCATTTGAGGGTATGAGGTTTTGCAGCCCTCGGCTGGGGGATCCCTGCGTTTGTGGG
Source organism: Homo sapiens (assembly GCF_000001405.40). Taxonomy (NCBI): domain Eukaryota; kingdom Metazoa; phylum Chordata; class Mammalia; order Primates; family Hominidae; genus Homo; species Homo sapiens. The sequence continues at coordinate 35,862,067 of NC_000019.10, read as the reverse complement.
GTTTAGACTCTCCAGATTTGGGGTCTTCGGGCTGGGGTCTCACCTCTACGGCCCAGGCTGGCCTGGGCACCTCCCTCGCCCAGCCGGTTCCGGGCACTGCAGTTAAAGCTCCTGCTAAAGTCAGACTCCTGGGTCCCCGAAATGTGTAGCACAGAGATCAGGCCCGGACCCAGTCCCCCGCGGCTCTCTGGGGCAGGGAATGTCTCCACCAGGAACCGGCCCTGCGACCCCGCCTCCAGGAAGCCCTCATCCCAAGACCAGACCTGGGGGCACAAAAGAGGGAGGACACGGAGGAGACTGAGGAGGGGAGGAAGAAGCAGGAGGGATGTCTGGGAAGTCAGAAATGGTCACAGTAGTTTCGGGGGGCCAGGTGGGAGGTCAGGGATCACGGCTGGATGGGTCACGGGAGGAGTGACATTTCCTTACCACGGCATCTGGGGCGGGAGAGGCGAAAACCAGACACTGGAGGCGAGCAGGGCCCCTCAGGAAGGCAGGCGCAGAGTGCAGGGCGGTCACTACTGGGGGAGCTGGGATGGAGACTGTAGGTCACTCAGAGGAGAGGTCTTGCCCTCCCCAAAGGCTGTAACAAAGCCGGGTCTGTCCAGCGCACTCTCCGCTAACCTCAATCAATCAGGCCACGCCGCCTCCAAACTCCGATTCTCCTAAAAGCCTCGCCTTCAATAGGTCCGGTCTCCAGCCCCCGCTGGGTGTAAAGCTCCTTCCAGGCCACTCCCACTGCATTAGCCCTTGCCCCCTCTGTCCGCTCCCTATCCCAGGACGGGCCAGGTCCCCTAGGAAGCCCCGCCTTCTCACCGTTCACAGTCAGCCGAGCCTCCGCGGCGCCGCCCCGCAGGCCCGATAGCCCAGCCTCAGCTCTGCACACATAGTCGCCTGCGTCCTCGGGCCCCACCGACGGAAGACGCAGTGTGGCTCCAGAGCCCAGCACCTGCGACAGGGAAGGGGCGTCAGAAGCCGGATTTGTAAGGAAGCCTGGTCCCCCTCCAGCCACCGCCTCAGATTTAGGGCTGTACCTGCGCGCCACCGCGGCGGGTCCAGGTTACCCGTGGAAGCGGGTTCCCGCGCCAGGCGCAGCTGAAGGAAGCGTCTTCCCCCACGTCCACGGACACGGGCTCCGGCTTTGCCTGCAGAATCGGCCCAACTGGACGAAAGAGACTAGGGGTCACATGGCCGGGGCGGAATGCAGCCACTGACCTGGGATCAGCCAGCCCCACAGAAACACCACACCCTCTAGGGCGCAAGAATATGCCCCAGCTCCACACTCTCCTCCTCCTAATACCCCACGCTCGCTCTCCCGGCCCCGCCCCTCCAGGCCCCGACCCTCAACAGCCCTGAAAGCCACGGCCACCTTTGACCACACCCACAGGCCGGCCCCAGCTCACACAGCACATCCAGCGCAGTACTGCGGTTGGCGCTACCCACGGCGTTGCTGACCTCGCAGGACACGGGCTCAGTCAGGAACGAGGCGTCTGCCACGACCTCTAACCTTGGCCCGCGGGCCCCGAGCACCGGAGAGCCCCCTTTTGCCCACCTGAGGAAATGGTGGCGCTGTTAACGTTGTCCTGGCCTCTCTGGCACACCTACTCAGGTCCCAGCCCTTCCCAAGCTCACTCTTGGGGCTGGGGAGAGGTGGGTCTTCGTCCTCACCTGTAGCCTGTGACAGGAGGCTGGGCTGTGGCCTGGCACAGGAAAATGACCTTCTCTCCCTCCTGCACAGTGTGTGGCGAAGCAGACAGAGTCACCTCTGGGGGGTCTGTGAGGGTGGGACAATGGTCAGATGGGCAAGGACCAGGAACACCTCCGTCACTGGCCTAGGTGTCCAGTCCCTGGTTCCTCCATCCCAGGAGTCTGGGCCCCTAATCCCCTTCTCCCTTTGAGCCAGGAGTCTGGGCTTTCAGTTCCCAATTTCCCCAGTTACCTCAATGTGCCAGCCTTCTGCCCTCTCCTAGTCTCCCCGATGTGAGAGTCAAGGCCCAGCTTTCTCTTTCCCCAGGGACCCCAGCTGTCTGTCCTCTCCTGCTCGGAGTCTCACTCTGCTGCTGAGTGGCATGATCTCGGCTCACCGCAACATCTGCCTCCCGGGTACAAGTGATTCTCCTGCCTCAGCCTCCCAGGTAGCTGGAATTACAAGTGTGTGCTACCACGCCCGGCAAATTTTTGTATTTTTAGTAGAGACGGGGTTTCGACATGTTAGCCAGACTGGTCTCGAACTCCTGATCTTAGATGATCCGCCTGCCTCGACCTCCCAAAGTTCTGTGAGTACAGGCGTGAGCTACCATACCCAGCCCTCTCCTGCTATCTTAGATCCAGGAGTCCAGGCTCCAGTTTCCTCATTCCCCAAGGGCCACAGTCCCCTCCTTCCTCATACCCAGGAGTCAGGGCCCCACACCCCTCTTTCCCAGGGCCAGCTGCACTCACACTGCAGGCTCAGTGTGATAGCTGTGTCTCTTCCTGTGGGCAGGGCCTGGCTCCGGGCCCGGCAGACAAAGGTGGCTCCATCATCATGGCTGAAAGGGGTCAGGGTTAAGGTGCTCTCCACTGACCCAGGGGTCCCTTCCTTCAGCAGGGTCTGGAGGGAAGGATAAGAATAATAATGCCATCTACCCATCAGGGGTGTCCAATCTTTTGGCTTTCCTGGGCCACATTGGAAGAAGAATTGTCTTAGGCCACACATACTAACACTAATGATAGCTGATGAGCTAAAAAATTACAAAAAAGTCTCATAATGTTTTAAGAAAGTTTATGAATTTGTGGTGGGCCACATTCAAAGCCATCCTGGGCTGCATGCAGCCCATGGGCCGCAGGTTGGACAAGCTTGCCTTACTTATATAGTGCTCACTATGTATTGGTCACTCTTCTGGGCATTTATAGGTATTTATTTATTTAATTCTCACAATACCCTATGACATGCATGCTACTATTATCCTGATTGTATAGATAAGGCAACTGAGGCACAGAGAGGTTAACTAACTTACTCAAGATCAATCAACTAGCAAGTGGCTGAGACATAATTTGAACCCAGGTAGTCTGGCCCTAGAATCTTTACCCTGCATCATATTTCAAGAGTCCAAACCCATGAACCTCTGCCCTCCCATGTCTTCTTCTCTTCTGGATGAGCCTGTGGTCAGAGTGTAACCCAAGTTTCCCTCAATGGGCAAAGGCTAGCACAGGAATTTGGACCTGACCTGATGGAAGGTGGCTCCATCCAACAGGACCCCATCTCGGAACCACAGCAATTCAGGGGTAGGGCGGGCATCCCCACGGCTCCGACATGTCAGGTTCGCAGGAACTCCAGCAACCAGAGACACAGAGGGGCCGCCCAGCACCTGGGGGGCTTCTGGGGGGACTGCAAGGTGGATTTGGGGTCAGAGATGGATCCTGATCTTCTCAGCTCCAATTGACCATGCCCCTGGGCTCCCTGGGCTCTGCTACTCACAGCTAGTACGGGCTGCCCTCTTGGGCTCCCAGGGGACAAGTGGGCGAGGTCCTTACCCAGCACGTGCAGTTGGGCTGGTCTGGAGCGGAGGCCTGCTTGTGTAGCCTGACATTCATATGATGCTTCATCCTCTAGCTCCACGGGCCTAATGTGGAGGTCATGCTGGCCATTGGCTGCATTCCCTGATATCCAGTACCGGGACCACCCTGGAGTCAGGGAGAAGGCAGTCAGCACACCATGGTTCTGAAATCCTGGCCTCAGGCCTCCATCCCCAGACATCCTCCACCAGAAAACTGGCCCACACATTTGGTGGTAAGACACTATTAAAAAGTGTGTACTGGGCCCAGAGAGACTCTAACTCCCTCCCAACCCAGAGTCACTGCAAACTTAGGGGTAATAAAGTCAGGAAGGAAAGCAAGAAAATGATTGCCATAAAAATTAGGTTAGATACTACTTCTGGAGTGAGGGGGAGGGGGCTATGATAGGGGAAAGGAACACGGGGTCTTCTGGGGAGCTAGCAATGGACTTGGGTATTGGCTGTGTGTGTCTATTTTATTTGGTAAATCTTCCATTTATATTTACTGTACTTTTTTGCATTTATGTTCTCTTTTTTTTTTTTTTTTGAGACAGGGTCTCACCATTGCCTGAAGTGCAGTGGCTTGATCATGGCTCACTGCAGCCTTGAACTCCTAGGCTCAAGCAATCCTACCACCTAAGCCTCCTGAGTAACTGGGACTATAGATGCACACCACCATACCCGGCTAATTTGTTTAAAATATATATATACATTTGTGTAGAGATAAGGTCTTGTTATGTTGCCCAGGCTGGTCTCAAACTCCTGGTTTCAAGCGATCCTCTGGCCTCAACCTCCCAAAGCGTTGGGATTACAGGCGTGAGCCACTGCACCTGGCCTATGTACTATTTTGCAATAACATAATAATTCCCAAACTCCGTGGGTCACCCCCAAAGAAGCAGCTCAAAAATCAGGACTCCTAAATGTTTACCCGAGCCCATCAATTTCCCAAACTTGAAAATGTCAAAATAGAAACTGCAGGTACAGCCGAGCCCAGCAACTCTCCCCCTAGCCAGCCCGTCCCAGCGTGGAGAGAACACTCTTACCTGGTAGGTCCCTTTGGCCCCCTAGGGCCAGCCCACTCTTAGTCCACTGAACTAGCCCCCAGTAGGCGCCCAGAGCACACGGCAGCCGGGCTTCCTCCCCCAGCAGCACCACCAGGTCCTCTGGCTGTTGCAGGAAATGGGGCGACGGGCCTAGGAGAGTTCGGGGCAGCAGGGCTGAGCTTAGCACCTTCAGGGGCCTCCTCATTCAGGACCCAGGAGTCCCAGCCCCCAGCTCCCTTCTCGCTAGTGAAGAGGCAGCCCGCAAGCAACTCCCCACCCCCACCCCATATTCCTCCGCTCCCCTCGTGCGGTACCTGCTCTCCCTCTGAAGCAGAAGAGGAGGACGAGGAGGGCGGGGACCCGCATCCTGAGCATTCGTCCCCCAAGGTTCACGAGATTTGCCGTCGCACTGGCCTTCCCGTCAACTTCTTCCTCTCAAGCACGCCTCCTGTCACCCTGGCCCGGAGCCCCCTTCACGCTCGACTCTTCGCCCAGCCTAGTCTCTGGCCTGGAGTCCTCCAAGTCTGCTCATCCGCAGCCTCTGACGCTCTGAAACGCCTGCCAGTTCCGCGGCCTGGGTCTCTGGGAGACCCCAAGAGGGCCCGATCCCGCTCGCCCCGCCCGGGTCCGCCCCCCGGGAGCTCCGCCCTCTTCCCGTTGAGAAACTCCCGCGGCTGAGACGCGGATGAATGGGGGACGCAGGGCGGGATCCCCCGGCGGGTGGGCGCCCCCAGCTCAATTGGGGTCTGGGAGCCGGAACACCTGGGTTCGAGGAGGGAGGGGGTCCCGGCTGGGTTGGACACCTGCGCCCTGCCGGGGTTGAGGGGCAGGCAAGGGGTGAGGAGGAGGGAAGGGAGAGAGTGGAAGAAACTTGCTCAGCCCAGGTCCTAGAGGGACTGCGCTCAGTGGAAACTGAGCTATAAATGGGAGCTCCTGGGGCCTCGCCAGTTTCCGCGCCCTGGGGGATGCGGGGTCCGGGGCTCCCCCGGGCCTGCGTGTCGGGAAGAGGGCACACCGATACCTGGGGGACAGTTGGGACCCCTACCTCGACTCCCCCAGCCTCAAAACCCCTCCTCAAAATATCCCTCTGTTCCCTTGTTATTGCTGCAAACTACAGCACGTCCTAAGACCCAGGAATCCAGGCCCTCGGCCCCTCCTTTCCCAGGACCCCGCAGTCCCAGCCCAACCCCTCTCCCCACTCGGCCGGCCGGGCCCCTCGGCCTGGTTGCCCGGCGACGGCTGGGAGGCGGCGGTGCCGGGCCGGGGCAGGCAGGGAGGCTGGGAACCGCGCAGCTTGTCCTGACGGCTCCATGCAGCCCAGCTGGGGCGTTCCCACGCTGCGCAGCTGGCCGAGCAGGTGGGAGGGACCCCGAGCAGCCTGAAGGAGGGCTGGGGGGCTGGGACCCTGATCTGACATTCCTGGACCTGTAAGAACTGGAGGGTCCACATTCAGATTCTCCACTGTTCTTAGGCTCAGACTCCGTGTCCCTAAATGGGGGAGTGGGGTTGGGAGTGGGGGTTGGACTTACAGGGTTATAAGGGACTGGTGGTTCAGGCCTTTGCTGGCTGAGACGCTGATGGCCTGATCTCCCGGTTCCTTGAGAGGCTGGAGACTCAAGGTGCACTCAAGTGCATGGTGCACTTGGAAGAGGGTGACAGGGGTCAGAATATCTGGTCTTAAGTCTTAAGAGTCGGTGGATCTATCTGCCAATCTCTCCCCACCCCCACACAGGCCCAGGAGGATTTGGAAATCAGACCGTGAACATCTGTCCTAAGTCCTGTGTGTATGTGTGTGTGTGTGTGTGTGTGTGTGTGTGTGTGTGTGTGTGTGTGTGTGTATGGGGAGGTGCGGGGGTGGGTAGTGTGGCCAGGAGGATCAGAGGCCCAAATTCCCGAGTCCTTGGAGAGAAGGGACTGAGACCCCAGGGTCTGAGAGGGGAGGGATCTGGGGGCCTACACTCCCGGCTTCTGTGTGGCTTATCTAGTGCCTGGATTTTGAAATAGGATGGACATGGGGCTGGAACTCCTGAGTCTTAGGGAGGAACTCAAGTCATGGGGCTGTTTTTCCAGGCACTTGACGCCGCTTCCCCTTCCTGGCTCTCTGGGGCTACGGACATGGAAAGATGGAGAGCCCAAGGTCCCAGGAGCATGCAGAGAAGGAAAACAGCCAAGGTGGAGGGTGGAAGGTTTGTGCTTATTAAAGGCCCCAGCAAGGGACAGCTCCACGCTCTGGCACCTAGGGACACCATCTGGCGAGGGCCCCCAGGACAGAGCCACTCCCCCAGCTCGGCATCCAGCCCATTTCCCAGGGGGTGTAGAGAGCAGTTGGGAGAGGGGAGGTGGGAGGAGGGCAAGGAGTCAAGCATGTGAGGGAAGATGGAAGTCCAGCATCGAGGATGAAGCTGGGGGCTGAGGCCAGATGCCTCATCTTGTTCCTGGGAACGATATTGGCGGGGGTCTTGGGGAGGTAGGGAGAAAACTAGCATTTCCAATTCCCGCAGGAGATAAGCAGGCAGAAGAAGCTTATCCCAGGCAAGTGTATGTGCACGCGGGGAGGGCAGGCCCACCAGCATATGGTTATAAAATCCAGGGATGTGATGAGCAGAGCCACTCGGAGATGGAGAGACACATAAGAGAAAGAGGCGTGGTCAGAGTGTGGCTGAGAACAAATATTTATGGAGCTCCTGGTGTGTGTGAGACAGACTGTGGGGTGAGGGGAGCGACAGAGGTGAGAACAGAGACAGAGAAACAGAATAACAGAGACATATAGAGATGGAGAGACACAGTGAAATAAAGATTGACTGAGATTTAACAACTTAATATAGAGAGCGAGAGAGTCTCAAACAGATGGAGAAAGATAGAAAGATAAATCAGCTGGGCACAATGACTCACGCCTGCAATCCCAGCACTTTGGGAGGCCGAGTCAGGCTGATCACCTGAGGTCAGGAGTTCGAGACCAGCCTGATCAACATGGAGAAACCCCGTCTTTACTAAAAATACAAAAAATTAGCCAGGCGTGGTGGCGCATGCCTGTAATCCCAGCTACTAGGGAGGCTGAGGCAGGAGAATCGCCTGAACCCGGGAGGCAGAGGTTGCAGTGAGCCGAGATCACACTATTACACTCCAGTCTGGGCAACAAGAGTGAAACTCCATCTCAAAAAAAGAAAAAAGAGAAAAAAGAAAAAAAAGAAAGATAAATCAAGGGCCAGGTGCGGTGGCTCATGCCTGTAATCCTAGTACTTTGGGAGGCCGAGATGGGAGGATTGCTTGAGCCCAGGAGTTCCAGACAAGCCTGGGCAATATAGCAAGACTCTGTCTCTGCAAAAACATTTAAAAAAAATTAGCCAAGTGGCGGGGTGCAGCGGCTCCCACCTGTAATCCCAGCACTTTGGGGGGCCAAGGCAGGTGGGTTACCTGAGGTCAGGAGTTCGAGACCTGCCTGGCCAACATGGCGAAACCCCGTCTCTACTAAAAATACAAAAATTAGCTGGGTGTGGTGGTCAATGCCTGTATTCCCAGCTACTCAGGAGGCTGAGGCAGGAGAATCGCTTGGACCTGGGAGGCGGAGGTTACAGTGAGCCAACATCGCACCATTGCACTCCAGCCTGGGTGACAGAGCAAGACTCCCTCTCAAAAAAAAAAAAAAAAAAAAAAAAATAGCCAGAGTGGTGATGCGGGCCTGTAGTCCCAGCTACTCAGGAGGCTGAGGCAGAAAGAACACTTGAGCCTAGGAGGTTTGAGGCTTCAATGAGCCATGATCACACCACTGCACTCCAGCCTGGGCAATAGAGAAAGACCCTGTCTCTACAAACAAATTTTAAAAAATTAGCTGGAGTGGTGGTGTGCACCTGTAGTCCCAGCTATTCAGGAGGCTGAGGCAGGAGGATCACCTGAGCCCAGGAAGTTGAGGCTGCAATGAACCAAGATCATGCCACTGCCCTCCAGCCTGGGCAACAGAGCAAGATTCCATCTCAAAAGAAAGAAAGATAAATCAAGATAGATAGAGGGAGGGAGAGAGAGAGACATGGAGAAGGAAAGAAGAGATGGGAGAGAGGGCAAGAAAAAGAGGGAGAAGAAAGCTCATGCAGTCCTTGCCAAAGGGCGCCCACTTTGGGCTCACACTGCACCCACACTGGGGGCCGGTGGAATTGGACTCTGCCTTTTACTCCCGCCCACACCCTGTGCACTCCCACGTAAGACACTGTCACACACACGCTCTCCACATGCTTATTACAGATCGCAGTTCACTCTAACCTTCCCCACTCTCACACCCACGTACACACATGCATATCTTCCCTCTCTCCCACACTCTCCCAGCCTGTCACACTCACTCTTGCATCCTCCCCAGCAGAGATCCCTGACATCATTTAGGCACTGATGTCTACTAAAAAAGGAAGGGAGGCCAGGTGCGGTGGCTCATGTCTGTAATCCCAGCATTTTGGGAGGCTGAGGCAGATGGATCACCTGAGGTCAGGAGTTCGAGACCAGCGTGGCCAACATGATGAAACCCCGTCTCTAGTAAAAATACAAAAATTAGCCAGGCATGGTGCTATATACCTGTAGCACCAGCTACTTGGGAGACAGAGGTGGGAGAATTACTTGAACCTGGGAGGTTCAAGCCATGGGAGGTGGAAGTTGCAGTGAGCCGAGATGCCACTGCACTCCAGCCTGAGCAACAGAGCAAGACTATCTCAAGAAAAGAAAGAAAGAAAGAAAGAGACTTGCCAAGGTCATGTATCAGGGCAAGGAAGAGCTGGGGGCCCAGCTGGCTGCTCCCCTGCTGAGCTGGGAGACCACCTTGATCTGACTTCTCCCATCTTCCCAGCCTAAGCCAGGCCCTGGGGTCACGGAGGCTGGGGAGGCACCGAGGAACGCGCCTGGCATGTGCTGACAGGGGATTTTATGCTCCAGCTGGGCCAGCTGGGAGGAGCCTGCTGGGCAGAGGCCAGAGCTGGGGGCTCTGGAAGGTACCTGGGGGAGGTTGCACTGTGAGAATGAGCTCAAGCTGGGTCAGAGAGCAGGGCTGACTCTGCCAGTGCCTGCATCAGCCTCATCGCTCTCCTAGGCTCCTGGCCTGCTGGACTCTGGGCTGCAGGTCCTTCTTGAAAGGCTGTGAGTAGTGAGACAAGGAGCAGGAGTGAGGGGTGGCAGGAGAGAAGATAGAGATTGAGAGAGAGAGAGAGAGAGAGACAGAGAGAGAGGAAGAGACAGAGACAAAAGGAGAGAGAACGGCTTAGACAAGGAGAGAAAGATGGAAAGATAAAGAGACTGGGCGCAGTGGCTCACGCCTGTAATCCCAACACTTGGGGAGGCCAAGGTGGGAGGATGGCTTGAAGGAAAGAGTCTGAGATCAACCTGGCCAACATAGTGAGACCCCGTCTCTAAAAAAAAAAAAAAGAAAAAAAAAAGAAAAAAGAAAAAAAAGTTTTTTTAAAGAGACAGAGAAAGAGACTCAGAGATTGAGACTGAGAGCAAGACAGAGAGAGATACTCACAGGGAAGAGGGGAAGAGGAAAACGAGAAAGGGAGGAGAGTAACGGAAAGAGATAAAAAAGAAAAGCAGGTGGCAGAGACACACAGAGAGGGACCCAGAGAAAGCCAGACAGACGCAGGTGGCTGGCAGCGGGCGCTGTGGGGGTCACAGTAGGGGGACCTGTGATGGCCCTGGGGACGACGCTCAGGGCTTCTCTCCTGCTCCTGGGGCTGCTGACTGAAGGTGAGTGGGATCCCAGCCTTGTACCCAGCGCCAAGTGGCCCCCATTTCCCACTTACCTTCCCTAGACAAACCCTCTGCCCTTTCCTTGCACCGCGCTGTGTCCTCAGGCCTGGCGCAGTTGGCGATTCCTGCCTCCGTTCCCCGGGGCTTCTGGGCCCTGCCTGAAAACCTGACGGTGGTGGAGGGGGCCTCAGTGGAGCTGCGTTGTGGGGTCAGCACCCCTGGCAGTGCGGTGCAATGGGCCAAAGATGGGCTGCTCCTGGGCCCCGACCCCAGGATCCCAGGCTTCCCGAGGTACCGCCTGGAAGGGGACCCTGCTAGAGGTAAGGGATCAGAGCCTGAGACCCTCAGCCACCAGCGGAAGCTGCGGCCCTGACTTCCGGCTCCCCCTGCAGGTGAATTCCACCTGCACATCGAGGCCTGTGACCTCAGCGATGACGCGGAGTATGAGTGCCAGGTCGGCCGCTCTGAGATGGGGCCCGAGCTCGTGTCTCCCAGAGTGATCCTCTCCATCCTGGGTATGGGTGAGAGACGCCCAGGACCCATGAGTCTGGGCTTCAAGCCCTCCCCTACCCCGCAACCCGGAAGTCCAAGCCCCCAGCCTCTCCTCTCCCAGACTCTGGGTACCGAACTCCAATCTTCAAGTCCTTCTCAGTGCTGGAAGCTTACCCCAGACCCTTCTCTCACCAGTTCCTCCCAAGCTGCTCCTGCTGACCCCAGAGGCAGGCACCATGGTCACCTGGGTAGCTGGGCAGGAGTACGTGGTCAACTGTGTGTCTGGGGACGCGAAGCCAGCACCTGACATCACCATTCTCCTGAGTGAGTGTGGGTGAACTGGGTGGCAGGGGGCAGCATGAAGCCTCTGGAGTGGGAAGGGTGTGTGTTCCTGACCAGTACCCTTCTAAGGGCCCCAGAAAAGATGTCATCCCTGGGATGGGGACCCAGGAGAAGGTGTGGGGAGATGCTGAGGCCAGTGTGGGACCCAGTGGATGCGAGGGCACATCGAGGGCGGCAGCAACCAGCACAAGGCTGAGGCCCAGATAGAAATATGGGCAGTAGCGCTGGTGCAGACATGAGAAGCTGAGGGATAGGGTGCATGGTACAACCCAGCAAGGAGTTGAGAAGAGCGGGGAGGCCCAGGACCCAGCACTGAAGACTGCGGCATTCAGGCAGTCCAGAAAGTCGGGAGGGGATGCAGCTCTGCCCCAGGCCCTTTTCCTCTAGAACGAGGAGGGAGGGGGCATCGCACCCACCCTGAGGACTTCCAGGCCATGCTCCCCAGAATCTATCTTGCGGGGAGCCTGGAACCCCTCTAGCCCTCTTGCTGCCCCAAGGTGGACAGACAATATCTGACATCTCTGCAAACGTGAACGAGGGCTCCCAGCAGAAACTCTTCACTGTGGAGGCCACAGCCAGGTGTGGAAACTGAAACAACCCCCCAACCTTGACCCCTAATTTTCCCCATGGGAACCCCAGACCCCAGGGATGCAAGCATGAAGCTTGGGCTAGGTATGAACATCTGGGACCCAATTCTTCATCCTGACTCTCAAAGCTTCTTCATGGGGAACAGAGGTGGTGGCTCATGCCTGTAATCCCAGCACTTTGGGAGGCTGAGGTGGGCGGATCACCTGAGGTCAGGAGTTCAAGATCAGCTGGGTCAACATGGTGAAACCCTGTTTTCACTAAAAATACAAAAATTAGCCGGGTGTGGTGGCGCATGCCTGTACTCCCAGCTCCTCAGGGGGCTGAGGCAGGAGAATCACTTGAACCCAAGAAGTGGAGGTTGCAGTGAGCTGAGATTGTACCACTGCACTCCAGCCTGGGTGATAGAGCCAGATTCTGTCTCAAAAGACAAACAAACAAATAAACAAACAAAAAAACTTCATGGGAACCTCAGTTCTAGAGTCCCAAGCACTAAAGTTTTGGTCAGATGTGGGGCTCTCTAGGCTCCAATTCTCACTGTTCACCCCCAAAATCTCTCCCATGGAACCCTGGATCCCAGAGGAGATCAGCATGGGGACTTAGACCAGGTGTGGGGACCAGAGGTGACATCCCCACCTCTTCTCCCTGACTCCCCAAATTTCAGATGATGACTCTGACTCTATAACCCTGACTTCTCATCCCAGGGTGACACCCCGGAGCTCAGATAATAGGCAGTTGCTGGTCTGTGAGGCGTCTAGCCCAGCACTGGAGGCCCCCATCAAGGCCTCATTCACCGTGAATGTTCTGTGTAAGTGGAGAACTGGGCCAACTAGGGCGCTGAGGATGGGGAGCAGGCACTGGGGGGTGTGGGGGGATCACAGGGATTATGGAAATTCAGGCACTCAGAGAAACATGGGGGTTCAAAGGCAGGTTGTGGGGCCTGGAAAGAGTGGATGGGCTACTCCAGGCCCACTGAGTGACTGATATCCCCCAGTCCCTCCAGGACCCCCTGTCATCGAGTGGCCAGGCCTGGATGAGGGGCACGTGCGGGCAGGACAGAGCTTGGAGCTGCCGTGCGTGGCCCGAGGGGGTAATCCCTTAGCCACACTGCAGTGGCTGAAGGTGAGGGCAAACGCGGGCATGGGGAATGGGGGGACAGTGGGGTCTGGGAGCCAGTCCTGAGCTGGCCCAGGCCTGTCCCTGTCTCCAGAATGGCCAGCCGGTGTCCACAGCGTGGGGCACAGAGCACACCCAGGCGGTGGCCCGCAGTGTGCTGGTGATGACCGTGAGGCCAGAAGACCATGGAGCGCAGCTCAGCTGCGAGGCCCACAACAGCGTGTCTGCAGGGACCCAGGAGCACGGCATCACACTGCAGGTCACCTGTGAGTCCTGGTGCCAGCTGCCCCCCTGTCGGTCTGTGCCTCAGAGAACCATCTGTGTGTGCCCCCAAATTATGCCTACTGGATGCCAAAGATCTCAGCATCTGTCTCCAGTCCTGTTCTGTCTGGGCTGGTCTGTGAGAAATCCAGCCCAGCTTAGTGTCTTCCTTCTCTGTCCCTGCAGTTCCCCCTAGTGCCATTATTATCTTGGGATCTGCATCCCAGACTGAGAACAAGAACGTGACACTCTCCTGTGTCAGCAAGTCCAGTCGCCCGCGGGTTCTGCTACGATGGTGGCTGGGCTGGCGGCAGCTGCTGCCCATGGAGGAGACAGTCATGGATGTGAGGCGGGGGCCAGGCTCCTGGGTCTGAGCATGGAGGGGGCTGAGGGCATGACTCGTGGATAGGGAAGGGGTGGGTCCAGCAGCCTGGGGGGCTTTCTCCTTGAGGACCATGGGTCCAACAGAGGGGGAGGTAGAGATGTCTCCTGTGTCCCTGCTGGGGACTGGGATGGACTCAGGCCTCTAGCACGATGGATAGGGGTGCTGCAGTCCCCACGTCTGAAGCTCACTCCCTGCCAGGGACTGCATGGCGGTCACATCTCCATGTCCAACCTGACATTCCTGGCGCGGCGGGAGGACAACGGTCTGACCCTCACATGTGAGGCCTTCAGTGAAGCCTTCACCAAGGAGACCTTCAAGAAGTCGCTCATCCTGAACGTAAAATGTGAGCCCCTGCCCTGGCCCAGCAATGCCCCCAAGCCTCAGGACCCAGCACAGAGAAAAAGTCATTCTTCCTTCCTCTCCCCGCCAGATCCCGCCCAGAAACTGTGGATTGAGGGTCCCCCAGAGGGCCAGAAGCTCCGGGCTGGGACCCGGGTGAGGCTGGTGTGTTTGGCTATCGGGGGCAACCCAGAGCCCTCCCTCATGTGGTACAAGGTTGGTGCCACGCCAGGGCTATGGGGGTGGCCAGGAATGTGGGGGAAGGACCAGGCCCCTTCTCTCCTTCAGAATCTTGGGCAATCTTGGAAAAAGATTAAATTTCTTGAAAAGTACTAAAGATTCTGAGGTTTGGCAGGGAATCAGGAAAGACACAAATGCTATGAGAATTAAATGGAATCCTAGGAAAATTCTGGGGAAACAGTGAGAATTTTAGGATAAAAATTGGAATTCTGAATCAAGATTAGGCATTCTAGAGAAAAGGTAATTTCATTAAAATTAAAGAAAATTCTAGTGAAAACCCTCAGAATTCAGGTGAAATGTCAGGAATTTTAGGGAAAGACTTGAATCCCAGAAAAAAAAAAAAAACAATGCTGTAAAATTTGGCTGGGCACAGTGGCTCACGCCTGTAATCCAAGCACTTTAGGAGGCCGAGGTAGACGGATCACCTGAAGTCGGGAGTTAGAGACCAGCCTGACCAACATGGAGAAACCCTGTCTCTACTAAAAATACAAAAAATTAGCTGGGCATGGTGGCGGGGGCCTGTAATCCCAGCTACTGGAGAGGCTGAGGCTGGAGAATTGCTTGAATCCGGGAGGCCCAGGTTGTGGTGAGCCGAGGTTGTGCCACTGCACTCCAGTCTGGGCAACGAGACCGAAACTCCGTCTCAAAAAAAAAAAAAAAAAAAAAAAAAAAGGCTGGGCACAGTGGCTCACGCCTGTAATCCCAGCACTTTGGGAGGCTGAGGCGGGCGGATCACGAGGTGAGGAGATCGAGACCATCCTGGCTAACACGGTGAAACTCCGTCTCTACTAAAAATACAAAAAATTAGCCAGGCGTGGTGGCAGGTGCCTGTAGTCCCAGCTACTCGGGAGGCTGAGGCAGGAGAATGGCGTGAACCCGGGAGGCGGAGCTTGCAGTGAGCCGAGATCGTGCCACTGCACTCCAGCCTGGGTGACAGAGGGAGACTCCGTCTCAAAAAAAAAGAAAAGAAAAGAAAAGAAAATTTGGAGAAAAGCTAGTAATTCCACAGACTATCGGAAATTCATTAGTATTAAACTGAACTCTTGGGATTTGGAGGCAAGAAAATGAAATTTCATTAAAATGAAAGAGAAGCCTAATAGAATTCTAGGAGAATCCTGGGAATTAGGGAGCTAGTTGAAAACTTTGGGGGGAAGACTAGAAATTATAGAAATGACAATGGAATTTTATTTTAATTGGATGGAATTCTGGGGAAGTGCTGAGAATCTGGGCAATACAAAGGAATCTGTTAAAAGACTGGGATCATAAGATATTATAATATCGGGAAAGATTCAGAAATCTATGGAAAGTTTAATTTGTGCAGCAGCAATAATAAAAAAAGGAAGTAATCTATGGAAAGACACTGGAATTAAGGAAAATTTCAAAGGAAATCTTTGGGGACAGCAGGAATTTTAAGAAAAGGAACTGAGGAACTCTGGGAAAGGCCTGGGAATTTCAAGGGAGTTTCCTGCAGGTGGTGTTGGGTAAACACAGCAGAAATAGATTTTGAGGAGTGCGCTGAGAGCCTGCAGGTGGCTGCAGAGGCAGAGCAGGAGTTGGGTGTGGGACAGAAGGCGGATTCAGATCCCCAAAACTGCCATGCACAGGGACTCGGGGAGGCGGGAGAGACTCCAGGGAGGGGGTCACTCAGTTCCACTCCCCACTGCTTTGCCCTAGGGGGGTGGTGCTGATGAGAGTGCTTCTCCTTATCAGAAAAAGGCTTTGTTTGGGCTGGCGGCACCAACCCAGTGGGCAGGGTAGGGGGGTTGGGGGTTGGTGGAAGCGGCAGGGCTGCCTGCGAACCCCAGTCACTCCCGGCCCGTAGGACTCGCGCACCGTGACCGAGTCGCGGCTGCCGCAGGAGTCGCGGCGCGTGCATCTCGGCAGCGTGGAGAAATCTGGGAGCACCTTCTCCCGAGAGCTGGTGCTGGTCACAGGGCCGTCGGACAACCAGGCCAAGTTCACGTGCAAGGCTGGACAGCTCAGCGCGTCCACGCAGCTGGCGGTGCAGTGTGAGGGCTCGCACTGCTGAGGCCCGGGGGCGGGGCGGGAGGGACAGAGCCAGGTGGGGCAGGGACCCAGCGAACCCTGGACCCGGGGAAAGCGGGCGGAGGCGGGGTGGGGGACCCGAGACTGGGCGGAGCCTGGGGTGCAGGCGGGGTGGACGCAGACCAGGCCGCCCCTAACCTCTGAGTCTCGCTCCTCCAACCCCGTCTCCCAGTTCCCCCAACTAACGTGACGATCCTGGCCAACGCATCCGCACTGCGCCCGGGAGACGCCTTAAACTTGACATGCGTCAGCGTCAGCAGCAATCCGCCGGTCAACTTGTCCTGGGACAAGGAAGGGGAGAGGTGGGAGTGCGAGGGATCCCTCCCCTCTCTGGTCTGGCCTCGCCCCCTCCACGCATGTCCCGCCCCCGCCTAGTGCCTCTCCAGCCTCTGGCTCCGCTCGCAGCCCTGGCTTGACCCCGGTTCCACAGGCTGGAGGGCGTGGCCGCCCCACCCCGGAGAGCCCCATTCAAAGGCTCCGCCGCCGCCAGGAGCGTCCTTCTGCAAGTGTCATCCCGCGATCATGGCCAGCGCGTGACCTGCCGCGCCCACAGCGCCGAGCTCCGCGAAACCGTGAGCTCCTTCTATCGCCTCAACGTACTGTGTATGTGCCCCGGCCTGAAAGCCCCTCTCGATGCCTTCTTGACCCTAAACTACTCCTTGGGTCTTACCTTTTTTTCCTTCTTTTTCTCTTCTCTCTCTCTCTCTCTTTCATTTTTTGTCGCTCAGGCTGCAATGCAGTGACGCAATCATAGGTCACTGCAGTCTCCAACTCCTGAGCTCAAGTGATACTCCCACCTCAGCCTCCCGAGTAGCTGAGACTACAGGTGTGCGCTACCACGCTTCGCTAGTTTATTTTTACTTTTTGTAGCAACGGGGTCTCACTATGTTGCCCAGGCTGGTCTTGAACCCCTGGGCTCAAGCAGTTCTCCTGCGTTGGCCTCTCAAAGTGCTGGGATTACAGGCGCGTGCCACTATGCTAGGCTGATTTTTTGTACTTTTAATTTTAAATAGAGATGGCATTACTCTATGTTGCCCGGGCCGATCTTGAACACCTTGACTCAAGTGATCCTCCTGCCTTGGCCTCCCAAAGTGCTGGGATTATAGGCGTGAGCCACTGCACCTGGCCTGGGTCTTTGCTTTGACACTATCACTCTATCATTAACCCCATCCTGAAACTTGAAACTCCCGACCTTCATCCTGACCCGTGGTCCTGGGCCAACTCCTATCCTGCCTCCTCCCATCTTGCATTTGTCCTCTCTCCTAACCCCCCTCATGACTCCTGTTTCCATCCTTCAAACTGACCCTGGCTTCTGCTCTTTTCCTAAACTGTATTCTAACTTCTATCCCGAACCTTACCCCTGAGCTTAGCTCTGAACTTGTTACCTTGTCCACAACCTTAAACCCCGTCGTGACCCCAACTTTAACCCTTGAACCTGTGCCTGATCTCCAATCTGTCCTTGACCCTAACCTTAACAACAATCTTGACTCCCTGCGGCGCCCCCTCTGAAGACCGTCCAGAGTTCCTGGGGGAGCAGGTGCTGGTGGTGACCGCGGTGGAGCAGGGCGAGGCGTTGCTGCCCGTGTCCGTGTCCGCTAACCCCGCCCCCGAGGCCTTCAACTGGACCTTCCGCGGCTATCGCCTCAGTCCAGGTGAGGGAAGTGGTCATGGGGAGGGGTCCCGGGGATGGGAGGTCCTGCCAGGTCCCTTATTCTGGCCTTCCCCAGCGGGCGGCCCCCGGCATCGCATCCTGTCCAGCGGGGCTCTGCATCTGTGGAATGTGACCCGCGCGGACGACGGCCTCTATCAGCTGCACTGCCAGAACTCTGAGGGCACCGCGGAAGCGCGGCTGCGGCTGGACGTGCACTGTGAGCCCCGCCCACCATGGAAACCACACCCACCCAAGGAACCTTGCCCATTGTGGAGTCTCCTCATTGTGGGAGCTCCGCCCACCCAGGGATAGCCACCCATCCTGGAACCCTCCCGTTCTGGAAGTCCCAGCCGCGGTGTAACCACGCCCACTGCGGAACCCCTCCCACTAGAGAGACCCAGTGTGGAATCTCTGCCCAGAGAGGGTGCCCGCCTAGACACGGAAGCTGCTCCCGTCAGGAATGAGAGCCCACTGTATAAGCCCTGCTACACACACAATTCTGGAAGCCCACTCAACTCACTCTAATTATCACAGAGGCATAGTGGAGGGTGGAGACAACCTCACCAACCTTGAGAACTCTCCTCCAACCCTTTGGTATTAAGGGCAGATTGTGTCCACACCCATAACTTTCCTGGAACCCCTAAGACATCCCTCCCACCTGGGGCCCTCTCACACCCAGACCTGTCTGGGCCCAAGTGTCTTCCCCAAGCCTCTGCCTTCCACCAGATGCTCCCACCATCCGTGCCCTCCAGGACCCCACTGAGGTGAACGTCGGGGGTTCTGTGGACATAGTCTGCACTGTCGATGCCAATCCCATCCTCCCGGGCATGTTCAACTGGGAGAGACTGGTGAGGATCCAGCCTTTGGTGAATAGAGGTGGGGTCAAGGGGTTGTGGTTTCTTGACTGTGAGTTCCTTGGGAGTGGGGACCACATACATCTGTATGACCCTTATAACTATATACTCGCCAGGGCATGCTCCCAGAATGAATAACTGTTGGTGGCAAAATGAATGCATGGATAAATGGCTAGACAGCCAGGCGAGTGGGTAGGTAGATGGATAGATAGGTCAAAAGGTAGGTAAGTGGATGAACAGGTGGATGAATGAGTGAGTGGATGGAGGAACAGATGGACAAGTGAAAGGATGGATAAATGGGTGAGTGGATGGGTGGGAAGATGATTGAAGGAGAAAAATCAGTGGATAGAGGGTAGATGATGGACGGATACACCATCAGAGGAAAGATATCTATGGAAGGATGATGGATGAATTGATGAATGGATGGGTGGGTAGATCAATGGAAAGATGAATAAATAGGTAGCTGGGTAAATGTCTGAACAGATGCATGTATTTATGGGTGTGCAAGCGTGAGTGAATAGTTGAGTGAATGGGTGGAGAGCTACAGGGGTGGATACATGGGTGCAGAGAAGGAAGACAAATGGGTGGAGGAATGAGTGAGTGAACCGATGAGTGGATGGAAAGATAAATGGATGAATGGAGAGATAAGCAGATGGATAAATGAATGGATGGACGGATAGATGGTTCCAAGCATAAGTGGTTGGGTGAATGGATGGGTAGGTGGTTGCCTGGATTGGTGGATGAAAAGATGGATTGAGTAAATGGATAGATGGATGACAGGAGAATTTTTTTTTCTTCAATACCTCTGTGGAGGGTGATTGTGGCTAGGAGAATGAGGCTACAGAAGGGACAATTTGGGCAGTGATGGATCTGGGGCTAGACTGGGAGGCCAATTCTGGACTCTTGGGCCTCCAGGGAGAAGATGAGGAGGACCAGAGCCTGGATGACATGGAGAAGATATCCAGGGGACCAACGGGGCGCCTGCGGATTCACCATGCCAAACTGGCCCAGGCTGGCGCTTACCAGTGCATTGTGGACAATGGGGTGGCGCCTCCAGCACGACGGCTGCTCCGTCTTGTTGTCAGATGTGGGTATTACCCAAACACCTGACTTCAAGACCTGCCACTGAACCCACAGCCCTCATGTCTCCCACATAGCTCATGTTGACTGCCCATCCCCTCCCAGTTGCCCCCCAGGTGGAGCACCCCACTCCCCTAACTAAGGTGGCTGCAGCTGGAGACAGCACCAGTTCTGCCACCCTCCACTGCCGTGCCCGAGGTGTCCCCAACATCGTTTTCACTTGGACAAAAAACGGGGTCCCTCTGGATCTCCAAGATCCCAGGTGAGCCCAAGCCCAGCCAGGCAGCACTCCAGCCCCAGGTCTGGACCTCCAGCCCCACTTCCCCTCCCTGAGTCCCTGCAGAGAAGGAAGACGAATGGGTGGAGGAATGAGTGAGTGAATGGTTGAGTGGATGAAAAGATAAATGGATGAATGGATAGATAGGCAGACGGTTACATTAATGGATGGATGCATAGATGATTCCAAGCATAAGTGGTTGGGTGAATGGAAGGGTGAGTGGTGCCCTACCTTCTCTCTAGGTACACGGAGCACACATACCACCAGGGTGGTGTCCACAGCAGCCTCCTGACCATTGCCAACGTGTCTGCCGCCCAGGATTACGCCCTCTTCACATGTACAGCCACCAACGCCCTTGGCTCGGACCAAACCAACATTCAACTTGTCAGCATCAGTATGGAGGGGCTGTGAGGGTGTTGGGGAGGGGGTGCTCCCTGGATCCATTCCCACATCCCTGATTGGCCCTGGGCTGCCCATGTTTCTGAAACCGGAAGTTCTGTGTATGTGTGAGGATGGAGTTTTTGCCTGCCCTGAAAATCCTAATGGAGACTGGATCTTCAGGAAGACCCACAACAAAGGCAAAAGAAAAAGAAAAGAACAGAAAAAAGATGGAGAGGGGGTACTTGTTAGCTCAAGTAACTGAAAAATAGATTTTCAGGGGTTTCTGGATCTAGGTTCAGCTGCCATCAGCAACTCTCCATTCTTTTTGTTGTTGTTGTTGTTGTTGTTGTTGTTGAAATGGAGATTCACTCTTGTCACCCAGGCTGGAGTGCGATGGCGCGATCTTGGCTCACTGCAACCTCTGCCTCCTGGATTCAAGCAATTCTCTCATCTCAGCCTCCCGAGTAGCTGAGATTACAGGCGCCCGCCACCACACCCAGCTAATTTTTGTATTTCTAGTAGAGACGGGGTTTCACCATGTTGGCCAGGCTGGTCTCCTGACCTCAGGTGATCTGCCCGCCTCAGCCTCCCAAAGTGGTGGGATTACAGGTGTGATGACCAGCCCTCTTCATTCTTACGTCTGCATGTCTCTGTGTTGGCTTTATTCTAAGGGCCCTCACAGTGGTCTGTTAGAATTCCCAGAGGAAACAGAATTCTTTCTCTTCCTAACAGTAGTATGAAAATACCAGGATTAGTCAGGCGTGGTGGCTCATGCCTGTAATCCCAGCACTTTGGGAGGCTGAGGCGGGCAGATCACAAGGTCAGCCTGACCAATATGGTGAAACCCCATCTCTACTTAAAAAAAAAAAAAAAAAGCCGGGCGTGATGGCATGCGCTTGTAATCCCAGTTACTCGGGAGGCTGAGGCAGAAGAATTGTTTGAACCCAGGAGGTGGAGGTTGCAGTGAGCTGAGTTCGCGCCACCGCACTCCAGCCTGGGCGACAGAGCAAGACTCTGTCTCAAAAAAAAAAAAAAAAATCATGTATTGATTGCTTGACGCAAATGCTATGATGAGACGTTTAAAGAAACCTAACTGCCGGGTGCAGTGGCTCACACCTGTAATCCCAGCACTTTGGGAGGCCGAGGCGGGTGGATCACGAGGTCAGGAGATCGAGACCATCCTGGCTAACATAGTGAAAACCCGTCTGTACTAAAAATACAGAAAATTAGCCGGGCATGGTGGCGGGCACCTGTAGTCCCAGCTACTCGGGAGGCTGAGGCAGGAGAATGGCGTGAACCCAGGAGGCAGAGCTTGCAATGAGTCAAGATCGCACCACTGCACTCCAGCCTGGGTGACACAGCGAGACTCCATCTCAAAAAAGAAAAAAAGGAAAAGAAAAAAAAAAGAAAAGAAACCTAACCATGCCAGGCGCGGTGGCTCATGCCTGTAATCCCAGCATTTTGGGAGGCCAAGGCGGGTGGATCACCTGAGGTCAGGAGTTCGAGACAAGCCTGGCCAACATAGTGAAACCCCATCTCTACTAAAAATATGAAAAATTAGCTGGGCATGGTGGCGGGCACCTGTAATCCAGCTACTCGGGAGGCTGAGGCAGGAGAATTGCTTGAACCCAGGAGGTGGAGGTTGCAGTGAGCCAAGATTGCACCACTACACTCCAGCCTGGGCAATAAGAGTGAAACTCCATCTAAAAAAAAAGAAAAAAAAAAAAAGAAAGAAACTTAACCCTTCATTTTCCATAGAAGTAACCATTTGGTCTTGAATTTTTTTGCTGTTTCTTTTGGTTTTGTTTTCACTTACTTCTTTTTAAAATTATTTTTTATTTTAATGTTTAATTTGAGACAGGGTCTTGCTATGTTGCCCAGGCTGGTCTCGAACTCCTGGGCTCAAGCATCTTTCAGACTTGGTCTCACAAAGTACTGGGATTACAGGGACAGTTTGGTGTTTGCCAGAGCAGTGTTCACCATGACCTTACAGAACATGAGTATGCTATGAACAATGAGAAGCGATTGTATATTTAAAATCATTCCTAGGGAAAACCTGGACAGAATCTTCTGGAATTCTTTTGTATCCTCTGACTGCTTTCCCATCTTTCTCCCCATAGGCCGCCCTGACCCTCCATCAGGATTAAAGGTTGTGAGTCTGACCCCACACTCCGTGGGGCTGGAGTGGAAGCCTGGCTTTGATGGGGGCCTGCCACAGAGGTTCTGCATCAGGTGGGTCCTTGTCGAGGCAGGAGGGAAGGGAATGGGCTAGGGCACTTCCCTGAATTTACTATCCCCCTGTCCTGCAGGTATGAGGCCCTGGGGACTCCAGGGTTCCACTATGTGGATGTCGTACCACCCCAGGCCACCACCTTCACGCTGACTGGTCTACAGCCTTCTACAAGATACAGGGTCTGGCTGCTGGCCAGTAATGCCTTGGGGGACAGTGGACTGGCTGACAAAGGGACCCAGCTTCCCATCACTACCCCAGGTGGGAAGGGAGGCTTGGGCAGGTTGGAGTATTCCTCAGAGGATGTGTAGGGTAGTATGGTGAAGTCAATACTATTCCCCTTTTATGATGAGTTACTGAGGCCTATAGCTGTTAAGCAAATTGTCCAAGGTCACACAACTAGTAAAAGATAAAGATGAGATTGAAACTCAGGCAGATGAACTTGAGACCAACCGTTAACCACAACCCATACTATCTGAATGTGATTAATGACCAAGGGAAATTAGAAAATAGTTTGAATTAAATGAAAATGAAAACATATAAAAATTTGAGGTTGCAGTTAAAGCAGTACTTAGAGGGAAATTTATAGCATTAAGTGCTTATTTTAGTTTTTTATTTTATTTAATTATTTAATTTTTTTTTATTTTTTTGAGATGGAGTTTCACTCTTGTTGCCCAGGCTGGAGTGCAATGGTGTGATCTTGGCTCACTGCAACCTTCATCTCCTGGGTTCAAGCAATTCTCTTGACTCAGTCTTCTGAGTAACTGGGATTACAGGCATGTGCCACCACCCCCAGCTAATTTTGTATTCTTAATAGAGACGGGGTTTCACCATGTTGGTCAGGCTGGTCTCGAACACCTGACCTTGTGATCCACTCACCTTGGCCTCCCAAAGTGCTAGAATCATAGGCCTGAGCCACCATGCGCGGCCTTATTTTTTATTTTTGAGATGGAGTCTCACTCTGCCACCCAGGCTGGAGTGCAGTGGCATGATCTTGGCTCACTACAACCTCCGCCTCCCGGGTTCAAGCGATTCTCCTGCCTCAGCCTCCTAAGTAGCTGGGATTACAGGCAAGTGCCACCATGCCCAGCTAATTTTAGTATTTTTAGTAGAGACGGGGTTTCGCCATGTTGGCCAGGCTGGTCTTGAACTCCTGACCTCAGGTGATCCACCTGCCTTGGCCTCCCAAAATGCTGAGATTACAGGTGTGAGCCACCACGCTTGGCCACTTTTTGTTTGTTTGTTTTTGTTCTGAGACGCAGTTTTGTTCTTGTTGCCCAGGGTGGAGTGCAATGGTGCCGTCTCGGCTCACTGCAACCCCCGCCTCCTGGGTTTGAGCAATTTTCCTGCCTCAGCCTCCCAAGTAGCTGGGATTACAGGCATGCACCTGTAATTTTTTGTATTTTTTAGTAGAGACAGGGTTTCACCATGTTGTCCAGGCTGATCTCGAACTCCTGACCTCAGGTGATCCACCAGCTTCGGTCTCCCAAAGTGTTGGGATTACAGGTGTGAGCCACCACGACTGGACTAGTTTTCGTTTTTTTTTTTTTTTTTTTTTTAAGAGAATAACCTCAAATGCATATTCTAAGTTTTCATCTTAAGAAACTGTGGCTCATGCCTGTAATCCCAGCACTTTGAGAGGCCAAGGCGGGTGTATTACTTGAGGTCGGGAGTTTGAGACCAGCCTGACCAACATGGAAAAACCCTGTCTCTACTGAAAATACAAAATTAGCCGGGTGTGGTGGCACATGCCTGTAATCCCAGTTACTTGGGAGGCTGAGGCAAGAGAATCACTTGAACCTGGGAGGCAGAGGTTGCAGTGAGCAGAGATGGTGCCATTGTACTCCAGCCTGGGCAACAAGAGCAAAACTCCATCTAAAGAAAGAAAGAGAGAGAGAGAGAGAGAGAGAAAGAAAGAAGCTAATAAAAGACGAACAAATTAAACCCAAAGTAAACAGAAAGAAGAAAATAATAATGGTAAGAGCAGAAATGAATGAATTAGAAAACAGAAAAACAATTGAGAAAATCAATGAAACCAGAAGCTGGTTATTTGAAAAAAATCAATAACATTTATAAATCTGATTAAGACAAATAAAAGGGAGAAAATACAAGTTACCAATAACAGGAATGGAAGAAGGGATGTTACCACAGACTCCACAGACATTAAGAGGATAATTAGGGAATATTATGGATAACTTTATTCCAATAAATTCAGCAAGTTGGATGAGAAGGACAAATTCCTTGAATATGATGAATATGTTACAATTCTGATAGGCACAGTATTGTAGTGGTAAATCCTTCAGAGCCTGGTCCAGAGAAGCTTGGGTTCAAATCCCCTCTCTGCTACCTCTTAGTTGTGTGACCATAGGCAAGTGTCTCAGTTTCTAAAAATATATAGCACAGATCTTTGTGGCTCAGTTTATTTTTCTTTCTTTCTTTCTTTCTTTCTTTCTTTCTTTCTTTCTTTCTTTTCTTTTCTTTTCTTTCTTTTTTTTTTTTTTTGCAATGGAATCTTGCTCTGTCACTCAGGCTGGAGTACAGTGGCATGATCTCGGCTCACTGCAACCTCTGCCTCCCAGGTTCAAGCAATTCTCCTGCCTTAGCCTTCCAAGTAGC
This sequence comes from Homo sapiens, assembly GCF_000001405.40. NCBI lineage: Eukaryota > Metazoa > Chordata > Mammalia > Primates > Hominidae > Homo > Homo sapiens. Next base: position 35,836,881 of record NC_000019.10, on the reverse strand, counting down.
TGGGATTACAGGTGCATACCACCACGCCTGGCTAATTTTTGTATTTTTTAGTAGAGACAGGGTTTCACCATGTTGGCCAGGCTGGTCTCAAAGTCCTAACCTCAGGTGATCCACCTGCCTCAGTCTCTCAAAGTGCTGGGATTACAGACGTGTGCCACCACTCCTGGCCGCAAGCTTCTCCTTTCTGTTTTCCTCTTCCTGACAGAGCAGGCTTTTTCTCAATGGAAGTAAGGACACTTTTTCACCCCTACAATCTTCTCTGCTCTTCCCCCCACCCCACTCCAGTCTTCCCTTTGAACACTAAAACATAAAGTATGACACTTGCCTCCTTTGCTTTAGAACTTGTACCTTTATTAAGGGATCGAGAGCCCAAAGTCTTTTTTGGTTAACTCAACAAATTGATAATTCGGGTGAAAAGGACCTTGCACACCGAAAGTGCTCATCAACAGTTAATTTTTGGGCCAGGCATGGTGATGCATGCCTGTAGTCCCAGCTAATCAGGAGTCTGAGGCGGGAGGATAGCTTGAACCCAGGAGGTCGAGGCTGCAGTGAGCTATGATCATACCACTGCACTCCAGCCTGAGCGACAGAGTGAGACCCTGTCTCTTTAAAAAAAAAAAAATGGCCAGGCGCAGTGGCTCACGCCTGTAATCCCAGCACTCTGGAAGGCCGAGGTGGGCGAATCACGAGGTCAGGAGTTCGAGACTAGCCTGGCCAACATGGTGAAACCCCATCTCTACTAAAAATACAAAAAATTAGCCAGGCATAGTGGCAGGTGCCTGTAGTCCCAGCTACTTGGGAGGCTGAGGCAGGAGAATTGCTTGAACCCGGGAGGCAGAGGTTTCAGTGAGCTGAGATTGCGCCACTGCACTCCAGCCTGGGCAATAGAGAGAGGTTCAGTCTCAAAAAACAAATTATTCTTAGCATTAGCGTTACCATTAGAATTGCTATTAATAGTATTGTCATTATTATCAGCAATTTCTAGCTCTCTTTGAAATATTCTTAAGCAGTCATATACCAGTTCCCATGAATCTAATAGGCTTAAGAAGAGGCTGAGAAATATTTAAAGCTTATCTCAGATTCTTAGTGTTAAGTCACAATCTGTATATCCACCCCCCAGGTCTCCACCAGCCTTCTGGAGAACCTGAAGACCAGCTGCCCACAGAGCCACCTTCAGGCAAGTCCTCAGTCCCCTGATCCCTCCCGGCTCCCCTGAGAATGGAACCTCCTGGTCTCTGACCCTACCTCCTCTGCTTGTAGTCACAGCTGCTTAACGACTTAGTTCTGGCCAAGCTCAGTCGCTCACGCCTGTAATCCCAACACTTTGGGAGGCCAAGGCATGTGATCACTTGAGCCCAGGAGTTTGAGACCAGCTTGGGCAACATAGCAAGACTCCATCTTTGCAAAAATAAAAAATAGCTGGGTGTAGTGGCATGTGCCTGTAGTCCCAACTACTCAGAAGGCTGAGGTGGGAGGATTGCATAAGCCCAGGAGTTGGAGGATGCAGTGAGCTATGACTGAGCCACTGCACTCCAGCCTTGGCAACAGAGGGAGACCCTATCTCAAAAAAAAAAAAAAAAAAAAAAAAGACTTAGTTCTGTCCCTGCAGAATTGCAGACTTGCAGACTCCTTAGAGCTTCCTCTTTTTTCTTTCTTTCTTTCTTTTTTTTTTTTTTTTTTTTGAGACAGAGTCTCATTCTGTTGCCCAGGCTGGAGTGAAGTGGCAAAATCTTGGCTCACTGCAACCTCCACCTCCCAGGTTCAAGCGATTCTTTTGCCTTAGCCTCCCGAGTTGCTGGGATTACAGGCACCTGCCACCACACCTGGCTAATTGTTGTACTTTTTTAGTAGGGACGGGGTTTCACCATGTTGGCCAGGCTGGTCTCGAACTCCCGACCTCAAGTGATCTGCCTGCCTCAGCTTCCCAAAGTGCTGGGATAACAGGCATGAGCTACGGCACTCGGCATTTTTTTTTTTTATTTTTTTATTTTTTGAGATGGATTCTTGCTCTGTTTGTTGCCCAGGCTGGAGTGCAGTGGTGCGATCTCGGCTGACTGCTATCTCCACCTCCCGGCTTCCTCTCCTGCCTCAGCCTCCCGAGTAGCTGGGACTACAGGCACGTGCCAACACGCCCAGCTAATTTTTTGTATTTTTAGTAGAGATGAGGTTTCACCGCGTTAGCCAGGATGGTCTTTAACTCCTGACCTCATGATTCACCCACCTCAGCCTCCCAAAGTGCTGGGATTACAGGCGTGAGCCACTGCATCTGGCCAATTTTTTTTTTCTTAGATCTTCCTCTTGCCTGGAGTGATAAATTTTCTTCTCTTCCAAATTTAGTTTAATTCCGTAAGAATTAGCTCACTCCATGTCCTGTAAGAAGCCTGCATCAGTTAGCTTTTGCTGTATAATGAACCACCCCAAACATGGGTGCTTATAGCAACATTCTTCCTCATGATTCTGAGTCTGGCGGAACAGTGCTGGTCTGGGCTGGCTTAAATCATCTCTGCAGTCAGCTGGCAGCTCCACTGGACTGGGTGGTCTAGGGTTGCCCCCTTCCCACACTTCTGATAGTCATCTGGCTCTTGGTTGGAACAATGGAGATAACTGGGCGCGTGTCTCTTCTTGACTTTTTCACATGGAGGTGGTCACGGGGGTCAAAAGCAGCAATTTACTAGCTGATTCCGTCATAGTTGTGTCTCATTGGCCAAAGCAAGTCACATGGCTCAACACAGAGTCAGTGTGGAAAGGCCCCGCACTCAAGGATGTGACTACTGGGAGATGATTGCAACCATTTGGCAAAAAAATCCCCTTCAGAGCCCGAGAAAAAGGTTGCAAGTGACAGAAATGCAGCTGTTTTGTCAACACGAAAAAGAATGGCTTGGCTGGGCACAGTGGCTCATGCCTATAATCCCGGAACTTTGGGAGGCTGAGGCAGGTAGATCACTTGAGCCCAGACGTTGGAGACAAACCTGGGCAACATGGTGAAACCCCATCTCTATAAAACAAAAACAAAAAAAATTAGCCAGGCATGGCAGTGCATGCCTGCAGTCCCAGCTACTCAGGAGGCTGATGCGGGAGGATTGATTGAGCCCAGGAGGTTGAGCCTTCAATGAGCCGAGCTCACGCCACTGCACTGCAGCCTGGGCAACAGAGTTGAGACCCTGTCTCAAGAAAAAAAAGAAAAAGTCTTGGTATATGAAATAAAAAATTCCAAGTGTGGCCACTTTCAGGTGCTCAAAAATCTCACCAGCGATCTGTTTCTCACCCTCTCTCAACTTTGCCTTCATCTGTGGTGGCTTCTTTCTGAGTTTCTTCAATCAGAGGGGCAGAGAAGCCCTCCTCCACCTCCATCTTCTTGACAGCTAGTAGAATTGTCCTAAATGTTTTGTTAAAAACACACGTTGGGTCAAATGCCTGTGTCTAAACAATCACTGTGGAGAGAGGAATGGAGACTCTTATTTTCCAGGCCGGGCCATGTGCCCACTGTGGAGTCCTGCCTGAACCCAAGACTGAGATTGGGGAGTGGCTGTTCTCCCCAGGGGAAAAAAGTGCTATTAGTAGAAGACAGGGGAGATTGCCCGCCCAACAGATGCCTACTTAGAGGGGTTCAGCCTTGTCCTCAGGGATATAGCAGCCAAGTCAGCCTGATATTGGCTGGGATGGAAGTTGGTGGAAAGAAGTCATTTGAGGCTGGGCACGGTGGCTCGCGCCTATAATGCCAGCACTTTGGGACGCCAAGGTGGGCAGACCACTTGAAGCCAGGAGTTCAAGAACAGCCTGTCCAACATGGCGAAACTCCGTCTCTATTAAAAATACAAAAAAAAAAAAAATTAGCCGGGTGTGGTGGCATGCGCCTGTAATCCCAGCTACTTGGGAGGCTGAGGGAGAAGAATCGCTTGAACCCTGCAGGTGGAGGTTGCAGTGAGCCAAGATCATGCCACTGCACTCCAGCCTGGGTGAAAGAGTGAGACTCTTTTTTTTTTTTTTTTTTTTTTGAGACAGGGTCTCATTCTGTCACCCAGGCTGGAGTGCAGTAGCGTGATCTCGGCTCACTGCAACCTCTGCCTCCCCAGTTCAAGTGATTCCCCTGCCTCAGCCTCCCAAGTAACTGGGACTACAGGTGCCTGCCACCACACCCAGCTAATTTTTTGTATTTTAGTAGAGACAGGGTTTTACCATATCGGCCAGGCTGGTTTTGAACTCCTGACCTTGTGATCCAACCCCTCAGCCTCCCAGAGTGCTGGGATTATAGGCGTGAGCCACCGTGCCCAGCCAACTCCGTCTTAATTAAAAAACAAAATAAAATAAAGAAGTCCTTGAGATGGGATTTTTTTTTCAGAGGCAGGGTCTTGCTCTGCTGCCCAGGCTGGAGTGCAGTGGTGCTATCATAGCTCACTGGAGCCTTGACTTACCAGGTTCAAGCAATCCTCTTGCTTCAGTGTCCCGAGTAGCTGGGACTATAGACATGCACCACCATGCTGCTAAATTTTTAATTTTTTTTGTAAAGAATCAGCCTCACTATGTTGCCTAGGCTGGTCTTGAGCTCCTAGGCTCAAGCGATTCTCCCACCTTGACCTCCCAACATGCTGGGATTACAGGCATGTGCTGCAGCGCCTGACCTTGAGATAGAATTTGAAAGGCAAACAGAAGTTTGCTTGAGAAGAAAGGACATTTGAGGACAGACACTTAACTATTCCAAAGCTCTGAGGTGTGAATTTGCTTCAGTGATTCTGGAAACAGCTGGTGGTTGATTTGTGTGGCTGGACAGTCCAGTACCAGGGTCTAAGTTTGGTGGGCATGGCTGGAGGCGTGGGAAGAGGCTGGACCACAGAAAGTCTTCAGTGCCCAGCTAACGAGCTGAAGCTCCCTCCTGAGTCCAGAGTTCCGTTCTGAGTTTGCAGAGTTCAAGCAAACGGAGGAAGTTTTGCTAATGGCTTGACTTAAGAAAGAAGCCACCTGCCCTTGGGTGGGCAGAAAGGGTGGGCACAGAGACCTCTGCCCATCTGTTTCTCTGACCCTGGGGGAGGGACTTGGTCAGGGCTACACTTTCTCGGGGAGACCCACCCCTGGCCTACAGCCTGTTGTCTGGGATTCACTGAGGGGTATCTTCCACCCCTAGGACCCTCGGGGCTGCCCCTGCTGCCTGTGCTGTTCGCTCTTGGGGGGCTTCTGCTCCTCTCCAATGCCTCCTGTGTCGGGGGGGTCCTCTGGCAGCGGAGACTCAGGCGTCTTGCTGAGGGTGAGGAGAGACCCTTCCCTGCCAGGGTGGAGACCCGAGGGTGATAGGGAACCCTGTGGTTGCTGCATACTGAAGGTCTTCCTGGGGCCGGGGTGGGGGGCTTGCATAGGGTCACTGAGCCCTTTATTCCTGTTTCCTTCAGGCATCTCAGAGAAGACAGAGGCAGGGTAAGTGGGGATATTTTTCTGTAAAGAAGGCTCTGAGGGAGGTTTGGGGGAGACTGGTGGCGGGGGGCAGCACTCAACTTCCCCCCACACCTTCATCCTGGAAGGTCGGAAGAGGACCGAGTCAGGAACGAATATGAGGAGAGCCAGTGGACAGGAGAGCGGGACACTCAGAGCTCCACGGTAAGTGGGGGTGGCCCTGGTGACCCCACAATCAGGGCACCGACGGCGACTGAAGCCCTGCCGTTAGCATCAGGTTGATCATTGCCCTTCCGGGCACAGTGGGGTCAGAGGATGGAAAGGGCTTTGTTTGTTTTGCGTGTGGGGAACAGGTCAGCACAACAGAGGCAGAGCCGTATTACCGCTCCCTGAGGGACTTCAGCCCCCAGCTGCCCCCGACGCAGGAGGAGGTGTCTTATTCCCGAGGTGAGTTAGGACCATGTCAGGATTCCCTCACTCAGAGGTACCCCCGACGCCTGGACTGGGTGCCTTGATCGTGTCTCCCTTCCACTCCAACTCCAGGTTTCACAGGTGAAGATGAGGATATGGCCTTCCCTGGGCACTTGTATGATGAGGTAGAAAGAACGTACCCCCCGTCTGGAGCCTGGGGACCCCTCTACGATGAAGTGCAGATGGTGAGAAGCTTTGCATCAGCAACCATCCTTCCTGGCTAGTGCTGGGAGCCTACCTCCTATTGCTTGTATTAGTTAGGGCCAGCTAGCTGCTGTAACAAAGAGGCCTGACCATGATCCAGTGGCTTAAAGACAGTCGGCTGGGCATGATGGTCCATGCCTGTAATCCCAACACTTTGGGAGGCCAAGGCAGGAGGATCGCTTGAGCCCATAAGTTTGAGACGAGCCTGGGCAATATAGTGACTTGTCTCTACAAAACATTTTTTAAAATGAGCCAGGCATGGAGGTGTGCACCTGTAGTCTCAGCTACTCAGGAGGCTGAGCCAGGAGGATCCCTTGAGCTCAGGAGTTGGAGGCTGCGGTGAGCCATGATGGTGCCACTGCACTCCAGCTTGGGCAACAGAGCAAGACCCTGTCTCTGAAAAAAAGAAGGCAGTCTATTTCTTTTTCAGTCAGACGTGAGTGGCCCTGCTCAAGTCAACCGAGTCTACATGAATGAGCCAGTTCACTGGGGGTTCAACCCATGGGAAAAGGTGAAAGAATGTGGAGGAGGCACAACCCTGCCTTGTGGCCCAGGCCCAGAAATGGTGCACACCACTCTGCTCTCACTCCCCTGGTGGGAAGAGAGTCACATGGTCACATCTGACGGCAAAGGAGGCTGTGAAATGTGGTCTAGCTTAGCAGTGATGTGCCTTGCTGCAATTCTGCTACTGTGGAAGGAAGTAGACATGAATTTTTAAAGATAATTAGCCATATCTACTCCACTGGTTAAAGAGAGAGAAAGAGAGAATTTGGGGGCCCATTCAACTGAAAAATCAAGGCATACAATTGTCATCAGGCCCAGCTGGGCCCAGAATTTCTTCCCTAAAAATGTTTTTATGGCTAGGCATGGTCACGGCTCATATCTCTAATCTCAGCAGGCTGAGGTAGGTGGATTGCTTGAGCCCAGGTATTGGAGACCAGCCTGGGCAACACAATAATACCCCATCTTTAAAAAAAAAAAAGTTAAGCCGAGCATGGTGGCTCACACCAGTAATCCCAGCACTCTGAGAGGCTGAGGTGGGTGGATTACCTGAGGTCAAGAGTTCGAGACCAGCCTGGCCAACATGGTGAAACCCCATTTCTACAAAAAATGCAAAAATTATCTGGATGTGGTGGCACACACTTGTAATCCCGGCTACTTGGGAGGCTGATGCAGGAGAATCGCTTGAACCCAGGAGGCAGAGGTTGCAGTGAGCCGAGATCATGCCACTGCACTCCAGCCTGGGCAACAGAGCAAGACTCTGTCTCAAAAAAAAAAAAAGTTTAAAAAATTAACTGGGCATGGTGGTGCATGCCTGTGGTCTCAGCTACTCAGGAGGCTGAGGTAGGAGGAATGCCTGAGCCAGGGAAGTTGAGGCTGCCATGAGCCCTGATTGTGCCACTGCATTCCAGCCTGAGAGACTGTTTCAAAAAAGAAAGGGAAAAAATATTCCCAGAAAATCTAGATTTGTATCCTACGAGATTAGAAATCTTCAAAGAAAGAGTATACCTGTTTTCCAGTGGCCCCAAATGCCCAATGCTGACACTTAATTGGTCTAGCTTGGGTCACATCCTCATCACTGAACACATCCCTGAGTCAGGGGATGGAATATGCTAACAGGAGAGGCCTGGGCCAGTTCACCATGGGATCAGGGAGTAGGGGCCAGCCCCACTCAGGTCACTGGGCTGAGAGTAGGAGAGGGACAGAGAGCTCACAGGGAAATGAGGATGGTGGCTGTACAGGCAAAAACAACAGACAGGCACTTTGACCACCAGCCAATCCCCACCCATTGCTGCACAGTTAGGGAGATGGGACAGAACCCCTGATTTCCTGTGTGGCCTTGGCTGATGCTCTGGCACCTCCTGGGCCAAGGATTTCCTTCTGTCTCTGTGAACGACCTCCGATACCGGGACTGTTGTCAGATCCTAGCTCCTCACCAGCATGGCGCAAAGCGCTGTCCATGGTGCTGGACCATATGCACTCTCTAAAGCGTAGATGGAGGCTGCACGCTTTTTCCGAACAGGGCCGGATAGTAGTAAATGCTTTGGGCTGTGTGGGACATACGGTCTTCCTCAAACTCTACACAAACTCTGCCACCGTAAAGTAAAAGCAGCCATAGACGATGCATAAATGAATGAGTGTGGCTATGTTCCTACAAAACTTAATTTTTGGACACTGTAATTTGAACTTCATGTAATTTTTCTATGTCACAAATGTTATCTTTTTTCATTTTTTCCCAACAATTAAAAAATGAAAAACCAGGCCGGGCACGGTGGCTCATGCCTATAATCCCAGCATTTTGGGAGGCCAAGGCGGGCGGATCACAAGGTCAGAAGTTTGAGACCAGCCTGACCAACATGGTGAAACCCCGTCTCTACTAAAAATACAAAAAGTTAGCCGGGTGTGGTGGCTGGCGCCTGTAGTCCCACCTACTCGGGAGGCTAGGCAGGAGAATCGCTTAAACCCGGGAGGCGGAGGTTGCAGTGAGCCAAGATTGCGCCACTGCACTCCAGCCTGGGCAACAAACCAAGACTCCGTCTCAAAAAAAAAGAAAAAGAAAAAGAAAAAAATAAAAACCATTCTTAGCTCTTGGGCAGTATAAAAAAGCAGGTGGCAGGCCATATTTGGAGCATGGGCCAATCTGCTCTAAAGTTTGCTGAACTAAAATAATCATTTTCTCCCAGCCCTAGAACAAAATACATCCCCAGTTAGGGCTACCATTCATGTTCTTTTTGTTGTTGTTGTTTGTTTGGTTTTGCTTTGTTTTGTTTTTCTATTATGATTAGGGAACTGTTTTGGAAATTCATAGGACAATATAATCATAACTTACATTCCACAGTTGCCATACCTGATAACATGGACTTTTAAAGTTTTCATTTTTAAAAATTTTATTTATTTATTTATTTTTGAGATGGAGGCTTGCTCTGTAACCCAGGCTGGAGTGCAGTAGCACAATCTCAGCTCACTGCAACCTCCACCTCCCAGGTTCAAGCGATTCTCCTGCCTCAGCCTCCCAAGTAGCTGGGATTACAGGCATGCACCATCATGCCCGGCTAATTTTTGTATTTTTAGTAGAGACAGGGTTTTGCCCATTGCCCAGGCTGGTCTCGAATCCTGATCTCAAGTGATCCACCTGCCTTGGCCTCCCAAAATGCTAGGATTACAGGCATGAGTCACCATGCTTGGCCTAAAGGTTTTATATTTCTGACATTTACATTATTTTTCTAACATGAAATCATTGGGTATCTTGGGCTTGCTTCAAAATAATCCAGTTAGTCGGGGAGGGGAACAAGATAGAAATACAGAGAAATCAATTGACCAAGGGTTGCTACTGGTTTTTTCTTTTTTCTTTTTTTCTTTTTTTGAGATAGTCTCAGTCTGTCACCCAGGCGGGAGTGCAGTGGCATGATCATGGCTTACTGCAGCCTTGACCTCCGGGGCTCAAGCGATCCTCTTACCTCAGCCTCCTGAGTATCTAGGACTATAGGCGCTCACCACCACACCTAGCTAATTTCTTTAAAAATATTTTTTATAGGCTCGGTGCAGTGGCTCATAATCCCAGTGACTTATAATCCCAGCACTTTGGGAGGCTGAGACGGGTGGATCGATTGAACTCAGGAGTTCAAGACCAGCCTGGGCCACAATGGAAACCTCGTCTTTAAAAAAAAAAAAAATTCAAAAGTTAGCTGGGTGTGGTGATGCATGCCTGTAGTCCCAGCTACTTGGGAGGCTGAAGTGGGAGGATGGATTGAGCCCAGAAGGTGGAGGTTGCAGGGAGCTAAGATCGTGCCATTGCACTCCAGCCTGGGTGACAGAGCCAGACCCTGTCTAAGAAAAATAAAATTATTTTTTGTAGATACAGGATCTCACTATGTTGCCCAGGCTGGTCTCGAACTCCTGGTCTCAAGCAATCCTCCTGCTTTGGCATCCCAAAGTGCTGGAATTATAGGCATGAGCTACCGTGCCCAGCCTGATATTGTTGAAGTTAGGTGATAAGCACATGGGGTTCATCATAAGCATTCATTATAATCACACTCCTTTTTTGTATATGTTGGGATTTTAGTAAAAGCTAAAACACTTTTTTCTGGGAAGTTAAGCAGGGGCATGTATCCCCCAGATCTTCAATGAAGACCTACAGGGCATCTCTCCATGGTTCTAACTCCACTTTTTGCCTGTCAGGGACCCTGGGACCTCCACTGGCCTGAAGACACATATCAGGATCCAAGAGGAATCTATGACCAGGTGGCCGGAGACTTGGACACTCTGGAACCCGATTCTCTGCCCTTCGAGCTGAGGGGACATCTGGTGTAAGAGCCCTCTCAACCCCATTGTCCTGCACCTGCAGGAATTTACACTCCACTGGTCTCTCTCATTACAGCCTGGGCCGAGCTGGTTAGGTGAGCTCCATAAAACCCAAAGGGACTTGGTGTCAGGAGAGGACATGGAGGGGGCTGAGTGACAGAGATGGTTCAGCTGGTACCAGAGTAGAAACAAGGTGCATCCTGGGGTTGGCTTTAGAAACTAAACTTCTCCAAAAGGACAGGGCAGATTGTAAACGTCGTCTCAAAAATGAAATGCTGCCGGGTGCGGTGACTCACGCCTATAATCCCAGCACTTTGGGAGGCTGAGGCGGGTGGATCACCTGAGGTCAGGAGTTCGAGACCAGCCTGGCCAACATGGTAAAACTCCATTTCTACTAAAAATATAAAAAATTAGCCAGGAGTAGTGGCGCATGCCTGTAGTCCCAGCTACTTGGGAGGCTGATGCATGAGAATTGCTTGAACCCAGGAGGCGGAGGTTGCAGTGAGCTGAGATCACGCCACTGCACTCCAGCCTGGGCGACAGAGCGAGATTCTGTCTCAAAAAATAAAAATAAAATAAAAATAAAAAATAAAATGCTATTCTGAGGGTCCCTAAGTGCTTCATGAAGTAAAGTTTTCAGAAGTGGGGAAAGACATATGAAAAACTCTGTTCATTTTGCATTCCATGACGTCTGAAATAGCTAATAATAAGTGGAATTTATGAATCCATGTTGCATCCTACCTATTATTTTATTATTTCCGACAGTTATCTAACACAGGAGGCATAAACTATGACACATGTAAACATAAGTATGCTCCATAAGCATTAAAATAAACAGACAATCAAAAGAAGCTAGAGGAAAAGAATATGTACTGTGTGTGTGCTTTCGTTTATAGAAATTCTAAAATAGGCAAAACTAATCTACGGTGGCAGAGAGCACAGCAGAGGTTTCCTGGGGCCATGAGAGGAGGGTTGACTGCAAAAAGGCATGGGAGAACTTTCTGAGGTGTTGGAAATATTCTATATAACGATTGTGGTGGTGGTTGCACGGGTGCACAGATTTGTCAAAACTCATTGAACTTTACACTTAAGATGGGTGCATTTTTATTGTACATAAATGATATCTCAATAAAAGTGATTTTAAAAACAGGCTTCATAATAACAGCCCAGTAAGAGGATCCCTCCCTCCCTCCCTCCCTTCCTTCCTTCTTTTCTTTCCTGTCTTTCTCTCTCTCTCTGTCTCTGTCTCTCTCTCTCTCTTTCCCCTTCCCTCCCCTCCCCTCCCCTGCCCTTCCCTTCCCTTCTCTCCCCTCCGCTGCCCTTCCCTTCTCTCCCCTCCCCTCCCCTTCCCTCCTCTCCCCTCCCCTCCCCTTCCCTCCCCTCCCCTCCCCTTCCCTCCCCTCCCCTTACCTCCCCTCCCCTCCCCTCCCGTTCCCTTCTCTTCCCTTCCTTTCTTGTCTCGCTTTGTCACCCAGGAGTGCAATGGCACGATCTCAGCTCACTGCAACCTCCACCTCCCAGGTTCAAGTAATTCTCTTGCCTCAGCCTCCCTAGTAGCTGGGATTGCAGGCGGCCGCCACCAGGCTCGGCTAATTTTTTGTATTTTTAGTAGAGATGGGGTTTCAACCATGTTAGCCAGGCTGGTCTCAAACTCCTGGCCTCAAGTGATCCACCCGCCTCAGCCTCCCAAAGTGCTGAGATTACAGGTGTGCGTGAGCCACCACGCCTGGCTCCATCTTTCTATTGAATAGCAGGATAGCTGAGAAGCCCACCTGTTTCCATGAAGAACAGACTTTCTTCAGACCACACTTCTACTTGATTAACCATATTATCAAAACTTTCTAGTTCACGTGTTTGTCAATATATTTATTTTTCTTTTGTTTTCTTTTTTACAAATACACCCCAATTGTTGTATGACAATGTTATTTTTTATCAGCACAGACTAAAATAAGTTTTTACACCACAGCACTGGAATACATAAACACATTAAGATCTAAATGATTTCCCTGTAATTAAAAGGTGACTTCATTTCTAACAGTAGAATTTTTCTAATTGTATATTTTTTCTTTTTGTTTCAAATAAATCCACAGCCAACAACATGTAATTGTATATTTTTCCTTTTCAAAGAAAAAACCTACAACATTCTTTTTTAATTTTTATTTTTTATTTTTGTTTTTATTTTTTATTATTATTATTATTATTATTATTATTATTATTATTTTGAGAGAAGTCTTGCTCTTATCCCCCAGGTTTGAGTGCAATGGCTCGAACTCTGCTCACTGCAACGTCTGCCTCCCAGGTTGAAACGGTTCTCTTGCCTCTGCCTCCCAAGTAGCTGGGATTAAGTCGCCTGCCATCACGCCTGGCTAATTTTTGTATATTTTAGTAGAGACGGGGTTTCACCATGTTGGCCAGGCTGGTTTCGAACTCCTGACCTCAAGTGGTCCGCCCGCCTCGGCCTCCCAAAGTGCTGGGATTACAGGCATGAGCCACTGCGCCTGGCCTATTTTTATTTTTTTGAGACAGAGTCTCACTTTGTCACCCAGGCTGCGAATACAGTGGCACGATCTCGGCTTATTGCATCCTCTGCCTCCTTGTTTCAAGTGATTCTCCTGCCCCAGCCTCCCGAGTAGCTGGGACTACAGGCGCCCACCACCACGCCTAGCTAACTTTTTGTATTTTTAGTAGAGACGGGGTTTCACCATGTTGGTCAGGCTGGTCTCGAACTCCTGACCTTGTGATCCGCCCGCCTCGGCCTCCCAAAGTGCTGGGATTACAGGTGTGAGCCACTGTGCCCAGCCTTTTTTTTTTTTTTTTTTTTTTTGAGACACAGTTTATCTCTGTCACCTAGGCTGGAGTTCAGTGGCACGATCTTGGCTCACTGCAACCCCTGCCTCCTGGGTTCAAGCAATTTTTGAACCTCAGCCTCCCAAGTAGATGGGACTACAGGTGTATGCCACCACACCCAGATAATTTTTGTATTTTTATTCTTTTTTATTTTATTTTTTTGAGACAGAGTCTCACTCTGTAGTCCAGGTTGGAGTGCAGTGGCGTTATTTCGGCTCACTGCATCCTCTGCCTCCTGGTTCAAGAGATTCTCTTGCCTCAGCCTCCCGCATAGCTGGGATTACAGGTGTGCGCCACCACGCCCAATTAATTTTTGTATTTTTAGTAGAGATGGGGTTTTGCCATGTTGGCCAGGCTGGTCTTGAACCCCTGACCTCAAGTGATCTGCCCGCCTCAGTCTCACAAAGTGCTGGGATTACAGGCGTGAGCCACCATTCCCTGCAAAACCTAGAACATTCTATTCTACATTGGCTTAAGCAGGAAAGGAAATTTGTTGGCTCTTGCAGCTGACAATTGCAGGGGGTAGCGTTGGCTTCAGACACTGCCAGACCTAGTATTGAAACATAGCCATGCAAGGTCTAGCTTCATTCTCGGGTAGACCCTTTATTTGGGAAACAGAGAAGACCACTTGTAGTTCTAGGCTGGTATCCCATGAGCTCAGCAGCCAGAGTGCCTCTTTATGCCAATAGTTCTGGAAAGCTCTGGGGCTGTCTTTCATCAGCCCAGGCTGGGTCTTATGCCTGTCCTGGAACCAACCACTGTGGCCAAGGAATATGCTGCTAAGCCAGGTCCTGGGTTGCTCAGCACCATGAACCACTTGGAAGAAGCTCTCCAAAGTAACCGCAGGCTGTGGCTGGGTCTCTTCATGCAGTTCCTACTTCCTCCTCTCCTTTTTCTGATTCAGTGTAGCGGACATCTATTGCTTCTGCCTTCCCCGGATCTAGTCCCCCTTAATCTATACAGATATTGATGAACAAGACAAATGCCTAGTTGTACCAAGCCACTGGATCCAGCCACACCTGAAGTCAGGGCTACTTCTAGACTACCAGTTTCCCTCCCCACTTAGGTCAGTCTGAATGTCATTTTCAGTTAGTTGCAACCATAAATGTCCTTCACTCTTTTTTTTTTTTTTTTTTTTTTGAGACGGAGTCTCGCTGTCACTCAGGCTGGAGTGCAGTGGCGCGATCTCGGCTCACTGCAGGCTCCGCGCCCCAGGGTTCATGCCATTCTCCTGCCTCAGCCTCCCACGTAGCTGGGACTACAGGCACCTGTCACCTCGCCCGGCTAATTTTTTGTATTTTTAGTAGAGACGGGGTTTCACCGTGTTGGCCAGGATGGTCTCGATCTCCTGACCTTGTGATCCGCCCTCCTTGGCCTCCCAAAGTGCTGGGATTACCAGGCGTGAGCCACCGCGCCCGGCCTAAATGTCCTTCACTCTTAAACCAGTTTGAATGAGGTCTTTAGTTAACTGAGGAGGAAATAAATAATTTGCAAGGGGTGGAAACTCAAATTAGTAGAGCCTAAAAAGCATGTATTGCATTAGTTACTTGGGGAAAAATAGTAATTTCACAGTGGATAAACCTGACAGATGTCACCTTCACCAGATGATCAAAGTTGATGCTACCAGTCATGGGACAAACTGACACAAGGAGCCCCCTGATATAAAATACTGAGAAGGGGCCAGGCGTGGTGGCTCATACCTGTAATCCCAGCACCTTGGGAGGCAGAGGTGAGCAGATCACCTCAGGTCAGGAGTTCAAGACCAGCCTGACCAACATGTGAAACCCTGTGTCTACTAAAAATATAAAAATTAGCTGAGAGTGGTGGCACGTGCCTGTAATCCCAGCTACTCAGGAGGCTTGAACCCAGGAGGCGGAGGCTGCAGTGAGCCGACACCGTGCCACTGCACTCCAGCCTGGGCGACGGAGCGAGACTCTGTCTCAAAAAAAAAAAAAAATTACTGAGAAGGATACAACCACATGTTACTAATACTACTGACTATAAAAGTGCATAACCTGAGCCGGGGCTCATGCCTGTAATCCCAGCACTTTGGGAGGCCAAGATGTGTAGATTGCTTGAGACCAGGAGTTTGAGACCAGCCTGGGTAAAATGGTGAAACCCTGTTTCTACAAAATAATACAAAAATTAGCTGGACATGGTGGTGTGCAACGGTAGCCTCAAGTACTCAGGAGGCTGAGGTGGGAGGATTGCTTGAGCCCAGGAATTCAAGGCTGCAGTGAGCCATCATCACACCACTGCACTCCAGCTTGGGCAACAGAGCCAGACCCTGTCTCAACAAACAAACAAAGAGTCTGGTTACCTTTGGGAGAGAGGGGGATGGTGATTGAAACTGGCACCAGGAAGGCTTGGGGTGAGAATCCTCATAATGTTGTTTTCTTTTCTTTCTTTCTTTTTTTTTTTTTTTTTTTTTTTGATATGGTGTCTTGCTCTGTCTCCCAGGCTGGAGTGCAGTGGTGTGATGATGGCTCACTGCAGCCTCCAACTCTTGGGCTCAAGCGATCCTCCCACCTCAGCCTCCTGTGTAGCTGGGACTACAAGTGTGCACCACCACACATGGCTAATTTTTTATCTTTGTAGAGACAGAGTTTCACTATGTTGTCCAGGTTGGGCCCAAGCGATCCTCCTGCCTTGGCCTCCCGAAGTGCTGGGATTACGAAGTTGTTTTCTTGACTTGGGTGTTAGTTATTCAAGTGTCACTTGCGTCAAATTTACTTTCTGGTCACTTCCTGAAAATTCATACTGAACACATGATATGGGCACATTTCTTTATGTGTGCTATACTTCATTCAGAATTTTACATTACATCTCATAGGTGGCATTGTTGGAATTGTGATTCTTCTGATATGATGTATAACCATTGGTGCCATTCTGAACAAAAAAGTACACAATTTTCACTTTCTTTACATCAGAAGCCGGGCACAGTGGCTCACGCCTGTAATCCCAGTACTTTGGGAGGCCAAGGCAGGAGGATCACTTGAGGTCAGGAATTTGAGACCAGCCTGGCCAACATGGTGAAACTCCCTCTCTATTAAAAATACAAAAAATTAGCTGGGCGTGGTGGCACAGGCCTGTAAACCCAGCTACTTGGGAGGCTGAGGCAGAAGAATCACTGGAACCCGGGAGGCAGAGGTTCTAGTGAGTTGAGATGGCACCACTGCACTCCAGCCTGAGCAACAGAGCGAGATTCTGTCTCCAAAAAAAATAGATAAATAAAAATAAATTTACATCATAGTTTCATTTCAGAAAATGTCAATATATTTTAAACCATACCAAAATTTTGTGTGTATGGTATATGTGTTATATTAATAATTTCAGATAACTGTAAACTTATTTTACGCACAGAAGCGCCTGCAAAGACATTTACAAACTGTTCTGGATGCAGATTTCAGCGTCCAGCATTCCTGGTCCTGCCTCTAGATGCCTGTAATGCCCTCCAATCAATGCTGCAGCCAAAAACAATTATGCAAATTTCCCAAGCTCCCACCAGGGTGCGGTCGTGTCCCGTTTGAGAAGAACCAATCCATGAGGGGATTCTGAATGAGCATGTGTGTGTGTGTGTGTGTGTGTGTGTGTGTGTGTGTGTGTGTGTGTGTGTGTACATTGGGTTCCAGAGCTCAGGAGAGAGGTCTGTGCTGGAGATTAAAACTGGCTGGACTGTCCTCTGCTCCTAAGCTGTCACCAAACTCCAGTATTAAGGGATAAGTAGCTGTGCAGGGGCTGGAGACAAAGAAGACTCCAGGAGCACAGTGTGGGAAGGGATTTCCCTAAAATTGTTGCTGGAGAATAACCCCCAAGTCAGGGAGTGGTAGGAATTAAGGCTAGTGAGATGGCCAAAGATAAACCACAAAGCTCATCTTATGGGTTTGTGCTTTATCCTGTGGGTGACAGGAAGCCAATGAGTCGCTGCAGCAGCAGTGACAGACAGCATTTATGAGCTCCTAACACATGCCAGCTCACATTCTATGTTCTGTATATGTATCACCTCCTGGAACCATCAGAGTCACGCATGAGTCCAGTTTTTTGTTTCATTTTGTTTTTAATTATTTGTTTATTTAGAGAGAGAGTGCACCTGTGTTGCTGCTGGAGTGCAGTTATGCGATCTTGGCTCACTGCAACCTCCACCTCCCGGGTTCAAGCGATTCTTATGCCTCAGCCTCCCGGTAGCTGGGATTACAGGCGCCTGCCACCACCCCCAGCTAGTTTTTGTATTTTTAGTAGAGAAGAGGTTTCGCCATGTTGGCCAGGCTGGTCTCAAACTCCTGACCTCAGGTGATCCACCCGCCACGGCCTCCCAAAGTGCTGGTACTGCAGGCATGAGCCACCACGCCCCAGGTAGGTTTTGTGCATTGGTTGAGCACTCTTGAAGCTCCAGAAACAGGCACAGCACTGGAGCTGGCTGGAATACCTTATTCTTCAATCCCAGTGATTGGTATGGGGTCACCTGGTGACCCAACCAGAGAGAATAAGAGGGACTCTCCCACCTATGGCTCTGCCTCTCTGCTGGTGTTAGAGCCCCTTTGCCTCTTACCACAAAATGGACAATCACCCACAGAAGGACCGGCTGGGAACTTTATTCCAGAACCTTCCATGGCTACTGTTGAGCAGCCCATTGTGTTCTGTTTTGCAGGGCACTCAGGATTCCCCAGTGACCAGGTGTGGGTGGCTCATGTCTGTAATCCAAGCACTTTGGGAGGCTGAGACAGGAGGACCACCTGAGACCAGGAGTTCCAGACCAGCCCAGGCAGCACAGAGAGACCCCATCTCTACAAAAAACACAAAAATTACCCAGCTGTGGTGCCACACTCCTGTAGTCCCAGCAACTCGGGAGACTGAGGCAGGAGGATCCCTTGAGCCCAGTAGTTCAAAGCTGCAGTGAGCTATGAGAGCTATGATCGATCACACCACTGTACTACAGCCTGGGTGACAGAACAGGACCCTGTCTCTAAAACAAAACGAAACAAAAATTCTCTCCACCTAGTCTCTCCCTCTCCCACACTCTCATTTTCAACTTCACTTTCCCCCAATCCAGGTTGTGTGCCTCAGATAGGTGAGAAAAATGCTTTTCCTTCTTATAGCCATATTTGTTTCTACCTCCTTGCCTTTAATTTGTCTGTGGTCTCAACCTGGGATACCCACCCTCTTGATGTAATTGAATTGGTGGAGCATCTAGTCCAGGCTACACTCTGGAGGATGCAAAGATAAATAATAGACCTCGGTAGCTTCAATGCTCTGCCATTTCAGTATGATGTGTTTAGGCATGGATTTCTTTAGTGTTTGTTTGTTTGTTTGCTTGTTTGTTTGTTTTGAGATGGAGTCTCACTCTGTCACCAAGGCTGGAGTGCAATGGGCGATCTCAGCTCACTGCAACCTCTGCCTCCCAGGTTCGAGGGATTCTTCTGCCTCAGCCTCCCGAGTAGCTGGGATTACCAGCACGTGCCACCACGCCCAACTAATTTTTGTATTTTTAGTAGAGGCAGGTTTTCACCATTTGGCCGGGCTGGTCTCGAACTCCTGACCTCGTGATCTGCCCGCCTCAGCCTCCCAAAGTGTTGGGATTACAGGTACGAGCCACCACACCCGGCCTCTTTTGTTTTATCTAGCTTAAGATATCTTTGCTTCTTTGTGAATATGTATTTTTCATCAGTTCTGGAAAATTCTCAGCCATTATTTCTTCCAAGATTGCCTCTCTTCTATACTCTCTAATTTCTACCTTTTTTTTTTTTTTTTTTTCTTGAGACGGAGTCTCACTCTGTTGCCCAGGCTGGAGTGCAATAGCGCCATCTCGGCTCACTGTAACTTCCACCTCCCCGGTTCAAGCGATTATCCTGCCTCAGCCTCCTGAGTAGTTGGGATTACAGGCACGCGCCATCACGCCCGGCTAATTTTTGTATTTTTAGTAGAGGCGGAGTTTCACCATGTTGGCCAGGCTGGTCTCAAACTGCTGACCTCAGGTGATCCGCCCGCCTCAGCCTCCCAAAGTGCTGGGATTACAGGCGTGGCCTGGAGGTTTTTGTTTTTAAAGCAGCTCTTAGAACCAGGCCGGCAACCTTTAATATGCAAATGCAGGCCACCCAACTGGGTCCACCCAAACATGGCGATTCCCAAGGCCATGTTTGGGAGGTCGAGGCAGGCGGATTGCCTGAGCTCAGGAGTTCGAGACCAGCCTGGCCAACATGGTGAAACCCCATCTCTACTAAAAGAATACAAAAAATTAGCTGGGCGTGGCGGTGTGCGCCTGTAGTCCCAGCTACTTGGGAGGCAGAGGTGGAGAATCGCTTGAACCCAGGAGGCAGAGGTTGCAGTGAGCCGAGATCGCGCCGTGCATTCCAGCTGGTGACAGAGCAAGACTATGTCTCATTAAAAAAAAAAAAACAAAAAAACTTCGAGGCCGGGCGCGGTGGCTCACACCTGTAATCCCAGAACTTTGGGAGGCCGAGGCGGGCGGATCACAAGGTCAGGAGTTTGAGACCAACCTGGCCAACAATGTGAAATACCTGTCTCTACTTAAAAAAAAAAAAAACACACACACACACACAAATTAGCCGGGCATGGTGGCGTGTGCCTCATGGCCTGCAACTGTAATCACAGCTACTCGGGAGCCTGAGGCAGGAGCATGCTTGAATGCGGGAGGTGGAGGTTTCAGTGAGCCGACATTGTGCACTCCAGCCTGGGCGACAGAGTGAGACCCTGTCTCAAAAAAAAAAAAAAAAAAAAAGGTGGGTCTTATCCAGAATCTGCTTGAATTGATGTGATGCAATCTATAAGTCCCTTGTCCAGCAAATACCAAAGAAATCTATTAAATTAGTTACCCATTCAACAAAAATAAGTCCATTCAACAAAAATAAGTCCTGTGTTAAGCAGTAGGGATAAATTAATGACAAAACCAAATGTGACCCCCCGACCTCATGGTGTTCACAGTCTAGCAGGGGCGTGGGGAGAGAAACTGAGTCTTCACTCACAGACGAATAAACATGACAAGAGCTACAAGGCTGGTGTTAAAATGTGAAAGGGTAAAACTCCCCCTCATCTGGGAGGGGCTGCTCAAGGCAGACCTCCTTGAGGGGGTGTCTTAAACCCTGACACCTGAGGGCAGGTGGGAGTTAATTAGGGAAAGAAGGAAGGGTGGAGTTTTCAGGGAAAAGGAACAGCGGAAATGCAACAGCAGGAAGCTGGGTGTGTTCCAGGGACAGTGAAAAGACAAAGAGGGAGGGAGGACCCCATTTAGAGAGGCTAAGGTGTCCGATTGTAGGGGCCGTGCCTCTTCACCTGGGTGAACATTTGAACCACCAGGGGAGCTTTCAACACCCCAATGCCTACCCAGTAATCACATTTCTGGGGATGAGGCCCTAGGCTGGGCGTGGTGGCTCACGTCTGTAATCCCAGCACGTTGGGAGGCCAAGGTAGGCGGATCATCTGAGGCCAGGAGTTCAAGACCAGCCTGGTTAATATGGTGAAACCCCGCCTCTCCTAAAAGTACAAAAATTAGCCGGGCATGGTAGCAGACACCTGTAATCCCAGCTACTTGGGAGGCTGAGGCAGGAGAATCACTTGAACCTGGGAGGCGGAGGTTGCAGTGAGCAGACATCTGCAGCCTAGGCAACAGAGCAAGATGGAGCCAAAAAAAAAAAGAAAAGAAAAAAAAGGCAGGCCAAGTACAGAGGCTCATGCCTATAAGCTTAGCGTTTGGGAGGCCAAGGTAGGAGGATTGTTTGAGCCTAGGAGTTTGAGGCTGTAGTGAGCCATGATCATGCTGGAGCATTCCAGCCTGGGTGACAGAGTGAGATCCCCCATCACAAAAAAGAAAGGAAAAAAAAATTTTTTTAAATTTAGCTGGGCATAGTGGCATGTGCCTATAGTCCCAGCTACTTGGGAGGCAGAGGTGGGAGGATCACCTGAGCCTGGGAGGTTGAGGCTGCAGTGAGCCGAAATTGTGCCACTGCACTCCAGCCTGGGCAACAGAGTGAGACCCTGTCTCAAAAATGAATAAATAAATAAATACACACATACATACATACATACATACATAAATAAGAAAATAAATAAAAATTTCAAGGCCGGGCGCAGTGTGGCTCACGCCTGTAATCCCAGCAGTTTGGGAAGCCGAGGCGGGTGGATCACGAGGTCAGGAGATTGAGACCATCCTGGCTAACATGGTAAAACCCCGTCTCTACTAAAAATACAAAAAATTAGCCGGGCGTGGTGGTGGGTGCCTGTAGTCCCAGCTACTCGGGAGGCTGAGGCAGGAGAATGGCATGAACTCAGGAGGCGGAGCTTGCAGTGAGCCAAGATTGCGCCACTGCACTCCAGCCTGGGGGACAGAGCAAGACTCCGTCTCAAAAAAAAAAAACTTACAATGTGAGGGCCAGGTGCCGTGGCTCATGCCTGAAATCCCAACACTTTGGGAGGCCCAAGGTGAGAGGACTGCTTGAGTCCAGGGGTTCAAGACCAGCCTAGGCAGCATAGTAAGACTCTGTCTCTACCAAAAAAACAATTAAAAATTACCCTCGGTGTGATCACATGCACCTGTAATCCCAGCTACTTGGGAGGTGGAGGTGGTGGGTGGGGGGATTGCTTGAGCCCAGAAGTTTGAGGCTGCAGTGAGCAGTGATCACCCCACTGCACTCCAGCCTGGAAGACAGAGCAAGACTCTGTCTCAAAAACAAAACAAAAAAAACCTTACAATGTGAACAACTATGAATCATCATCCATGTTAAGACCTAGGACTCCTAGGACCTAGAAGCCACTGCCAGGCACAGTGGCTCACACCTGTAATCCCAGCACTTTGGGAGGCCAAGGCAGGTGGATCATGAGGTCAGGAGTTCAAGACCAGCCTGGCCAAGATGGTGAAACCGTGACTCTACTAAAAACACAAAAGTTAGCCAGGCGCGGTGGCAGACGCCTGTAATCCTAGCTACTCGGGAGGCTGAGGCAGGATAATTGCTTGAACCCGGGGGCAGAGGCTGTAGTGAGCCGAGATCGTGCCACTGCACTCCAGCCTGGGCAACAGAGTAAGACTCTGTCTCAAAAAAAAAAAAAAAAAAAAAAAAAGACCTAGGACTTCACGCCTGTAATCCCAGCATGTTGGGAGGACAAGTAGGGTGGATCACTTGAGGTCAGGAGCTCAAGACCAGCCTGGCCAACATGGTGAAACCCCATATCTACAAAAATACAAAAATTAGCCAGGTGTGGTGGTGGGTGCCTGTAGTCCCAGCTACTCAGGGGGCTAAAGCAGAAGAATCACTTGAACCCGGGAGATGGGGGTTGCAGTGAGCCGAGATCGCACCACTGCACTCCAGCCTGGGTGACAGAGCAAGGATACGTCTAACAAAACAAAACAAAAAAATTAAGACATATGGTTTCCATTTTAAAAAAAGAAAATAGGATATAGAAGTCCCCATATCCCTCTACCCCATTACAATTCCTCCCATCCCCCACAATCAACCACCTCTCTGACTTCTGTGATAATCATGTCCTTACTTTTCTTGTCCTCATAGTTTGACCACCCACGCATGTATTCCCAACATTTTACTGCAGTTTCACTTTCCTTGCTTTTATATTTATTGAAAAGTATAGACCAGCCACAGTGGCTCATGCCTGTAATCCCAGCACTTTGGAAGGCTGAGGCGGGCAGATCACCTGAGGTCGGGAGTTCAAGACCAGTCTGACCAACATGGAGAAACCCTGTCTCTACTAAAAATACAAAATTAGTGGGGCGTGGTGGCACATGCCTGTAATCCCAGCTACTCTGGAAGCTGAGGCAAGAGAATCGCTTGAACCCGGGGGGTGAAGGTTGCAGTGAGCTGAGATTGTGCCATTGCACTCTAGCCTGGGCAACAAGAGTGAAACTGTGTCTCAAAAAAAAAAAAAAAAAAAAAAAAAAAAGAATAATACAGCTTGCCCTGTTTGGTGTCTGGCTTCTTTCACTTGACATTGTGAGATTCAGCCACACAGTTGTGTGTATCAGTATCCATTCTTTTTCATTACTGTATAGTATTCCATTGCATAACTACACCACCATATATGTATCCATTCTCCTTTTGATGGACATTTGGGTAGTTCAGACACTGCTCCTCTGAACATTCTTTCCTGTACATGTTTCCTGCTGTCCATGTTTAAGGTCTCTAGGATATGTACTTAGCATGGAACAGCTGGGTTATATAGGTTATTTGTCTTTTCTTTTTTCTTTTTTTGGCGACAGAGTCTCACTTTGTCACCCAGGGTGGAGTGCAGTGGCACAATCACAGCTCACTGCACCCTTGACCTCCCAGGCTCAAGAGATCCACCTTCCTCGGCCTCCTGAGTAGCTAGGACCACAGGTGTGTGCCACCACACACAGTTAATTTTTGTATTTTTTGTAGAGATGGGGTCTCACTATGTCGCCCAGGGTAGTCTCAAACTCCTCGGTCTTGGCCTCCCAAAGTGTTGGGATTACAAACGTGAGAACCGTATTTTCAAATGTATTCAATAACACTACAGCGTTTCCAATTTTAAGAGGAAGCAATTGCCACAAAAGTGATTAAGTAGCCTGTCCTGGATCACAAAGCCCGGTGTCCTGAGCCCAGGGATCCTTGCTCCGGAGCCCCTGCTTTCCCCAGCACATGGTGGTTACCTAATAAGTGCAGGCTGTTGTGCTGAGCATTCTTGGGGGCTGTTACTGGGGTTCACCTCCCGTTTCCGTTACTCTGAACTCTGTCCCCATTTGTTAATAATTAATTGCCCCCAAGGAGCCTGTGATCCTGAGGCTTTGCCCAGTTAATCAGTCACTGCCCCTGGTCTGGGCAAGGGGCAGTTGGTGAACTTGCTGCCTCCAGAGAACCTTCCCTGGTGTGGAGGCAGCCAGGGACCCAGGATGCTCCGGACCTGTTACGTGCTCTGTTCCCAAGCTGGTCCCCCCTCCAGGGGCTGGCAGTCCCTGAGCTTTGATGGCGGGGCCTTCCACCTTAAGGGCACAGGAGAGCTGACACGGGCCTTGCTGGTTCTCCGGCTGTGTGCCTGGCCCCCACTCGTCACTCACGGGCTGTTGGTGAGCAGTGATCCTGAGGACCAGCCTGGAGGCTCCTCATAGCCTGGCGCTGAGCCCTCGCTCCCTGTCACCCAGCTCCAGGCCTGGTCTCGGCGACTCCTGGGCTCCCGGCTCTCAGGCGCATTTCTCCGAGCATCCGTCTATGGGCAGTTTGTGGCTGGTGAGACAGCAGAGGAGGTGAAGGGCTGCGTGCAGCAGCTGCGGACCCTCAGCCTCCGACCACTGCTGGCAGTGCCCACTGAGGAGGAGCCGGACTCTGCTGCCAAGAGTGGGTGAGTAGGGAGCCAGGGCCCAGGGAGGCTGGGAGGACGCAGGAAGGGGCTTTGCTGTTCGGGCCCTGACACCTGCTGGCTGGGCAGTGAGGCGTGGTATGAGGGGAACCTCGGTGCTATGCTGCGGTGTGTGGACCTGTCACGGGGCCTCCTGGAGCCCCCCAGCCTGGCTGAGGCCAGCCTCATGCAGCTGAAGGTGACGGCGCTGACCAGTACTCGGCTCTGTGTAAGGAGTGCAAAGACGGGGGTGCGGGGAGGGCGCGGCTGCCCATCGGGCTCCCCTCACCACCCCGCCTACCACCCCATTTCAGAAGGAGCTAGCCTCGTGGGTCAGAAGGCCAGGAGCCTCCTTGGAGCTGAGCCCCGAGAGGCTGGCTGAAGCTATGGACTCTGGGCAGGTAAGGATCTCAAGCGGGACTGTCGGGGACAGAGTGCCTTGGACTTAGATGCGGCCACACCGCACGCCAGATGTTCAAAATGCTACGGCCACCTCCAGGCTTGGAACAGCCAGCAGAAGTGCAGCTGTAGCTCCCAGGCATGGTTGAAATGGATGGAATCAGGGTCATCTGGGTTCTCAGGGAGGAGCCTGGAGGCTGGAGGCTCTCAGAGGAGGGATTGGGATAGAAGCTGTTTATCAATTAGAAGGAGGTACATCAGTGTGTTCTCAGTCAACACAGCTGCATGGGTGTGAGCTGGCTGGGTGTAAGTTCTGATTAGGCCAATGGGGTCTTAGTTTGTTCATTCAATCATTAATTCCTTTTTATCTCCACATTCTCTTTCAACCCTACTCCATCTTTTTTTCTTTCTTTCTCTCTCTCTCCTTCCTTCCTCTTCCTCTTTTGCTCTCTCTCCTTCCTTCCTTCTTTTCTTTTTCCTTCTCTCCCCTCCCTCCCTCCCTCCCTTCCTTCCTTCCTTCCTTTATTCCTTCCTTCCTTCCTTCTCTCTCCTCCCTCCTCTCTCTCTCTCTCTCTCTTTCTCTTTGTCTTACTGTATTGCACAGGGTGGTCTCTAACTCATGGCCTCAAGCAATCCCCCAGCCTCAGCCCCCCAAAGTTCTGGGATTATAGGTGTGAGCCACCACACCCAGCCTGCCGTCTTGTATAATGCATATCTTTTTGTTTCTATGATTTTGTTTTGCCAGGTGTATACCATTCGTGGGGGGCATATTTTCCCCAATATTCTATTATAAAAATTTTCAAATATACAGAAAAGTAAAAAGAATTGTACATGAACATCCATGCCCCCGCCACCTTTAACTATACTCACTTTAAATCATATCTATCCCTCTATTCCTCTATCCATCCATCAATCCATCTTATTTTTTGGTGCATTTCAAAGTAAATTGCAGACATGTTTTCCCCCTAAATGCTTCAGGATATGAATAATGGGCTCATTAATTAGAGCCCAATAATTATTCGCAGTACTTTTTTTCTTTCAAGGTAAAACAATGAACTACACACATTGTAAATGTGCCCTTTGATGAACCTTAACCAATACACACACTTGAGCAATCCAAATCCCTATCAAGATTTAGAACATGGCCGGGGGCAGTGGCTCACGCCTGTAATCCCAGCACTTTGGGAGGCTGAGGCGGATGGATTACTGGAGGTCAGGAGTTCAAGACCAGCCTGGCCAACATGGTAAAACTCCGTCTCTACTAGAAATACAAAAATTATCTGGACGTGGTGGCACACACCTGTAGTCCCAGTTACTTGGGAGGCTGAGGCAGGAGAATCGCTTGAACCGGGAGGCGGAGGTTGCAGTAAACCGAGATCGTGCCACTGCACTCCAGCCTGGTGACAGAGTAAGACTCCGTCTCAAAAAAAAAAAAAAAAATTCTTCTTGCCTCACCCTCCCAAATTGTTGGGATTATGGGCTGAGCCACCATGCCCGGCCCCCACTGTTTCCAATAGTTGATTCTAGCTGCTGCATGGTTTACCTCTCCTGGGGTGAACCCCTGGGTGGCCTCTGTGTCTCCACCCTCCCAAACAATGCTATAGTGGACATGCTGATGTTTCTTTTTCTAACCTTTTTTTATTTGTAATTTTTATTTGTTTATCTATTTATTTATTATTATTATTATTATTATTATTATTATTTTAAGACAGAGTCTTGCTCTGTTGCCCAGGCTGGAGTGCAGTGGCGCAATCTCTGCTCACTGCGACCTCCGCCTCCCGGGTTCTCCTGCTTCAGCCTCCCGAGTAGCTGGGATTACAAGCGCCTGCCATTACACCTGGCTAATTTTTGTATTTTTAGTAGGGATGAGGCTTCACCATGTTGGCCAGGCTGGTCTTGAACTCCTGACCCCAGGTGAAACGCCCGCCTCAGCCTCCCAAAGTGCTGGGATTACAGGCGTGAGCCACCACGCCCAGCGTTTTTTTTTTTTTTTTTTTTTTTTTTTGAAGCGGCATCTGGCTCTGTTGCCCAGGCTGGAGTGCAGTGGTGCGATCTCGGCTCACTGCAACCTCCGCCTCCCGGGTTCAAACGATTCTCCTGCCCCAGCCTCCTGAGTAGCTGGGGCTACAGGCGCACACCACCACACCCAGCTAAGTTTTGTATTTTTAGTAGAGATGGGGTTTCACTATGTTGGCCAGGCTAGTCTTTAACTCCTGACCTCGTGATCCACGTGCCTCGGCCTCCCAAAGTGCTGGGATTACAGGCATGAGCCACTGTACCTGGCCTTATTTGTAATTTTTAAAGTGTGTCAGAGAACACATAGAAACAAGATTTCATGGTTCAGAAAATCAGCTTTGGAGAGTAAGGAGTTCACCTCTTCATGAGCTTTAGTTTATTCCTGTAGGGAGAGTGACAGCAACTTCTCAGTGGTTTTAAGGATTAAAACAGGCTGGGTGCAGTGCCTCATGCCTGTAATCTGCATTTTGGGAGGCTGAAATTGGAGGCTCACTTGAGCCCAGGAGTTTGAGACCTGCCTGGGCAACATAGTGAGATCTCATCTCTACAAAAAAATTAAAAAATCAGCCTGTGTGCTGGTGCACACCTGGTGTGGAGGCTAAGGCAGGAGGGTCGCTTGAGCCCAGGAGGTCAATACCAACCTGAGTAATATAGTAAACCCTCATCTCTACAAAAAATTCCTTTAAATTAGCTGGGTGTGGTGGCAGGCACCTGTAATCCTGGCTACTTGGGAGGCTAAGGTGGGAGGATTGCTTGAGCTGGCAAGTTTGAGAGCGAAGAAAGAAAGAGAGGGAGGGAGGAAGGAAGGAAGGAAGGAAAGGAAGGAAGGAAGGAAGGAAGAAAGAAATAAAGAAAGAAAGAAAAAAGGGCCAGGTGCTGTAGCTCACACCTGTAATCCCAGCACTTTGGGAGGCTAAGTGGGGCTGGATCACTTGAGGTCAGGAGTTTGAGACCAGCCTGGGCAACATGGTGAAACCCCATCTCTACTAAAAATATAAAACTTATCCAGAAGTGGTGGCACGTGCCTGTAGCCCCAGTTAATCAGGAGGCTGAGGCAGGGGAATCACTTGAACTTGCACCACTGCACTCTTGCCTGGGAGACAGAGTGAGATCTATCTCAAAAAAAAAAAAAAAAGAAGGAAGGAAGGAAGGGAGGGAAGGAGGGAGGGAGGGAGAAAAGAGAGAAAGACCCAGGCTCTGGAAAGGCTGAGGTTTAAACCTCAGGTCTGCCCTGAGTTAGCTGTGTGACTTTTGACAAGTGACTTCCCTGCTCTGTGCCTCAGTTTCCCCATCTAGAAAATGGGGGGATAATAACAGTTGGTACATTAGAGAGTGGTAAATATTAAATGAGTTAAATATTTGGTGGGTGTCTGAAATAGCTCCCTGAGGGCCTAAGACTACGCCCCAAGTCAAGCAGGAGACAATCCTCTGACAGGGGAGGAGGAAACCAGGCTGCTGCCTCCAGGTCTTCCCTTCTCCAGGAGGCAGCATTCTCCCCACCATGCGGAAGGTTGCAGCTTCCAGCCCAACCTGCCTCCAGGTGGGATTCCATGAGCAAGCCCAGGCCTATGTCATCTGTATCGACCCTGTTGGATATAATAAAGCTTTCAGCCCCACCTGTTCCTCTTTCTTCCATTTCCCAACTTCTTTGAACCCAGCCAGACTCCCTGGAGTCACCAGCAGCTCACATTCAGCCAGATGAATCTGCATAAGACTGTGAGTTAGAAACGGTTCTTATTTCCATGTTACAAGCATATCCACTCCCGAAGTGTTTGCTGAACATCTATCTTGTTCCAGACACGGTGCTAGGGGCCGAGGAAGCATGAAGGCAAAATCCCTGACCTCGAGGCACTTACTTGCAAGTCAGGGGCAAGAGACAATAATTAAAACCAAAGTCAGAATCCCAGCACTTTGGAAGGCTGAGGTGGGAGGATCGCTTGAGTCCAGGAGACTGAGACCAGCCTGGGCAACATAGGAAGACCTTGACTCTACAAATAGTAAAGAATTAGCCCGGCATGGTGGTGGGTGCCTGTGGTACTAGGTACTTGGAAGGCTGAAGCAGGAGGATTGCTTGAGCTGGGGAGGTGGAGGCTGCAGTGAGCCATGATCGTGCCACTGCATTCCAGCCTGGGCAACACAGCAAGACCCCGTCTCAGCAAAACAAAAGTCAGTACGTAACAAGTAAGGGAAAATAAGGCTGAGGAAGAGGAAAAGAAGTTGCCAATGTATAGGTGGGAAAACCATGTTGAGAAAGTGACATTAGAGCAAATACTTGAAGGAAACATGGGAGCAGGTAAAGGGCTGGAGGTGGGAAGGTGCCCTCGTGTTCAAAGAGTAGCAGGGAGGGCTGAGCACGGTGGCTCACACCTGTAATCCCAGCACTTTGGGAGGCCGATGTGGGCAGATCACTTGAGGTCAGGAGTTCGAGACCAGCCTGGCCAACATGGTTAAACCCTGTCTCTACTAAAAGTACAAATATTAGCCGGGCATGGTGGCGGGCGCCTGTAATCCCAGCTACTCGGGAGGCTGAAGCAGGAGAATCACTTGAACCCAGGAGGCAGAGGTTGCAGTGAGCTGAGATCATGCCACTGCACTCCAGCCTGGGCAACAGAGCAAGACTCTGTTTCAAAAAACAAACAAACAAAAACTGAGGCCCAGAAAGGTTACATAACTTGCCCAAGGTCACACAGTAGGTGGTGAAGCCTGGATTCGAGCCCTGATTCTAGGCTCATAACCCCCTCAATAAATAGTACCTAACTGATATTGCTCATTTTTAGATTTCTAGCAACTTATAAGCTTTTCCCCACTTCCCCTGCTGCCCCCTAGAACCTCCAGGTCTCCTGCCTCAATGCTGAGCAGAACCAGCACCTCCGGGCCTCCCTCAGCCGCCTGCATCGGGTGGCACAGGTAACCCCTCCTGCTGGAACCAGCACCTCCGGGCCTCCCTCTGCCGCCTGCATTGGGTGGCACAGGTAACCCCTCCTGCTGGAACCAGCACCTCCGGGCCTCCCTCAGCCGCCTGCATCGGGTGGCACAGGTAACCCCTCCTGCTGGGATCTGGCTCCACTGCCCCTGCTGGACACCCGGGGCCCTGACCGTCGTCTCTGTCGCCATCAGTATGCCCGGGCCCAGCACGTGCGGCTCCTGGTGGATGCGGAGTACACCTCACTGAACCCTGCGCTCTCGCTGCTGGTGGCTGCCCTGGCTGTGCGCTGGAACAGCCCGGGTGAAGGCGGGCCCTGGGTGTGGAACACCTACCAGGCCTGTCTAAAGGTGTGCAGTGTGTTCCAGGAGGTACAGGCTGGGGTCCCCACACCCTGACCTACCAGAACCTGCCTGCGTGCCCTATAGGACACATTCGAGCGGCTGGGGAGGGATGCAGAGGCTGCGCACAGGGCCGGCCTGGCCTTCGGAGTGAAGCTGGTACGAGGTGCATATCTGGACAAGGAGAGAGCGGTGGCCCAGCTCCATGGGATGGAAGACCCCACTCAGCCTGACTATGAGGCCACCAGTCAGAGGTAGGCCCGGGCCAGCTGGCCTCTGCAGGAAATAATAACACCTAGTGGTTGGGTGCAGTGGCTCATACCTGTAATCCCAGTGCTTTGGGAGGCTGAGGCTAGAGATTCACTTGAGAGCAGGAGTTGGAGACCAGCCTGGGCAACACAGGGAGACCCCATCTCTAAAAAATTTTAAAAATAGTCAGGTGTGGTAGCACATGCCTGTGGTTCCAGCCACTTAGGAGGCTGAGGTGGGAGGATCACTTGAGGCCAGGAGTTCAAGGCTGCAGTGAGCCATGACTGCACCACTGCACTTCAGCCTGGGCAGCAGAGCGAGAATCTGTCTCAAAACAAACAAACAAACAAACAAACAAACAAAACAAAACAAAAAGAAATCCTTACAGTGGCCTCTAAGCCCCACATGCTCCCTGTCACTTCCCTAACTTTCCCTCCCTCTCTTCCTCTCCCTCACTCCACTACAGCCACACTGGCCTCCTCCATGTTACCCAGGGGCTTGGCACATCCTGTTTCCACTGCCTGGGACATTCCCACTGCAGACAGTGGCATGGCCCCATCCCTCACCTCCTTAGATCTTTACTTCTTGGTACCTTCTCTGGGGGCCACAGGGACTCAGCCAGGCTACAGAGCAGGTGGCCTAGCCACGCTTGGAATCCAGGCTCATGTCCAAGATCTGCAGGGGCTCCAGGGCACGTTTGTGTACCATCAGCTTAACTGGCACCAAGCCAGGCACAGTGGTGTGCACCTGTCATCCCAACTACTTGGGAGGCTGAGGCAGGAAGATTGCTTGAGCCCAGGGGTTTGAGCCCAATCTGCACAACATAGCAAGACCCCATCTGTAAAAAACATTAAACACAAAAAATTATGGCCGGGCATGGTGGCTCACGCTTGTAATCCCGGCACTTTGGGAGGCTGAGGCAGGCAGATCACCTGAGGTCAGGAGTTTGAGACCAGCCTGACAAACATGGTGAAACCCTGTCTCTACTAAAAATACAAAAATTAGCCGGGTGTGGTGGCTTGCACTGGTAATCCCAGCTACTTGGGAGGCTGAGGAAGGAGAATCACTTGAACCCAGGAGGCAAAGGTTGTAGTGAGCCAAGATTGAGCCACTACACTCCAGCCTGGGCGACAGAGTGAGACTCCATCTCAAAATAATAATAATAATTTGCACTATTATTTTAAATATTGAAATATAATTCACGTATCATAGAATTCACAATTTTAACATGTACAATTCAGTGGAGTTTAGTATATTCCCAAAATTGTGCAACCATCACCACTCTTTGATTCCACAATATTTTCATCACCCCAAAAAGTAACCTCATACCAATGAGCAGTCAGCTGCCTTCTGTTCCCTCCTCCCCTCAGCCCCTGGAAACCACTAACCTACTTTTTGTCTCTGTGGATTTGCCTATTCTAGACAATCTTATAAATGGAATCATACAATATGTGCCCTTGTATATTTGGCTTTTTTCATTTGTTTTTTAAGTTATTTTTGAGACAGGGTCTCACTCTGTCGCCCAGGCTGGAGTGCAGTGGTGCGATCTTGGCTCACTGCAGCCTTGACTCCCCAGGCCCAAGCCATCCTCCCACCTCAGTCTCCCCAGTAGCTAAGACCACCAGCGCACACCACCATACCCAACACATTTTTTTATTTTTGTAGACACGGGGTCTCCCTATGTTGCCCAGGCTAGTCTTGAACTCCTAGGCTGAAGCAGCCCTCCTGCCTTGGCCTCCCCAAGTGCTGGGATTATAGGCGTAAGCCAGCATGTCCAGCCACAACTGTGCATTTTAAAGGCAGACTAGCCTACCGATAAGGAGCCTGGGCTCTGGAGCATCAGACAGCCTGAGTTCAAATCCCAGCCTGGCCACCTCTAGCTGTGTGACCTGGGGACAAGAGATAGAACCCCTCTCAGCTTCAGTCTCCCCACTCTGTTAAAATGGAATAAGAACATCTGCCTCCCAGAGTTGATGTGGGAATTAGATGAGTGATTAGCTTTCTCCAAAGCAAACAGAATTCTGCACAAAGGGTTTTAACTAAAGGAAATGTGGTGAAGAGGCTGTTTATAGAAGTGTCAGGGGCCAGGTGCAGGGCCTCACACCTGTAATCCCAGCACTTTGGGAGCCCAAGGTGGGAGGATCGCTTGAGCCCAGGAGTTGGAGGATTCCGTGAGCCGAGATCACGCCACTGCACTCCAACCTGGGCAACAGAGTGAGACCCAGTCTCTAAAAAACACAAAACGAAAAGGAAGTGTGGGCAAAGTCAGGGAAGCTATTAGGAAGCTATTTTGACCCCTATGCTGTAGTTGAAGGAGAGGGGCCACCTTAGGGAGCTGTGGCCACACACAGAACACAGTCAGGGTGAGCAGGGAGGGGCCGAGGTGAGACACCCACACTCCTTCCTGCACATGACTCCATGGGGGATGTGGGGCAAAAGTGTCAGCTTCCTGAGGGGCAGAGAAGGGTAGAAAACAGGTCTGGGGGGCGATAGGGAAGACCCACAGAGGATGTGAAATACATAGCGTGGCCCGTGGCCTGCAGCATGCTTGCAAGGTGTTTGCCAATCTATTTCCTCTTCCATATCAGTACCCAGACAGTGTCTTCCTTCCTTTTCACAGTTGCGCGATAGAGCACTATCTTCTCTGTACCACAATTTCCTTAGCCAGTTCCCCATTTATGGACATTTGGGCTGTTGCTAGTGATGTTCTGTTGACAATGCAGCAGTGATAACCTTGGGGAAATGTCATCTTGTGCATGTGATGCGACCCTCTCCTGTGAGACCGCCGCCACTGTCCCAAAGACTTCATATCCCCCTTATCTCACTCCATCCTCACAACAGTGTTGCTCGGAAACTCACAGTGACAAGAGATTAACATGGGGCCGGGTGCGGTGGCTCACGCCTGTAATCCCAGCACTCTGGGAGGCTGAGGCGGGCAGATCACCTGAGGTCAGGAGTTCGAGTCCAGCCTGGGCAACATGGCGAAACTCCGTCTCTACTAAAAATACAAAAATTAGCCGGGTGTGATGGTGCACGCCTGTAATCCCAGCTGCTCGGGAGGCTGAGGCAGGAGAATCCCTTGAACCTGGGAGGTGGAGGTTGCAGTGAGCTGAGATCATGCCACTGCATTCCAGCCTGGGCAACAGAGTGACTCCATCTCAAAAACAAACAAACAAAACCCCCAAAAAACCCCAGAAGATGAAAGTGGCTCAGAGAAGTGATGTCCCTTACAACTGGTGCAGATGGAACAGAGTACTGGTTCCAGAGACCCCTTGCTTAGGAGCACCCCACCCACCCCAGTCGCTGGGGCCTGACCCTCGCTCACCAGGTGAGCTGAACAGAGCATCTCCCTTCAGTTACAGCCGCTGCCTGGAACTGATGCTGACGCACGTGGCCCGCCATGGCCCCATGTGCCACCTCATGGTGGCTTCCCACAATGAGGAATCTGTTCGCCAGGCAACCAAGCGGTATGAGGTGGAGGGATGGGCGGGAAATAGGTGCCCACAAAAGGGCCCTCCCTTCCTCTCCTTTGCTCAAATGCCAGAGATGGACAGAGGTGTTCTGGGGAGAATTTTAAAAATATTTATAGCCAGGCATGGTTGGCACATGCCTATAATCCCAACACTTTGGGAGGCGAAGGTGGAGGATTGTTTGAGACCAGCCTGGGCAACACAGCAAGACCCCATTTCTACAACAAATTAAAAAAAAAAAAACAGCTGGGTGTGGTGGCGCACACCTGTAGTCCCAGCTATTCCGGAGGTGGAAGGATCACTTGAGCCCAAGAGGTTGAGACTGCAGTGAGCAGTGCTTGAGCCACTGCACTCCAGCCTGGGTAACAAAGCAAGTCCCTACCTCTTAAAACAAACAAACAAACAAACACATTAACCCCTGCTATACCTGTAAGTCCTTATAGGTCCCAGATGGACAAGACGTTGCCCCTTATTTGCTGGGGCATGAGGAGGTCTGAGGGCTCCAGGGAACTGGCTGGGAGTCACTGGGGGACCTTCAAGGAATGCAAAGGACTGGTTATTATGTATCATTGAGTTTGGAAATACTTCAATGTTTGAATTACTGGAGCCGCCATATGGGTGCATAGTGGCTGACTTTAAGCTGTAGATGCAGCCACAGTCTGGACTGATGATGTGGCCTTTTCTGTAGCATGTGGGAGCTGGGCATTCCTCTGGATGGGACTGTCTGTTTCGGACAACTTCTGGGCATGTGTGACCACGTCTCTCTAGCACTGGGTATGTGAATGGCTCCCCCACCCCCATCAAGCCCCAGGCCTTACTCCCTCCCAGCCAGAGCCCTTCTCCTATTCCCAACCAAGGCCCAGCCTCCAGATCCTTCCAGAGAGATCTGTCATTCCAGTGTCTGTGGGCCTTCCAAGGCTGTGTCTCTGTGTCTGCCGTCTGTCATTTCTGCTGGTTCTTGATCATGGTGTATTATTTCTTGTGTGTTTTGTTATCTTTACTGTGCTGCTCCTCAGGGCCTGACACCAGGTAATTAATGTTTCCTTCTGCCAGGTGCTAAGCAGAACGAAATCACTTTATCCTAAATTCATAGCTTGAGGTTTCTTGAAACACCCCACTGGCACAAATTTGAGCTGCAAATACATAAGGGGGTTAACCCATAGCCCCAACTTCGCAGAGGTGGATTTTTCTGTTTTCTTCCTTGATCTGTTTATGGCCAAGACCATTTCCTGGGACTGGGGGAAGGTTGCAGGGTTGACTTTTTATTAACTCTTACTCTAAGGGTGTAGATTTTTGGGTTCCAGCTTAACTTGGGGAAGTTCTCCCTTATAACTCTCACCTCAGGCTTGAAGACTGACTCAATGTCCCCCCGCAACTCTGTGAATTCATCAGATAGCACCTCGGTTTTGCTTTTGGGGCAGAAGTGGCTTGCTGTGTGTCTCTTCTCTCTCTGGGTTCTCATTTTCTCTTTTATTTTATTTTATTTATTTATTTATTTTGAGACAGAGTCTTGCTCTGTTACCCAGGCAGGAGTCCAGTGGTGCCATCTTGGCTCACTGCAACCTTTGCCTCCCAGGTTCAAGCGATTCTCCTGCCTCAGCCTCCCAAGTAGCTGGGATTACAGACGGCTGCCACCACGCCCAGCTAATTTTTGTATTTTTAGTAGAGATGGGGTCTTACCATGTTTGCCAGGCTGGTCTCAAACTCCTGACCTCAGGTGATCTGCCTGCCTTGGCCTCCCAGAGTTGCTGGGATTACAGGCGTGAGCCACCACGCCCAGCTTATTTATTTTGTTTTTGAGACAGAGTCTGGCTCTGTCGCCCAGACTTGAGTGCAGTGGCACGATCTCAGCTCACTTCAACCTCCGCCTCCTGGGTTCAAGTGATTCTCCTGCCTCCGCCTCCCCAGTAGCCGGGATTATAGGCACGCACCACCATGCCCAGCCAATTTTTGTATTTTTAGTAGAGACGGGGTTTCACCATGTTGGCCAGGTTGGTCAGTGTGCTGAGATTGTGCCACTGCCCTCCAGCCAGGGCGACAGACCAAGACTCTGTCTCAAAATTAATTAATTAATTAATTAATCAATTGAGATAAAATAAAAACAGTTAGCTGGGCGTGGAGGTGCATGCCTGTGGTCCCAGCTATTCAGGAGGCTGAGGTGGGAGGATTGTTTGAGCCTGGGAGGTCAAAGCAGCAGTGAGTCGTGATCACACCACTGCACTCCAGCCTGGGCCACAGGGCTAGACCCTGTCTAAGAGAGAAAAAAAAAAGTTTGCTCCAGGACTTTTAGCTTTTTCAGTTAGAAATTTTATCCAACTCACTTAATCTGCCATGTTCTCAGAAACAGAAGTCTCTGTTCCAGGTGGGGACTGGGGAGTGTCCCCCCAGCCCAAGCCCATACCCTGTCAACACTCCAGGCTGGGCATGGTGGCTCACGCCTGTAATCCCAGCACTTTGGGAGGCCAAAGCAGGAGGATAACTTGAGGTCAGGAGTTCGAGACCAGCCTGGCCAACATGGTGAAACCCCATCTCTACTAAAAATACAAAAATGAGCCGGGCGTCGTGGCAAGCGCCTATAATCCCAGCCATTCTGGAGGCTGAGGCATGAGAATCGCTTGAACCTGGAGGCAGAGCTTGCAGTGAGCTGAGATTGCACCACTGCACTCCAGCCTGGGCAACAGAGCGAGACTCTGTCTCAGAAAAACACCAAAAACGAAAAAACAAAACCCACTCTCCCTGCAGGGCAGGCCGGCTATGTAGTGTATAAGTCCATTCCCTATGGCTCCTTGGAGGAGGTAATCCCCTACCTGATCCGGAGGGCCCAGGAGAACCGGAGCGTGCTTCAGGGTGCCCGCAGGGAACAGGAGCTGCTCAGCCAAGAACTGTGGCGGCGGCTGCTGCCAGGATGCCGAAGGATACCCCACTAGCACCCCTGAGGGGGTCATGTGGTCAATAAAAGTCCTTAGGTGCTGCCTAAGCTGCTGTCCTGCACTGACGCCGCCTCCTTGGGGAAGGGCTCATCTTGACCTCAGCCAGCCCAAGCTAGGGGTTTTGCAGTTCAAGAGAGATCGTTAGGCTGGGAGTGGTAGCTCTCGCCTATACTCCCAGCGCTTTGGGAGGCCGAGGTGGGAGGCGTGCTTCAGTCTAGGAGTTCAAGACCAGCCTGGGCAACATAGCAATATTCTTTCTCTACAAAAAATTAAATCAGTAGGGCATGGTGGTGCGTGCCTGTGGTCCCAGCTCGGGAGGCTGAGGCAGGAGGATCACTTGAGCCCAGGGGTTTGAGGCTGCAGTGACCTATGACTGCACCACTGCTCTCCAGTCTGGGTGACAGCAAGAGACTGTGTTTAAAAAAAAAAAAAGAAAAGAAAAGAAAAAGAGGCCGGGCACGGTGGCTCACGCCTGTAATCCCAGCAGTTTGGGAGGCCGAGGCGTGTGGATAACGAGGTCAGGAGATCGAGACCATCCTAGCTAACATGGTGAAACCCCGTCTCTGCTAAAAATACAAAAAATAGCCGGGCGTGGTGGCAGGCGCCTGTAGTCCCAGCTACTCGGGAGGCTGAGGCAAGAGAATGGCATGAATCCAGGAGGCAGAGCTTGCAGTGAGCTGAGATCACGCCACTGCACTCCAGCCTGGGCAACAGAGTGAGACTCAGTCTCAAAAAAAAAAAAAAAGAAAAGAAAAAAAAAAAAAAGATCGTTAGACACCCATTGAGCATAGCCAGGGCATTGACGGAGGACTAAGGAAGCCTCCCTCACCTCTGAGGCAGACCATCCTGGGTTGGGTCTGGCCAGTGACTGATGCAGAACTTTCTTCATCCCAGGGGATGCCTAAAGGAAGGGCACACATGGGGAGCAGACACCAAGGCACTGAAGTCAAGGGGCTCGGCCCAGGCCACTTGGCGAGGGAGGGACAGAAGAAAGAGCCAAGCCATTCTCTCAGTTAATAAGCATTGAATGAAACTAGGTGCAGTGACTCATGCCTGTAATCCCAGCACTTTGGGAGACCAAGGCAGGTGGATTGCTTGAGGTCAGGAGTTTGAGACCAGCCTGGGCAACATAGTGAAACCCCATTATCTCTCAAAAAAAAAAAAAAAAAAAAAAGAAAGAAAGAAATTAGCTAGCCAGGTGCTGTGGCTCACACCTGTAATCCCAGCACTTTGGGAGGCTGAGGCCGGCGGATCACGAGGTCAAGAGATCGAAACCATCCTGCCCAACATGGTGAAACCCTGTCTTTACTAAAAATACAAAAATTAGCCAGGCGTGGTGGCACTCGCCTGTAATCCCAGCTACTTGGGAGGCTGAGGCAGGAGAATCACTTGAACCTGGGAGATGGAGGTTGCAGTGAGCCAAGATCGTGCCACTGCACTCCAGCCTGGCGACAGAGCAGGACTCCATCTTAAAAAAAAAAAAAAAAATTAGCTAGGTGTGGTGGGTGGCCTGTGCTTGTAGTCCCAGCTACTTGGGAGGCTGAGGCAGGAGGTTGGCTTGAGCCCTGGAGGTGGAGGCTGGAGTGAGCTATGATCTTGCCACTGCACACCAGCCCGGGCAACAGAGTGAGATCCTGTCTGAGAAAAACGCCAGGTGCAGTGGCTCATGCCTGTAATCCCAGCACTTTGGGAGGCCGAGGCGGGCAGAAGTCAGGAGATTGAGACCAGCCTGGCCAACATGGTGAAACCCCGTGTCTACTAAAAATACAAAAATGAGCCGGGCATGGTGGCGTGCGCCTGTAATCCCAGCTACTCGGAAGGCTGAAGAAGGAGAATTGCTTGAACCTGGGAGATGCAGGTTGCAGTGAGCCGAGATCGCGCCACTGCACGCCAGCCTGGGCGACAGAGTGAGAATAAAAGCACTGAATGAGGCCTCTTTTGAGCTAGGTTCTGGGGTGAACAACGCTGTGAACACAACAGTGACAAGAACGACCCAAGGCCCTGCCTTACAGGGCTTAGTCCGGTGTGGGTAGACAGCCCCGTCCTCAGACAGTGACAGCCCCGACTGGTCAGGGCTGTGGGGCCCAGGCTGAGTGGCTGGGGCTGTGTTGGGGAAGGGGATGCTACTGCGCAGGCGCTGCGGGAGGCCACTGGTGCTCAAGCACCTCGGATTCCCGCTCATACAGCCGGCCGGATCATGTGGCAGTCAGGTGGCGACCACTATCTAGCCCAACGGTGAGTGCAAAGCCACCAGGACTGGGGTGTGGGCCCAGAACTTTCCCAGAGCTTTCTGGGCCCTCAGATCACCCTCAGACCCTTCCCCCAGCCCTCAGGCCCCTCCCACCCTGTCCTTCTCTTCCGCGGCCCTCAGACCACACCCCTGCCCGCCCCTTTAGCGAACCCTTTCCCCATTCCACTGACCCCTTCCCCAGCCCCAGACACTGTCCTCAGAGCCCCCTTCCCCAGCCTGTAGCCCCCACCCCCAACACACAGACACTTCCCTAGTCCTTAGTCCACGCGTCCCACCCGCGGACCCCCGCACAGTCGGCAGATCCTGCCATCAGCGCCCTCTCCTCCTTCAGAGCGCGCCCGCTGCCCTCAGACCCCATCCACCCCACGGACCCCACAGACGCTGTCCCTAGAGCCTCCCCATGACCCCTCTCACCGCCTCTCAGATCCTAAACCACAGGCGCCTCATCCTCCCACCGCAGCCTTCAGAGCCTCCTCCTGAGCCCTCCGACTCCTTTCCCAAGCTCGGATCCTATCCTCGCAGCCCTTCTGCCACCCTGGCACGCCCGACCCCAGCCCTAAGCCCCCTCCCAGACTCCCGATTGCCTTAGATCCCCCTCAGCTCTCAGCCTCCCTGCGACCCCAGACCTTCTGGTGTGTCGCCCTCCCAGAGCCACCCCCTTTTCTCATTCAGCCACCTCCCTTCCCATCAGACCCCTCCTAAATCCCGTTCCCGTCTAGACTGCGCCCCCAGGACCCCCAGCCAGCTCTGTCTTCATTGTTTTGTTGTGCCCAAAGTTCCAGTCCTTCACATCCCCCTTCCCTGATGAGACCCCCCTAGCGGATCCCTGCCCAGGAGCCGACTGAGCCGCAGCCCACAGATGCCCTCGCAGCCCTTTCGCGCTTCCCAGTGGAGCTGGGCTCCAAGAGGGATCTAGACACCCAGGTGGGCCGTCTGCACCACCTGGCTGTGGCTGGGGGCCCAGGATGGGGCCCGGCCAGGCTCCTGCGGAGAGGTGAGGGCCTGGCTGCAGGTACATCTGTGGCGGCAGGATCAAGGAGCTGTATGGAGGGTGTGGCTTCAGTTGGCCAGTCAGCAGTGGTACCGAACACCGACTGTGTCCCGAGCTCTGTGGTCCCTGATGGGGCTTTAAGGGTGAACATGACCCTTGGACCATTGGGAATGAAATGCAGTGGGATGAGGATGAGACCCTAGACAGTATGGCCTTTCAGGTGGAGGATGCTTGAGTCTTACAGTATAAGAGTCAGCCACGCAAAAAAGGTGAAATGAAGTGGGGAGAGATGGTGGGGTGCAATGGCTCATGCCTGTAATCCCAGCAGTTTGGGAGGCCGAGGCAGGCGGATCACTTGAGGTCAGGAGTTTGAGACCAGCCTAGCCATCATGGTGAAACCTCGTCTCTACTAAAACTACAAAAATCAGCCAGGCATGGTGGCATGTGCCTGTAATCCCAACTACTTGGGAGGCTGAGGCAGGAGAATCATTTGAACCCGGAAGACAGAGGTTGCAGTGAGCTGAGATTGTGCCATTGCACTCCAGCCTGGGCAACAGAGCGAGACCCCGTCTCAAAAGAAAAAAAAAAAGAAGTGGGGAGTGATGGAAGAGGCTGTGCAAACGCTCTGAAGTCAAAATGAACTGCCCATGTATGAGTAGCAGCAGGACTTGGAGAGACGTGAGGCTGAAGTGGCCACAAGTCCACACAGTTAAGGGCCTCTAAAGGAGTGTGAGTTTTGTTGGATTTTGTGTGTGTGATAGGAAACTGTTGGCATTGTAAGCAGGAAATTAACATAATTAACATTAAATTAGGCTGGGCAACCTGTTCCACATGGCTCACACCTATAATCCCAGCACTTTGGGAAGCCGAGACAGGAGGATTGCTTGAGTCCAGGAGTTTGAGACCAGCCTGGGCAACATAGCAAGACCCTATCTCTATTTTAAAAAAATTACCAGGGAGTGGTGGCATCATATGCCTGTAGTCCCAGCTACTTGGGAGGCTGAGCAGGGAGGATTGCTTGAGCCCAAAAGGTCAAGGCTGCACTGAGCCTTGATCAGGCCACTGCACTCCAGCCTGGGCAACAGAGTGAGACCCTGTCTCAAAACAATAACCCATTAAATTAACAATGTACAATTTCTGTTTTGATTTTTGTAAAGTTGGTTGTGTTTCAGGCCACTTTCTGAACTTGCTTACTAGTTTTAATTGTTTTTTTGTTTTGAGACAGAGTTTCACTCTTGTTACCCGGGCTGGAGTGCAATGGTGCAATCTCTGCTCACTGCAACCTCTACCTCCCAGATTCAAGCGATTCGCCTGTCCCAGCCTCCTGAGTAGCTGGGATTACAGGCGCATACCACTACACCTGGCTAGTTTTTTGAATTTTCAGTAGAGAAGGGGTTTCGAACTCTTGACCTCAGGTGATCCACCTGCCTCAGCCTCCCAAAGTGTTGGGATTACAGGCATGAGCCACCACACCCAGCTGATAGATTTTCTTATGTTGAATCATCCTTGCTTTATGGGGATAAATCTATTCTATTTTATTTAAAGTTTTTGCATATATATGCAATTGATATATAATCTTACTTTCTGTTTCTGGAAACTTTCATCTAGTTTTGGAATTAAGGTCCTGCTAGCCTCATAAAATGAGCCTTGCCTTCTTTTTCTATTTTTCTTTTCTTTGGAACAACTCATATAAGATTATCTAGTCCTTAAAAGTGATTTGTGTTTTAAGAAGAGACCTCGGGCCGGGTGCTGTGGAGTGTGCTGTAGTCCTAGCTGCTCAGGAGGCTGAGGTGGGAGGATCACTTTAGCCCAGGAGGTCAAGGCTGCAGTGAGCTGTGATCGCACCACTGTACTCCAGCCTGGGTGACACAGTGAGACTCCGTCTTTATTTTATTTTATTTATTTATTTATTTATTTGAGACGGAGTTTCACTCTTGTTGCCCACGCTGGAGTGCAGTGGCATGATCTCTGCTCACCGCAACCTCCGCCTCCTGGGTTCAAGTGATTCTCCTGCTTCAGCCTCCCAAGTAGCTGGGATTATAGGCATGTGCCACCAGACCCGGCTAGTTTTTGTAGTTTTAGTAGAGACAAGGTTTCTCCATGTTGATCAGGCTGGTCTTGAACTCCCAACCTCAGGTGATCTGCCCACCTCAGCCTCCCAAAGTGCTGGGATTACAGACGTGAGCCACCATGCCTGGCAACACTCTGTCTTTAAAATAAAAAAAAAAAGGCCGGGCACAGTGGCTCATGCCTGTAATCCCAACACTTTGGGAGGCCGAGGTGGGCAGATCACCTGAGGTCAGGAGTTCAAGACCAGCCTGGCCAACATGGCAAAACCCCTAATCTACTAAAATAAAAAAAAATTAGCCTGGCATAGTGGCACACGCCTGTAATCCCAGCTACTTGGGAGGCTGAGGCAGGAGAATCACTTGAACCTGGGAGGCGGAGGTTGCAGCGAGCCGAAATTGCGCCATTGCACTCCAGCCTGGGCAACAGATTGAGACTCTGTCTCAAAAAAAAAAAAAAAAAGGCCTCTGTGGGGCAGGATGAGTGCAGAAAGGCAGTTAAGATGCTGTTGTAAAAGATAGTGAGCTAATGAGTCAAATGCAATGCCGCAAATCTGGTATTCAGAGATTCCTGAAGGTCCACATTTGGAGGGGTTTTGTGGCAGAGACCACGCTGGGTTGGGCCCAGTGCATGAATAATTAGCCGTGTCTGCCAAGGACACAGGAGTGCAAGGACAAGGATACCATGCATTTGCTCTACCTGGGGTAGGGGCTGGAGGAAGAGGAACTGGGGAATGACGGGTTTGGAGACCCAGGGCTTGGGGCAGGAGTGAGTGGTTGGGAGGGGGAGCTGAGCAGGAAGATGGTTGGGGAGGGGATTGGCGGAGGCCTGGAGGTAAGGACATGGAGGGGGTTGCCAACTGGATTGAGCCCTTAGATGCAGGCTTCAAAAATAAAATTGAGACCATGCATGGTGGCTCATGCCTGTAATCTCAGTACTTTGGGAAACCAAGGCAGGAGAACTGCTTGAGCCCAGGAGTCCAAGACCAGCCTGGGCAATATAATGAGACCCCATCTCTACAAAAAATTAAAAATTAAAATAAATAAAATTTGAGAGATCTGATAAAATCCAGAGTTTGCTTTACTTGAATTGCTGAGTGCTGGCCTCATGGGACCTGTGTGTACCACACTGAGTCACAGCTGGGTGGAGTCCGCCTGTCCCGGCCAGTGCGCAAGGCTCCTGGAAGTCAAAGTCCCCTGAAATCCACTTCCTCCTGGCCCATGGGGACCTTTGTGTGATTTTGATCCCCCTGGGTTGGGGGATAGATGTTTGCACAGCAGGCAGATGTCACCCCTTGTTTCAACTCTGTGGACTTAATGATTTGGGGAGCACTGTGTTGAGGTGGATTGCGAGGCATGGTCCTCAGCAGCTGGAGGGCAGGGGTTCCAGGACACAGAGATGGAACCTGGGGTCCATAGTCATCCAGTCATGGAGGGGCTGTGGAGGATGGGAATTGGCAAGGGTGTTTGCCTAGCGGCCCTCAGGCCTCCAACCCAGGAGTATGGGCCTGGGGCGTCCTAAGCCTGCCTGCCCCTTAGGTGTCCAGGTGGACGGGGAGAACTCTGAGGGGCAGACAGCGCTCTTCCTCT
The DNA here is from genome assembly GCF_000001405.40 of Homo sapiens. Taxonomy (NCBI): domain Eukaryota; kingdom Metazoa; phylum Chordata; class Mammalia; order Primates; family Hominidae; genus Homo; species Homo sapiens. Next base: position 35,793,136 of record NC_000019.10, on the reverse strand, counting down.
CGGCGCTGCTGGGCCACGGCTCTGCCATGCAGCTCCTGCTGGCCTTTGGTGCCAAGCCCAACCAGTGGCTGGCCAGCCAGTGATGCCCCCCATCCCCAGGGGCCCAAGTTTGAGCCCCAGAAAGCCTGAGAGCTAGGGCTCTCTTCCCCTGAGGCATCTCTCCCTCGAGATGCCTCTTCCATTCCCTGGTGACCCTCCTGTCCCCCCAGTAACCCTCCTTATTCTCTCAATTAACCCCTTCTCATTCCCCAGTGACTGTTCCCATTCTCCCAGTGCCTCCATGCTCGTAGTGATCCTCCATTCCCTAAAGACCCCATCCTGCCCTCATGTGACCCCTCCCATCCTCATATTCACCTCCCATGACATGGTGACTCCTCCCATCCCCCAGGGCCCCCATCCTGCCCCTTTTTGTCCCTGTTCAGTCCCTTCCCTAATCGACTCCCACCGCGTTGTTCTGCTCTAACCGCTGCCTGGATGGCAGCACCCCCGTGCCTGCAGGCGCCTTCTTTAGTGATGGTGCCCCTGCTGCAGGCAGGGGGTGACTTGCAACTGCATGACCAGCGGGGTCGCACACCACAAGACTGGGCTGAGCAGGGTGGGGCCAAGCAGAACTGGGAGGTGAGCAGTGGCCCTGGTGGGAGTGAGGGATCAGGGCCGGCACCCATCAGGCCTCACCCTACGTGCCCTCCTCCAGTTGCTGGAGTTGTTGCAGCTCTGCCGGGCCCACATATCAGCGTTCGTGCATGACGGTGAGTTGCCACCCATGGCATCTCTGGACCAGTTGCAGGCCAGATTTGGGAACAGCCCGCCTGGCTCCCTGTCCTCCCTGAGGCTGATGCAGGCAGACAGGTAACCGTCCACATCCTGAAGCCCACCCGCCCAACCATTCCCAGCCACCCCAGACTTACCCTCGGCCTGCCCCCACCCCAGGATGCTGAGGCTAGCACAGATCAGGAGAGCCTCCCAAGTCCCGGCCTTGGGGTTTGGTCAGGTAAGCAGGAGTGGCTGTAGGAGTGGGAACCACCCCTGTCTTCTTCGTGCCTCATGATCCTGCCTGTCCCTAGCTGAGTAGCCTGTGGCCACCGGGGCTGGTAACGGGCATCCCCCTTGTGGACCCCAAGGAGCTGCTGGCAGCCCAGGGAGAGCCTGACTGCACCTATGAGAGCAGCTCCCCACCCTCATGGCCAAGTGAGAGCCCCGCTGTGCCCTTGCCAGCTCTCCTGCTCCCCTCCCAGGGAAAGCCCCCTCGTCTCAGGCCTGTACTGCCCCGCCCCTATTCTCCAGCCTCCTGTGGATGGGTCACAAAATGACTGTGCAGCAGCCGAAGGCCCCTGGAACCCAGACAGATGTGCTACTGGCTGACCTTCAGCACTGCAGGTACCTGTGCCAGCCCCCAGCCCCGCCTCCTGTTGGCCCTCCCACGGAAGACAAGGGTGTGTGGCCGTAGTCATGGCCAGAATCTTCACTTCTGGGCCAGCACCCGGCATGGAGCCCTTCTGCTGGGGCGATCCCCCCACTGGAAAGTGGGTGGGTACCAGTTGTGTGTGCAATGCCCTGTAGGCCTGAGAGGAGGTGGGGGTGTGGAAGGCACCAGGATGAGGTAGGCGGTGGGTGCTGGCCCTCCCACTGCTGGGCTGCGTGACCTGGGATCAGTCTTTCCTCTGTCTGATGGCAGGTGCAGATTGCCTGCCCTGGCACGTGGTGGGCAGTCTGGGCCCAGGAGCATCTCCCACCCTGTGTGGCTGGGGCCTGCTCGTGAGTGGCCTGCTGTCCTCCTGCCCAGCAAGCTGCACCACCCTGGCCTGTTGCTGCTGATGGCACTGAGTCCCTCTGCAGATCTGTCGGGGCTGTGCCTTCTCTTTGAGCCTGTGTGGCTGGGCTCCCTGCAGGGGGTGCTGCACCCACCGAGACCAAGTGAGGAGGCACCTGGGACTGTGCTGGGCCTGCCGCCCCGGCCCCCTGCTGCAGCAGGTGCTAAAGGCCCTGCTGTTCCTGCAGGCCCACTGGCGAGCTCACAGTGGCTTCAGCTCTCACACCGTGTAGCTGGTGCAGCCAGGCCTGGCTAAAGTGGGCCACCTGGAGCACAGGCGCCTCCTACGCCAGCGCTGGCTGCGGCCCAGGTGAGTGCCTGCCCTGCCTGCTGCCCCTTGACTCGGGCCTGCACGCTCCCCTCCTCCCTGTTCTCCAGCCTCCGTGGCCATGGGCAGTGGTGTCTTGTAGACCCCAGGGAGGAGGTGGGGGTGGAGAGGGGCACTGTGAGTGGCATAGGAGCTAGGTGCTGGCCCTACCACTGCTGGGCTGTGTGACCTGGGGTCTCAGTTTTCCTGTCTGGTGGCGGGTGCAGGTCCCTGTCCAGCAGCCGTCGGCTCACCAGGGCCCTTGGGCTCCACAGGCAGCAGAAGGGCTACCCCTGGGGAGGCCCAGGCCCAGGGCTTCCCCCGCCCCCTGAACTACACCCATGGCTGCCACTTCAGCTGATCTGCGGTGACATGCCCACCACCACCTCAGACCTCTACAGCTTCTGCATCCTGATCCAGGAGGTCTTCACTGGTGAGTGAGTGGCTGCGCCCCACCCCATGAAGGCACCCTCCCGCTTGGGTCCCTAACTGTGCTTCCTGGCAGGAGAGCTGCCCTGGGCTGGGAGAGGGGGACCTGAGGTGAAGGCCAAGCTGGAGGCAGGGGAGAGTCCGGCCCTGGAGCCCCGGGTGCCAGCACCCTACCAGGCCCTGATTCGAGCTGGGCTAGGCCTAGCACCTGCTGACCGCTGGGGCAGCCTGCAGAGTACCCGATACCTACTGCGGGAGGCCCCGGCCCAGGTACAGGGCAGGTCAGCAGGGGGTGGGTGGTGGCCATGGGACCCCAGGCAAGCCTGTGTCCCCACACCCAGCCTCCGGTCCACAGGACGTGGCTCCTGAGGTGAGCTCCCCAATGGAGTGGACCACGCTATCCCCTGCACCCCAGGGTTCCCCACCAAGTTAGAGGGCAAGGAAGGGATGCTGGCAGGTGCTGACCAACTGGTCTGTCCCCACAGAGAAACTGTACATCAAGTGGCTCACAGAGCCAAGACCACACCCAGGCCTGTGGCCCCTGTGATGTCCCCAGGCCCCATCCCATGCCAGGTAGGAGCCAGGACGGGGCTGTGGGGGACCAAGGGAGCTGTGGGACACCTGGGCAACCCATGCCAGCTCTCTGCCATCCTTCTCTGCAGGCCTGAGACTCCTGAGGTCAGAGACCACAGCAGGATCCCAAGGGGTGCAGCCTGGAACTTGGGCAGCAGCTTGACTCTAGGCAGCAGCTCTGGGCCCAGCCCAGGACCCAGCCCTGGGTCTGGCCACAGCCCCACAGCCAGGGTCAGCCTGCACTGCTGCCTGGAGCCCAGCTCAACAGTACAGATACCCCCAGAGCCCTGCACAACTGTCCCACTGCTAACCTGTGACCCCCTCCGCCCGCCCTCCAGGAGTCACCAACCCGAAGTTCCCTGGCTGCCTCTCCTTTGACCAGGGAACTTTAGGGTCGCCCAACTGTCCCCTCACTCACCTATGACCCTTAACCAACCCTGCTTCCCCCAGGGCCCTTCCCTGCACTCCAACTCCAGCCTCTAGGACTCAGCCTCCCTGCTGGGGACCCAGAGCTCTGCGGAACAGTTTGAGGAAGCTCTCAGCCAAGATTCCAGCCCTGCAGGGGCTGCTGCGGCGCACACACAGGGTTATTCTGCTGGAGCCCCAGCCCTGTGAGCCCATCCCCAGCCTGCTGACCCACAGGGAGGCTTCCCACACACTGGGAGGCTGCTGGCAGGGAAGGCCACGAGGGCAGGCTAAGCAGAGGACCCCGAGCTCAGCCTGTGCCCCATCTGCCCTCCCAGGCCCGCTGGAGCACCATGGCTACCAGGTGGCAGCTCCAGCCTTCTCTCCTGCAGGCACCCGGTACTGAGCTGACTAGAGGAGGTCTCTTCTCCAGCCTGCAGAAGTGAGACCCGAGGCCTTGGATGGGAGGACCCCAGGTAACCCTAGGTCTTTATCCCTGAGGTAACCCTAGGTCTACCTGTGCCTCACTGCTCCCCAGGATGGACCTGCTGGAGGAGATCATAGCAGAGCTACAAAAAGGATGTCAGCTTGGAGAAAAGCCCAGCCTGAGCCCCACTCCTGACCTAGACTCCCAGGGTGCCCATGGTTCCCCTCTCTGCAGATACCACCTCTCAGAGGCTCCCAGGAGTAACTCCTGCCTTGGTGCCTCCCCAAAAGGAAATAGAATGATAAAGTGCCCCCTCTGTCTGTCTTCACTCACTGAGTTTGGCCCCAGAACGACTTCAGCAGCCACATTTTCACCATTTTATTCATTAATGTTGTCAGATGGTTTAGTGGGGCATGTGGGGAAAGAAGGGTAGGAGTTGTCCCCCCATCCCCGTGCACAGGTCAGGACATGCTGGGGGCTCCTGGAGGGAGAGGAGGATGGGGTCAGCCTAGCCCCTCCCACCCCAGATTTGTGCGAGGGCCCCCAGGATGGAGGGTGGTGGGGGGATGGGCAGACCCTTCAGTCCAGGGTAGGGAAGCTGAGATTATAGGTTAGGGACCCACATCAGAAGCAAGTTACAAAGTTAGAAACCTGGGGTAGTGGTCGGGGTTCAAGAAAATACAAAACAAGGGATTTGGTTGGGCCAAGATCCAGTGAGGGTGAAGGGAAGGAAGGACGGCCCCTCCCAGCTGGTGCTCAGCAGTAGCTTCGGGTCTGGCCCTCAGAGTGGAGGGACCAGCTGGGAGTGGGGTAAGGGGGTGGGGGACCAGCCCCCTCCCCTCTTTGCCCTCCATTTCTGTACAAGGACCCTCGGTGGAGCTCGCCCCCCCTTCCGTAGGCTGGCGGGGCTGCCCTGTAGAGCAGGAGAGGCTCAGGAGGGCCCCAGGGACCCGGCACCCTATGAGGGGTACGGGGTCCCCAGGGTGCCCGTTGTTTCTGGGGAAGGCGGGGGACTGGGGGACCGGGATCTGAACGGCTTCGGGGGTGGGCAGGAGGGGAAGAGGAGGAGGAAGAGGCAGGTGAGGGACCCCTGGGCCCTAGAGCTAGGTTGACGTAGAGGGGCTCAGGCGGTGTAGGGCGCCGAGCAGGGTGCTGGGGGGCTGAGTAGCCAAGGTGGTCAGGGGGAAAGCAGGAGGGGGCTGGCGGGTAGCTGAGCAGGAAGTCGGGGGACCTGTGGAGTGGGGGTGATTGGCCAAGCATGCCGTAGGAGGCATTGAGCCTGTCGGGGGGCATGGAGCGAAAGGGACTCCAGGAGCGGGTGGGGCCAGAATAGGGGGACCCCTCACTTGCCCCGATCTCATAGTACAGGTTCTCTCCCCTGTCGAGTGGTGCAGGGGGGCCCAGAGAGCTCCTCCAGACTGGGGCTGGGGAACTGGGCTGGAAGGATGGGGGGCCCAGGGGGTACAAGCCTGGCTTGGGGACCCCGAGGAAGGGTGGCAGGCACTCCCTGGGGGCTGGGGAGAAGAAGCCGGGGGTAGGAACCTGTGAGGGGACAGAACATGGGGACTGGGCTGCTGCCTCTGGCGCATCCCTGCCCCCGCCACCTGCCCTGAGCTGGGCACTGACCTGGGCAGGGCCTCGGAGTCCCCTCCTTGAGGTCCCCATGGGCCGCTGGCTCCTCAGCAGGCTCCCATCACTTTGTTGCCTTGGTAAGTAGGGTGGGGGTCCCGGGACCCAGGCACCCGGGTGTGCTAGGGAGTTGGGAGGTGGCCCACTCCCTGAGGTCCCCAGGGGCTCCCCGCCCACCTCCAGAGACAGCGAGCGGTGGAAGGGGGATTGGGAAGCAGGTGGGGTGCCCCCACACTCCTGCTGGCTCTGTTGCTCGGCCACCTGCTGAGCCCGCTCAGCCAGGGCCAGGGCCATGAGGCGTGCTGGGTTCTTAGGGGGCGGGGGTGGGGCACCCCCAGGGCGCAGGAGAGACAGGGGAGGGGGTGGCAGTGGTGACTCCATATCAGGACCTATATAAATGAATGGAGAGGGGTTCAGCTGGGGCCAGGCCCTCAGAGTCAGTGACAGCTGGCGGGGACAGGGGTGGGGTAGGCTGAGGACTCACCGAGTGGGCCCTGGGCTCCCCGGAGCTTGCTGCACATCTCCTGCTGGCAGGCGTCAGTCAGCGGGGCCTCGGCTCCTCGCAGCAGCAGGGGTATGAGATGGGGGCGCAGGCTCCGGCCGGGGCTGAGAGCTGGTGTTGGGGTGGCTGAGGCAGGTGCTCCCCCAGCCCCCAGCAGTTCTAGGACAGCGGGTGGCACTGATACAGCCAGGGGCTCTGAGATGTCTAGGGCAGCAGGCGAGGCGGGGCTGGTGGGCCCCCGGGGCGAGATGGCCTGGGGGGTCACCCTGGGTGGGAAGGCAGAGGCAGGGGCGGGGGGTGCTGGGCTGGCGGGAGGTGCGGGATCCCCTGGGGTGGGGCTGCTGCAGCGGAAGGTTAAGGGATCAAAGTCCAGCCCCCGGAGTCCCTCCAGGCAGCGGGGTGGGCTGAAGTCCAGCTCATCACCATCATCTAGCCAGGCTGAGGTACGGTGTGAGGGAGACCCAGAGAGTGCCCCCAGCCCAGCTGCTGAGGACTCAGAGGAGGAAGAGGAGGACTCAGAGGAGGAGGACTCGGAGGAGGAGGACGAGGACAGGCTCTCGCAGGAGCCAGCAGGTGCTGGGCCCACAGGGAAAGCGTCGCTGCTGGAGTGGGGTCGCCGCAGCCTGTGCAGCCTCTGGAGGCCTGGAGGGGTGGGGTCAGTGAGACCATCCCTGAGAACAGGGCGCACAGCCCCACAGAAAGCTGGGGAAAGGACATGAAGAGGCGCCTCCTGGAGAGGGCCACAGTAGTGTGAAGCCAGGAAGAGCTGTTCAGATTGACAGTGGAGACCATGAAGAGGACACTTCCGGCCCAAAGCACGAAGGCCCTGTGGCTGCCCCACAGGCTGTGAGCACGAGACCAACAGATTCACATACAGCTGCTGAGCCAGCAGGACAGCACCTGGGCTCCTGGGTATGTGGGAGGGCAGTACCCCAGGAGTGTGAGGATGGCGCGGTGGCTCAGAAGAGCCCCCAGAGGCACGGCTGGGTGGGGTGGATAAGCAGCCCCCCGCAGAGGTCGGAGAGCAGCACCCAGCAGCGCGGCGGGCTGTGAGGTAGCGATGGAGAAAAAGCCAAGCTCCCCATACAGTGCGGCATCCCTTTCTTACAACGCCCTTTAAATCAAGTTTCCAAAATGGCTAGAACTGAGCAGTATGATCCTTACACACACACCTGTGTATGATCAGACCTGGAAAGCAAGGGCAGGGTAGTCTGCAAATTGAGAGGATGCCTCCAGTGGGGAGGAACTCGAAGGGGAGAAGGAATGGGGCTGCTCTAGTTCTGGCTGCTGGGTTCATGGGTGTCCATGATATTATTTTAAAATGTTCAACAGGAATAATAAAGACTTTTAAAGGGCCCGTCATGGACCAATGAGTAAGTTAAGTTCAGTGTGTGATGAACCAAAGGTGATACTGTATCCAACTCATTGTACATAAAGGCCAGGTTAAATTTTTCAAAAGCCCCAGGGCCCCCAAATGTGAAGTATAAAATTTGGAGGCCAAACCAGGGCCCCAATTCCTCCCGGCTCCACATGGGCACAGGTAGCGCCCCCCAATTGCCCGCCTTGCTCACCAGCCCCGCTGGCCTGCGATGACAGAGACTCCTCGCTCTTGGCAGATCTCAGTGTGACGGTGTCGGGTCTGCTGCCTGCAGGAGAGGGAGAGGTAGGAGGGCACTCCAGCGACCATCGCTGCCCACCAGCCCATGGCTCAGCCTCTCACCTGAAGGCTGCGGTGGGGCACGGGTGCCCCCCAGCCAGGGCAGGGGCTTCTTTCGAGGGACACTGGGGCCCCGGCCCAGTGCAAAGAACGTCTTCCAGCTGCTGCCCCCTGGCTTCCGCTGCTTCTCCCCTCTCTCCCCTTTCCTCCTGCGGTTTGGGGGAGAAACAGGAGGCCGTCTGAGGAACCAGGCCTCCACCTGCCCCTCGCCACCCCCAGCATCCCACTCACCTTTCCGCAGGTGAGGCCGGGGCCTTGGGAGTTGTGGGCTCCGTGGGCGTCCCCAGCCGGCCCTGGGTGCGTGCCTGGGCTTCCTCCAGCGTCAGCAGGCGGGTGGAGGGGCAGCTGCCCGCAAGGGACTTGGGCCTGGGGAGCAGGCAGCGGCCTGGGGAGTGTGGAAAGGGGGCAGCTGTCAGCTCTGGGGCCGCCCAAGGCCACAGGCAAAGCCAAGCGCCACAGCCCAAGCCCCGGCCCCGCAGCATGCCCACCCGGGCTGGCAAGGCAGGGGGCCGGGGCGGATCAGGCGGGAGCAGGCGGGCAGCAGGCAGGTGGGAGGAGGGCGGGGCGGGACGAGCTGATGAGGAGGCAGCTCCCGGCAGCCAGCGAGGGCAGCGGCTCTGGCTTCAGTTACCTCGGGCCAGAGGGCCCTCCGACGTGCTGAGTCCTGACTGGGCTGGGGTCCGGGGCAGGGCGGGGAGTCTGGGTGGGGCCGGGGCGGGGTCAAGTCTGGGGACCTCCCACCTCCTCCCAGGTGGACCCATGGCCCCAAGCGCCCCCAGGAGCTACAAGGGGTGAAGGAAGAGCGGCGTCCGGGCCAAGAGGTGGGAATCCTGAGCGGAGGAGCTGAAATGAGAAGGAGGGGGGCGCGGGGAGGGAGAGGCCGGGGCGGGATCCTCAAGGAGCCGGAGGGAGGCCCAGCTTCAGTGGGGTGGGGACGGGACTGGGAGCCCACCTGCCCTCCCCCTGCAGCCCTGATCGTGGTGGGCAGTAGCCAGGACCTCAGGGGGTGGGAGGGCATACCTGCAGGGTCGAGGCCGGCGGAGGTGAAGGTGTCGCTGAACAGGACGTCCACATGGGTGAGCAGAAACTCCACCACCACCGACTGCACCCGAACTTCCCGGAACGCCGCCGCGCCACCCATTCCCACTGACTCCAGCTCCATGGACCTGGGTGGGAGGAGCGGGAGGGAGGCTGGGTGCCTTGAGCCCAGCCAGCAGGTTCTGGCAGGGCAATGAGGGGAGCCAGGGGAGGCAGTGACTGTCTATTCAACACCTCTGACCTCAAACTGATCACGCCTCGCTGGGCTCTCAACCTTCCCCCAGACCCGCCCCTCCTGCCTTCCCCATCTCAGTGTGGTTCTTCCTGTGGCTCTGGCCAAACACCTTGGGGTTGCCCTGAGCCCCCCTCTTTAACTCCCACAATCAATCTGTCACCCCCTCCACTGCCCCCCATCTGGCCCAGCCTCCATCTCCCCCAGCCTGGACATCCCAGAGCCTCCTTCCGGTCCCCACCCTAAAGTATGCTCCCACCTGCAGCCAGAGGGAGCCTGAGACCACCTGAGTTCCATCAGGGCCCGCCTGGCTCAGAGCCCTGCCCTGGCTGCACCTCGCTCCAGGCAAGAGCAAAGTCCTCACTGTGACCCATGACCTGTGAGTCACCCCTCTGTCTGGTCCCCGTCACCTCTCTGACCTCATCATCTCCTCTCCCTCAGCCCCTCACTCACTCAGCTCCAGCCACACCGGCCTCCCTGCAGCTCCTCCAACACACCAGGCACCGGCCCAGGCCCAGATGTCTGCACCTGCCGTTCCCTCAGCCTGTCACTCCCCACGTGCGCACCTGGGGCCCTCCCTCATCCTCTGCAGGTCTTGACTCAAATATTGCCTTCTTAGTGCAGTCTTCCTCACCCACTTTATTCAAAACTGTACACTCCCTTCTCTGTACCCCTGGCCTTTCTCGTTTATTTTTCTCCGTACATCTTACGCCCGTCCTCTGACATACCACCTGTTTTACTTGTTTATGTATCTGTGCCCCCAGAAGACTGTGAACTCCGGCAGGGGAGAGATCATGCCTGTCTCGTTCACCATCAAATCCTCCAGGCTTATTCTGCTGCTGGCCACAGAAGACCTGCCAAAGCCTCCCTTGCCACTCTCGCTAAAAACTTCACACTGCCCTGACCCTGCACACTGCCCTTCCCTCCTCCTCTCTCCTCCTCAGCACTCATCACCATCAGACTTTACTCTGTATTTTTCCTGTTGATGTTCATGGTCCATCTCCTCCATGAGAACATGAGTCCCAGGAGGACAGGGCCATGCTCAGTGCTGGGTCCCCAGTGCTAGGGACGGGGCCAGGTCCATGGGAGGTATTTGATAGACACGTATTCGATGAATAAACAAAAGAAAAGCTGGGCGGGTTCCTGGGGTGGTTTTGGGGAAAGACCTGAGGGGCAGGCAGGCGAGCAAGCAGCTCACCGTAGCAGGTTGGGTGCCCAGACAATGGCCAGGTTGCGGGCATGCATGCTGGTGTTGGCACTGTGTCTCGCCATGCGGGCCAGGTGCCTCAGCAGGTACTCCAGGGTCCTGGGGGTGGGAGCAGAGGGGGCACCTGAGCCTCAACCCCCTTGGAATCCCACCAAGTCCCGCCCTGCCCCTCCTGGTTTACCTGTAATGTGGTGGGGGCAGCTGCTGGATGACATCGTGCACCCGCACCAGACGCTCCTCCTCCCCAGGCACTGACATGGCCTCCTGAGATGGTGGGCAGGTGTGATGAGGTCTGGGCCAGAGGCGTCCCGGCCCCCTCCGTCCCGCCAGCTCCCTTACTCACACTGAACTTCCCATAGAGCTGGTAGGTGAGCAGAGGGTTCGGAAGCTCTCGGAAGTAGAGCTTGCAGAGGGAGGACACGCTGTGGATGTCCTGCAGGAATGCAGGGCCAGACAGCTCCGGGATCCTCTCACTGTCAAACTCGTGCCTGAGACCACCGTGTCAAGGAGGAGGAAGATCCAGGTCAGAGGGGCTCGCTCACGTGGCCATGCTCCCCTTGCCCCTACCCCCAAGTGCCCGCAGGTGGATGGAACCCTCTTCCCCAGGTCCTACACTGGGCTCTTCAGAGGCAGAACCTTACTGAACTCCCCAGCAAGCCTGTGTGGCAAAGAGAAGGGTGCCGCATTTACAGAGGAGGATGCTGAGGCTCAGACAGAGGTGCCTCTGCCTGCAGCTACCCAAGACTGTCTGACTCCAGAGCATGAGCAGCTCCTACCATGCAGCTGCCATTCTCCTGGCTGTAAGAGGGCACTGGAAAATGTGGACAAAATCCCAGCACCCTGCTACTCCCAATTCTCTGGTGGGGCCCCACTGCCTGTGGTAAAATCTCCCACCCATTGCCACCTCCTGCCTCCCTCTTGGCCACCCCCCTGCAGGCTTCAAGCACTCCCCTCTCAGCCTCCTGCAGGCCGAGATCTCGCCTGGCTCCTCCCCGCCTCTAGACCCCGCCCCGGCTCAGAGCCCTCCTGCGGTTCCCCCTTCACTTATAGTAAAAGCCAAAACCCTAACATGAAGGCTTTGCCTGCGCTGGCACGGGGACTCCTTGGCCATGGCCTCCTGTTGCTGTTCCCTTTGCCCTGCTGCTCCCTCTGCATGGCCTGCCCCTCCCCTCCTCCAGACCCTCGCATGAGGTGGCTCTGCCCTTGCCATCCAAAACTGCAGGCCTCCCTCTTGGCTCTTCGTCGCCATCCTCCTTACCCCAATCTGTTTTCCTCCATAGTACCTGTCATCTTCTGGTGAACTCTATCCCTCCCCTGTTTGTCTCTTCCTCTAGCCCATGGGCCCTATGAGGGCAGGGGTTTCTGGCTGTCTCACTCACTGCTGCGTCCCCAGTGCCTAGAACAGTGCCTGGCACGTGGCAGGTGCTCGGTGAAGATAGTCCTCGCTTAGACTGCTAACTCTACTCTCAAGAGAGCTGTCCCTGACCCCAGCCTTGATCCTGCCACTCCTGACTCCTGGTAACTGTGTCCCCAGCATGCAGCACGGGGCTGGAGTGGAGGTGCTGGGTGAGTGCCTGTGGAAGGACAGGGTTGGCTAAGGGCCCTCACCGAAGCCTCTGGATGTTGGAAGACACGCCTGAGAGCCGGTAGATCCCATCCACCACCCCGTGGGCCTCAATGAACTCGGAGCAGCAGCGCAGCACCTGGGGCACTGGGAGAAAGCAAGGTCAGGGCTGGGTGGGCCGCAGCCCTGGTGTGACGGGTGGGGTGGGTGGGCCCCGGCCTCACCATCCTGGCCTGAGTTGCTGAGGTGCTCGCCAAGATCGCAGCCAAACACCCTCTGTCGCAGGATTCCCCGCTGCCGCAGCCGCTGCCGAGAAGGGCGGGAGCGCATGAAGGTGCGGAGCAGGCCGGCCAGCTTCCCACGAGGCCGTGGCACAGCTGTGGGGGCAAGGGGCAAAGGGCAAAGGCAGGTCTTGTGGGGTCAGCATGGCCAGGGGCCTGGTGGGGTAGGGGCTGGGACCTGACCGCCTATTTCTATTACCTGAGGTCAGAGACGAGATACCCTGGGGAGCCGGGATGCCACATGGGGGGCCATCGGCATCTGCTAGGCGAAAAATGGGGTGGAAGGGATGAGTGGGAGGCAAAAGACGCAGGAGGCCCCACCCCTTCCCACCCCTCCCCACACCTCCCATCCATCCATGGCACTTACCCGCCTTCAGGCCCGGACCTGGCCGCTCTGTGAAGAGTTCCACACACTCACTGGGGAAGAACCCGACCTGAGGAAGGTCAGGGTCAGTAGCTGGGCCACCCCAGTTGGCAGGTACCCCAGCCCCACCTGTCCGCGCCCAGCTGGACTCACCTGGAAGCCTCGCTTGCCCCGCCACCAGCTCCGATCCTCTGTGGGTGGCATGTCGATCACCGAGACAATGTCTCCCACCTGGGAGAGGGCGGGTGGGAAGAGAAGGGTCAGAAGGAGCAGGGGGTGTGGGGAGCCCAGCTGGAATCTGCTTCCCCACAGCCTCACCTCAAAGGACAGCTCATCTGGCGCCTGGGCTGTATACCGTTTGATCACATGGGCGGCCGCCACTGCAGGGATATTGAGTGACGCCTCCTCACTGAGGAGCAGTCGCCGGCCGTGATTGTCCAGCTGAAATAGAGGTGGAATGTGGCAAGGACAGGTCAGAAGACGGTGTTAGTGCAGGCATACCAAGCTCCTCCGCGCTGGGTGAGGCCACTGCCCGCCCCCGTCAAGAGCCCCTGTCACTCAGAGCTATTGGTCAAACACCTAGATTCCTGTTTGTAGGGATGCAGCCCTGGCACCCTCTGCGGGTGGGGAAACCTCTAAGAAAAACCCCTTTATTTCCCCTCACATGTCCCAGGACTCTCCCACCCAAAGGCTTCCCCACCTGAAGGCTTCCCCATCCACCTCTGCACCTTCATCCTCCACAGCAGATGCCACACGGTTGCCATCTAAAATCTCTCTGTGCTGGGCGTGGTGGCACACGCCTGTAATCCCAGCACTTTGGGAGGGTGAGCCTGGAGAATTGCTTGACCCCAGGAGTTCAAGACCAGCCTGGTCAACATAGCAAAACTCTGTCTCTACAAAACATTTTTTTTTAATTAGCCAGAGGCCAGGCACAGTGGCTCATGCCTATAATCCCAACACTTTAGGAGGCTGAGGTGGGCGGAACACCTGAGGTCAGGAGTTTGAGACCAGTCTGACCAACATGGAGAAACCCAGTCTCTACTGAAAATATAAAATTAGCCGGGCGTGGTGGCACATGCCTGTAATCCCAGCTACTCAGGAGGCTGAGGCAAAAGAATCACTTGAACCTGGGAGGCAGGGGTTGTGGTGGGCGAGATCATGCCACTGCACTCCAGCCTGGGCAACAAGAGTAAAACTCCATCTCAAGAAAAGAAAAAAAACCCCTCTGGTTTAAGCCACTCATAGCCAGGTGTTCTGTGAGTTACAGCCCAACCCATTTCTAACTGATATACATTTAAACCCTTGTATCCTTAAAGCCGAACACCTGCTAACACACACACGTGCACACACACACATGCTCACACACATTCTCTCACAGGCATGCGCCCACACAGACACTAAAATATCAACGCCTCCTCCACTCTGGCTCCTTTCTTTTCTATGCCCACACACACACCGAGGCTGCTTCTCGCCCCTCAGACACCCCCTCACCCACTCGGAATCTCCAAGCCCCCTGCCCAGGCCCACCTCCATCCAGGTGAGCACAGGCCCGCAGTTGAGGTTACTGTCCACCAGTCCTGACAGTGTCTCCAGGTACTGCAGCAGCAGTGGCACCAGCATCTGGGGGCAGGTTGTCAGAGTGGGCCTCTGTGAGTGGACGTGAGAGAGCCCACTGCCCTCCCACACTGCCCTAGCTCGTCTCTGGGCTGAAGTTCATCCTGAACACATGGGTGCTGCTCAGCTGTTAGGTACTGAGATATGGGCATATGAATGAATAAGCAGGCTGGGCCAAGCTCTTGAGTACCCTGGTTGGCATGACCATGGTGACCCTCCCATGGGACCCCCTGGAACTCCCCATGATCCTAAAACTTAGCAAAGCTAAATGTAGCAGAAGCCTACTACGTTTCTAAGGCTTCTCCATTCATTCAGATTGGTTGGGACTTGGGCCATACCAGTATTTAAATATTTCTCTATCCCGCTGCCTTGATGATTTCACACTGTGGATGAGGACACACTCATGAGGCAGGGGCTGAGACAACAAGCAGGTTACCTGGGCAGCCCTGGCACCCTCGGGGGGCGGGGGAAGCTCCGGAAGGCAGGAGAACCTCCGGTCAAATATGCACCGGTGGAGGTGGGCATCCAGGGAACGAAAGTCATCGTAACTCCGGAGAACCGGCCAGGAACGGCCCTGTGGGAGCAGAGGGACAGAAGGGAGCAGGGGCCCCATGACACCGAGCTGAGGACTACAGTGGCCATTCTCTCAGGCTAGATGAGAGGCGGGATGGCCTCACCTGACAGGTCACCTGCACCCCGAACACCAGCTCATTCTCTCCAGAGAGGCTGGGCCCTTCACGGTCTGGAGACAGCAGGAGCTGCAGAGGGAAAGCAAGGCCCAGGTGGACTTTTGTCCCAGTCCTGACCTCCTGGGGATGGCACTATCTAGGGACGGGTTTGTGACTCCCTTCTGGACCTCCCCGAGGACAGGGCCTGGTGATGTCCTGGTCCCTGACATAGAGCAGATACCTAACAAAAGTTGTTGTTGAATGAATAAAAGAACAAATGGATGAATGAATGAGCAGCTCTCCCCATCTGCTGTGGCTCCTGCAACTTTTGCTACTGACTGCTCAGACGCGTGCAGCAGCCAGTCACAGGGATAAGTTTCAGAAGCAAAGCACCTGATATCGTTGCAAGGTTGGGTAGGATATTGTCTTCCCTCCTGGGTGCAAATGCAAAGCCCCCATACCTGAATGTGGCCAAAGTCAACGTTCTCGTAGTGGAAATGGGCGCAGTCAGCCAGCCGCGGGAAGGGGCCTCGAGGAGCTGAGAGCCTGGGAGACAGGGGATGCGTCACCAGCAGCTCCTTGAGTCTCCCCAGCTCCTAGCTGAGCCCTTTCCTCCCTCACCCTCACCTCTTCCCAGGCTTCCCCTTCACACTGGGCCCCCCAGCAGTGGGTAGAGGCTGCACCGAGCCCTCCCCTGGGCCATCCAGGCTGTCAGTGCTGCGTGCCTGTAGAGCAGAAAGAATCAGAGGCCCCCAGAGATGGGAGCAAAGAGACAACGAGAGCATTGTTATCTGGCAGCGCGGGTCCAGAGCCCCGGGCGCTCCACACACCGCCCTGAGCATGAAGCAGGATGGCAGGTCGGGGGAGGTGAGGGCTGGGCTGAGGACAGGACTGCTTCTTCGTGTGTGGTCTGGGGTGGGGGACTGGAGAAGCAGGGGCCAGACGTGAGGCGGGGCAACAGGATGGAGAGCATGCTGGTCCCATCTCTCCCTGCTGAAAACCCTTCCGTAGCCCCTGCAGAGTACAGTGATCTCCTACCACTGTCTAGACAATCACAACTCCCATCTCATCAGCCTTCCTGCTTCCAGCCTCTCCCCTCCTGCCAGCTTTTCCGCAATAGCCTGGATCGTTTTCAGAAAACACAAATCTGGCTCTATTTCTCCATAGATCCTGGGCCTTCAATGACTCCCTGTTGTCTTCAAGACGAAGTCTGAATTCTCTGGTCTGATAATCGAGACTTCCCTGAGCTGATTTCTGTTTACCTCTCCAGTCCCATCTCTTCCCATTGCCCCCACTCTCAGAGCTCTTGAACTTCTAAGAGTCCAAAAAAAGCACCCTCTTCTCATTTCCTTCTAGGCCTTTGCAAAGGCTGTTCCCTCAGCCTGGAACACTCGCCCCACCTTTCCCTGGGTACATTCATCCTCACTCCCACCCCTCAGGTCCCAACTCACATGTGCCCTCCTCCAGGAAGTTCTCCCTGACCCTTCAGGCTGCACCTGGCATCTCCTCTGGACTCTCTCCATCCCCTGAGGTTCCCCCATCCCAGGTTCCATGCCTTGACCAGAGCTTCTCCCTTCACAGCTCTGATCACTCTGAGATGGCACTGGTGGTGACAAGTTCATCTCTCTCATTGGACTATGACCGGCCTCCCAGAAGGAGGGCCCCAGACTGAGCTCCCCAGCATAGAGCTGGGCATTGAGTTGGTGTTCAGACATGATTGTTCCTGATTCTTTTCTGGGTCCCCAGTGCCAGCCCAGTCGCGCGCAGCAGGGACTGGGTAAAATCTGATGAATAAATTAACCAGCTGCCAGACAGATTCACTGGGCTGTAGCGTCTCCCTGCTCCATGTCCCTGCAACCCCCAGTCACCCTCAGGGTCTCACCCTCAGGGTCTGTCCCCCTCCAGCCCATAAGGTTCCCCAAGGCAGGATGGGAGCTGACTCTCTCTGTGCCTGGAGCGTGGGGCCTGCACAGAGGCGGTCTCAGTGAATGTCTGCTAAGTGAGGGAATGAATGGATGAATGAGCGGGAGCAGCATGGTGGGAGAGGGAAATGGTGGGGGAGGGGGATGAGGACAAGGAGATGGAGCAGACCCGAGGATCAAGGGAGGTACAGTGCTGGCCTGTTGGGGTGGAGTAAGGAAGGAGTGGCTGGAGAGACGAGGCAAAGGCTCAGACTGATGCGGGGCGGGGGGGATTGAGAGGAACTGGGATAGGGTGAAAATGAGGGAGAAGGAGAAGAAAAGGGTCAGGCTGGGGATGGAGCGGGTGGGGGGTGGGGCTCGGGAATGAGAAAGGGGCTGTGGGGAGGAGGAGGGGGCTCCGCCGGGGAGGGCTGAGGGCTGGCAGAAGGATGCCGAGGAAGGTGCTGGGATGGGAGCTGGGGAAGGACCCAGGAGCCTCAGGAGGCCCCTGCAGGGGCCACTTGGGTGGCGCGGGTCCCTTCCTGGACTAGCCCCGCCTCCTCCCAGCCCAGGCCCTAGGTCCCTGTCACCCCATCCAGGGCGTGGAAGACGGGGATGCGCGCTTAGGGGGCGGGGTCGAGGTACGGGCTGGGACCCGGGATGGGGCCGCAGGACGGGAGGGACCACGGCTGAAGCACAGGCCGCGGGATCGGGCGGGGCCGGGGGCGGGGCGCGCGGGGCGGGGCTGCGCACGGACAGACTGACATCCGGACGGACAGGCTGACGGCCGCGTGGGACCCTTACCACCATGGTCGCGTAGCCTCCTCAGGCCCCGGCCGCGCTCGACCCCTCGCTCGCCGTTCTCGTCGCCGCTGCCGCCGCCATGGCGACACAAAGGGGAGGGCGCGAGCCGCGCGCGGGCGGCTGCAGACCCCGCCCCTAACGGCTGCCCGTGGCTCCGGCGCGCGCCCCACGGGGGCGGGGGGCAGCGGGAACGCGGCGCTGCTTCTCATTGGCTCCGCCCTTGGCCTTAGGCCGATGCCCCGCCCACCCGGAGGCTTCTCATTGGTTTCACCTTGGGCTCCGCCCCGGCTCTGTGTCCTCGGTCCCGCCCCTCGAAGTTTGACAGCGCCACGCCCATGACTGCTTTTCATTGGCTGTCATCGCCCTCCTGAGACAAGCCCCCAGGTTCTTTATGCTTTGCTTCCGACACTTCCAACACCAAGCAATGGACCCTACCTTTCGTCCACTCCCAGTGTCCATTCTTCTGACTTTTTTATTTTTATTTCTTTAAGAGACAGGGTCTCACTCTGTCGCCCAGGCTGGAGCGCAGTCCTGCAATCGTGGCTTACTGCAGCCTCAACCTCCTGGGCTCAAGCGATACCTCCCATGTAGCTGGGACTACAGGCGTGCGCTACCACGCCTGGCTAATTTTTTTTAGACATGGGGGTCTCACTATGTTACCCAGGATGGTCTTGATCTCTGGGGCTCAAGAGATACTCCCTCCTCAGCCTCCTTTCAAAGCGCTGGGATGACAGGCGTGAGCCACCACGCCAGCCAGCCCCTGATAGTCTTAATTGGATTCTCCCACGGCCTCAGAGCAGTGCCCAGTTCCTTAAGCAGCTTTTCAAAGTCCCAGTCCCAAGTCTCACCTTTTCAGTCCTGATCCCGACCCCGCTCACATAATGCCGAGGACGCTCCGCCCATGGACGTTTCTCGTTGCCTCATATACCTTGCCTAGGACGTAACCCGAGGCTTTCTGCGATTTGGCCTCCCCTGCCCACTGGACATTTTCTTGTTTCCCCTTCTACTGCTTATTACGGGCCAATCTCCAGCCTTGATTTTTTTTTTCTAGGAAAATGCTTAGGGGGAAATGCCAGATCATGCTTATGCCCCCCATAAAGCCATTCCCAATGGAGCCTGCTAATACTGAGCATGCCCAGATAACACTGTAATAACGCCCTTCACAGGAGGGTCTCTCCTTAGTCATGCCCTCAACAAATTCTCATCTCAGAGGGTCTTGGTCTGTTCATTCATTCATTCATTCATTCATTCACTCAAACTCTAATCAATTTGTACATACATCAACAACCAAACCAGGAGAAAATATACCCTGCCCACATTGGAGCTCAAAAGCTACTGGGAGAAGACAATGAACAAAATTAACATTAAACAAAATATAGAATATTAGGCCAGGCGTGGTGGCTCACGCCTGTAATCCCAACACTTTGGGAGGCCGAGGCGGGCAGATCACTTGAGGTCAGGAGTTCGACACCAGCATGGCCAGCATGGAGAAACCCCGTCTCTACTAAAAATACAAAAATTAGCCAGGTGTGGCGGCGGGCGTGCCTGTAATCCCAGCTACCTGGGAGGCTGAGGCAAGACAATGGGTTGAACCCAGGTGGCAGAGTTTGCTGTGAGCCGAGATCGCGCCACTGCACTCCAGCTTAGGTGTTGAAGTGAGACTCTGTCTCAAAAAAAAAAAAAAAAAAAAAAAAAAAAAGCTGGGGACAGTGGCTCACGCCTGTAACCCCAGCACTTTGGGAGGCCGAGGCGGGAGGATCACAAGGTCAGGAGTTCGAGACCAGCCTGGCCAATATGCTGAAACCCCGTCTCTACTAAAAATACAAATATTAAAATTAGCCAGGTGTGGTGGCGTGTGCCTGTAATCCCAGCTACTCAGGAGCCTGAGACAGGAGAATTGCTTGAACCCAGGAGGCGGAGGTTGCAGTCAGCCGAGATTTTGCCACTGCACTCCAGCCTGGGAGACAGAGCAAGACTCTGTCTGAAAAAAAAAAAAAATATTAGAAGGTGATTCATTCTATGGAGAATAATTAAGCAAGGGCTGGTGAAAGGGAGTGCTGAGGGAGAGGTGAATGTGCAGTTACTTATGTACTAAATTTGCTGACCTCACTCTCATCACAGGGATTTCCCACACGATATTCCTTCTGTCTAGTGTTTCCCCATCAACCCCTGCAGTGATTTTTTTTTTTATTTTTTAATTTTTCTGGGTACATAACAGGTATATTTAGGTATATATATTGAGGGGGCACATGAGATGTTTTGATACAGGCATGCAATGTGTAATAATCACATCATGGAGAATGGGGTCCTGCAGTGATTTTAAAACAGCTGCAAATTCTCTGACACTCTTCTTATCAAGACGCGGACTCTATGATTGCTTTCTATGAATCTGGGTGGGACTAGGATAGCTTCAACCAATAGAAAACAGTGGAAGTGACACGGTGATTTCTAAGGCTATGTGATGAAAGGCAATGCAGCTTCTTGACCAATGTTCTCGTCCACTGGAATGAGCTGTAGAACCATGGTGCATCATATGCGAAGTGTGACTATGCTGAAGCAGACATGCTTTGAGGAAGCCCAGGCCAATGGAGCTATGTATAGGCATTAGTCAATAGTCCCAGTCAGACTGGGAGAAGACCACGGAAGAAGTTCTGGAGGATTCTACTCCACAGCCATCAAGTCTATCAAGTCACCTTTGAGTCTTTCCAGGTGAATCCCCAGACATCATGGAGGAGACAAAAATTGTCCCCATATGAGCCCTGTCCAAACCTCTGACTCTCAGAATCCATGAGCATAATAAAATAATTGTTTTATGCCACTAAGTTTTGGGAGCGGTTATCCAACTAGAGTAATTAGGACAGCCCTTTGTTAACTAGATAATTTCTACCTGTCTCAGCTTAAGTGTAACTTCCTCAGGAATGCTTCTAGACCCCACCCGTGACCCAGCTAGATCAGGTTCTGCTACTATAGTATCTTTTATTTCTCCTTATATCTAAACAGCTATTTTTCTTGTCAATTACATTTTTTTGTTAGTTTGTTTGTTTTTGAGATGGAGTCTCACTCTGTTGCCCAGGCTGAAGTGCAGTGGCACCATCTCAACTCACTGCAGCCTCCGCCTCCCATGTTCAAGCAATTCTCCTGCCTCAGCCTCCTGAGCACCTGGGACTACAGGCACCCGCCACCAGGCCCAGCTAATTTTTAGTGGAGACAGAGTTTCACTATATTGCCCAGGCTGGTCTCTAACTCGTGACCTCAAGTGATCTGCTCGCCTTGGCCTCCCAAAGTGCTGAGATTACAGGCCTGTGCCACTGTGCCCACTCTGATTTCATTTAAATGTATGGTTTGCTTAGAAAGGTTAGAAACAGGCCGGGTGCGGTGCCTCACACCTGTAATCCCAGCACTTTGGGAGGCCGGGGCAGGTGGATCATGAGGTCAGGAGTTCGAGACCAGCCAGACCAACATGGTGAAACCCTGTCTCTACTAAAAACACACACACACACACAAATTAGCCAGGTGAGGTGGCATGCACCTATAATCTCAACTACTCGGAAAGCTGAGGAAGGAGAATCACTTGAACCTGGAAGGCAGAGGTTACAGTGAGCCGAGGTTGCACCACTACACTCCAGCCTGGGTGACAGAGCAAGACTCCATCTCAAAAAAAAAAAAAAAAAAAAAGAAAGAAAGAAAGGTTGAAAACAAATATTATATTTACCATGTGACATACAGAAGTTACTAGAAATCCATCTTATCCCTCCATTTTGTAAATGCAGATATCAAAACAACCCCAATCATATATTCTCCATCATTTTATTATGAAAAGTTTCTTTTCTGAGACGGAGTCTCGCTCTGTCACCCAGGCTGGAGTGCAGTGGCGCAATCTCGGCTCACTGCAAGCTCTGCCTCCCAGGTTCAAGTGATTCTCCTGCCTCAGCCTTCCGAGTAGCTGGGGCTACAGGCGCCCGCCACCACGCCCGGCTAATTTTTTGTATTTTTAGTAGAGACGGGGTTTCACCGTGTTAGCCAGGATGGTCTCGATCTCCTGACCTCGTGATCCGCCCGCCTTGGCCTCCCAAAGTGCTGGGATTACAGGCATGAGTCACCGCGCCCGGCCATGAAAAGTTTCTAAATTACAGCAAAGTTGAAAAATTTTACAGTGGACACCCGCATATCCGCCACTTAGATCCTACCATGAACACTTTGCTGTATTTGCTTTATCTCACATCTACCTATTACACTATTTATCCATCAATCCAACTCATCTCTGGATGCATTTCAAAATAAATTGTCGACATTGGTTTATTGTTCCCTAAATATTTCAGTGTACATACTTTTTTTTTTCTTTTCTTTTTTTTAAAGACAGGGTCTAGCTCTGTAGCCCAGGCTGGAGTGCAGTGGCATGATCTTAGTTCACTACAATACAGCCTTGAACTCCTGGGCTCAAGTAAACCTCCTGCCTCAGCGCCCCTCCCCGCCCCTAGTAATGGGACTGCAAATCGTGTGCCACCACATCTGGCTATTTATTTACTTATTTATTTTTGTAGAGACAGGTCTTGCTGTGTTGCCCAGGGTAGTCTCAAACTCCTGGCCTCAAGTGATCCTCCCGCCTTGGCCTCCCAAAGAAGTCAGATTACAGGCGTATCTTTAACTGGCGTTCAATATTTTCTTTTGAGGTAAACTTTACATACAATGAAATTCACACACTTCACTAAGTTTCATAAGTGCATACACCTGTGTAACCCAAACCCCTCCCCAGCATGGCAACTAGTTTTTTTTTTTAATGTAGCCTCTAAAGCAAGTGTCAGAGAGAGAGAGAAAGAGAGAGAAATTATCTTTTTTTTTTTTTCCACTGCAACCTCTGCCTTCTGAGTTCAAGCAATTCTCTTGCCTCAGCCTCCTGAGTAGCTGGGATTACAGGCACCCACCACCAATGCCTGGCCAATTTTTGTATTTTTAGTAGAGACATTTCACCATGTTGGCCAGGCTGGTCTTGAACCCCTGACCTCAAGTAATCTGCCCACCTGAGCCTCCCAAAGTGCTGGGATTACAGGCGTGAGCCACCATGCCCAGCTGAGAAATCATCTTTTCTAACTGCACTTTAGAAGTTAAGCTGCATCACTTCCTCTGCATTTTATTTGTTGAGGGGCCCAGTTTCAAGATGAAGGGACATAGACTCTGCCTCTTGATGGCAAGTGTGTCAAAGAATATCAGGTTTATAAAAACCGTTAAGTTTTCCAACAGTCCAGAGAGGAGGTGATGACAGCCTAGATTGAGGTGTGAGCAGTAGAAGGGGAGAAGCAGTTGAATTCTGGATAGATTTTAAAGGTGGAGGCCAGGTGCGGTGGCTCACATCTGTAATCCTAGCACTTTGGGAGGCTGAGGTGGGTGGGACACCTGAGGTTAGGAGTTCGAGACCAGCCTGGCCAACATGGTGAAACCTCGTCTCTACTAAAAATACAAAAAATTGCCAGGCATGATGGCTCATGCCTGTAATCCCAGCGCTTTGGGAGGCTGAGGCAGGAGGATCACGAGGTCATGAGTTTGAGACCAGCCTGGCCAATATGGTGAAACCCCGTCTCTACTAAAAATACAAAAATTAGCCAGGCGTGGTGGCACACGCCTGTAGTCCCAGCTACTAGGGAGGCTGAGGCAGAAGAATAGCTTGAACCTGCAAGGCAGAGGTTGCAGTGAGCCGAGATCGTGCCACTGCCCTCCAGCCTGGGGGACAGAGCAAGACTCTGTCTCAAAACAAACAAACAAACAAAGAAAATTAGCTGGGCGTGGTGGCAGGTGCCTGTAATCCCAGCTACTCAGAAGGCTGAGGCAGGAGAATCGCTTGAACCCGGGAGGTGGAGGTTGCCGTGAGCCGAGATCATGCCATTGTACTACAGCCTGGGCAACAAGGGTGAAACTCCATCTCAAAAAATAAAATAAAATAAAGGCGGAGATGGCAGGATTTCCTGGTTAACTGTGGGTGGAAGGGAAAGACAGAAGTCAAAGACAACTCTAAGGTTTTTGGTCTGAGCGGCAAAGGACAGAGCCGAAGAAAGTTGGGGAGGGGGGGCCCAGCACGGTGGCTCACGCCTGCAATCCCAGCACTTTGGGAGGCCGAGGCGGGTGGATCACGAGGTCAGGAGACCAAGACCATCCTGGCTAACACAGTGAAACCCCGTCTCTACTAAAAATACAAAAAAAATTAGCCGACCGTGGTGGCGGGCACCTGTAGTCCCAGCTACTCGGGAGGCTGAGGCAGGAGAATGGCGTGAACCCGGGAGGCGAAGCTTGCAGTGAGCCGAGATCACACTATGGCACTCCAGCCTGGGTGACAGAGCTAGACTCCATCCAAAAAAAAAAAAAAAAAGAAGCTGGGGAGAGGCACGCCTAGGGGGAAAGATTGGAAACTCCATTTAGGACCTATGGAATTTGAGATGTCTTTTAAACCCTTGGGTAGAAATGGTAATGAGGTAGGAGCCCAAGGTTTCGTGGCCAGGTCTAGGTTACAGACAGAAATTTGAGGATTATCAGAATAGAGACGGGGTTTAGAGTCATTAAGCTAGACAAGAGCACCTATGGGTGGGTGCAGATAGAGATGTCAACGCCATGGCCCTGGGTCATGCCAAAGTTGACATGCTGGGCTAGTGACTAGGCCTGACCAGAGAGGTGCAGAGAGAAGGGCTGGAAGCAGGGAGAGAAAGTGCTTCAAGGAGGGAGGGGTCAGCTGCACCAGATGCTGCTGCTGCTCAAGCATGTGTGGGCTATAGCCTGACCATCATCCAACACTCTGATGACCCTAGTAGCTTCCTCCGTGGAGGGCAGTCCTTTGGTCCATTTGAGCCAGGGCTCCTGAGTGAAGCCAGATAAGGTGGGTCCCAGTCTTGCCAGAAGTCTTGTCTGAAACTCCCTCTGCCCCAAGGAAGATATAACCAGAAAGGAGATCTTGTTTCCGTGGTCAGGAAGGGGTGGGGGGCAGGGCAGAGCCATGGGGCAGCGGAGGATGGGGGGCATTTCCTTAAATTGGCATGACCCCTTGGCCTTTCCAAACAACCCCTTTCTCACAGATAACCAGTAACTGTATGAAAAAAAAAAAAAGAGCCTCACTGGGTAAAATAGAATCTGTACAATTCAAAGTCTTCTGGCCTCCAGGGAATCTCCTTCCCTTCTTAGCAGCCTCCTTGGGGACCTAGGGGGCGACCCGGCTGGAGGGGACCAAGATCCCAGGTCTTCAGCCTGGTCCAACAGGAACGATAATCGGGCATCCGCTTCCCTGGAGAAAGGCCGGGAGAGCAGAGGCTGGGGTATGTGCTCAGGCTTAGAATCTGGGGCTGTGGACGGACTGCTGGGACAGGGGATGAGGAGGGCTGGATGCCTAACCGGGTCTCAGAGGTCTCCGGGGCCCAGTGTCATAGACTCTGGGGATGGAGGGTCGGTCACCTTTTCTGCCGACTCAGCTCTGCCCTATGGGCTCTTAGCACCTGCAGCACGGGATCGTCCTGGAACTCGCTGCCGTCGGAGTCTGGGCCGGGGAGAAAAGAATGAGCTCCAAGGGGCCGGCCTCTTAGGGGGCTGGCCTGCCTCCAACATCCAGGAGGGCGCGGGCATCACCTTCTGCAGCCTGCAGCAGCAGGGCGGCCTGGGCAAGCAGGGCCTCCGAGGGGGCGTGGTCAGCAGCGGGCGGGGGCGGGGCCAGGGCCTCCGGAGACCCCACCTGGAAGGCTGGCGGCGAGGCCTTGACTGTGGTTGCCTGCTCAGCTGGAGAGAGTGGGACCTCGGGCTGCAGGCAGGCTCCAGGGGAAGGAGTGGCTTCGCTCTTCCGTATCACTGACCCCGCTGCGGGCGGCAAGGCCTTGGCTTTCAGAGACTCGGCCTTGGCCCGACACTGGGATTCAGATGGAGGGGGAGTGACCTTGGTTTGGGGTTGTGTGGCCTGGACTTTCGGAGATCCAGCCTTGGGTGGAGGGGGGCCCTCGAAGTGAGGAGGCGTGTCCTCCAGGCTGTCAGGGAACAGCCGAGCTGCCACTACCTGGCCCAGGACACCCCTGAGCTGAGGGCCAGGTCCCTGGCCAGCTGCAGGGACTTGCTCGGCAGCCTCTGGGCGAGGGGCTCTGCTCCTCCGAGACTTGGGCCCCAGGCTCTTAGGCTGGGCACAGCTGCTTGGGTCAGGGATGGGCAGGCCCTGGGGGACAGCTGGGGATGCGAGGGTGGAGGCTGGAGGTGCAGGGGTACAGGCCAGGGGAGCCGGGGTGGAGGCTGGGGGTGCAAGGGTGGAGGCCAGGGGAGCTGGGGTGGAGGCCGGGGGTTCGAGGGTGGAGGCCAGGGAAGCCGGGGGCGCGAGGGTAGAGCCCAGATGTGCTAGGGTGGAGGCCTGCTGCGTGGGAGGAACAGCCCCAAGGGATACCCAAGGCCCAGACTGTGGGGCCCAGAAGAACCCGTGGGAGCTGGGGGCCCAAAAGATGTGTGGAGAGGACACTGAGGGAAAAGGAGGCCTCTCCACATAGAAGGCCTCTGGTGGACCAGGCTGGGCCACACTGCTCCACAGTGGGACATGGTTAGGCTGGGTCCCCAGAGAACTGAGGGTCTCCACTGGAGCAGGAGAGGTCTGTAGACAGATAAGAGAGATCTGAGACAGAGAGAGAGAGGGTGGAGGGTCCTCAGTCCCCCTCAGACCCAGCCCCTCCTCCAGCTCCCCCCAGGCTCCTCCCTCCCTCGGCTCACCAACGTGCGGAGGGCAGGGGTCAGAGGCGGCACCCAAGCTCTGTCACCCTTGCTTCCCTGAGCCTGTTCAAGCTTCCGCCGCTGCCGCCACTGGTACAGAATGTCATCCTCTGGCCGAAGGGGTGCTTGGGAGGAGGCTGGGGCTGGAGCAGGGGTGGGGGTCTGGGCCTGGGCTGGTGCCGGGGATGCTGTAGGGGGAGGTAGAGAGGAGAGGGTGAGGCAGGGGCCAGGGAGATCAGCAACCCCAGGACAGCCTGCACACACGCCCTCCAACTGTGCAGGGGGTTACTCAGACAGGCTCTCCAGATACTGTCCCAGCTCCTCTCTGGGGTGGGAAGAGGGGAAGGGGTCAAAGTCAGGGGAGCGAGCACTCCTGGTCTTCTCCATCTGTCATCATTCAAGTCTTTGTTCATTATATATATATAGTCTTGTTCTGTCACCCAGGCTGGAGGGCAGTGGTGCGATCACTGCAGTCTCGACCTCCTGGGCTCAGGCGATCCTCCTGCCTTAACCTCCTGAGTAGCTGGGACAAAAGGCGTGTGCCACCACACGGGGGTAATTTTTATTTTTTTGTAGAGACAGGGTCTTGCTTTGTTGCCCAAGCTGGTCTCAAACTCCTGGGCTCAAGCCATCATCATCCCACCTGGGCCTCCCAAAGTGCTGGGATTATAGGCGTGAGTCACAGTGCCTGGTTTCATTCAACAAATATTTATTGAGCCGTTCTGGACACTGGAGTTACAGCAGTGACCAGAAGACATATTCCCCAGAATCTACCCACTCCCCCACCCGCTACAGCCCTCACCCTGCTCCAGCCCCACTCACCCAACCTGGACTCTTAAATAGCCTCCCTGGTCTCTCTACTCTCCTCCAAATCTGTTCCCTACTCTCAGCCAGAGGGAGCCTGTGAATACCTGAGTCAGACCAGGCCTCTCGTACTTAAGAACCCTCCCTTGGCTGCACCTCTCTCCCGGTAAAAGGCGAAGGCTTTGCCTTTTACACCTGTCGTTCCCTCTGCCTGGAATGCTCTTCCTTCATGTATCGCACGGTGCATTCTCTCACATCCATCAGATCTTGGTCACCTTCCCTGGCTTCCCTATTCAAAACTGCAACAACCAGCTGGGCATAACGAATGGCCCATTCTTATAACCCTAGTGCTTTGGGAAGCGAAGGCGGTGGGGGGATCGCTTGAGCCCAGGAGTTTGAGATCAGCCTGAGCAACATAGTGAGACCCTCATCTCAACAAATAAAAAAATAAAAACAATTAGCTGGGCATAGTGGTGCATGCCTGTAGTCCCAGCTACTCAGGAGGCTGAGGTTATAGGATTGCTTGAGCCCAGCAATTGGACTATGATGGCACCATTTATTTATTTATTTTTGAGATGGAGTCTCTCTCTGTCGCCCAAGCTGGAGTGCAATGGCGCAATCTCGGCTCACTGCAACCTCCGCCTCCCAGGTTCAAGTGATTCTCCTGCCTCAGCCTACTGAGTAGCTAAGACTACAGGCATGCACCACTATGCACCATTATGTACCACGCGTGGCTAATTTTTGTATTTTTAGTAGATACCGGGTTTCGCCACATTGGCCAGGCTGGTCTCAAACTCCTGAGCTCAGGCAATCTGCCCGCCTCGGCCTCCATGCCTGACCCACCTCATCTGGCCTTATCCCTGTTTTACAGCTGGAGAAACAAGGCCCAGAGAGGCCCAAAGTCCCATAGCTGGTCAGTGGCAGAGTTGGGATTTGCACCCAGGCTGCCCTCAGTCTTTGCCTCTCAGCCCTTACCGGGTGCCCTGGGGCCAAGGCCCTTGCTGGAGTCAGGGATGAAGGTCTCCGAGAAGGGAGAGAGGCCATCAGAGCTGGTGGGGAATGAGGAAGTGCTGGCATCGCTGGGGCTGAGGGAGGAGGAGGAGGAGATGGAGGCTTTGCTGCAGGGAGAAGGCAGGAGTGAGGCAATGGAGGTCTCGAGACCTGGGCCACGTGGAGCCGCAGTAGGAAGGGTGATGGGGGCAGGGGTGCGGGCACCTGCGTTTGAGCAGCCTGGCAGCTCTGCTCTGTAGGCTCAGCGTCTCCAGGTCCAGCAGGGATGAGTTCCATGTGTGGAGGTTCTGCAGGGTGACAGGGTCAGACGCCAGCCCCAACCCAAAGGCTGCTGGGAAGGGGGTTCTAAACAGAGGGCCTGGAATGCAGGTTGTACTGCCCTTGGTAACCTCACATGCCAGCTTAGGATCTGCTCCTCCTCCTCAGGGAGGAGAGACCCAGTTTTCCCCTTTGGATTAGCACCTTTTTTTTTTTCTTTTTTTTTTTGAGATTGAATTTCACTTGTTGCCCAGGCTGGAGTGCAATGGCACGATCTCGGCTCACAGCAACCTCCATCTCCTGGGTTCAAGCAATTCTCCTGCCTCAGCCTCCCAAGTACCTGGGATTACAGGCATGCGCCACCACGCTCGGCTAATTTTGTATTTTTAGTAGAGACAGGGCTTCTCCATGTTGGTCAGGCTGGTCTCAAACTCGCGACCTCAGGTGATCCGCCCACCTCAGTCTCCTAAAGTGCTGGGATTACAGGCGTGAGCCACCGCGCCCGGTGGATTAGCACCTTTCATGGACAAATCATGGTTGGAGGAGGATGGATCCCACCTCCCAGATCAGAGCTGCTTCATCAGAGCATTCTATCCTCTGGTTCACAGTGGTTGGCTCAAGGATGAGTGAATCACAGTGAGCCCTGGGGCTTCTGATGGAGCAATTCGAAAAGCCCCCACTTCCCACTGGAGTCACTGAGCCAGGACCATGGGAGCCTAGAGACCCCAAGGACCATCCTGGCTATTGTGAGGGGAAAGCCCGCCTGGGACTGAGCCCAAAAAAAGAGAAGCACAGAGGCGGGCGTGGTGGCTCACGCCTGCAATCCCAGCACTTTAGGAGGCCGAGGCAGGAAGATTGCTTGAGCCCAGGACTTCGAGACCAGCCTCGACAACAAAGTAAGATCCCATCTCTACAAAAAAACCAAAAAATTAGCTGGGCATGGTGGCGCATGCTGTAGTCCCAGGTACTCAGGAGGCGAAGGTTGCAAAGAGTTCAAGGCTGCAGTGAGCCATGATTGTGCCACTGCACTCCAGCCTAAGAGTAAGACCCTATCTAATTAAAAAAAAAAAAAAAGAAGGCCGGGCGCGGTGGCTCATGCCTGTAATCCTAGCACTTTGGGAGGCCGAGGTGGGTGGATCACAAGGTCAGGAGATGGAGACCATCCTGGCTAACATGGTGAAACCCCATCTCTACTAAAAATACAAAAAAAAATTAGCCGGGCGTGGTGGCAGGCACCTGTAGTCCCAGCTACTCGGGAGGCTGAGGCAGGAGAATGGCGTGAACCTGGGAGGCGGGGTTTGCAGTGAGCCGAGATCGCGCCACTGCACTCCAGCCTGGATGACAGCACAAGACTCCGTCTCAAAAAAAAAAAAAAAAGGCCGGGCTTGGTGGTTCACGCCTATAATCCTAGCACTTTGGGAGGCTGAGGTGGGCGGATTGCCGGAGGTCAGGAGTTCGAGACAAGCCTGGGCAACACGGTGAAATCCCATCTCTACTAAAAAAATACAAAAAAATTAGCTGGGTGTGGTGGCATGCACCTGTAGTCCCAGCTACTCAGGAGGCTGAGGCAGAAGAATTGCTTGACCCCGAGAGGCGGAGGTTGCAGTGAGCTGAGATGGCGCCACTGTACCCCAGCCTGGGTGACAGAGCAAGACTCTGTATCAAAAAAAAAAGGGGGGGCATGGAGCCCAGAGAGAGTTGGGTCTCTCCCAACATTATTCAAACACCTGGATCCAGGCATATCTGGAAACATCTACTTTTGGATTTCTCAATTACATTAGCCAGCAAATCCTCCTTTTCTGTTTTAGCTTCCTTGAAATGGGGATCAGCTCTAATTCTTTTTTTTTTTTTTTTGAGATGGAGTCTTGCTGTCGCCAGGCTGGAGTGCGCTGGCGCTATCTTGGCTCACTGCAACCTCCGTCTCCCGGGTTCAAGCAATTCTCCTGCCTCAGGCTCCTGAGTAGCTGGGATTACAGGTGTGTACCACCACGCCCGGCTAATTTTTGTATTTTTAGTAGAGACGGGGTTTCACCATGTTGGTCAGGCTGGTCCTGAACTCCTGACCTCGTGATCTGCCTGCCTCAGCCTACCAAAGTGCTGGGATTATAGGCATGAGCCACGGTGCCCAGGCTTTTTTTTTTTTTTTTTTTTTAAATAGAGACAGGGTCTTGCTCTACTGCCCAGGCTGGAGTGCAGTGGCATGATCATAGCTCACAGCAGCCTTGAACTCCTAGGCTCAAGCCATCCTCCAGCCTCAGGCTCTCAAGTAGCTGGGATTACAGGTACATACCACCACACCTGGTTCTCTCTCTCTCTCTCTTTTTTTTTTTTTTTTTAGTAGAGGCAGAATCTCACCATGTCACCCAAGCTGGTCTTGAACTCCTGGCCTCAAGCAGTCCTCTCACCTTGGCCTCCCAAAGTGCTGGGATTACAGGTGTGAGCCACTGCTCCTGATCTTCTAATTCTGTCCTAGGGCTGGTGTTGTCAGTTCAGGCACCCAAGGGAGGGAGTGAATGGGGATGTCACCTGCTTTATTTCCTGAAGGGGAGCCACAGCATGGGATGCACTGGTCACGTTGACCGCAGTAGGGACAGCTGTATGGGGTCTTCCTTCTGGTTTGTTGGCTCCTGCTGAGAAGCCCCAGTTGAGGTATGAGGGCCAGGAGGAGTGGCTGCTGGGGGCATTGATCAGCAAAGGTTTAGGGGTGGGAGTAGTGGATGGCACTGAAAGAGGTACCTGCTGCACTTTGACTGCTGGGGTCTGGAGAGTCAGACTGCAGCCACCAAAAGTCAGCTGGGGTTGGGCCTGCAGGCTGGCGCTCCTCTCGACTGGTGGGCTGAGCCTGGCGGAACCTGTTTATATACCTGTGAACATCAGGGGATAGGAGGTGAGTGGAGTGAGGAGAGCCAAATAATAATAAGAATAATTATAGCAGCCAACGTTTACCAAGCACCATGGCAGAGCCTGGTAGCTATCCCTCAATATCTGCTTTTCTTTCTTATATAGTCACATAACTGTTTTTGAGACAGGGTCTCGCTCTGTCACCCAGGCTGGAGGGCAGTGGTGCAATCATAGCTCACTGCAGCCCCCAACTCCTGGGCTCAAGAAATCCTCTCTCCTCAGCCTCCTGGGTAGCTGGGACACAGGTGCATGCCACCACACTCGGCTACTTTTTGTATTTTTATTTATTTATTTATTTGTAATTAATTAGTTTATTTTTTGAGACGGAGTTTTGCTCTTGTTGCCCAGGTTAGAGTGCAATGGCGTGATCTTGGCTCACTGCAACCTCTGCCTCCTGGTTCAAGTGATTCTTCTGCCTCAGCCTCCCAAGTCACTGGGATTACAGGCATGCACCACCACGCCCGGCTAATTTGGTAGAGACGGAGTTTCACCATGTTGGTCAGGCTGGTCTCAAACTCCTGATCTCAGGTGATCCACCCACTTTGGCCTCCCAAAGTGCTGGAATTACAGGCGTGAGCCACTGCAGCCCTGCCAATTTTTGTATTTTTAGTAGAAACGGGGTCTTGCCATGTTGCCCAGGCTGGTCAGGAACTCCTGGGCTTAAGGGATCCTGCCACTTTGGCTTCCCAAAGTGCTGGGATTACAGGAATGAGTCACTGTGCCCAGCCAGGAATGTAACTTTTAGCTGGGCACACAGCCAGTCTCCTATGGACTATATTTACCAGGTACCCTTGTAGCCTTGTGACCACGTGACTAAGTTCTTGACAAACAGGGTATGAAATGTGATTTTGGAAAGCTGATGTGGTTGAAAGCCATTTTGCACCATGAAGGAAAGGGCAACGGCCTAGAGTTCGGACAGCAACAAGACAGAAGTAACCTGTGTCCCTGACACCTCAACTACGGGTTGCCACATCATCCCTGGTGGCTTCTGCCTGGACTGCAGGTGAGGGAGGAATAAATTCTATCTTGTTTCAGCCATAATTAATTTGGGACTCTTTGTTACAGCAGCTGAACCTGTATTCTACAAATCTAAGTGGTGACTATGTGAGAAGCACTGCTAGAGATCATTATATATAGTAACTCACTGAAAGCTCAAAACAGCCCTAGGGGATGTGTACTATTAATATGCCCAATTTAGGCCTGGCAGTGGCTCACACCTGTAATCCCAGAACTTTGGGAGGCTGAGGCAGGTGGATCACCTGAGGTCAGGAGTTTGAGACCAGCCTGGCCAACATGGTGAAACCCCATCTCTACTAAAAATACACAAAATTAACCAGGTGTGGTGGTGGGCACCTGTAATCCCAGCTACTTGGGAGGCTGAGGCAGGAGAATCACTTGAACCCAGAAGGGAGAGGTTGCAGTAAGCCGAGATCATGCCACTGCATTCCAACTTGGGCAACAAGAGTGAAACTCCATCAAAAAAACAAAAACAAAAACAAAACAAAACAAAACACCCAATTTAGAGATAAATAAACTGAGGCTGGGCATGGTACGTCTGGCCTGTAATCACAGCACTTTTTGGAGGCCAAGGTGGGAGGTTTGCTGGGTGTGGTGGCATGCATCGTAATCCCAGCAACTCAGGAGGCTGAGGTGGGAGGACGGCTTGAGCCCAGGAGTTTGAGGTTATAGTGAGCTGTGATTGTACCACTGACCTCCAGCCTGAGTAACAGAGCGAGACCCTGTCTCTAAACAAATAAATAAATAAATAAAAAGAGATAAAGAAACTGAGGCCAAGATCATACAGAGAGTTAAATGACAGAGCTGGGATTTGAACTCAGGCAGTCTAGCACCAGAGTTCTTAACACACATAAACTGCCTGGTCCTAAAAGAGTGCTGCAGAAACAGCTCTGGCCATGATGATTATTACTGCATGCCTTCTCCCTCCCTCTAACCCAAAGCCTCTTTTTCCCCCAGGGCTGCTGGTACTTACTTGGCCACCACGGAGTCCCCGCTGTCAATCAGGGTGGGTGCTGGGGAGGCCCACATCTGTCCCTCAGTGGTGCTGGGCAGGGAGGGGGTCCCTGAACTGGATGGCCAGGACTCCTCAAACAGCTCAGGGGAGTTGGGACCTGTGGCTAGAGCCTTGGGAGCTTGTGGGAGCCTGGATCTCTGAGACCTGGATGGGCTCAGGGTCTAAGATCAGGGAAGAGCACAAGAAGAAAAAGTGTGAGGTCTCATGGGTCATCCCTGCAGGGGAACCAGGACACACACAAAGTCTCAGTCCAGAGGGGAGGAAACACATCCTGTAATGATAACAACCTAGTGTGATGGGGGCTCAGATGGGGAATCCAGGTGGTAGAGAGGGGGACAAGGGCAGGGCCGTGGGGAGGGGACAAGGGGCTGTCTCTTAAATCTCTCATCCCTATCTCTCATCACATGTCTTCCTACCCTCTAAAGGTCATTCTCTTGCTACTGGGCTGGCACTCAGCACTCTTTGAGGGGTGTCCTCACCTTGGGACACCAGGTCTGGCTCTGGGATGGCCAGTAGTGGCTTCGACCCAGGGGCGCATCTCCAAAGGGACTATCTTGAATGGAGAAAACTGGCAGGCTGCAAGAGGAAAGTGGGGTTCAGGCAGCACGTGGTTTCGCCGCAGCCCTGGGGAGGGGGACATTAGAGGAGGGCAGAACCAGACAATTCCCATAGATTCCTGGAGGAGACGGACTGTCATTTCCATGAAGCACCGTTGCACATTCAGGATATCGACAGTGGAAGGGTGAGTCCTGGGAGCCCGCCCCTGGAGCAGTCTTAACAGGGAGCAACTCAGGAACTGACAGCCGGTGGTTCTCAACCCTGGATCCAGTCTAGGAGGGGCTTTTCAACGTTACAGGCGCGCGGTTCCCATTCCAGACCAACAGAATCAGAATATCTATTAGTGGGGCTGGGCCTCCGTGTCTTTTCCGCAGCGTCCCAGGTGATTGCGAAGTGGAGTTCAGGTTAAGAATCGCGGCTCGCCGGGCGTGGTGGCTCACGCCTGTAATCCCAGCACTTTGGGATTACACCGAGGCGGGTGGATCACTTGAGGTCAGGTGTTCGAGACCAGCCTTACTAACATGGCGAAACCCCGTCTCTACTAAAAATATAAAAAATTAGCCAGGCGCGGTGGCAGGTGCCTGTAGTCCCAGCTACCTGGGAGGCTGAGGCATGAGAATTGCTTTAACCCGGGGGCAGAGGTTGCAGTAGCCAAGATTGTGCCACTGCACTCCAGTCTGGGCCAACAGAGCGAGAGACTCTGTCTTAAAAAAAAAGAAAGAAAGAAAGAACCGCGGCTGGATTATATCACCGAGCATTTCCCATACATTCCTGGGGGACACGAAGGCAAAGGGTAGATGGACTACAAGCCCCAGGATCCACTGGGCTCCGCCTCCGCGAGAAAGTTCAAAGACAACGCCCAGGCGTGTCTGGGGGCCATTTCAAAATGAAGAAATTCAGATCTCAAGCCTTTCTTGGACACCTTTAGAGGCAATAATTCCTTGGGGCCCACTCAGAGAGGAACATAAGACTCTTAGGGGACCCCCGGGATGCTAACGGCTACGGCTGGAGAGGCCAACGGCTGTGGAGCATGTTGGGAATTGTAGTTCCAGTGCGGTGGAGCCCTAGCGACTCCAGACCGTATCCAGCCCGTCCTAGGCTGTGCTGCTCTCGCCGTTGGTCCTCCCCAGCCTCCTGTAGTCCCTGGAAGAGCGATCGGCCTCACCTGCGGTCCATCCCGCGGCTCCCTCCGCGCTTCCGGCCGCTCTGCTCCTTCACCCAACAGGCCCCGCGCGCATCTCCGTCGCTTAGCAACGCCCTATCAGCCCCGCCCCTCTCTGTGCCCGCGCCGGAGGCGAGCGGCCTCCAAGGCGACCAATGAAAGAGAGGAAACAGAAGTACCCGGAGGGAGGTGTTTCAGGATTGGCTGGGACGACTGCCTGCCCGACAGGGCGTGTTTGATTGGAGAACCTGCCGAGTGTAGCAGTAATTGGCAAGACCGTGCACCAATGGGAAGGATCTGAGGCTGGGCTTGCGGTTAGGAGGTGATCTAAAGTACCCTCGCTTAAAAGTCCCGCTTTTTAAGCGCCTTCTTGCTGCAGAAGTCCTGTCCCGACCCCGGTCTAACTACCATTCTTTCTGTTGCAGGGGCAGTGGGGCGGGTTGGGGGGGGGGCGCGCTCTGCCCTCTCTCTAACCGCTATTCCTCCATCAGTTGGGCCAATCAGTCCGTCCCAACGGTCATCTAACTTCTTTCTTGCTGCAGGAGCAGCTGGTTGCATCAGTTGCCAGGTCTGGGCTCCTGGCCGAGGTAGCGGGATCAAAATGAGCTATTTCCAGCCCCAGCGCGCGGCCCCCGGGGGGCCAGCCTGAACTGTTCATGCTCGCGCCCCCTGGCCTCTGCGCACCAGAGGCTGAGTCAGAGGCACAGAATTAGGCCCGGCCTGCCGGGGGACTGGGCCCAAGGTCTGGCTGAGGATAAGGGTAGGGAGGGCCTGTTCTATGTCCTCCTGACATCCTGGCGGGGCTACCGCATTCTCCAGGAATCTGCTCCTAAAGACCTCCATCTGCGTCATCCTCAGAGCTGCCAGGGGGGAGGCAGTGGATTAAAGGGACTGGAAACTCTTCCGTGGGCCTCTTGGGTCCTGGGCCCCAATCACCACGCTGTGCTCCCCACACCCGCAAGGCTCCCCCTCCTCAGCCTTAGTTTCCTCTTCTGGAAATTGGGGAATCTTCATGTCACCTTCTTGACAGCATTTGCCAGGCATCCAGCAGGCGCTTAATAAATGGCCAAGTCATTGTTTGGGTTTCTAAATAAGGCTCTCCTAATGGCCGGGTCTGGCCACGGTCCCAGTGTCCCTGGGCAGCCCTCCGAGGGGCCGGCACAGGGCGCACTATAAATGAGCGGCTGCGCACGCAGGGGCACTGCAACGCGGAGGAGCAGGATGGAGATCCCTGTGCCTGTGCAGCCGTCTTGGCTGCGCCGCGCCTCGGCCCCGTTGCCCGGACTTTCGGCGCCCGGACGCCTCTTTGACCAGCGCTTCGGCGAGGGGCTGCTGGAGGCCGAGCTGGCTGCGCTCTGCCCCACCACGCTCGCCCCCTACTACCTGCGCGCACCCAGCGTGGCGCTGCCCGTCGCCCAGGTGCCAGGCCTGGGGAGGGGTGAACTCGACCACTTCCATTGCCAGGGGTCTGGGGCAGCCTGGGGTGGGAACATGTGAGAGAATGTTCGTTGGCCTTGGGCGGGGTGGAGAGTCCGCAGCTCCGAAGGGCTTCCGGAGTCAATGGGAATCTGAGGCCCGCACACTGCAGCGGGTGGGAGGTCCCCGTCGCTCTTAGGTGGGGGGCGGGGTGGGGGGCTCTCAGCTCTCCAGAGAATGGAAGGCCTGGGTCACTCTAAGGGGAGTCTTGCTTACTCTGAAGGAGGCTGGTGATCCGGGAAATCTGGGGAAAAGGAGGCGGGCAGTGACTCCTGAGGGGAAGGAATGTTCTTAGTCTCGGGGAAGAGTTGAGAGACTGTGTGCGGTGGCCCGATATCTCCAGAAGAGGAGGGGAGAGGGCCCTGCGACTTGAGGAAGGGTTCCCGGCCACTCTGAAGTGGGGGAAGGCTACCAGTAGCTGCCGAGGTCCCGTGACTCGAGTGGGAGAGTAGGCAGAGGACCCTGGAGACGGGGAAAGGGGCATCTTGGCGAGTTTGGCGGGGCTGGCGGAGAAGGGACCCGGGGCTCTGAGGAGGGAGCTGGGGAATCAGTGCCCTGGGGGGCACGATGACTTCGGATTCGCTGACACCGGGGGAGGGCAGAGGTTCCTGACCTTGCAGGGGAAGGGAGCCTCATCACTGCGGGGGAGAGGGCAATCCCAGATATTACAGGGGGAGGGCGTATCCCTGTTGTTCAGGGTGAAGAGGTCCTGGGTGACTCCCAGTAGGAGAGCTGACTGCTCAACTCCGGAGGCCAGAGTGAGCCGCGGCACGGAACCGACGGGGGTGGGGTCTCCCTGGGTGGGTCCTGGAGCCTGGCCCAGCCCAATGACAGTCCCGCCCGCGCCCGCTGCGCTCAGGTGCCGACGGACCCCGGCCACTTTTCGGTGCTGCTAGACGTGAAGCACTTCTCGCCGGAGGAAATTGCTGTCAAGGTGGTGGGCGAACACGTGGAGGTGCACGCGCGCCACGAGGAGCGCCCGGTGAGCCGCGGCGTGGGGCGGGGCTGGAGCGGGTACGCTCGCCGCCGGGCCGGAGGGGCGGGGCCGCTCAAGCCTCCCTCCCCTCCAGGATGAGCACGGATTCGTCGCGCGCGAGTTCCACCGTCGCTACCGCCTGCCGCCTGGCGTGGATCCGGCTGCCGTGACGTCCGCGCTGTCCCCCGAGGGCGTCCTGTCCATCCAGGCCGCACCAGCGTCGGCCCAGGCCCCACCGCCAGCCGCAGCCAAGTAGGAGGGGGCTGGGCCGCGCCCGCACCCCGGGAGCCTCCTCAGGCTCCCTCTATTAAAGCCGATCTGACTCCGCCCAGCCAGATGTCCCGAGTGCGCCAAGGACTGTCCTCTCACCCACTCCTGGATTCTGCCCTGACCTCCATCCTGGACACTGCCTTGATAACATAGACCCTTCCACTGACACCCTCGCTCTCACACCCCCTCCAGCTTTCCGACCCCACACCGACAACTCCCCGGCTTCCAGACCCTACCAGCACTACCCTAACCCTCAGCCGACAGTCTCAGCCCCACCGACCCACTTTCTTGGCATATAGCCCCACTTAAGACCCCTCCTCTACTTCCTTCTGAGTCCTCTACAAAGACATCCGGGTACTACATTTCCATCCCTTCCCTATTTTGACACCAAATTATGGTGTAGACAGCCCTCCCCCAACCCCAGGCCAGTCAGGCACAATCCCCCCACCCCCCAAACGTCCTGGACTGCACAGACCTCCCACTCCAGACCATCCAGGCCTGGTTCCCAAGACCCGATCCTTCCCCTGCAACCAGACAGTCTACAACTGCCCCCTCCAGCCCATTTTCTGCCGTGAAACCCCAGCCAGCCACACCAGACTCTGGAACCCTTTTTCGACTGCCCCAACTCTTGGACACCAGGCCAACTAGAACACCCAACACCAAACTGTACAGACTCTCCCACCCCAACCTCCCCAGACTCTGCACGGATGTCCTAGGCCCCCTCCCCAACTCTAACCAGACCCCATCCCCCTAAGTCCCTTTGTCTTGACCCCCAAGTCTTCAACCAGATATCCTCGGCAACCCACCTCCCACCCTCCTCCTCTTCTCCTTCAAGACCCAACTGAGCACCCGCTCTGATTCCCCACAGCCTTTCTCCCTGCCACCACTCCCTTAGTCTTTCCCAGGCTTACTCTCCCAATAAATGTGCTAGAGCTCTGCCAACTGCTTTGTGCCTGGGCCAGGAAGGAGGGACCGGAGCAGACACCAGTGTGGAGCTGGGGGATGTTTACTGGTGTGGGGGGACCTGGGAACATCACTGTCGTTCGTACATCTCTCGTAGGATCTTCATGCTTTCTGAGTAACGAAGCTGGTTCCGATGAGAGGCCTCCTTCCACCTGGGGAGGCAGAGGGGAGACTCAGCAGTTGCAAAGGGCCCTACGAGGGGCAAGCAGGCTGGGGGACGCTCACCTCTGGCGGATGCGTTTCCAGCGCTGCATGTTGCGATAGATGAGTGTGGAGGGTGAGGGCTCGGGCTCAGAGGGCTGCATGGACAGACAGGCCAGGTTGAGTGGCCATTCCTGAGCCCTACCGCATGTGCCCCATAACCCTGGGCCAGCCTGGCATACTCACCTCATCGTCAGGGGTGCCCTGCATCTCAGGCTGCAGTGGAGATGGGATGCGGGATCTGCAGGCATCTCCGGGTGGCCCCGGGGGTGTGGGTGGCGGCAGCTTGTACACATCACGACTCTTGCTGTTGGTTACCTCTGAGCCCTGGGGACACAAGGGCCCCATGCCAGGCCCAAGAGAGTCAAAGCAGAGGGGCTGGGAATCCACATTCATCCCTCCTGCCTTTCCCAGCAACAAATGGCATGAGGGGCTCGCTAAGGGACTCAGACAGGAGGCATGTATGAAGGGCAGACACCTCAACCAGCCAGCGGGTCAAGTGTGCCTGCCCCAGGGACCCCTGTCTTCTCCTATCCAGCCCAGAGACTCCATCTACACCTGTCAGCCCAGGGAGTCGCGTCTGCCTGCCTCAGGGAATCCTGTCTAGGGGGTCACGTCTGTGCCACCTAGGAAGCTCTGTCCATTTCTGACAGTCCTATATGTCTGAAGGGTCCTATATGTCTGTCCTGGGGACCCTTGTCTACCCCGCTGGGTCAGATGGCTTA
Source organism: Homo sapiens (assembly GCF_000001405.40). Taxonomy (NCBI): domain Eukaryota; kingdom Metazoa; phylum Chordata; class Mammalia; order Primates; family Hominidae; genus Homo; species Homo sapiens. Next base: position 35,753,618 of record NC_000019.10, on the reverse strand, counting down.
TAGACTCCCATCCATTCCTGCCCAGCCCCTGCTCCTCAAGGCCTGGTGGCCACTTCTGTCTGTACTAAGGACCCTTGTCTAGCCCCTCGGCTCTTGGGAACCCCTGATCTTGGAGGTCCACATCTAACTGTCCAGGGTAACCCTGTTCCCTGTCTCCCAGGCCAGGTGGTTACGTATGTCTTCCCTAGGGACTCTGATCCACACCCCAACCTAAGAGTGCACATCTGTGTGCCTAGCCTGATCCAGGATTCACGTGAGGGACCTGTGTCTGTCTATCCCACTAGCTTAGGGGCAGGATCCTTTGAGCCTATCCACCCACTGCCCTGGCACCAGGCTGCTGGGCTGGGACCCACTACCCATCCCACCTCCTCATCCTCAGGCAGCGGGGGCAGGGGTGAGCTGGGAGAGCATTCACGCTCGCGCACAGAGGGGCTGTTGCGCATCCAGGCGCGGCAGATTGGGTACAGTGGCGTGTTCTCGCTGAACTGGGCCAAGTCCACGCTCCGGTCGAACAGCTTGATCACATATGTGTCTGGGAAGGTGGGGATGGGAGGTGTGTGAGCATCCTTGCATAGGCCCTTGGCTCCTTACCGACCCTCTAGGGCCACTGTCTACTCACTGGATCGCTGCGGCCCTCCCTCAGCCAGCCCATCATCCATCTCCCTCCTCTTCTTCCTCCGCTGGTGGGGGAAGCGGGCAGATGGCCTGCGTAGGGAGAGGGAGTGTCAGGACTGGGGTAGGAGCTGGGAGCCTCTAGTCAGCTGGCTGGGACCCTGCCACCTTACCTTTTGCCAGTGGCTGCGATGGAGCAGTCCCTGTGGGGAAAGACAGTTGACCCTCAGACAAACGCCTGTGCAAAACCCTGCAGAGGGCACCCTGGGGATACTGGTATCAAACCTGAGATGCTCACATGAACCCCACTTGCCTCTTGGGCCTTTTGTCCCACCCATACCCATGGGGGTCTAGGTGGCAACCACGGGGGGACCTAAGCTTCTCCTGCCACAGGGTCTTTGTACAGGTGGAGTGGTCCGGGCCACGATGGAGGTAGCGCTGGGCTGAGCGGTCAGGGCTTGGATAAGGAAAGAAGTTACCAACCACGAACTCTCAACTCCAAATCCAATCAGAAAAACTCACTTATTGTGGGTGTCTGAGGGTGTTTTCCCAGCTTCCTCATCCAGACGCTCCCTAGAGGCAGAAGAGATCTCTCAGCTCAGGGTTCCAGGGCCCCAGAGAAGGAAGGCACCGAGCAGCCTCCCCATTAAGCACCTTCCTCCCCAAGTCAGCCTGTGGGGTCCCACCCAATCCACCCAGGATCAGAGGGCCCAACCCACCAGGGTGCCCGGCCCTGTGACCCCACGCTGGCCTACCTGTCCATGTGACTCTTCTCCAGCAGACACTGCAAGACAGCATCCAGTTGGTTCCGGGCTTTGGCCATCTCCAGCTCTGGGGCAAGAGAGGACCCAGCAGGAGTCAGCTCCCAGGCCCCAGCTAGGTGGGCAGCTGACTGGGCCAGGGAAGGGCGTGCGTGTCCTCTGCCCTGGCCAATCTCAGAGCCAGGCCCAGGCAGCCTGAAAGGGTGCAACAGGCAGAGATGGCTGGAGTGATGCCCAGAGCTCTGAGTTCCAGAGCTGTCCCACGTGATTGCTCTGTGACAGGAGGTAAGGCCAATCACCTTACCTTATGAGCCTTTTGGGTTTTAAAAAAATGTGTTTTAATATAATATAAATTTATTACAAAAAAATTGTATAGAGATGGAGTCTTAATGATATTGACCAAGCTGGTCTTGAACTCCTAGATTCAGGTGAGCCATCTCGGCTTCCCAAAGTGCTGGGATTACAGGTGTGAGCCACTGTGCCTGTCCCAGTGGCAAGGTTTAAATATGCTATATATTACAAATAATAACCCACTGAATTATCACAATAACCCTTAGAGGTAGATGTGATTTTTTTTTTTCTTGAAAAAGGATATCACGATGTTGTCCGGTTTTGAACTCCTGGGCTCAAGCGGTCCTGCTGTCTCAGCCTCCCAAGTAGCTGGGGCTATAGGCACATGCCATAGAGCCCAGCTCAGATAGATATGATTTTTATTCCTATTTTAAAGATGATGAAACTGAGGCACAGAGATGTTAGGCCACGTGCTCAAAGGCACACAGCAAAGAAATTGCAGAGCTGATGATTTGAACCCAGGCTGTCTGGTTCCAAAGCTGAAGTTATGAGACAGAGGCTCAACCTGAGTGCAGAATCTGGTTGAGGCAGTGGTATAATTTTATTTTAATTAATTAATGTATTTCTGTTTTGTGAGACGGAGTCTTGCTCTGTCACCCAGGCTGGAATGCAGTGGCATAATCTTGGCTCACTGCAACCTCCACCTCCCAGGTTCAAGTGATTCTCCTGCCTCAGCCTCCCAAATAGCTGGGATTACAGGCGCCCGCCACCACGCCTGGCTAATTTTTGTATTTTTAGTAGAGATGGGGTCTTACCACGTTGACCAGGCTGGTCTCAAACTCCTGACCTCAGTGATCTGCTGGCCTCAGGCTCCCAAAGTGCTTACAGGCGTGAGCCACCATGCCCGGCCAACAGTGGTATAATTTTAAATCTGAATTCAATCTGAATGAGCTGACATTTAAAAATTGGGAGATTTCTTTCTTTTCTTTTTTTTGAGACGGAGTCTTGCTCTGTCTCCCAGGCTGGAGTGCAGTGGCGTGATCTCGGCTCACTGCAACCTCTGCCTCCTGAGTACAAGTGATTCTCCTGCCTCAGCCTCCCAAAGAACTGGGACTACAGGCGCGTGCCACCATGGTCAACTAATTTTTTCTATTTTTAGTACAGACAGGGTTTCACCATATTGACCAGGCTGATCTCAAACTCCTGACCTCATGATCCACCTGCCTCAGCCTCCCAAAGTGCTGGATTACAGGCAGAAGCCACCGCACCCAGCCAAAATTGGGAGATTTCACCTAAAACATCCTGTTTGGGCTTTTTTTTCCCCCTCGGGAAATGAGATCTAGGCCCACCTTCCTGCCCAGTTAGCCTGTGGCTGCCTCCCGTCATCACAGAACTTGAGGAAGTGATGATGTTACGCTGTCCTCCTACCTTTGAGAGGTGTTTGCTCTGCCTTTCTGACTGGTGGGAGCTCTGGCTCTAGTGCTCAGAGCCTGGAGGGGACACCTGGGAACTTGCCTGACCAGTCCAGGGACTTCCTGAGAAGCCCAGGAGACACAGGGATTCAAACATAGCTCAGAGGAGAGACAGAGTGAGGGTGGGGAAGGGAGTAGCTGAGATTGCAGCAAAGCCTTGGGCAGATGCAGAGGGTACGGATCACGTCCACAACTCTCCTCAGGCCCAGCCTCTCTCCTGAACCCCCGACTTGGGCCTGAAGCCTCCCTCTCAAGGGTCGCCTCACTGTCCCCAAGTCCCTCCCTGTACCTCACCATGGATACCCCTCTCCCTCCCCTACCCAGCCCACCAACCCCATGGCCTGTCCACTAGGCCTCCCGAGTGTCTCTCCCACCCACCTCCTCCCTACTCTACCCATCCTGGTCCTGTCCTTTGCTCCCCCTTGGCTCCCTGCCTCAGTGTCCCCCTTCTGATACACCCTCCACAAGGCAGCCAGGGGAATCTTCCTGAAAAATAACAAACCTGACCCTGATCTTCCCTTGCTTGGAAACTTCCATGACTCCACAGCACCCAGGGGTGGAGTCTGCACTCCTCAGCCTGGCACTCACAGGTGTACACCTTCCCTCACCATCATTTGTGGTCACACCCACTTCTCTTTTCTTTCTTTCTTTTCTTTTCCTTTCTTTTTTTTTTTTTTTGAGACAGGGTCTCAATCTATCACCCAGGCTGGAGTGCAGTGGTGTGATCTCAGCTCACTGCAACCTCCGCCTCCCCGGCTCCAGCGATCCTCCTGCCTCAGCCTCCTGAGTAGCTGGGACTACAGGCTTGTGCCACCACACCTGGCTAATTTTTTTTTTTTTTTTGTATTTTTTATAGAGACAGCGTTTCGCTATGTTGCCCAGGCTGGTCTCAAACTCCTGACCTCAAGTGATCTGCCAGCCTCGGCCTCCCAAAGTGTTGGGATTACAGGTGTGAGCCACCGCACCCAGCCTCCCACTTTGTTTTAATAACACTTTTGCCATGGGACATCCTACATCATTTTACTATTATCTTTCTGTCTAAATTCTGCACCCCTCCCACTGCCCTTACCATGCCAGGCCTGGGATCCGGTCAGCTCCGCCCCAACCCAAAATTCTCTCCTCTTTCTAAGCTTCACCCATTGACCACAGTTCCTATTTTCTAGGATTACTGGAATATAGTGACTGTGAGGATTAAGAGTGCCTGTACTTCAGGCTCACAGCAAGATGTGTGACTCTGATCACTGCTGGAAATGGGGAAACTGAGGGGAAGCCAAGAAAAGAGAACTTCTCGGCTGGGCGCGGGGACTCACGCCTGTAATCTCAGCACTTTGGGAGGCTAAGGCGGGAGGATCGCTTGAGACCAGGAGTTCGAGACCAGCCTGGGCAATATAGCGATACTCCGTCTCTATTTAAATATTTTAAAAATTTAAATTAAAAAAAAGAGGAAAGAAAAGGGCCCTTCTCAGAGTTACCGGCTCAGGATTCCCCATGTCCTACCACGCACGTCATTGCCCGAGCCACCCCATTCAATCTCAAAGCGACTTCAAGCGCACACCGGGAGGGTGTGAAGGTGGCAGGCAACGCTCGCTGCCTGATACAGCGATTGTCAGGTGGGCTTCAGGGAAAAGTCGTGCAGTCCCCTTTCCGCGATACTCCCTTCCACCGGGACTCCACACCCTGTCAACCCGATGGTCCCGACAGGCCCCCGACGTCAGGGTCCTCACCTGATTTCTCCACTTTCACCTTCACAGGGAACATGGTTTGGGTCCGGGATCTGGCTAGCTGGGTCAGAGGCGCCCCAAAGGGCCTAGGGTCACAAGTCAAGGCGGGAGAAGGCGGGGACAGTTCAAAGATGAGCTTCGTGGGCCACGGGTCCTCCGCCTTTGGTTGTGTCCAGCCTGGACCGTGGCCACCACCCTTCTGTGGGCGGGCCCCTTCGGCAGTAGCTTGTTCCTATTAGTTATTGCAGCCGTCAATCTCGCATCCTGACCAATTGAGAGCTGCCTCCGTAGTCTCCCAGCTTTAGGTCCCACCCACCTGGGGCTTTGCTTCCGGAAACAAACCATCTACCCCCTAGCTTCCTGGGAGGTGTAGTTCCAGCTTCCCAGACTCACCCTGAGTAACAGCGCCTGCGCCGCGCGGGGCACGGTGGGAAACAAAGGATTAGGGCATCGCGAGGCTTCCCGGGACTTGTAGTGTGAGAAGGGTTGAGCAACACCAAGTTAGCTCTTTACCGGATTTAACCAACCGTTGGGGTCCCTTCATCCCTAAGAGGAAGACTAATGTAAAATAACGTTGGGTTCCCTCTCACTGAGCACTCGCTAGGTGCCAGGTATCTGTTAATCTCTTTGCAGGTACAACTTCATTCATTTTGCAAATATTTATTAGTGTGTCGGGCACTCTTCTAGGCATTGGAGACACCTTGAGGAACAGAATAGACAAAAATCCCTGCGCTAATGGAGCTTATCTTTTAAAGGAGGGAAGATAAACAGTAAACAAGTAAATTTTAAGTGAAATGTAATAGGAGAAAGAATATGATCTGGGCGGGGCATGGTGGCTCACGCCTGTAAATCCCAGCTCTTTGGGAGGCCTAGGCAGGCAGATCACCTGTGACCAGGAGTTCGAGACCAGCCTGGCCAACATGGTGAAACCCAGTCTTTACTAAAAATACAAAAATTAGCCGGGCATGGTGGCATGCGCCTGTAATCCCAGCTATTCGAGAGTTTGAGGCAGGAGAATCGCTTGAACCCGGGAGGCGGAGGTTGCAGTGAGCCGAGATCGGACCTCTGCACTCCAGCCTGGGTGACAGAGCAAGACTCCATCTAGAAAAACAAACAGACAACAACAACAAACCCCTCTCCCCCCCCAAAAAAAAAACCCACAAAAAAAGTGTAGCCTGAAAGGGACATAGGAATATCAAGGTGGTGATTGAATTTTAAATAAGATGGATGGTCAAGGAAGGATTCTCTGAGAAAGCTCTTGACTATTTTTATTTTTGCAGACAACACTTCCTTCAGAAAACGGGAAACTTCCATTTGTCACACGTCTTGGTCCAGATAAATCCCAGGAAGTAGCATCGTGATCTACACTTCTGATGAGAATACTGCAGCCCACAGTAGGAAAGTTATATTTTTGAATTCACGACTACCAGTACAGGATAACAGCCCCTAGAAATGGAAGCACTAGGCCGATCCTACCACTGCACTCCAGCCTGGCTGACAGAGCAAGACTCTGTCTCAAAAAAAAAAAAAAAAAAGAAAAAAGAAAAAGAAATGGAAGCACTATTCCTTTCTTAGTTTCTCATCTAATAGTTTCCTGAGCAGGAAAGTTCCTAGTTCAGAAGATTATGAGTAGTATGCACTGTAAAAAATGTACATCATGTCTAAATACTAAGCCTCGTACAAAGCTCTCAACAGATGTTTTTAAATATTAATAATCATTTATGCCTCAACCTCTAAAAGATCCCAGGAAGTCAGTATCGAAAGTTAGGGTCCTTTATTGGGGGATGTCAGCAGAGAACGTGGGACATGAAAACAAGTCTTAGGAGTTTGAGAAGGGGCTCCCAGGACAGGCTCCTCTGCTTTAAGGAGCCTGTCCTGGGAGAATAAGCAGGGCCCCAGTATGTGCAGAAGTTGTCAGGGGGTGCCCAGGGGTATGGTGAAGGAGAGGTAGTCCCCAAGGGCACCCCAGCGGGGCCGGTAGATCTGGAAGATGGTGATCCAGGAGGTGAGCACTATCACCCAGAAGAGGAAGCCCACAGCTGAGCGCCAGACATCTGTCATGGGAAACAGAAGCTGGAAGGGTTGGCCTCCGGCTGCTCTCCAGACTTCCCTAGACCAGCCTTCCCTTCTCACCCAGAGCCCCAACATTTTGGATCCTCCATTGTCCCTTCCCACCAAGATTCCCCGCTTCCCCCTCTCCCCTGCCACTGGCCTCCCTCCTCTGTGCTCTAGACTCACAGCCTTTGATTTGGCTCTGTTCTGTGTAGGCTGGGACAAGGAAGGCCTCTCGGAAGAACCAGAAGATGTTGACCAACCAGAGAAAAGGCAGGAAAGCAAACCCCCCTAGGGAGAAAGAAAAACAAACAAACAAACCCCAAAACCTCATAAGGCAATGAAGATCTTCTCCAACTCCCACCGAGATCTATTTGGAAGAAACTCTCCCACACCCAAGTTCAAATGGAGATTTCTGTTGTCAGGGACTCAGGAATCTGGCTCCTCTTTGGGATCCAGGAATCTGATTCCTCAACCATCTCTTTCACAGGACCCAAGAGTCCAGGCCCTCAATCCCCCTCCTCTCTTGGGATCCAGAAATTGAGGCCCCAGCTTCCTCATTCCTCAGGACCCAGGCCCTCCCCACTCAAATCCAGGAGTCGGCGTTCGCAGGTCCTTCATCTCTTAGACTTAAGAATCCAGGCCCCGAGGCCCTCTTCCCTCGGGTGCTCTAGTCCAGTCCCCTCTCTTCTCCTGGGACCCTAGCGATCTGCCTTACCCAGGTAGTACTTCCGGCACAGGTTCAATTTCTCCTCATTGGACACTCGCTCCAGGTTCATAGCTGCGCTGGGGCCGGGTCGTCCCAAGGGTCTGCGGGGCAAGACCCAAGCCTTGACCCTAAGTAACAGATGCAAGGATCACGAACAACCACGCCCCTATTAGAACAAATCAGAGATAAATGTAAAGGTCGGTTTGCTGAAAGCAGGGCATCCCCACCCCCACTAGTAAGCTGGCTGGATTAAAGAGCTCTTTATATTTACTAGGGTGGGCGAAACGACCCCCAACTCACCAGGAGAGCTCACTTCCTCCGGCTGGGGTGCCTTAGCTACTTTCAGTTATGGACGTTTGCGCGAGACGCCCCAGGTTTCCCTGGAGATTGTAGTCTTCTTTGGGCGAGGCAACACTGCACGCATGCGCTGTTAAAAGAACTCCTACCGGGGAGTCTATGGGGAGGGCGCGCGCCTCCCACGCGCAAGCGCCCTGGGGCGTTTCCGAGCGCTTGGTAAGCGCCTGGAGAGGGCAACGAACTACACTTCCCAGTGCTCCTAAGCAACGGAAGTGACGTAAGAGCAGCCAGACCTGGAGGGCTTGGGTAAAAATGGCTGAATATTTAGCTTCGATATTCGGGACTGAGAAGGACAAGTGAGAACGGGCGCTGGGAGTGGACTCTCGGGGGGTCGGGGCCGGGGTACTGGGGTCCTGGGTGGTGGGGCGGTGTTTCTGGGGTGCCCAGCTTCCCCGGCCCTCGGTTCACCTTTGTCTTTGCACCTTTTCCAGGGTTAACTGCTCTTTTTACTTTAAGATCGGGGTCTGCCGGCACGGGGACCGGTGCTCCCGGCTTCACAACAAGCCGACATTCAGCCAGGTGAGACCCGGCACGGAGCCTCGGGGGTTAACGGCTCCCTGGCCCTTCCCCTTCTGGGGCCGTCGTCACCATGTCCCGCCTATTCCGGGTTCCTGAGTCCCTCCCCACCGCCCGGCTTTTTTTCTCATTGGACCTTTCTGCAGGCTCCTCCCACCGGTCTTCGTGCCGTTTTCCCGGGAACTTGGTCGCGCCCCCATGCGTACAGGCTACACACGGCGGCTGTTCATCTTTGCCAGTCCCTTCCATCCCGCTGTTCATCCTTGCCAGTCCCCTCCATCCCTTTTCTGGTTTCTTAGGGGCAAAGGATCGCCGATGCACTCATGATGCTTAGGCTGGGGTGTAAGGTTCCACCCCCAACCTTCATGCCTCACTCTCTGTTCATGCAGCCCTGCCCTCTGAGCTCAGGCCCCGCCCCTTTTAAATTCTGTGCAGACCATAGTGCTGCTCAACCTGTACCGGAATCCACAGAACACAGCCCAAACTGCAGACGGATCACACTGTGAGTAAGGGACCAGGCCTGGGGGCAAGGTGAACAGCCCCCAGTAGGCTACACTCTGATTCCACCCTGCCCGCCCCCACCCCAGGTCATGTGAGTGACGTGGAGGTGCAGGAGCACTATGATAGCTTCTTCGAGGTGAGGGTTGGTAGGGGCAGATGGGGTTTCTTGTGGGAGCTCAGCTGAGTTCCTCCCCGTCTTCCACAGGAGGTGTTCACAGAACTGCAGGAGAAGTATGGGGAGATTGAAGAGATGAATGTGTGCGACAACCTTGGGGACCACCTCGTGGGCAACGTCTATGTCAAGGTGCTTGCTGCCCCCCACTTAGGGCCCAGAAGTGGAGGCGTTTCAATGCCTGATGGTGGCCACTGTAGGCTCTCAGCTTGAATTTCATCACTAAATCCAGTCCAGCCCCAGAGCGGGTAGTGAGTCCCCTGAAGATCTCTGAGTTCTCCTGCTGACCCTGACTGACATTTCCTGCAGTTCCGGAGGGAGGAGGATGGAGAGCGGGCCGTGGCTGAACTCAGTAACCGCTGGTTCAACGGGCAGGCTGTGCACGGTGAGCTGTCTCCTGTCACTGACTTCCGGGAGTCATGCTGTCGCCAGTATGAGATGGGGTATGGTAGTTCAAGGGTGGGATGGGCACTTGGAATCCCAGACTTTGAATGCGTGGTAGGGGCTGTCAGTGACAATGGCTTCCTCCATCTCTCTACCCTCTATGCAGGGAATGTACCCGAGGTGGCTTCTGCAACTTCATGCATCTGCGGCCCATTTCCCAGAACCTCCAGAGGCAGCTCTATGGGCGGGGACCCAGGCGCAGGTACCTCAGGACCAGCCTGCTATGTCTCCTCATGTCCTAAGGCCCCTATATCCTCAGATGAGCCTAACCCTAAGCCCCAGTAACCACGTTCCCAAGAATCTTTTTTTTTTTTTTTTTTTTTTGAGATGGAGCCTCACTCTGTTGCCCAGGCTGGAGTGCATTGGCACCATCTTGGTTCATGGCAACTTCCGCCTCCCGGGTTCAAGCAATTCTCTGCCTCAGCCTCCCAAATAGCTGGGATTACAGGCACCTGCCACCATGCCCGGCTAATTTTTGTGTTTTTAGTAGAGATGGGGTTTCACCATCTTGGCCAGGCTGGTCTGAACTCCTAACCTCGTGATCCACCTGCCTCACCCTCCCAAAGTGCTGGGATTACAGGCGTGAGCCACCACTCCCGGCTGACTGTTTTTTTTTTTTTTTTTTTTTTTTTTTTTTGAGACGGAGTTTTGCTCTTCTTCCGCAGGCTGGAGTGCAAAGGCGCAGTCTTGGCTCAGTGCAACCTCTGCCTCCCAGGTTCAAGCAATTCTCCTTTCTCAGCCTCCCAAGTAGCTGGGATTATAGGCACCTGCCACCATGCCTGGCTAATTTTTGTATTTTTAGTAGAGATGGGGTTTCACCACGTTGGCCAGCCTGGTCTCGAACTCCGGACCTCAGGTAATCCACCCATCTCGGCCTCCCAAAGTGTGGGGATTACAGGCGTGAACCACTGCGCCCGGTCATTCCCAAGACTCTTATACCCTAAGAGTAGTTCTGAGCTCCATCTGGAGACCAGTACCTAAGTCCCAATCCCCAAACCAGCCTGAACCCCTAATCCACGACCAGCCTGGATTGCCACCCCTGATACTGGCCACTGAGTTCCCCTGATACTGGCCACTGAGGTCGTGTCTTAGAACTCTAGTTATTTCAGCACCCTCCTGCCTCATCCCAGAGCAGAGAGGCAGGCCTGCAGGATCTCTGCACCACTCCTCAGGGTTCTAACAGAACTCTCAACGCTCCTATTCCCAGGTCACCCCCGAGGTTCCATACTGGCCACCATCCCCGAGAGAGGAACCATCGGTGTTCCCCTGATCACTGGCATGGCCGCTTCTGAGGCCCTGGCCCCCTTACCCTTCACCCCCAACAGGGACAGATGTTCCTGGCAGGACCTCTCCTCAAAGCCCCCTTCACTCTCCTGCCCCATCCTTCCCAGGCTCCCGGGCTCCATAATGTAATCTGTTCAGCATGGAGACCTTCTTCTACCGCCCCTGTCTTAATAAAGCTGCGTGTTTCACTTCGGCATCAACTTGCTTTTGCTGTGGTTTGGCATTTCCCTCCACCCACACATGTGACGAAAAGGGGAAACAAGACTGGGTCCTGGCCACAACTTCAGCTGAGGAACTTGGCACGGCCAGCTTGGGACCCAGGACCCTAACGGTACTGGTAGGGTGGGGACACCTTTGTGCTGAAAACCTTAGCACCTCCATCTGAGGCTTATTCAAGGGGGAGAGACCTGGTTGTGGCAGGTGGGAGGAGCCCTAGCCCCAAGGAGATTAGGATTCAAAGGTGAGGTGAGGTGCTGGGAGGTGGTCTCCAGCCAGTATGGGGCTGACTCCTCCGTGCCTGCCGAATTGTGATGGGAGTTAGTAATGCCTTACACTTAAACACTGAGTTTACTGTATGTGAGGTGCTGTTTTCAGCACTTTAGTTTGTTTTTGTTTTTTTTAAGGAGTTTCATTCCTGTTGCCCAGGCTGGAGTGCAATGGCACGATCTCAGCTCACTGCAGCCTCCACTTCCCAGGTTCAAGCAATTCTGCCTCAGCCTCCCAAGTAGCTGGGATTTACAGGCATGCGCTACCACGCCCGGCTAATTTTGTATTTTTAATAGAGACAGGGTTTCACCATGTAGGCCAGGCTGGTTTTGAACTACTGACCTCAGGTGATCCACCCACCTGGGCCTCCCAAAGTGTTGGGATTACAGGCATGAGCCACTGCGCCCGGCGGCCAGTTTTTTTTGTTTTTAGAGATGAGGTCTTGCTGTGTTGCCCAGGCTGGTCTGTAATTCATGGCTCAAGCAATCCTCCTACCTTGGCCTCCCTAGTAGCAGGGACTACAGACGTGAGCCACTGCACTTGGCAAAGTGCTTTGCTGTTTTTTTTTTTTTTTTTTTTTTTTGTAAAGATGGGGTTTCATTTTGTTGTCCAGGCTGATCTCTCGAACTCCTGGGCTCAAGTGATCCTCCTGTCTTGGCCTCCCAAAGTGTTGGGATTACAGGCATGAGCCACCACACCCAGCCCCTGCTTTACTTCTAATGACGGTTCTAATTCTCCACAATAACCCTATGAGACAGGTGCTATCATTGTCTTATTTTAGGGATGGAAAAGGGAGGGTGGGTGGGTGAGGACACGGCAGAGGTGGGATATGCATTCTTGCAATCTAGATCCGCAGCCCTGTTAGTCCCCTAGTGGCCTTGTGGGCTTCTCTGATAACCGGCTCAGTTGGGGGATGAGGGCTCGGGGGTAGATTCCCGGCTTCCGAAGAGGCGTGAGAATTCTGTTCCCCCACATCACCGCGTCCTTTCTTCTGCCCGATTTCCCCGGAAAGTGTAGCAGAGGCGCTGTGTTTGGAAGTCCCGCTATCACGGCCCCCCAGATGGGGCCTGGACGATGCCTCCTGACGGCCTTGTTGCTTCTGGCCCTGGCGCCACCGCCGGAAGCCTCCCAGTACTGCGGCCGCCTTGAATACTGGAACCCAGACAACAAGTGCTGCAGCAGCTGCCTGCAACGCTTCGGGCCGCCCCCCTGCCCGGGTGAGAATCCGAGACCGAGCCTTGCTTGGGCGGAGCTTGCAGGTGATAGGGAGCGGGGAAGGGGCGAGGTCTGTGGGCTACGGGCCAGAGAGGCTTGCTTAGGGGTCTAAGCGGTGGGCCTTATGCAGATCAGACAGGGATGGCAGGCAGAGCCTGTGCAGATAGTGCGGGCTACCGTAGGGCAACAGCGAATGGATATGGCTGGAGAGGCGGGATAGGGGCCGCGTGGAAAGGGTGGGCTTTATGTAGAGAAGCCGGGAGTGGGCGGAGCTTCGTGCGGAGCAGGCTGGAGGGGGGTGAAAAGGCGAGCCCGGAGAAAAGTGACAAGACCGGGGCGCACGCTAATAGGCTGGAAGCGTCCTGGAGGGGCGGGGCACGCTGGGATAGGGCGAAGGGAGAGGGCGTTGCCCGCGCAGGGGCGGGCTAGGCGGCCGCACTGGAGCGCAGCTTTCCCGCTAGACTATGAGTTCCGGGAAAACTGCGGACTCAATGACCACGGCGATTTCGTAACGCCCCCGTTCCGAAAGTGTTCTTCTGGGCAGTGCAACCCCGACGGCGCGGAGCTATGTAGCCCCTGCGGCGGCGGAGCCGTGACCCCTACTCCCGCCGCGGGCGGGGGCAGAACCCCGTGGCGCTGCAGAGAGGTGCAGATGGGACTCCCGGCAGGGCAAGGGCGTGCTGGAGGTGGGGGGCCTAGATGTAGGGAGCCGGCGTAGCCCCACGTAAGGGGTGGGGCCGTGGTTTCAGGAGGTGGCTGGCCTGCAGGGGTCGGGAGGTCCTAGGTTAAGGTAGTTGGGCCTTGCGGGGCCCAACTACCTTATCAGATACCGTATCAGATGGGATGTGGCCCCATTAAAGGATATAAAGTTGGGAGGTTTGGGAGCGGGCAGGAGTGGAGTGTGGCCTCCAGCTTTACTCCAACCCCTTATCCCCAGAGGCCGGTCCCTGCCAAGGGGCACTGCCCCCTCACACCTGGAAACCCAGGCGCCCCTAGCTCCCAGGAGCGCAGCTCACCAGCAAGTTCCATTGCCTGGAGGACCCCTGAGCCTGTCCCTCAGCAGGCCTGGCCGAATTTCCTTCCGCTCGTGGTGCTGGTCCTGCTCCTGACCTTGGCGGTGATAGCGATCCTCCTGTTTATTCTGCTCTGGCATCTCTGCTGGCCCAAGGAGAAAGCCGACCCCTATCCCTATCCTGGCTTGGTCTGCGGAGTCCCCAACACCCACACCCCTTCCTCCTCGCATCTGTCCTCCCCAGGCGCCCTGGAGACAGGGGACACATGGAAGGAGGCCTCACTACTTCCACTCCTGAGCAGGGGTTAGTCCTGGAGGAGCCCCGGGGCAGGGAAGGTGGACTGGACGCCCGCTCTTCCGCACCTTTACCCTTCCCCTTTCTTCCAGAACTGTCCAGTCTGGCGTCACAACCCCTGTCTCGCCTCCTGGATGAGCTGGAGGTGCTGGAAGAGCTGATTGTACTGCTGGACCCTGAGCCTGGGCCAGGTGGGGGTATGGCCCATGGCACTACTCGACACCTGGCCGCAAGATATGGGCTGCCTGCTGCCTGGTCCACCTTTGCCTATTCGCTGAGGCCGAGTCGCTCGCCGCTGCGGGCTCTGATTGAGATGGTGGTGGCAAGGGAGCCCTCTGCCTCCCTGGGCCAGCTTGGCACACACCTCGCCCAGCTAGGGCGGGCAGATGCATTGCGGGTGCTGTCCAAGCTTGGCTCATCTGGGGTTTGCTGGGCTTAACACCCAATAAAGAACTTTGCTGACTACTAAGCCCAGTATACAATTAGCACTGAAGTACTTCTTGAAGTACAATCCTAATTGGGCAAAGACCCAACAGATAGCCTCACTGCTCTTCGCCCTAGAAGGGCCTATTCCAACATACACACAGGGCCACATGTGGGAGGGCTGACCCCAGGTGCCTCTGGGCCACCAGAATCCCCTCTGGGAAACAACCCTGCTACAGACAGTTGCTGTGTTGTGTTGTTCTGAAGCCGTAACAGACCCCATGACTGACTTCTAATTCTGAATGATGGCCTCACCTACCTGTTGAGGCTGATGAACTTCCTTGGGTCATGATGGGTGGGTGTGTAGAAGTGGGGTTCCTACCTGCCCCCACAGCCTACAAATGGGAAGACCACCTCTCCAAACATTGACAGACTTTATTGTGGGGGGGTTCCCACCTGGGACCCCACCTCTTAAATAAAAAAGTGCATAGAAAAGAAGGGATTTAGAAACCTTTGTACAATATCTACATCCTGGGCCCCCAGGGCAGAAAGGGGGCGATTGCTGGATGGGCTGGAGGGGTGGAGGCAGGGCCCTTGTCACCTGCATGCCCACATCCACCCTGAACATGAGGGTGGGGGTGAGATGCTCTGGGAGGGGCTAGGGAGCCCCCAGGCTAGGGGCAAGATGGCAGCGACGGCAGCAGGAGGTGTGAGGGGTCGTGGTGGGCAGCCACGGCCTCAGTTAAGGAACCGACGGCAGCGCTTGGCGCCACAGTTGCAGGGCAGCTTGTTGCTGGCATCCTCGATGGGGAACTTGTAGTCGTAGGTGAGCTCCTCACCACGCAGGATGCGGCGCAGGGCGAAGATAACAATGTGTTTCTGGCCCTCCACGTGGATGACCCGAGAGAAGCAGTTGGGCTCACAGGAGTGGTTGATGAAGCGGGCGGCATTGCCATGCATCGTGGCGTCCACTACATCAAAGTCATCCATGCGGAACATATAGCACCCGATGCCCTGCAGGGATGAGGTGGGGAGATCAGGTGCTCTGTCCCCGCGGACAGGCTCGCTTCACCCACTGTCTTCCCACAGCCACTGGGAGCCCACCTTCCCATCGTAGAACTTCTCCCGCTTGTCAGTCAACACCGAGCGGATGACAATGCCAGAGTACTCGATGACCATCTCCCCCGCGTCGATGTTGCGCTTACAGAACAGGCCTCGCCCGTGGATGGCTGATCTGCAGGGCAGGATGAACAGGGAACTCAGGGGGGAGGGGGACAGAAACCAGACAGTACCCCCTACCCAGTGCACCTGTCCGTCCACCCAAGGGGCATCCTCCCCCCCAACCCCACTCACCTGTAGACACCCACAGCTTCTTTGGACGTCTTCTTAAGGTGACGAAAACGCATGGCCATGGGCAGCTCCAGGCTGGTGGCACGTCTGGTGAGGGACAGCAGTGTCACCCAGGCTGGTGCTCAGAATGACCTCTCTCACCCCTGCTCACTCTCTAAGACCCTTCCAGACCACCACCCGCCCCCCAGCTCACACTCCATACCTGGTTGACCTGAGCTGCACCTCATCCTCTTCCTCATCACAGGTGGCCCCCTCAGGGAGCACCCGGTGCTGGGAGGCCAGGAAGTTGAACATGTCAAAGGTGCACTTCCTGCAGGTGGCAGCAGGGGAAGGAGGAATATACTGTTGAAGACAGAGCTAACAGGGAAATGGGTGGGGTTCATTTTTCTGATGTCAGCTCTAGAAATAACTTTTTTAAATTTTTATTTTAGAGATGGGGTTTTGCCATGTTGCCTACGCTGGTCTCCAACTCCTGGGCTCATGCGATCCTCCTGCCTCGGCCTCCCAAAGTGGCGGGATTACAGGCATGAGCCACGGAGCCTGGCTAACTCTAGAAATAACTCTTCAAGTGACCTAGTGTCTCCTCCCCAGGCCTCAGTTTCCAACCTCTACAGTTAACTCCCACCCTCAAGAGCTCTCATAGGGGCGCCCTGACCCAGGCATCACACCCCAGACCTCTCACCGGAGATAGACCTCTGCCCGAGCAGCCCCATGGGGATTCAGGGGCGGCTCCTCCTGGCCCTCTCCCTGCTGGTGGTAACGGAACTTATAGTGCTGGCAACGCTGGGCTCCGGGGAGCTGCTCGGCCAGGAAGATGACAGCATCATGGTGGATGCCCAGGAGTCTCGCCCCACTCATTCCTGAGGGGAGATGTTGAGGACACACCTGTCATGTGGAGGGCCCATGGTGCCCTCGGGGAGACATCCAGCTCCCTGCCCCCTGTGGGGCCCACTCCTTACCACTAAAGGAGAGATGTCTGAGTCGGGCATGCCCTCGGGCCTCTTGCACTTTCTCGATCAGAGTTCTCCACGCCCCTGGGGAGACAGCAGAGCCAGAGCTGAGTCAGGATGGTGTTTTATGGACACTCTCCCTCCTGCCACTGCACTCCCCCCACTCACCCTCCAAGCTCTCTGCCTCAACGCTGAACCCATCCTCACTGCTGATCTCGAAGCGCAGATGTGGGCCAGTCCGTTTTGGGGCCTGGTTCTCTTTATCATCTGGGGATGGAGGCTCTTCCTCAGAGCTCGAAGCCTCACCTGGTCCCAAGAAGCAGGTTGGAGTGAAGATCACCCTTCCCGGACTCAAAAGCCCCTGAGCCCCGCTGTGCTCCCAGCAGACACCACTCTCTCCACCCCTAGGCGCAGACACAGATACTAGGGTCTAATGGCCCTCCTTCTGCTCCAGTTACCCAGTGAGCCCTGCAGAATGGACATTTCTTCCCCTAAGGAGCCTGCGGCTCCTCTTCTGCAGGACTTCTTGGGTACAAAAGCATTCCACAGAGGCTTGGGGCCTTTTGGCTCTTCAGGACACGCCTATGGCTCACTCAAACCCAGTGTACCATACATCCCATCTACCTGTCATTATTCTGTTTCTCACACAAAATTTAAAATACTGGAGAATTGTATTTTGCACATCTATTTTTTTTAGATGCAGCAAATTTCTGTAACTGTTACAAACATAAAATTATCATTTTTTGAGACAAAGTCTCGTTCTGTCTCCCAGGCTGGAATGCAATGGTGTGATCTCGGCTCACTGCAACCTGTGCCTCTCAGATTCAGGCAATTCTCCTGCCTCAGTCTCCCGAGTAGCTGAGATTACAGGCGCCCACCACCACGCCCGGCTAATTTTTGTATTTTCAGTACAGATGGTGTTTCACCATGTTGGCCAGGCTGACCTCAGGTGATCCGCCCGCCTCGGCCTCCCAAAGTGCTGGGATTACAGGCGTGAGCCACTGTGCCCAGCTACAAATATATTATTATATAGGCTCACATGCACAGAGCCAAGTACACTGTATGTTATGAGCTATTTAGGGGATTTCTCGAGGGTTAATAGATTAAACAGGGCAGACGGGATATGCTGACGTAGTAGATGTGGATGTGAAGAAGGGGGATGGGGGTCGGGACAACGCTGGGCTTGAACACCTGGAAGGATAAAACTGCTGTGGACTGAGACAGCGAAGGCAAAAGAAGAATGGGTTTGGCGTGCAGGTGGAGGGCTCAGTTTGGGACAGGCTGACTTTGAGAGGCCTCTTAGAAACCTCCCCCTGCAACCTGCTGGTGGAGATGGTGGGCAGGCAGCAGGACAGGATGGAGGAGGCCACAGTTCAGGGACAGGGTCTAGGCTGGAGAGAGCAATGTGGAGACAATCAGAACACAGACGGGAGGACAGCCACCAAGCTGGAAGGGAGCCCCTGGGAGTGAGCATACACAGAAGTCAAGGCCAGGGTCCCGGGACACATCTAGCCTGACAGCTGTGAGCAAGGAGGCAGGACCAGAGGTGAGAGCAGGAGCAGCCTTGGAAGCCGGGAAGACAATGCTTCAAGGCGGGAGGGATCCGCTGCACCAAACGCTGCTGCTGCTCAAGCAGGTGTGGGCTGGGGACTGACCACTGGGGGTTGGGGGCACAAAAGCTTGAGTGGAACAGGCTTTAGGAGAGGCAAAACCCACATGGCCACACTCTCCCGATGTCACCTCTCCAGGCCACCCTGCCCCACCTCCCCTGCCCCAAGGGAGACTCTAAAGCAACACTCCTGCCGTGTGACTCCCGTCTTCTCCAGGCCTCAGTGCCCCAGAGTCCACCTCTGTCAACTTCTTCCCTGTGTCCCCCAACCCTCACTTCCAGTTTCCCAAACACAGCAGGACTGACCACAGGACCCTGGCAGGTGCTCTCACTGCTCGGTTTCTCAGTGCCCACTCTAACCTGCCCTTGCTAACATGTCTGTGTCCCGCACCAAAATGTGGTCTGATCCCTGAGGACAGGGACCTCCTAAGGCCACTGCCATATTCTCATGTCATCTCTGAGACATAAGCAGCCTCTGAGTTAAGCACTCTCAATCCACGTCACTCTGCTTCCCAGCTCAGCAACTGAGCTGTGTGTCATGAGAAAATCCAAACATCTGGACAGGATTGGGCCACCACAAAATCCCAGCCTCAGGCTGCTCGACCACCAGCTTACCTGGCCGCAGCCACTCCCCCAGCCACTGCCCTCAGGGACCAACAGAAAACTCCACCACTCCACCGCCAGCTTCAAGGAGTCCATCAGCCAAGCCTCCTCCAGGGGCCTCCACCCCATGTATTACAGTTTCTGCATAAACACCTGCTTTCCCTCCTCTCCTTTACCTCAGAGGTCACCAGTTCAAAACCAGCCACCAGGCCTCTTCCCACTGCCTTTTCCATCCCAGCCTGCCCTTCCCTGCCATCCATGGCTCCGCTGTCTTGGCCCTCACACCAAGCACCTCCACGCTGCTCGCCCACCTCCCGCTCCCGATCCTTAGCTGAACTCTGGCCAAGTGCTTGGGCTGTTTTGCCTTCTTCAACCATGGTCTCAATTCTGGACTTGGACACAACGCCCCACCCTGTGCCACCTGCTCTCACTGGACACCAACGCTAGACTCCACAGGCCTGGCAGTCTCTGTGGCAGCTGAGATGTGACGACTCCCTTCCCTGGGCCTCTGGGACACCACTCTTCTGATCTTCCCACTGTCCCTGACCCTCATCTCGGTGCTAGCTGGGCTGCATTCCCTCTAGATGATCCTAGAACTTCACCTTTGGCTACTCTAGGAAGCTCTCTCTCAGCTCCTGGCAGGCTAGGCTCTGAGGCCCTCCCCTAGGCTCTTGGGCATGCTGGACAAAGACCCTTAAAAGGATCCCACGTAGAGGCGAAATGTCATTTCCATGTCTGTTTCTCCCACAAGGCCAGAGGCTCCCCAAGGTCATCTCTAACTCTAGCACCGAGCCTCAGGCTTGGCCCCTGGGAGTAGATACTGGTTTTGAAAGAGGGCTGATTTTGCATCTGTGAGTCACCCAGCTGAGCCAGGCACAGGCAAGGAGGGAGAGGGCAAGGCCGGTCCCTACCTGAATAGTGGTGCCACTGGGACTCAAGCAGCAGGTCTGGGGGACCATCGGGGACCTGGGGAGGACCATCTTCCGGAAGTGGCAGCAAAGGGGACCGTTCCTGGAGGGGCCTGCGAGAAGAGACCTGTCAGGAAGGGGAAGGACAGAGGTCCCAGACCCTCCAGGGAGAGGGGCCTGGCCACTCACCCAGGACTTTCTTCCCCAGCGGGCTCCCCAGGCCGATCCAGGTCAAGGACCCCACGCACTGTGGGGGTTTTCATCCTCACACGGCTAAACCTGGGAGGGCGAGCCCGAGAAGGATGAGCCGCATCTCCCGCCCATCTGCCCCCTTGCCTGCTCTGCCAGCCTCAGCACCCGCACTCACCCGCCACTGCCAAGCCCTGGAACCTGAGGGGTATCCTCTGAGGCCTCTCCATCTTCATCCAGCCGGGGGGCTTTGTATGGGGGAGGTGCTGGCGGGGACCGGCCGGAGAAAGTGGACACCCTCTTGACGCGGATGGCCTGGCGGGGCGGGCTGGCTGGCCCACTGCTCAGCACCAGCGTCAGGGGAGGGGGTGGCGGGGGCGGGGCAGGGCGGACCACTCCGACCACGGGCAGCACGCCGAGGAGGGGGCCTGGGGGCAGAGTCCAGGAGGTGGGAGCCGTGGGGGAAATGGTGGGGGGCAAAGGTGGCTGCTTCACTGGGGGTGGGACAGGTTCACCCTCCCCAGCCATCTTCACAAATACTTGCCCCAGCTTGTTGACAAGTATGATTTTGGATGTGGCGGGTTTGGGGGGCTCAGGGGCAGGGCCAAGGCTTAACACCCGGACCCCTGGGGCCCCTGGGAGCCAGGCAAATGTGCGGGTGGGGTCAGCTGGGCTGGCGGTCAGGCCTTGGGAGGGCTGGCTGCCATTAGCCAGGGGAGGCGCCGGGGGGAGTGACTCCTCTCTAGGGCCAGCACCTCCATCCCCAGGACCCCCTAGGTTCTTCAACACAAAATCCACAATTTCCGATGGCAGGTCCTCAGGAGGCCGGGCCCTGTCCCCTGCAGCCCCAAGGACCCCTGCCCGGACTACTCCTGGCCCCGAAGGAGGCGTGCCCTGGCCCCGAGGCTGCTGCACCGCCTCAGCCTCACTGTCAGTGCCGTCGTCCACGCCGTCCAGCTGTTCAATGCGGGGGGCTCCAGGGGTAGCGCTGGGGGCCAGACCAGGGGCGGACACCACAGTCACAGGGAAGTGGATGTAGCGGGAGGTGGGGCTGGACTCCTCCTCGGAGCTGTCCCCCGGGCCCCCGTGGCTGCTCCCCATGGCCCCAGCGGCTACAATCTCTTCCTGGAAGGGCTCAGTCCCCAGCAGGCTGGCCGCGAAGTCCAGGTCAGCAGCACTCAGTCCTGACACCACCTCCATGTCCTCGAAGTCTGGGCCCAGGTCTTCAGGGGGTGGTGGAGATGGGGCCGGGCCAGGGGGAGCCAGCTCCCCTGAGGTAGGTGTGAGGGCTGTGACGACTGAGGTAGGAGGGGGCACCCTGAGCTGAGGGGAGGTTTTTAGAGGAGGGGAGGCCCACCGTGATGGAGGCGGCCTGGGAGCCAAAGGGCTGGGACGACGGGAACGTCTGGGGGGAGCTGGGAAGTCCGGGTCTCCCACTGTGGGGATGTGGTGGGTCAGTGAAGATGGACTTCCTGTGGGGGGAGGGTTGGTGTTACCAGCAGCTCCCACCTCCGCGGCTCCACCCCCAACCCCCACATGCCCGGTGCTCACCAGGGGAGGGCAGGGGGCCAAAGGAGACACCCCCCAAGGGCCTCCGGGATGGCGAGTAGTTGGGCACTTTGATTCGAGCCCCCGAAAAAGAACGGGGGGCTGGAGGAGGGGCGCTGCCTGAATCTGGCCGCAGTGGAGGGTCCAGGTTCTGAATGGGCGAGTGGCGCTCAGGAGCTCCAGGGACAAGAACATCTGTGTCCAGTGGGGGGTCCTCACCACCTGGGGGCTCTGAAGAGGCGAGAAATGGCATTGGGGTGGTAGGGGCTCTGTGTCAAAGCCTGCCCACATGCTCTCATCCTGAGCCACTATGCCTCCCAGGTCCCCGACCCTGACCCAGTCACAACAGGCCCCAGTTTCCAGTGACCACCCAGGCTAAACCCACCGTGGAGTTGGCAAAACCTGCACACACCTGGGCCAGGGGGCCTTCAGGGCCTCTCCCCACTCGCTCCTTGCCATCTCCTCTCTGCCTCTGCTGCAGGCTTTGCACGCCATGGGGAACTGCCCTCCCTCCAGCACGGCCAGTCCTACCACTTTCTTACTTGCCTGGTGCATCCAAGCCACATCAGACGCTCCCGCCCGCCCCGGCCCGGAGGCTCTCCATTACCTGGCTCCACCCAACCTCTGCAAACTGATCTCCCTCCTCCACCCAAAACTCCCTGGTTTCCAGACGGGATGGGTGTACCCTCCTCCTCTGTCCACTTCTTGTCATGCTCCAACCTGGAATAAAGCCCTTCCTACCATCCAAATCTCTTCTGCCTCCTGCTCTGCCCACAATAACCTCTCCCCCATCTCCAAGCCCATTCTTTGCCCTGTGCCATCCAGCTCTCAGCCACATCCCACAGCCAGTGTGGCTGTAAGGGGGCCGGTTTGGGAGCTGAGCAGATGCAGTTCCAATTCCAGCTTCCCTAGCATGTTACTGTGTTCAGCCACTGTCCCCTTCAAGGTGTAGTATGGCGACACTGGAGAGCGCTCCATGAGCACAGTGCCCCAAGTTAGGGAGCTGTAAGCACTCTACTCCCTGCAGTCGTCCAAAAGCCAGTACCCCACCTCAAGTAGGCAGCGTGCCGCTCTCCCCACCTCACTTCCCATGAAAAGCCGGGCACAGCCCCTGGCACACAAGGCATGGCAGTAAGCGAGCTGCCGTTACATTACAGCAACTGAAGCAAAAGCAAGCCTCCTGGACTTTCCAAAAGGGAGCGGGGAACAGAGATCTGTAGGTTTGTTTAGGGAGAGCGGTATTCAGGAAGAAGACAGAGCCAAAGCCACACCTGAGGAAGGGGCGGGGCTGTGCACAATGGTCTGGTTCTCCTCTGCAGCCTCCAGGTGAGCTGGCTCTTCCCTCGGCCCCCATGGCCGATACTCCAGAATTCGGCACCGATACCAGCAGCGCCTCCGAGCATCCACTGTGCTCCAGTACAGACGGGAGCACCTGGCATGTGGGATAAGACGGTTAGGATGCTTGGGAAATGGGATCCAGCTATGGAGTCCCCTGGCCCCATGGATCACCCCGACCGCTCACTGGTAGCCAATGGGGAAGAGCCGTCCCTCGCAGTCCGAGAGATCAGACAGAGTACCCAGGGAGTCAATGCGGATGGAACCTGTGGTGCAAAGCGGAGGTCAGGAGAGGCAGGCAGGACAGGGTAGGAGGACAGGGCGGAGAGCAGGCAGCTTACCAATGAGCACGTTGATGGCATCGGGTTCAAGCCCCGTCAAGAACTTCCGCTTGAAGTTGATGCCCTCGAAGTCCACATAGACTCGGCGGAGAACATCAAAACCATCGGGGTTCACAATTTCCTGGAAGAGGGGGTGGCAAAGTGAGGTGGCTGCATTGGTGGGGGAGGTGGATGCCAGGGAAGTCTGAACAGTCAGGGGCTTGGCCTAAAGGCCTCTGGGAAAACAGATGAGGAGACACTGAGAGGCAGTAGGGCCAGGCCTGGGGGCCACGGGGGTCCCTAAGTGAACAGGAAGAGAGGTGGGGAAGGAACCGTGTACCCCACAGTTCTGGCCCACCTTGCCATCCAGGAGATCAGTGTGTTTCTGGCAGAAGACTTTCTTGTCATCCTGGAAGATGCAGTAGCTGGCCCGGGCACACATGAAGTGGAAGTTGCTGAGGCAGGAGGACAGGCAGCAGCCCACCGTGGCGCCAGGCTTCAGGCAGAGCTCGCAGCGCTGCGTAGGGGAGGGCAGCTCAGGGGAGAAGCCAGGGCTGGGGCTGGGCGCCAGGCACCACTGTCACTGAGTCTGCATGGGTCCCTGTCTAGCCTGGCACGGCAAAGGCTCTCCCTAGGCGCAGCCTCTCCCCAGCCGCATCCAGGCCCAGGTGCACACCAAACTCTCTCTGGTTCTTTGAAGCAAGAATGACAATACTTGCTGATAGCATTAGTGTGATTATCTTTGTCACAGTTTTCAGGCGGAGGTTGTGTTATTTTCATCCTCACAGATACCCCCGCAGTGGGAATCTCTACCACCCCAATGCCCGAGAGTGCCTGAGGTCTCTCTGTACCTGGCCCAGGCACCACTGTGAGGAGTGGGGGAATTCTAACCTCACGGGGATGTAGTGAGAGCTCAACGCCACCCAGCATGGAAAGCGTGCAGCCCAGGTTCAATCAATGGGCACTCTTCTCACTTTTAGACTCCCACACTTCAGGCCCAGATTACAGCCAGAGGGCCCACATAGGAAAAAGCTGCCATCAGCACCAACGTCCCAGGGCAACCAAGAGACCTCAGCCTGGCAGTGAAAGGATGCCAGGTAGGGAATGTGAAGTAAGAGCTGTTTGCACCGGAGGAGGCCTCCCCAAGAGCCAGAGAGCTGTCCACCTCTCTGCGCCCGCGCCCTCACCATCTGCCTCCCTCGGGCCACAGCAGCATGCACATTCTTGAGGGAGCCGTCGTTCTCCTCGAAGACTTCCGCCGACCAGATGGCACAGTTGACGTGTGTCCACTCGTTCTGCCCGATGTACAAGAGCCGCCCCGCCTCCTGGGGCAGAAGAGGAGTGGCATGATGTGGGGAGGCCAGGGAACAGGCCCCACAACCTGGTGCGTCACAGAGCAGCCCTCACCTTGGAGTCTGCATCCCCGTATTTGAGGCAGAGTGCACACTGACGGGGGTCCTCCAGGTGTGAGAAGGCAGCCGGATCCTTGCCCTGGAATGCTGAAGAGGAAATGTGAAGGGAGGTCTAAGAATCAGGACCCGGAGCCAGGCCACCAACACAGGGCCCTGGCTTCTGGACCCCCACTTCCCAGTACCTGCTGAGGGATCCCCTGGAGGCTGCCCTGATTCTGGGGTCTCTGGTTCCTGCTGTCTCCACTGCGCATAGACATGATCCAGGGATGGGGGCAACACCGCATTGGGAAGGACTCCGCTGTGGACAGGCAGGGTTAGCAGCTGATGTGCCCAACAAGGGCAGCTGAACGGGGGCCCATCCACAAACCAGCCTGAACTCGCCATGACACCCGCTACTCCCTCTCTATGTGGAATTTCTCTCAGTCCACCAAATAAGCCAGGCCCTCTTGTGCCAGCTTGGACATACGAAATGCTGCTCCTCATGCCTGCAATACTCTTCCTCCCCAGCTCTGCTCCAATGCCATCTCTTTCAGGAAGCCTTCCCTGACACCTCGGCTCCAGCAGGTACCCCTCCGGGCCCCCACCGCCCCCTGGTATTCTCCATCACTGCCCTGACCATCTGGGTCTTCAGTGCCTGCCCGGCTCCACAATGAGCTCTTTAAGCAGAGCCCAATCTGATTCGCTCACTGCTTTGTCCCCAGCATTCCCCTGCACAAAGCAGAAACAAAGCTTTGCTAGTCTAGAACCACCAGGGAATCTCACCTGGGTTCCACCACCCTCCTCTCCAGCTCTGCTCCAGACCCTACCTCTGCTCATCTCTTCTCAGCCCAGCGTGGCCCCTGCATGCCCTGGCCTTGCCCTCACTCCCCGGCTTCCCTTCTGCTACCCAGCCTTGCTCACTTTGGCAGCCGGGTACTCCGTCGCCAGTACTTGGGGTCGTGGGCGTCGAACCAGCCGAACGCAGATTCTAGCAGCTGGGGAGTGGGTTAACAGGATGAGAAGAGCCAGCTTCCCCAGGAGAGCTGGCAGGGGCAGGGTCTGAAGGTCCCACTCCCCCACCCCACAAGCATCCCCGGAAGAGCTCACCTTCAGCAGGAGCCCCTTCATCTGGCCTCCAGCCCGGCGGTCCGGGGTCTCTCCCTCCTCCGAGTGCCGCATGAGGATGCCCACCATGTCCTCCATGAAGCTGTGCTGTAAGGGGGTTTGTCAGAGACTGAGTCCCCTCTGCACAATTCCAGCCCTCTCCTCCTGCCACCCACCTGCTCCTCCTGGTGTACCACTCACCACAGACTTGTAGTGGCCATCCTCGAAGCGCTGACTCACAGCTTGCAGGCCGCAGGGTCCTGGGTGCAGTTGCTTCCCATCTGGCCCACACTGCAAAGCGGGGAAGTTAGCAGGGCTGGGGGTGGGCCTAGCCCCGGCCCATCCTGCCTCCAGGGCCCTCCAGACCTGGGTGCAGAGCAGCAGTGGGCCCACCACCTTGGAGCTCAGCAGGCCCTGGAGCACCTGGCGCAGGCCCCCCTGGAGGGCCCCGCTCAGGGCCTCTCGCCAGCGGGGCTGCGCTGCCCCAGCACACGGTCCGCAGGTGTACAGCACCGAGTCTGGCAGTCCTGAAAGGATCTCGTAGTCTTCATCTAGGATAGCCAAGTGGGAAAGGGAAAAGTGGTTTCAGAGGATGTGAGGGCTCCCAGCAGCCCCTAGGCCAGCAAGGACCCTTAGCCCACCAGTCCTCTTGGGGCCTGTGGTGGGGGCAGGGGTCCCCACAGGGTTGAGGCTGCAGCCCAGGTGCTCCACTGACTCACCTGAGAGCCCCTCGCACTTGGCATGCACCCAGTGATCGCACTGTGCGCACTGCATCATCTTGCTCTCATAGTCGTTGTCTTCATAGCAGCGTGTACAGATCGGGCAGTAGTTTCCTAGAGAAAGGGAAGAGAAGGAGTCAGAGGTGCTGGAGTTCCCACTCAGCCCTGAGTGTCTCTGTTCAAGGATTAGCAGTACCTTAGCTGCCTCCACTATGCCCCTGTTTTGGGCCCCTACTAGTCCCTAAAAGCTCCTTGAGGATGAGGCTTTTTTTTTTTTTTTTTTTTTGAGACAGTGTCTTGCTCTGTCACCCAGGCTAGAGTGCAGTGGCAAGATCTCCGCTCACTGCAACCTCCGCCTCCCGGGTTCAAGCGATTCTCCTGCCTCAGCCTCCCGAGTAGCTGAGATTACAGGTGCCCGCCATCATGCCCGGCTAATTTTTGTATTTGTAGTACAGATGGGGTTTCACCATGTTGGCCAGGCTGATCTCAAACTCCTCACCTCAGGTGATCCACCTGCCTCAGCCTTCCAAAGTGTTAGGATTACAGGCGTGAGCCACTGTGCTCGGCCTTAGGATGAGGCCTCTTTTCAGACTCTGCAGAACACAGGGCCTTGCTAATGTACTGCCTGAATAAGGCTTCCAAACCGCTCAATGGAGACGTGAGGTTCCAGGAAGTACCTCAGACACCAAGACAGTGGGGTCCCAGGCCTTCCACTCCCACCACCCTCAGAGGAGCTATGTGTCCCTGTTTTACATACTGGATGGACTCCTGTGGAAGAGTTCCCTGAGTTGAAGAGATAGTCCCATAGCTACAAGGTGGAAAGCCATGAGAAAAGAGGGTCTGTGCTAAAGCCTGTAAAAGAGCCTGGCCATTCCCCTGTGGCCCCCAGCATCCAGTTCCCCTGCCCGGTCCCCACCTTTCTCATATAGCTGGGTGCACCTGGGGCAGAGGCTGTAATCTCCAGACCACTCGACGTCCCAGTTCTTGCCTGGAGTTGCCCCACAGCTCTTACAGCGCACACAGGCTGAACAGATCTGGGGGAGCAGGGCGATGTTAGGGGAAAACCAGGCACTGGACTGGAGCAACATGAGCGGGAGACGGGCGAGGAGGAATTGGGGATATGCAGGAAGCAGGCAAGGAGGGACAGGTAAGAGGAGAAAACACGCAGGACAGACACGGAGGAGGAACATGAGGGCAGGAGAGGACATCAGGCTATAGCAGGGGATTCTGAGCCCACGGAATGTGAGATTCATAAGCCCCTAAAACCACTCCATGCAAATTCTGAATATAAATCTGACCTATGTGAAATTTTTGAAGAGGAAACATTACTAATCAATTCTTAAGAGGATCCCCAACCTCTGCTCCTCCTGAGAGCCCCAGCCTAGAGCAAGTTTGGGGGTGGTGGTGATATTCATTAGAGACAAAGCAAGTGGGTGAACCTCATCTCTCACCCAGTGGCGCCGTTTGCGCGTGGCCCGGGTTGGATAGCTGGGCCCCAGACAGGCCGGGTGGTATGCATGGCGGCAGCGCTCGCACTCCAGGAGGTGCTGTTGGATGTGGAGACAGAGATGGCGAAACCTGCTGGCACAGGGATGCCCTCACCTTCAGGCCTCCACCCACCCTGGCCAGCCCTTGGGCCCAAACCTTGGATCCACGACCTTTGCGTCCACAGACGTGGCAGAATTTGCAGCGACGGCAGCACCAGGTGTCGTGATGCTGGGGCAGGGGCCGCTCGGCCTCCTCCAGGCAGAATGGGTGGAATGGGTCACAGCAGACTTGACAGAACACCAGCTGGGGACAGGGTAAAGGAGTGAATGATGGGCATAGCATGAGGCCAGAGGGCCAAGGGATGAGACCCAGCTGAGAGGGCCCAAGGAATCAGGCCGTGAGGACCGACAGAGAGCTGGGGGTCTGTGAAGAAAGGCAGAGATCTAACCTCGTGGAGTCCTTTGCTGGCACACAGCAAGCACACCATCGGGGGGCCCCCTGGCACAGAGGTGAGCACACTCAGGCCCCCCATCAGCCACACGTTCTCTAAATCACAATCCTCCTGGGGGAAGAGAGGATGCAGGATCAGAGGGCCGCCAGGCATACAAGGCAGACCCACCTGGCTTCTCGATGACACAGTCATCGAGGTTCTTCCAACCAGAGGCTCTGTGACTCGCCCCACTCAATGCCATACCTTAAAATCCACACGGACGCGGTGCACACCATCGGGAGACTTCTGCTTTCCAGTCCAGCCATTGGGAAAAGAAGCAAAGGGGCCAGGGGCCAAAGCATCCTGGGGAGGAAAGGTGGGGGAATTCAGAGCTGCCAGCCTGGCCGTGATGCAGACTCCTCTCCTCACCGCCTTTCCCCCAGCCTACTGGACCCAGACCCTGATCCAGACCCCTTTGCTTTCCAGACAGGCAAGGCCCGCCTCATCCCTCAGGGCCTGTCCTCTCATGTGGACACACCACGACACTCAGGTGTGTCTGTCACTCTGACTTGCCAGGTAGCTCCTGGAGGGAAGGGGCTCTCGGAGCGGGCCGTGCTGACCTTGTCCAGGCGCCTTCGGGCCTTGAGCTGCAACACAGGCTGCAGGGTAGGTTTGCGGGGCCGGCTCTGCTCCTCAGGTTCTGGCAGTGGCAGCTCTAGGCAGGACACAATGAGCAGTGAGGTCACTCCCCTTCCACGCCCCTCTTCTTCTACAACCCCAAATGTTACCTGGATTCCCAGGGCCTTCTTTAACTAACCAAGACCCGCCAGGACGATTCTTTTTCTTGTTTTTTGAGGCAGGGTCTCGCTCTGTTGCCCAGACTGGAATGCAGTGGCGTGACCCATAGCCCACCGCAGCCTTGAACTCCCAGGCTCAGACGATCCTCCTGCCTCAGCCTCCTGAGCAGCTGAGACCACAGATGCGTGCCACCACATACAACTAACTTTTGCTTTTATAGGGATGGGGTCCCACTATGTTGCCCAGGCTGGTCTTGAACTCCTGGGCTCAAGTGATCCTCCCACCTTGGCCTCCCAAAAGTGCTGGGATTACAAGTGTGAGCCACTGCACCAGGCCTAGGATGACCCTTAAGTCTCACTCATTAGGCTCACTGAGAACCTCATAGGCCAGTTCTGTACATCCACCTAAAAACTGTCTCCTCCTCCGCCCTCAGCCACCTTCTCTATCAGACTGACAGAGCCCTGGGTCTGGGTGCCTTGTCCCTCCTACACAAAAGACACAAGACCAAATAAATGATCAACAGAGAAAGCATTAAGCAGTTCGCACCATTTTCTCGGGGGGTCCGACGCCGAGGAGCAGGGGGGCCCCCGGGCTCCGAGTCATCCGAATCCTCGAAGATATCATAGGAGGGTCGCTGTTTGACGCAGCGCCGAGCTGACTTGCGCTGCAGGAGGGAGTCCTGCTCCTCGGGCCCTGGGTGGGCCACCACCTCCTCCCGGGGCCCCCCAGCTCCCGCCCCCCGGCGTGGGCCTGGAGGACCAGGGGAGGCCTCAGGAGATTCATCGGAATCCCAGGGCAACAGCGTCTTCACTATCGTCCGGCCTGCGGGAACAGGGGACTTAGTAGGATTTGAGCTCAGCCAGGGACATGGGACACTGGGAGAGAAGCCAGAAAGAAGCGGGGCAGGGAATGAACGCAGGAGCTATGAAAGCACACAACGGAGAAGATGGAGAGGGTGAGCTGCAAGGGAGGAGAGCAAAGAAAAACAGCTCCCTCCACAGCACAAACTCTAACACGGTTTTGAGAAGAAATGCTCCTTAAAGCTCGTCACCTTTTTTAGCCAGTCGTTCCATCTTCCGAGCCTCTATTTTGTCACACTTCCGGTATCTGGGGAGGGGAGCAGCACGTCACCAGGGTAGGGGACTGGTGGTCTGGGGGAAGAGAGGAAGCTCTCCACAAGAATGCCAACCCCACTGCTCTGGCCAGGCAGAAGAGGAGTGAGGTAGGAAGCCTAGGGGACCAACAACCACGGGAATGAGGTCACGCCCCAGCTACTCACACACAGCACTGCTTCTTGGTGTTAGGGCCCCCAAACTTGGGCTTGTCTAGGCAGTTGACACAGGACCCACAGTCCTGCACACGTAGGCAGCCCCGACAGTGTCCACATCGAGCCATGCGCATCTTCTTGCCGTGATGGGAGGGCAGTGAGCGCCGGGGTGTGTGGGCCAGGGTCCCTCCAGAACCTGTGGGCTCTGATTCTCCCCCAGGGCCTGCTGCCTCCACCTTTCCCCGCCGGGACCGTGACGGGACACTCTCAGTCTCGGACGCCGATGATGTATCTATTGCAGCAGGCAGGGAGGAGGGGATGGAGCCACAAAGCCACCAGGCTTCTACCTCACTTCCCTGCTTTCCCACAACCTGGCTCTCGCTTTCTCACAGCGCCAGGTTCCTGGTGCCCCCAAATGAAGTTGCTCTAGGACCTAGCACTCCAGCCCACTTGCCACCTAACCCCTGAGCACCTGACTTGGCTCCCTCTCTCCTAGGCTCTTGGTGCATGTCACCCAAGTGTGGGGTCATCCCCAAACCTGACATGGCTGTCCAGTCTCCCCACCTACCCTCTGTGGCGAGGTCCTGCCGATCCCGGAGAGGGAGGGCACTGAGGCGAGGGACATCTTCAGGCACCATGGCCCGGGCCTGACCCAGGGCCACAGCAGCATGACGGCAGACATGTTTGATGCGGGGACCTTGCACAGGGGACTCGGGACCCTGGGGGAGAAATCGGAGTGTGTGTGGGCAGCTTGCGCTCCCGCAGCCCCACTCCTCCCGCCAGTCTTCTTCAGGGCCCTCCTCCCGATGCATACTGAGGGCCGCTCTCTCTTAGCTTCCACCGACTCATCTTCAGACCGGACAGGGCCTCTGTCGGAGATCTGCTTGACAGCCCCGGCCACCTCCTCCATCTGCCCTCCAGGGCTCAGCTGGCAGGGAATAAACAGGGTCAGGGGCTGGACAGTGAGGAAAGATAGGGACAGGGAGCTGGGTGTGGTGGCTGATGCCTGTAATCCCAGCACTTTGGGAGGCCGAGACGGGCAGATCACGAGGTCAGGAGTTCAAGACCAGCCTAGCCAATGTGGTGAAACCCTGTCTCTACTAAAAATACAAAAATTAGCCAGGCGTGGTGATGGGCACCTGTAGTCCCAGCTACTCGAGAGACTGAGGCAGGAGAATCTCTTGAACCCGGGAGGCAAAGGCTGCAGTGAGCCGAGATCACGCCACTGCACTCCAGCCTGGACAAAGTGAGACTCGGTCTCAAAAATAAAAAAAAAAAAAAAAGGAAGATAGGGACAGGGAACTAGCACAGAGAAGGGCCAGGTCTGGGGAGGAACAAAGGAAGGTGGGGGATCACAGAAAGGCAGGTTCTGAGGGTTCCCCGCAATGCTGGAAAGTGTCCAAGGAGGCGGAAGGTTAGGGGGTTGCAAAGAATGGAGGCTGGATGGCTGGGTGTGCCGCTGGGCCCAGGGACCACACTCACCGGCATGGAAGCTGCCACCTTCTGCTGCTGCTGCTGATCGATCTTGAATAGCTGCACTTTGGCTCTCTTGAGGAGGCTGAACATCTTCTCCTCTACCCCAGACAGCGGCAAGGAACCCACGCCCGCAATCCGGGCTTTTTCCAGGGGAGGCATCTGCTGTGGTGACGGCGGTGGCTGCAGCTGTGGCTGTGGTGGCGGTAGTGCCTGGGGCAGGAGCTGGGTTTGCAAGGCCTGCAGGGGCTGCAGTAGCTGAGCCTGTGTCTGTGGCCCGTTGCTCAGAGCTGGAGCCCCGTGAGGGGACACCTCGGCCTTAACAGGAGTGGTGACCACAGGGGCGAATCGAGGCAGGCTGAG
Organism: Homo sapiens; assembly: GCF_000001405.40. Lineage (NCBI taxonomy): Eukaryota > Metazoa > Chordata > Mammalia > Primates > Hominidae > Homo > Homo sapiens. Next base: position 35,721,450 of record NC_000019.10, on the reverse strand, counting down.
GTGGTTGGTGCGGCCCACTGCCCGAGGCTCAGGCTCAGCTGGAGAGTCATCGGCAGGAGGAGGCTCTGGCTCAGGGGCTTCAGGAGCCCCAAGAGGAGGAGGAGTAAGCACCGATTCGTAGATCTTCAGGTGGGCTTCGCTTGGGGTAAACTGAGGGGCCCGAAGGAGTAGGGGCCTCCGGGAGGAGGTGGCAGGAGCAGGGGGTGGGGAGGGGGCCGGGGGAGGTGGAGGGGCTGGGGGAGGAGGGGGCAGCTCCCGGGTCAGTGAGGTCCAGCGAAATGTGGGTTCCCTTAGGATGGACCGTCTCTTCTCAGGGAGTGGAACTGGGGTAGATGGAGGAGTTGGGGCACGTGGTGGAGAGGGGACTGGTGCTGGCTCCTGGGGAACAGGTGGGGAGGTGGTAATGGGAGGTCGCAGGACAGGTGAGACCTCCACCTTTGGGGGTTTGGGGGGGTCTTCATCCATAAATCGCCGGGGTGTCTTGATGACACGGGAGGAGCGGGCACTCACCACAGGCATAATAAACTGCCGGATATTCTTCAGGAAGGTGGTGCTTTTGGGGGCCACGGTGGGACTGTCTTCCGGAGGGCCTCCCGTGGCGGTGCTGGGGGTTGGAGTGGGAGGAGAGGTGCCCTCTGGCCCTGCCCGAGCAGCTTCCCGCTCCGCCCGCTGGCTGGGAGTCAGGGGAGGCCGGCCCCTCTTCCTGGAGCACGTAGCTGGGACCACAGGAGGAGGGGATTCCTCCTGCTCCTCTTGGGCAGGAGGCGGTGGAGGGGATGGTAGAGGTGGTGGGGACACTGGGGGTGGTGGTGGAGGGCAGAGTGGGGGTGGAGGAGATGTCGAAGGGGGTGGGAGGGGTGGAGGAGGTGAAGGGGCTGGAGGAGTCAGAGGCGGTGGTGGCAGCTTTGCCTCTTCCTTTTCCGCAGCTGGCATCATCTCCTCAGCTACAGCTCTTTCTTCCTTCTCTTCTCCCTCCTTGTCTTTTTCTTCTTCTTCTTTCTTCTCTTCTTCCTCGTCATCCAGCTTCTGTTCCTGCTTTTTCCAGCAAGGGCTCCCTCCCTGTCCAGATCCAACTCTTCTTTGGGGGACATCCTGCCAACTTTCCTCATGTTGACCTTGACCTTGACCTGATTCGAGTCCCAAGGACAATTGTCCCATCTTTACTTTTTTGGCCCTTGAAACAAACTTGATCACAAAGGGGAGCCCACCACCTCGGCCGCGGCCCCTGCCTCCACGGCCTCCACGGCTTGACTGTCCTCCACGCCTGGGGGTCCCAGGTCCTGGACCGGGCCCCTCCTTGCATTTCCAGCTGCCAGTCTGATGTTTCACTGGAACCACAGGAGGTGGGGGCTCAGGTTTGGGGATTGTCACAGCTGCTTCTGCCACCACTACTGCTTGCTGCTTCCTCCTGCAGGGGCCTGCTGGCCGTCCTGGGGGCCGTCCCCGAGACCGCCGGGGGGTGGAGGGCTCACATGCCCGGCTCCGGGGTGCTTGGGGTGCCTGGGCCCGCCGGAGAAGTTCAGTCAGTGCCTGCACCATCCGTTCTGTGCCTTCCTCACCCCGTTTCCGGGCAGGGGTCTTTGGGGGGGTAGGAGCCACATCTGCTAGGCGAGGAGGAGGAAGGGGGGTCGTCTTATGCTTGCGACCCCGACCTCGGGGCGCTCGACCTAAAAGGAGAATAGTTGTGGGGAGATGGATCAAGCCAGCCCTACACACAGAGGAAGGCGCTCCAGGAGGGCAGGGACTAAGTCTTGCTTGTGTGTTTCCCCCGCTGCCCAGACTAGCTTGGACTCTGAACACAGAACACATTCGGCAACTGACAGAGGCTAGTTGAACAGGGAAGAGCTGACACGAAGGGCGAGGATAAATTCCTGTGACGCTAAAGAGGTGGAGTTCCCCCGTCACTCACCTCGCTGGGATCGGAGCGCAGAGCGCAGGGAACTGGGGGCCACATCTTCATCTGAATGAAAACCCTGAAACTCCTGATTTAGGGGACCGGGGTGGAGGGGAGAAACAGCAGTCAGTGCCAAAGCCCTCGTTCCATCTGAGGTATCGAGGAATATCCCCAGTTCCCACTTAGCATACCCCTGCCTATTTAAAAAGAACGAAAAAGACTCAAAGGTCGCGGGTAGTGGAAGAGAGGGTCTCTCCCTAGGGATGGAGGCGCCAGGTATTTCGAACTCCGATCCCCAGTGCCGGACCACACCAGCACAGCCAAAGCCATGGTTCACTGGCCCAAGAGAGAAGACGACAGGGTCTCCTCAGGAAAGGCAGCAGGCCCCATACTCAGATTCCTTCAGAGTCCAATTCAGACCAAAGTGGGACCTCCACTGACACCCTTTCGGGCCACAATTTATTTCTGCATTAAGTTGGGAACAGGGGCCCGCAAGTGAAGGGGCGGGGAGGGCATCAGATGGCTTTCGTACAGGCTCCACTGCGAGCTCTCAGGTTGTTATTAACCGTCCAGGGCAACGCAACCCACACCTTCCTGCCTGTTCTGAAAGGCTGGGGGAGAAATCCTGAGCTGAGCTCTGACCTGCTAGAGTGCCCAGTCCCGGCCTTCATCCCACTCCTGTTCAACCCGAGCCCCAAGAGGAAGCCCTCCACCACTCTACCTGAGATGCCAAGAGAAACTGGGGCCCTGGAGAAACCAGGAGGTTGCGAGGCCCGGCGGGGCGGCCCACAGGTAAGAGCCCAGACAGCTCCAACCTGTCTGCCAAGGCCACGCTGCCGCTGTCAACCACGACTGGCTGGACATGCAGTCCCCACTGCCTCCTCGCCCAAACCTCCACCGCCCTAGCTTTGCCAGCTGCCGAAAAGGATCGGCCCAAGACACTTCAGCGGGACCGACATCGGGCGCGAGTGCCTGGCTGCAGCCGGGGCTTCTCTACCCACTTCCAGAGGCCCTTTCCCCCGGAAGCTGCATGCAGCCGCCCTCCCTCCGTGCCCCGTCTCTCCGAAGGAACCCTGAGGACCCGGCCTGCCCACGCCGCCCCCGGGACAACCCAGACCCCTGGAAGCCCCGGCCTCCGCCCCACCCGGCGCCGGGGACGCCTCCAACCGCCTCACCTCCTCGTCGGATTCCCCGTCACTGCTCTCCTCCTCCGGCACGCAGCCTCGACTCGGGCCCCAGCCCCGGCCCCGACCCCGTCCCCGGCCCCGCTGGACCCGCGGGCCGGCCCACAGGCGGCGGAGCCGGCGCAGGCCCCGGCGGAGCCCCAGCAAACGGAGCAGGGCCGTGTCCTCCCCGGGCTCGGCTCCGCCCGGCCCCGTCGCGCCACCGCCGCGCCGCAGAGCTACCCGCACTCTTTCGGCCCCGTTGCCCCGTCCGCCGCGGCCCCCGCCCCCGCCGGCGCCCCGCGGCCGGCCCGGGAAGCGGCCCCGCGCGGAGCCAGGCCCGGGGCAACTGCCGCCGCCCGCCGCCGCCGCCATCTTGGCACCGTGAGAGGGGCCGGGGAGGCGGGGGGAGGGGCGGCCCGTGCGCAGGGCCGGGGGGAGGGGAGAGAGCGGGGGCGGGGCGGGGCGGCCGCGGCGCACGACAACAACCAGCGCCGCCGCGGGAGACCGGGGGCCGGGCCGGCCACGCGCAGGGCACCACGGGAGAGGGAGTCCGCGGCCGGCCGGCGCCCTCGGACCGCACCTGGGGAGCACAGACCCCCGCGTCGCGGCCGCAGAGGGGCGAACCGCGGGGGCCTCCGGGAAATGTAGTCCGGACGCCTCGCTTCTTCCGCCGGCAGCCAGGGCGCGAGGGCCGGGACGGCGGGGTTCCCGGCCAGGACCCGGAAAGCGGGTTGCCGGGTCTCCGGGAGGTGTGGTCCTAGCCCCAGGCTCCTCCCATTGTTCTTGGCTAGGCCGGCGGCCCGCGTGGACTACCACTCCCAGGGTGCCGCGGGCTCGGGCCCCGGGACCCCCGAGGCCCTGGGAAATGCAGTTCGCGGCTGCAGGAGGCGTGGGCTGGAGAAGGAGCGGTGGAAAGCATAGTCAGTCTCCGTTCCAGGCGCGACCTGGCGGCGGCTTGGCACGGTGTGGAGGGAAGACGCCGGAGAGGCCGCGGTCTCGGGGTCCGTGTGCTCCCGGAGAGGAGGCGGGTGGCCGAAAGCAGGGTCGGAGCACGCGTTCCTCTCTCTCCCGGGCCGAGCGTTCCCAGATCAGACTCCGCGCGCCGTGGATTGCAGTGGAAGGGGCGAGTGACTTGCGGTCGCACAGCCCCCACCAGTCCAGGACCGGCATGCCGCAAGGTGTGCCCGGACACCGAGTCCTCGGGGCCGGCTGCCTCCTGGGGAGGACGGGGCGCCTCGGGGGTGGAAGAAGTGTCCATCCCGCTGGACAGCGGACGCAGGGCCACCAGGGGCCGCTACAGGACAAGGGGCGTGGGCGGGGGTGTGCACAGACTAAACTCGGCTTTCTAGTCCTGAAGGGAGGGCACAGGAAACTCTTTATTATGGTGATGAGATCGACAATCTCCCCTACTGTTAACCTTCGCTCCTGCACACTTCAGTGTCCTCACTCTGTAGGGCTCGCTGGCCTGGGCTTCTGCGACCCGCGATCGTCCAGGAGAGGGCACTCGGCGCCCTTCCTGGGGCGCTTCTGGGGCGGAATTTGCTAGGCCGCCGTAGCAGCGGTGCCAGGTCAGAAGCCGAGCCGGCCCGCTTTTCGTTCTTTAATTGGACTCTTGGCTAAGACGCTACCGACACCCCGTCAGGTGGTGGAGGAAGAAGGACAACAGGGAGAGGTCGAGGGCCGAGACGGCCTCGAGGAGGAGTAGAGGAAGGTGGAGCGGATGGTCCATCCGGGCGGGAGTTGGCTGGGCGAGTGACCGCGCATGTGCGCCTGCATGGAGGCCAGGCTGGGACAGCCGGCCCCGCACAGGGAGCAGCGGTACGGAGCGGCCCCGTGTGTCCGCAGGTGCTTGGTCATGGCCGAGAAGTCCCGGGAGCGCTGAGGACAAAGGCTACAGGAGAAGGGCTTCTCTCCTAGAGCGGTCGGAAGGGGAGGCCGGTGAAGGAAGGAAGAAGGCGGCGAAAGCTGGCCAAGTTAGGGGTGGATCGGGCCACGGGGCTAGGGGATTGCGCGGGAACCGGGCACACAGGTGGAGACTCAGGAGCGGAGTTGGGAAGAAAGCCGACAGTTCACACAGGGCAGGGCGCCCATACCTGTGTGGACTCGGTAGTGCGTCTCCATCTGATGCTTGAGTGAAAACCTCTTTCCACAGACAGAGCACGCATAGGGCCGAGACCGAGCAGGAGGGGCCGGGGGAGGGTGCGGGCGAGGTGGGCAGCCTGCCTTGTCCTCATGACCCGCACAGGTTGCAAGTGCGCCTGTGGGGACAGAGAAGGCAAAGGAGGGCAGGGCCAGGAATCCCAGCGCCAACTCACTGTACCATTCAGGCAGGAAATCAAGGGCTACAGTGGGGCTGAGGCACGAGTGCCCCCGCCCGACTCACCTGTGTGCCCCTGATCAGACTCTTCCATCTCCCCAGGGCTGAGCTGTGCGGGGCCCTGGGGGAGGGAACCTGGAAGGAACAGTGGGAGGTAGGGGCCCTGCTCAGGCTGGACTCCTCGAGCCCCAGCCCAGAGAAGACACCATGTTACAGGTGTATGCAGGACAGCGAGGGGCTTACCTGGGGTAGGGCTGGAGGAGGCCAACTGGTTCTGGCTCCAGAGCCCTTTGGGGGCATTTAGGGACAGTGGGATCCTGGGATGGGGTGGGGAAGAGTTACAGCCTTGGCTAAACCTGGGAGCCTGGCCCCTTCGTGAAGAGGGGGTATCCCAAGTCCTCCCCCGGGGGCTGGGCTTTGGCGTGCCCTGTGGCAGCAGCTTCTTGTCTCTTCCCCAGCTCAGGAACTGTGCAGTAGAGATGCAGTGCCCTTCCACCCAGCAGGGCTGCCCCTCCTGGGCCATGCCCTCCCAGCCTGGAGGCAGAGCACTAGACCCCGCCACTCACCTCTGTTCCCGCCAGACCTCCTGCCAGGCTCCAGTGGTGGGGGTGCTATGGTAGAAGGGAATGCCATATCTGGGCGGCATCAGCAGGATGCTCCACAGGGCAGGCTGGCCCCCCACCAACCAAGGGGCCTCAGCCCACGAGGGCCTAGGGGTGACGCTGGTTTGCAGGGAGCCTGCTGGGGGAAGGGGGCCAGGGAGCTTGCGCAGACTTTCCTCAGAGCCCCCTGGATTTTCCCTCAACCACGTGAGCACTCCATGCTTCCCATCTGCTCCCCTTTGGCCAACAGGGGCTTGGAGGCGTTTCTCCTTTGACCTGGTCTGTTCCTGCTGAGCCTCCTGCGTTGCTCCTGCCATCTCGGGTCTGCCTCTTGGTGGCGAGTGCTTGTGCAACATCTCCTGTTCTCTCCCACCAGTTCTAGAAACCTGTTCTGGTTTCTGCTTCTCTCCAGGGTCCCCCAGTTCTCTCTCAGGATTCCTTGAGGGTTTCTCTGGCTCCTCCTGATGTTTCTTCAGGCCTGGATCTGGCTTTTTAGCCCTGTCCCCTCGAGCCCTCCAGCATGCCTCTTCCAGGGACTGCACTCCCAAGGCCCTGGCCGCCTCCTGAAGGGGCCTTAGCTCTCCAGGCTGCAGCTCTACACTCTCCCCATACACAAAGTTCAGGAGCTGGGCAAAGGTAGAAGGGCTGATGCCTTCTCCCAGAGCCCACTGGCCCCTGCGGCCCAGCTGCTGGCTGACACCTGCTAGCACCAGGCTGTGGGCGGGGAACTCCTGGCTCCCTACGGTGATCAGAGTATCACAGAGTGCTGGCCGGAGCCTGGCTGCTAGCTGTACCAGCCGATCAGAGCCATAGGGGCTGGGCAGTCTTATGGGGGGCAGGGACATTGTGCCTTGGCTTGGGTACCTAACTCAGAGGCTCTAAGAGGAAGTCCACAGTGTGAGGTCCATGGTTGAAAGGGGAGGGAGGAACATCTCATCTCATTTCAAGCCTGTGGATGTGAGGGGAGAGGGTGTGAGTTGCTGGTCCTAGATCAGAGCCCTCTGTCCTGAGTGAGCAAATAAAGTAACCCAAGAGAGGATTGGAGCTTATCCAGAATCATAGCAGGTAGGCATGGTGGCGAGAGAATGGAAATCAGACCAAATTCAGGACTTAAAGAGCAAGGGCCAGTCAGTTAACAGAAATATCTAGTAGTGGGTTTAAGACAGGCGTGCGGGAAGTCTGCCAGTTGGCAGTCTCTGACGTAAAAGATAGCAGATACTGCCACTTCTGCTTCTCCAAGCCCCTCTGCAGGGAAACACCTCTGCGCAAGCCAGGCTTTCTTCATTCCAGACAAGGATCACCACAAAACCCAGTCAACGCCGGCACTAAGGGATGGAGCATGACACAGTTTCACGGGAGAGCTTAGAAAGCTAGTGGGTCCTCCCCCAAAAGCCCATCGCTCCTGAAAGGCAGAGAGGGCAGCATGATAGGGATCCTGGCTGCAGGAGCGCAGGCGCTAAGGCATCCGGCAGTCATCACTGTGAAGCTGAAGCTTCTAGAACACATCCTCAGGGAAGGAACCAGACATTCCCATCCAGAGAAAGAGGAGAGCAGGTGCAGAAGCCACAGGAGAGGAGGCTCCTGACCCAATGATGGAGAGACCTTTTGGAGAATGGACTCCTGAGGAGATGGGAGGAAAGGACGTGGGGACTGGAGACAGGGAGGCTGTTTCCTCTCAAGATTTGGGTAAGGAGATGGTTTAATTTGTTTTTCATAAGACAAAAAGTGAAGAATAGAAAGACAGCACCCAACCAGGCAGGAGTTTCTCACACATCAAAACCACCACATTGGCTTTTAAGAAGAGAGCTGGGAACCCAGATACGAAGAGAACCAGAACCTCAGTGTCTTAGCACCCAGCAGGCAGAGTCCTAGGTGCAGGTTCCCTGTGAGCAAGGGCCCTTGGGGCAGGGAGGGCTGCACTTGGACACCTCAGGGAGAGGGCTCTAGGTTGGCAGGGAGGAGACAGAAAGAGTTGTGATGGGAAGAAGGCCTCAGCTGGAGAGAGGCTATCACTCACCGCTTGTAGCTTCTTCCAGGACACCGCATGCTCTGAACTACTGTTGGGGCTCCTGGGGCCCCCCCTGGAGCTAGCCCCGCCCCTGACCTCACAGGCCTCCATTGGATGTCCCAAGTATCAGTCTGCCACAGTCCCCCCGAAGGGGTGTGGTTTTCTAACCCTGCCTCTGCCTTCTGCCTGCAGGAGAGACCACCCCCTCTACCTCCAGAATGCACACATTCTGCCCCTAGCCTCCTGTCTCCTCACTTCGTTTGTGAACTCCTAGAGTCAAAGAAGTGTATCTGTGGCAGCAAGGACCTTGGAATAATCAGCCCTGCCTTTGAGTTTCATCTCTGCCATTTACTATTTGAGTCACCTTGGGCAAGTCACTTCTCTGGGCCTCAGTAACCTCATTCATGAAATAGGCATAATATCTGCTTACCTCATTTGGAGGTGGGGGTGAAGATGAAATGACGTGACGAATATGAGTGTGGTTTGTAAGTACACAGTAGCATTCAGTGGTATGGTTGTTTCTTAGAGATGACGGCAGAGCACACAGCTGCAGAAGTAAAAAGGATTGAAACATTTGGATCCCAAGAATAGGGTGGAGGAGCCAGAAGCTGGCCTCCTCCCTCTCCCTGACTTGGTACTGGGAAGCCTCATTTGCTGCCTGGGAATGACCTGGGGGTGGGTGTGTGAGTGACTCAGATCCTCCCATCAAGCTCTGAAAGGGGCAACCCCAGGAAGGACGTGTGGTGGTCTTCGAAGAGAAAAATCTCCTTTTCTTGGGCTGATGACAAATGACATTTCTCTGAAATCAGGACTTGGGTTTCTTTCACTTCCTGCCCAAGGGGTCAAGGTCCCCGGAGGTTTCCCCTCTTTTCACACTTCAGAACTCTTTAATCTGGGGAAGGGATGGGGTCTTAGAGGCTCAACTTTCTTTTTCTGTTTCTTATTATTCTCTTATCCCTGATCCTATAGCAAAATTTTCATTTATCCAACAAATTTTGATGACATGTTTATTTTGAGACGGGGTCTTGCTCTGTTGCCCAGTGGTACGATCACGGCTCACTGCAGCCTTAGCTTCCTGGGCTCACATGATCCTCCCACCTCAGCCTGTTGAGTAGCTGGGACTACAGGTTTGAGCCACCATGCCTAGCTAATTTTGAATTTTTGGTAGAGACAGGGGTCTCACTATGTTACCCAGGCTGGTCTTGAACTCTTGGGCTCAAATGATCCGCCTGCCTTGGCCTCCCGAAGTGCTGGGATTATAGGCGTGAGCCACTGCGCCCAGCGGATAAAGCATTTATGATATGTGCCTGGCGTATATTAGATACACAGTAAATGACTGGAAGATAAACAAGTCAGGTACTGGTAAGCTGCTCTGGTGACAAGGCACAGTCGGCTTCCCCATAGGCTTCTCTTTTTTTTTTTTTTTTTTTTTTTTTTTTGAGACGCAGTCTCGCTCTGTCTCCCAGACTGGAGTGCAGTGGCGCAATCTCAGCTCACTGCGACCTCTGCCTCCCAGGTTCAAGCGATTCTCCTGCCTCAGCCTCCCGAGTAGCTGGGATTACAGGCGCCCGCCACCACGCCCGGCTAATTTTTGTACTTTTAGTAGTGACAGGGTTTCGCCATGTTGGCCAGGCTGGTCTCGAATTCCTGATGTCAAGTGAGCCACCCACCTCGGCCTCCCAAAGTGCTGGGATTGCGCCCGGCCTCCCATAGGCTTCTCTTAAGGGGGAAGGATCTAAGAGTCCTTGTCCCCTCCTAGATGCAAATACTGTCCCTAAGCTCCCGTTTCTTCCTTTGGCTCCAGGACCCTCGAATGTTCAGACCAGCCTCCCACTCTCTCTTTCCAGGCCTACCACGCCTTCCCTCCACATGGGTGCAGGCACATGTTAACCCTTCCTAGATCAGACAGGGTGTGTCAATGGGTGAGGCTGGTGGAGGGGCAACAGGGTGGGGAGAGGGGAAGATGAGTCAGAACGAAAGGGAAAATGCAAATGTGAGAGCTGTGTTCATCTGCTACTCTGAACGTTAACTATTTTCCATTTCTGAGCTTTCCAATTCCTCACACCACCACACCCATATAAAAGACACATAAAGCATCAGTCCCTCTGATATGTATGTACGCAGAGGGAAACACCCTTCCTCCAACACAGAAATACAGAGTCCCTCAAGACAAGGAAGGAGTGCGGAAAGCCCTGAGGGACTAGCCCCAGGGATGAGGAAAGGTACAGGGGTCTGGACGATTACATGGTCACCCCTCTGAGTGTGGCCCCCTCGCTTTCCAGCCCCACATCATGTGCTTGTGACTCAGCTCCCCCGCTGGTTTGCTCATTGATGATCGAGAGAGTTGGAGACTGCTCAAAGGGCAGCATTCTGTGTAAGCCAAATATAGTTGACAGGGAGCATCAGTGGGCTTTCGGGGAACCTAAAAGGGAGGAGGGGCAAGGGAACTCCCCTTTCAGTGAACAAAAGCCCCCAAGAATGGGGAACCCCACCTAAGGATATCCCCTTAGAGACCGCCTCCTAGAATTATCTCCAGGGCCCTTTGCACTGCAACCCTTATGCTGATGACACCCTGAGCACTTCTCTAGCCTCTTCCTGCATTCTTGACAGTGCAACCCAAGCCATCCTGCACTGAGCACAGATGGCAGAAGCAGACAGCACTTTGACTTGGAAGAGTAGGGACACTGCTGGTGCTGTTTTGTTTTTATTTTGAGACAGAGTCTTGTTCTGTCACCCAAGCTGGAGTGCAGTGGCGCCATCTCGGCTCACTGCAACCTCTGCCTCTGGGTTCAAGCGACTCTTGTGCCTCAGCCTTCCAAGTATCTGGGGTTACGGGCATGCACCATCACACCCGGCTAATTTTTTTGTATTTTTAGTAGAGATGGGGTTTCACCATGTTAGCCAGGCTGGTCTCGAACTCCTAACCTCAGGTGATCCACTGCTGGGATTACAGGTGTGAGCCACCATGCCTGGTCTGTTGCTGTTCTTAAAAGTACTCCCCCTCCCTAGACTCAAAAACCTTGCCCCCCCTTCCTCTTCCTGGGCTGACTCGGTAGGAATCATCTGCAGTTGTCTCTCTGGAAAGAGCAAAGAAACAACAGGTTATGCAGACACAAGCCTGTGTCCTGCCAGAGGGTAGAGCAGGTAGAGAGATTAGGTAGGGCATGATTGGAAGGGGAGTATGTGATAAAAGGCAATATGATATCAGCCTCTCAGTCCTTTTTAATACTTATATTACTTTCTTTTTTTTTTTGAGACAGAGTTTCACTCTTGTTGCCCAGGCTGGAGTACAATGGCGCTATCTTGGCTCACTGCAACCTCCGCCTCCCGGTTCAAGCAATTCTCCTGCCTCAGCCTCCCAAGTAGCTGGGATTACAGGCAACTGCTACCATGCCTGACTAATTTTTTGTATTTTTATTAGAGATGGTGTTTCACCATGTTGGCCAGGCTGGTCTCAAATTCTTGATGTCAGGTGATCCACCCACCTCGGCTTCACAAAGTGCTGGGATTACAGGCGTGAGCCTACATGCCCGGCCTAATACTCGTATTACTGAATAAAATTTGAAATCTGATTTTTTTTTTTTTGAGACAGAGTCTTGCTCTATTGCCCAGGCTGGAGTGCAGTGGCGCAATCTCGGCTCACTGTAACCTCCGCCTCCTGGGTTCAAGTGATTCTCCTGCCTCAGCCTCCCGAGTAGCTGGGATCACAGGTGTGCATCACCAAACCCGGCTAATTTTTTGTATTTTTAGTAGAGACAGGGTTTCACCATGTTGGCCAGGCTGGTCTCGAACTCCTGACCTCATGATCTGCCCGCCTTGGCATCCCAAAATGCTGTGATACAGGCATGAGGCACCACGCCTGGCCTGAAATCTGATAGTTCTTATTCTTACTGGTAGACTTGACCAATGGGACACTAAGGGAAAAATGTGCAAGGGGCTCGGGGCACACCCTGGCTGCAAAGTCAAAGCTTCCCAGAAATCCTTGTATCATGAACTTCTTGAGGCACAACCCAGCTTGATGTAACAATGTCAACACAGCAACACAAATACCAATTCTCCTTAAATATTATAATTAAAATCAAACCATCAGAATAGACCAATGGGAGGGATGATCATTTGTTTTGTGAAAAAGTTCTCCCTCTATTTCACTTATTTTAAATATCAAGCCCTCTTCCCAAGCCAAGTTGAACAAGATTCAATTTAGAAAAATTCTGTGAACTCGCCACTCTTCCCGTGAACCCATCTCTTTCCACAAATGAAGGTGGTTAAATTCCCCACAGCATTTTATATAGATTAAGAGCGATTATCCAAATCTTACATGAACTTTAAGTATGTTTACTCTTTCGCCAGGCGCAGTGGCTCACACCTGTAATCCCAGCACTCTGGGAGGTGGAGGCAAGCGGATCATCTGAGGTCGGGAGTTCAAGACCAGCCTGACCAACATGGAGAAACCCTGTCTCTACAAAAAATAAAAAAAATTAGCTGGGCGTGGCGGCACATGCCTGTAATTCCAGCTACTCGAGAGGCTGAGGCAGGAGAATCGCTTCAACCCGGGAGGTGGAGGTTGCGGTGAGCCGAGATCGCGCCATTGCACTCTAGCCTGAGCAACAAGAGCGAAACTCTGTCTCAAAAAAAAAAAAAGAAAAAAGAAAAAAGAAAAAAAAGATGTTCCGTCTTTCTGGTTAAGTACATCCAAGACTTCCAGAAAAGAGTCACCACAAGGAGTGAATTAGTTCCCTTTTTCCCTTAAATTTGTGCTCTATATGATCCAAGAACCAGCTATAGTCATACCCAGGTGAGCTGAATCTAGCCCCTTCATAGCACACACTTTGTGGATTAACTGGAAAAAGAACTAGACTAGAAGTTGGAAAACAGGTTTCACTGCATCCCTTCACAGTGAATGGCCCTTCTCTTCAGCACTCATATGGAGCTAAGTCTTCCAAGACCCTCAATTTCCTCACAGGGGCTGTTTCAAGACCAGTACAGAATACTAGTGTTGACTTAAACCTGGGCAAAGGGTCCCATTTGGACCTCCTCTGGCTGTATCCCTTCGCATAGGCTGAGTCAAAAGGCATCTAGAAAGTGCCTACCCGGAACTGTGAGCTCCCACCTCACTTCTGGACCATGCTCTGAGAACTCAGCACCCTGGATTTCCTGGACCAAATGACTCTGAGGCCCCCTACACAGGACTCAACCCCAGGCCTGTATTCATGAGAGTGGACTCTGACTGATGTACACACACGCTAGACCCTGATTTTGTGTAAGGGATTTGTAGACTGAGCTTGGATGTGCAGGCTAGAATGTGAGACACCTTGAAGTATGGGCCAACACCAGGCATGGGAAGAGACGAGGGAGTCTCTGTCATCTTGCCCAGGCCCCATAAATAATATAGGAACCTACTTTATTCCAATGGTTCTAAATCTCTTAGGGAGTCACCATCAGGTTCAGAATGTCACCCATGGGACTAACTCTTCTTTTTATTGAGACAGAGTCTCCTTCTGTCACCCAGACTGGAGTGCAGTGGCACGATCTTGGCTCAGTGCAACCTCTGCCTCCCAGGTTCAAGAGATTCTCCTGCCTCAGCCTCCTGAGTAGCTGGGACTACAGGCACGCACCACGACACCCGGCTAATTTTTGTATTTTTAGTAGAGATGAGGTTTTACCATGTTGGCCAGGCTGGTCTCAAACTTCTGACCTCAAGTGATCCACCCGCCTCAGCCTCCCAGAGTGCAGGGATTACAAGTGTGAGCCACCCAGCCTGGGACCAATTGTTGACATTAGAAAATGGTAGACACAGGCCGGGTGCGGTGGCTCACGCCTGTAATCCCAGCACTTTGGGAGGCCGAGGTGGGCGGATCACAAGGTGAAGAGATAGAGACCGTCCTGGCCAACATGGTGAAATGCCGTCTCTACTAAAAATACAAAAATTAGCTGGGCGTGGTGGCACGTGCCTGTAATCCCAGCTACTTGGGAGGCTGAGGCAGGAGAATTGCTTAAACCCGGGAGGCGGAGGTTGCAGTGAGCCAAGATCACACCACTGCACTCCAGCCTGGTAACAGAGCTAAGACTCCATCTCGAAAAAAAAAAAAAAAAAGAAAATGGTAGACACTTATACCACTTGGCATATGAATGCATGACAAGAGATTGACAGATTACTCTGAGCCTCATGGCTGGAGAGGTTAACTATCGTCTAGCTTATTCTTTACCCTCCCCTCCTCATAATATACATGCATACCATTAATTGTTCTTTTTTTTTTTTTTTTTTTTTAGAGACACAGTCTTGCTCTGTCACCCAGCCTGGAGTGCAGTGGCACAATCATGGCTCACTGCAGTCTTGACATCCTGGGCTCAAGTCATCCCCCTATCTCAGCCTCCTGAGTAGCTGGGATTACAGGCATGTGCCATCATGCTTGGTGGCTGTCTGCCGAGCTGGGATTAACTGCACACTTCATGTGCCAGCACCCCGGGCCCCCACCACACCATAGAGGGAATGGCCAATTGAGCTGCCCCAATATTAACTGGTTTCGGGGTTAGACTTCCTTGAAGTCCACTCATAAGCCACTCCTTGCACCCTCACCCCTGGTTAAAGAACTCTGGGTGTACTGAAGGCACTCCGAAAGCATAAATACCACTGAACAGCTGAATGAAACTAGGTATCAACACCCTGCCCCATGAGTATAAAAAAGATCATCAGTAAAGACAACCTGGGTGATTTCCTTTATGTTATTTACTTATTTATTTTTGAGACAGAGTTTTGCCCTTGTTGCCCAGGCTGGAGTGCAGTGGCGCGATCTCGGCTCACTGCAACCTCTGCCTCCTGGGTTCAAGTGATTCTCCTACCTCAGGCTCCTAAGTAGCTGGGATTACAGGCATCTACCATGCCCGGCTAATTTTTTGCATTTTTAGTAGAGATGGGGTTTCACCACGTTGGCCAGGCTGGTCTTGAACTCCTGACCTCAGGTGATCCACCTGCCTCGGCCTCCCAAAGTGCTAGGATTACAGGTGTGAGCCACCACGCCCTGCCAAAAACCTGGGTGATTTCCTAAAGAGGAGAATATCTCACACACCTCTTCCTGTGCTCCACTACGATGTTCATCCTCCCCATGCACCTGCCCCGCACCTACAGCCTGATATCTTCATCTTCTAGGAATTATCAGAACAGGCATGGGAAAGAGTGGGACAGGGAGAATGAAAAGCTCCAGACATGACCCAATTCCAGTTTTTTTTTTTTTTTTGAGATGGAGTTTCGCTCTTGTTGCCCAGGCTGGAGTGCAATGGCACGATCTCGGCTCACCGCAACCTCCGCCTCCCAGGTACAAGCGATTCTCCTGCCTCAGCCTCCCTAGTAGCTGGGATTACAGGCATGTGCCACCACGCCCAGCTAATTTTGTATTTTTAGTAGAGATGGGGTTTCTCCATGTTGGTCATGCTGGTCTCAAACTTCTGACCTCAGGTAATCCGCCCGCCTTGGCCTCTCAAAGTGCTGGGATTATAGATGTGAGCCCCCACGCCTGGCCCTGCTTTTTTTTTTTTTTAATTAATTTTTTTTTTTTGAGACAGAGCATTGCTCTGTTGCCCAGGCTGGAGTGCAGTGGTGCGATCTCTGCTCACTGCAACCTCCGCCTCGTGGGTTCAAGGGATTCTCCTGCCTCAGACTCCTGAGTAGCTGGGATTACAGGCACCTGCCACCACACCTGGCTAATTTTTGTATTTTTAGTAGAGACAGGGTTTCACCATGTTGGTCAGGCTGGTCTCGAGCTCCTGACCTGGTGATCCACCCACCTCAGCCTCCCAAAGTGCTGGGATTACAGGTGTGAGCCACCACGCCTGGCCACCCAATCCCAGTTCTGTACAGAGCCACCACAAGGCAATAATACTTCATCCAGCGCAAACAGCTCGGCTGGGATTCAGAATCCTTCTCCCTAGAATCTCCAGAGGATTACTGGCCTAACCTCTTGGCCACATCATCCAACCTGGACTCCATACTGGGAAATCTGCCAAGAACATCTCAACCTGGAGTCCAGAACATTCACTCCCAGCCCAGGCTGGCTCCAAAGACCCCAGGAAACCTTCATGTGCACACTAGTTTCATCTCTTGGCCAGTGACTTCCTACATAACTTTTTTTTTCTTTTCATTTTTTTTCTTGAGACAGGGTCTCATTCTGTCGCCCAGGCTGGAGTGCAATGGCGTGATCTCAGCTCACTGCAACGTTCATCTCCTGAGTTCAATGAGTTCAAGCGATTCTCCTGCCTCAGCTTTCTGAGTAGCTGGGATTACGGACGTGTGCCACCACGCCCAGGTAATTTTTTTTAGAAACCCCGTAGAGACAGGGTTTCTCCATGTTGGCCAGGCTGGTCTCAAACTCCTGACCTCAAATGATCCACCTGCCTCAGCCTCCCAAAGTGCTGGGATTACAGGCGTGAGCCACCGCGCCCAGCCCCTGCATAACCTTTGGAGATCCACAGGCCTCTCCTTTCAGTCACCGGATCCAGGCTCAGTCCAGAGACCCTTGATAAGCTCTCATTGTCCGGAGGCCATACCTCATGCAGAGTTAAGGACCTCCAACTTCCCCACAACACCCTTCCTACTCAGGCTGGCCTCGGGGGCCGTGGACCAACTCAGAGAGCAAGCTGGCTTAGCCTCTGCCAAACCTAGGCCTAAAGGTGGCCAGGAGGCTGCATTTCCAGCCTCTCAAAGGCAGAGGAAAGCCCCAAGGGCTAAAGCCCTCAACCCGCACTTCCCAATCATCAACGAGGTCCAGTCAAGCCCCCATACCCCAGATTTGCCTGGGCCGGGCCCAAGCCCAAGAAAGTAAAGTAAGAAAAACTATGGCACTCACCGGCCCAGACCCTGTTCCTCCTTCCCTTTCAGCCTCACATACACCCAGGACGGCTTAAGGCCGAGTGACCGTTAAAAGTGGGGAATGGAGCGAGGCCAGGGACGCAACGCTCCCGCACGTGGTCACCCCTGGATCCTGAGGCGGACGCTGATTGGCTGCAGCGCGGGCCGCATTCTCCCGCTCAGGCCAGCTGAGCACGCTGGGCAGCCTGGGAGGCACCTAGGACAGCGCCACTCCCGCGCGTCTGCCTCGGACCCGCAGCTGATTGGCTGTGAAGGGGCAGAGCCTTGAGTCTCATTGGTCCATAGGCTTCAGGCCTCTTAGGCTGAGATTTCATTGATTTCCAGCCGGGCCCCAGCGTTGATCTGCTGTGGAGTCTGCCTTTTCCCACTCTCTCCACGAAGAGACTGGACCCTGATTCTCCTTCACCTGAACAGCCCTGGAGGCTCCCTCAGCAAGTGCTCAGGAGTACTACTGTCCTTTTTTTTTTTTTTTTTTTTGAGACAGAGTCTCGCTCTGTCGCCCAGGCTGGAGTGCAGTGGCGCGATCTCTGCTCACTGCAAGCTCCGACTCCCGGGCTCACACCATTCTCCTGCCTTAGCCTCCCAAGTAGCTGGGACTACAGGCGCCCGCCATCACGCCCGGCTAATTTTTTGTACATTTAGTAGAGATGGGGTTTCACCATGTTAGCCAGGATGGTCTCGATCTCCTGACCTCGTGATCCACTCGCCTCGGCCTCCCAAAGTGCTGGGATTACAGGCGTGAGCCACCACGCCCGGCTTTTTAAAAAATTATTATTTCATTTTTATTTTATGAACGGGGTCTCCCTCTGTTGCCGGTGCTGGGGTGCAATGGTGCAATCATAGCTCACTGCAGCCTCGAACTCCTGGGCTCAAGCAATCCTTCCACCTGGGCCTCCCAAAATTCTGGAACTACAGCCGTGAGACACCGTGCCTGACCTGCCTTTCTTGCTTCTATTTTGCCACCCTAAGTAGCTCCCATTTGCAAACCCTGTCACCTTTCTCTCAACCCTTTACCATCTGTGAGGTGTGTAGGGGGTGTGTAGGCTGCCGCCACACCTGATTGGCTGGGAGGCCCGTAAGAGCAAGCCAAGGCCAGGCACGGTGGCTCATGCCCGTAATCCCAGGGCTTTGAGAGGTCCAGGTGGTAGTAGGATCGCTTGAGCCCAGGAGGTCGAGGCTGCAGTGAGCTATGATCACACCACTGCACTGCAGCCTGGGCGACACAGTGAGGCCCTGTCTCTAATAAATAAATAAAAATAAAATAAAAGAGCCAGCCAGGCAGGGCACGGTGGCTCACGCCTGAAAACCCAGCACTTTGGGAGGCCGAGGAGGGCGGATCACCTGGGGTCAGGAGTTCGAGATCAGCATGACCAACATGGTGAAACCCCGTCTCTACTAAAAATACAAAAATTAGCTGAGCGTGGTGGCGGGCGCCTGTAATTCCAGCTACTCGGCAGGCTGAGGCAGGGGAATCGCTTGAACCCCGGGAGGCGGAGATTGCAGGGAGCCTATATCGCGCCACTGCACTCCAGCCTGGGAGACAGAGCGAGACGGCGTCTCAAAAAAAAAAAGAGCCAGCCAGGCTTCGGTGCCTGTGAACAGCTCCCTTTTCTCTCTTGTCCCACTCCACCACGATTGCTGGCACAGCTCACTCTGCCTCGCCTGGAAGCCTGGAAGTGTACAGGGACAGGAAAGACACAAGAGGGGGGCAGTGCCTTGCCCCGTGATTGGCAGCGTGACACTTGCACTTCCAATTCCCACTGCCACCTCGACTGTATGCTCAGCCAGGAGTAACTGCGCGCGGACGTGTCAGCACTCCCACCTCCAACCATACCGCAGAGGGAACGGCCGATTGCGCTGCCCCAACATTAACTGGCCCGGGGGTTAGACTCCCTCCAGCAGGGTTTCCCCCTGGGCAGGGCTTCGGGGCTAACAAGCTGCGAGCTCGCCCCTCGCCAGTCTCCCGAGGTGCTTGTCTGCGGGGCTTCTGGCCCGGCCCCCGCGGCGGTTGCACCGCTGATTGGCTGGCTCCGCTCCTTTCTAAGTGGCTTAGCCTGGGATTCGTTCTCAAGCATAGCCAATGAGACGCCAGGGCGCCTCAAGCAGGCGGGCATGACTCCACCGCTGTCGCTTCTGATTGGCCCTAAGGCTCGTCTTCGCTTTAGATTGACCAGAGAGCAGCGGGGCGGGAGCTTAGTTGAGCAGTTTCAGGCTGCGATGCGAGTTCGGTACCTTCCCGCTGCGCGGAGTGTTGTTGTGCGCGTCCTTCGCAGCCGCTCGCTGAGGAGCTGGAGTGGGGAGGAATGGGGGTGGTCAGGAGACAGGAGAGCACCTCGCGGAAGAGCCTGGGACAACAACCGGAGCTGTAGGTCCTGACCGAGACAGCCTGAGGCGTCCCTGGCCCCGATAGGGAGCGAAACCGCTAAAATGGGGGAAGGGGCCGGACGTGGTGGCTCACGCCTGTAATCCCAGCACTTTGGGAGGCTAAGGCGGGCAGATCACCTGAGGTCAGGAGTTCGAGACCAGCCTGACCAATATGGTGAAACCCCGTCTCTACTAAAAATACAAAAATTAGCCGGGCGTGGTGGGGGATGCCTGTAACCCCAGCTACTCGGGAGGCCCAGGCAGGTGAATTGCTTGAACCCGAGAGGCGGAAGTTACAGTGAGCGGAGATGGCGCCACTACGCTCCAGCCTGGGCGACAGAGCAAGACTCCATCTCAAAAAATAAAAATAAAAAATAAAGTAAAAAAGGGAGAAGGACTGGCACTGTGGTGGGAGTAATAGCACCTCGTGTTTACCGAGCCCTTTCCATGTGCCACGCTTGTGCATCAACTCGTTGAAACCTAAATAACCCCGTGAGGGAGGCGATTACTATGCCAGGTTAACCTCTGAGGGTCAAAGAGGTGAAGTCGTTTATTTAGGGTCCCGCAGCAGTTACGGGCATTGCTGGAACTCGAACCCTGCTGTGGTGAGAGCCCAACCTTCAAGCTACACTATGATTAAGTAGGATTGATTTTGTAGATGGGGATGGGGTCTGATCACATTGGCCCTGGTTTTGGGAAAATGGACTGACATGTACAAAAAGGTATTTTATTTATTTATTTATTTATTTATTTATTTTTGAGACAGAGTCTTGCTCTGTCGCCCAGGCTGGAGTGCAGTTGTGCGATCTCAGCTCTCTGCAATCTCCACCTCCCGGGGTTCAAGCCATCCTCCTGTCTCAGCCTCCCGAGTAGCTGGGATTACAGCCACCTGCCACCATGCCCGGCTAATTTTTGTATTTTTAGTAGAGACGGGGTTTCACCATGTTGGCCAGGCTGGTCTCGAACTCCTGACTTCAAGTGATCCTCCTGCCTCGGCCTCACATAGTGCTGGGATTACAGGCGTGAGCTACTGCACCTGGCCTAGAGAAAGGTATTTAAAAAATCAGTCTCATAATATCTTTGCTTTTTTTTTTTTTTTTGAGATAGGGTCTTGCTCTCTTGCCCAGGCTAGAGCACAGTGGCAGGATCATGGCTCACTGCAGCCTTGACCTCCTGGGGTCAAAGGATCCTCCCACATTAGCCTCCCAAGTCGCTGGGACTACAGGTGCACAACACCATGCATCACTAATTAATTAATTTATTATTTATTATTATTATTTTGTAGAGATGGTCTCACTATGTTGCTCAGGCTGGACTTAAACTCCTGGGCTCAAGGGATCCTCCTGCTTTGGACTCCCAAAGTACTGGGATTACAGGCACGAGCCACTGTGCCAGGCCCCAGACCAGTTTTAAGTGCTTTACCTACATCATCAGATTGACTCTTCATAGTAAACTCTATCGGATATTTACTGTTATTATTCTCATTTGACAGATACAAAAACTGAGGTTTGGCCTGGCACAGTGGCTCATGCCTGTAATCCCAGCACTTTGGGAGGATGAGGCGGGTGGATCCTTTGAGGCCAGGAGTTCGAGACCAGCCTGGCCAACATGGTGAAACCCTGTCTCTACTAAAAATACAAAAAAAATTAGCTGGGCATGGTGGCACATGCCTGTGATCCCAGCTACTGGGGAGGCTGAGGCAGGAGAATCACTTGAACCTGGCAGAGGTTGCAGTGAGCCGAGATCGCGCCACTGCACTCAAGCCTGGGCAACAGAGCAAGACTCCGTCTCAAACAAAACAAAACAAAAAAACAAAAACAGGTTCAGAGAAGAAACTGATTTTCCTAAGATCTCACTGGGAGTAATTGTCAGAGCTGGAATTTGAACTAGGCCTGTTGCAGTCTGACTCCAGAGCCTAAGCTCCTAAACATTTTTATACACTGCCTCCATCCTGCCAACTACAGTGACCACAGTGCAGACACACATGGTCCCAGGGAATCCCCAGCCACTATAGGAAACAGAATGACGCCAACACGCATTGGAATAGGCAGCCAAGGCTCACAGAGGTGAAGCTCCTCATCTCAGCTCACACAGCTAGTCCATGGCTGAGCAAGGAGTAGAATGATGCAAGACCTGAATCCAAGCCTGAGTTCTTCATCACACCTCACACTGTGTTTTTCCTATTTGAAAGATGAAGAAACGAGGCCGGGCATGATGGCTCACGCCTGTAATCCAATCACTTTGGGAGGCCAAGGCGGGTGGGTCATAAGGTCAGGAGTTCGAGACCAGCCTGACCAACGTGGTGAAACCCCATCTTTACCAAAAATACAAAAGTTATCTGGGCATGGTGGCGCATGCCTATAATCCCAGCTACTCAGGAGGCTGAGGTAGGAGAATCGCTTGAACCCGGGAGGCAGAGGTTGCAGTGAACTGAGATTGCGCCACTGCACTCCAGCCTGGGAGACACAGCAAGACTCCATCTCAAAAAAAAAAAAAAAAAAAAAACCGGCTGGGTGCTTGATGGCTCACACCTGTAATCCCAGCACTTTGGGAGGCCAAGGCGGGCGGATCCAGCTTCGGTTACTCCCTGAGGAGTAACCGAAGCTGGAATTCAGACCCAGATCTGCCTGACCCAGGAGATCACCCCTGAACCACATTACCTTCAGGAAGTGCTTGTCTGGTAGATCCTGGGTTGGATTGGTTGAGAAGTCCTCTCACTCAACAAGCCTTATTTACAGTTAGTTCATCTTGTCCCAACTTTGACCCTAAAGGTGGTTGGGAATATACTTTACAGCCTCAGAACCTTTGGAGTTTCTCACTGATTCTCACTGAGAAGCCCTAGTGATAATTGCTACAATTTTTTATTATTCATATTTTTTCCTTTTTTTTTTTTTTGAGACAGAGTCTTACTCTGTTGCCCAGGCTAGAGTGCAATGGCACGATCTCGGCTCACTGCAACCTCTGCCTCACAGGTTCAAGCGATTCTCCTGTCTCAGCCTCCCGAGTAGCTGGGATTACAGGCATGTGCCACCACACCTGGTTATTTTCTTTCTGTTTTAATAAGCTGGTCTACAATACAGGTTTCCTGTGTTTTGTTTTTTTAGAGATGGGGTCTTGCTGTGTTGCCCAGGCTGGAGTGCAGTGGCTATTCACAGGTGCGATCGTAGCACACTGTGGCCTCAAACTCCTAGCCTCGGCGATCCTCCTGCCTCAGCCTTCTGAGGAGCTGGGACTACAGGCACATGCCAACATGCCCAGCTAATTACTACAAATTATTGAATCCTTTTTATGGGCCAGGAAGGCATGAGAAGATGGAGTGAGGGACCCTGGGCTCTGGCAAGATGGTATAGGAAGGGTTGTTGGCTTGGCTTGGGGGGTTGGACTGTAAGATTTGGAGAGTTAAATGTCTGAAAGAAGTAGAAAAATAAATAAAAAGCCCCTGCCTTCAGTTGCTTATTGAGCAACTCCCCATGCCAGATCCTACACTAACTAAGCTTAACTGTACACTGAGAAGCAGAGAGCCTTGCAGCCTAGGTAGCTGAATGCTGGATCCAAACTGTCTGCATCATATCCTGGCCCTGTTATTTACTAGTTGTGAGACCTTTGGCAAATTGCTTAACCCCTCTGGGCCTTAATCTCTTCATCTGGGCATATTAAATGGTCATATCATAAATGGGCATATTAATAGTACATATTGGCCAGGCATGGTGGCTCACACCTGTAATTCCAGCACTTTGGGAAGCCGAGGTGGGCGGATCACCTGAGGTCAGGAGTTCGAGACCAGCTTGGCCGACATGGTGAATCCCTGTCTCTACTAAAAATACAAGCCTGTAATCCCAGCTACTCGGGAGGCTGAGGCGTGAGAATCGCTTGAACCCAGGTGGCAGAGGTTGCAGTGAGCTGAGATCATGCCACTGCACTCCAGCCAGGGCAACAGAGTGAGACTATGTCTCAAAAAAAAAAAAAAAAAAAAAAAAGGGCTGAGTGGCTGAGTGCAGTGGCTCATGCCTGTAATCCCAGCGCTTTGGGAGAACGAGGCAGGCAGATCACCTGAGGTCAAGAGTTCAAGACCAGCCTGGCCAACACGGTGAAACCCCATCTCTACTAAAAATACAAAAATTAGCTGGGTGTGGTGGCAGGCACCTGTAATCCCAGCTACTCGGGAGGCTGAGGCAGGAGGATCGCTTGAACCTGGGAGGGGGAGGTTGCAGTGAACTGAGATTGCACCACTGCACTCCAGCCTGGGTGACGGAGCGAGACGTCATCTCAAAAAAAAAAAAAAGGTACATACTCCCGGTCGTGGTAGCTCACATGTGTAATCCCAGCACTTTGGGAGGCTGAGGTGAGAGGATTGCTTGGACTCAGGAGTTCAAGACCAGGTTGTGCAACATGGCGAATCCCCATGGCTACAAAAAATACAAAAATTAGCCAGGTGTGGTGGCACACACTTGTAATCCCAACTACTGGGGAGGCTGAGGTAAGAGGATCACCTGAGCCCAGGAGGTAGAAGCTACAGTGAGCCATGATTGCAACACTGCACTCCAGCTTGGGTGACAGAGTGAGAACCTGTCTCAAAAAAAAAGAAAAAAAGTGTGTACCTCTCAAAGTCATTGAGGGGATTAAATGAACTAATAGAGCAGTGGTATTTCTTCTTCTTTTTTTTTTTGAGATGGAGTCTGCCCTCCAGGCTGGAGTGCAGTGGCGCGATCTCGGCTCACTGCAACCTCTGCCTCCTGGGTTCAAGCGATTTTCCTGCCTCAGCCTCCTGAGTAGCTGGGACTACAGGCGCGGGCCACCACGCCCAGCTAATTTTTGTATATTTAGTAGAGACGGGTTTTCGCCATGTTGGCCAGGATGGTCTCGATCTTTTGACCTTGTGATCCACCTACCTCGGCCTCCTAAAGTGCTGGGATTACAGGCGTGAGCCGAATAGTGGCATTTCTTCTGTTCCCCAATGCCCTGTAACCGAGTTGTTTCCTTGCAATCAGTGTCATCTGCCTTGGCTGTGGTGTAGACCCTGAAAATTAAGGGATCATGGGAAAGCCTGGGGGCAGTGTGTTCCCAGAAGCAGTAGCAAGCGCAAAAGCCCCAAGGCAGGAGTGAGCTTAGTATATCTGAGGTACAGCAGGAAGTCCACCTGGAGCCAGGCAGCTGACTAAGACTCAGGAGCTCAGCTCAACGGCACGAGTGTTCATAACAGATGTGAAAATAACCCTGTACCTTTCAGAGAACAAAGGACTTTCCCCAAGCTTTGATCTCTGGAAAAACCCCAGACCATGATTACATTTGAGGCTCAGTGTCCACAGTTGCACAGGAATGAAGCTTAGAATTCAGGTCTTCTAGCTCTCTAGGGCCCATGCGTCAAGGTCAAGAAACTTACTTTCACTCAAATATTTATTAAACTCCTGGCCAGGCGCAGTGGCTCACACCTGTAATCCCAGCACTTTGGGAGGCCAAGGTTGGCTAATCACTTGAGGTCAGGAGTTGGAGGCCAGCCTGGCCAGCATGGCAAAACCCCATCTCTACTAAAAATACAAAAATTAGCCGGGCATGGTGGCGGGCGCCTGTAATCCCAGCTACTCAGGAGGCTGAGGCACAAGAATCGCTTGAACCTAGGAGGCAGAGGTTGTAGTGAGCTGAGATTGGGTCACTGCACTCCAGCCTGGGTGACAAGAGCGAAACTCCATCTCAAAAAAACAAAACAAAAAATTCTGATGGTGCATGCCATTGGTGCTGAGCCCTGGGGAAGACCCAGCCCCTGCCTTCAAACATTTCACCTGCTAGAGAGGAATTAGACCTCAAAACATATTCTTCAAGAGCCAAGTGGAAAGTGTAGGAACTGAAGCTGAGAAGAGGCACTTAAGCTAAGGGGAGAAGGAGTGGAGAAGGGTGAGGGACAGCTTCCCACAGGAGGCGATGATGTTTGTGCATCTTTTTGGGGGTACTTACTATGTGCTAGGCATGGTGCTTGGTAGAAAGGACACAGTGGGAAGCAAAGAAGAGACTGAATGTAATGGTCTGCTAGGGCTGTGTAACAAAATATCACAGACTAGGGGGCTTAAACAACAGACATTTATTTCTCACAGTTCTGGAGACTGGAAGTCCAAAGTCAAGGTGCCAGCAGGGTTGGTTTGTCCTGAGGCATTTGTCCTTGGTTTGTAGAAGGCCACCTTTTCACTGTGACCTCATATGGCCTTCCCTCCGTGTGTGTGCACTCCTGGTGTCTCTTTCTATAAGGACATCAGGGATCAGGGCCCCACCCTTATGACCTCACTTAACCTAAGTTCCCTTCTTTATTTTCTTTTTCTTTATTTTATTTTATTTTTGAGACAGAGCCCTGTTTTGTCACCCAGGCTGCAGTGCAGTGGCAGGATCTTGGCTCGCTACAACCTCCATCTCCTGGGTTCAAATGATGCTGTTTTGGCCTTCCAAGTAGCTGGATTTAGAGGTGCCTGCCACCACGCCTATCTAAGTTTTGTATTTTTAGTGAAGGCCGGGTTTCACCATGTTGGCCAGGCTGCTCTCAAACTCCTGACCTCAAGTGATTTGCCTGCTTTGGCCTCCCAAAGTGCTGGGATTACAGGTGTGAGCCACTGTCCTGGCCAGTTTACTTTCTTAAAGTATCTGTCTTGGGCTGGGCGTGGTGGCTTACACCTATAATCCCAGCACTTTGGGAGGCTGAGGTGGGAGAATCACTTGAGGCCAGGAGCTCGAGACCAGCCTGTCCATCATGGTGAAACCCTGTCTCTACAAAAAGTACAAAAATTAGCCAGGTGTGGTGGCGCACGCCTGTAATCCCAGCTACTTGGGAAGCTGAGGCAGAAAATCACTTGAGCCCAGGAGGTGGAGGTTGTAGTAAGCTGAGATTGCACCACTGCACTCCAGACTGGGCAACAGAGCAAGACTCTTGTCTCAAAAAAAAAAAGGCTGGGTGTGGGGGCTCATGCCTGTAATCTGAACACTTTGGGAGGCCGAGGTTGGCGGATCACGAGGTCAGGAGATCAAGACCATCCTGGCTAACACGCTGAAACCCCGTCTCTACTAAAAACACAAAAAATTAGCTGGGCGTGGTGGCGGGTGCCTGTAGTCCCAGCTACTTGGGAGGCTGAGGCAGGAGAATTGCGTGAACCCAGGAGGTGGAGCTTGCAGTGAGCTGAGATCGCACCATTGCACTCCAGCCTGGGACACAGAGCGAGACTCCATCTCAAAAAAAAAAAAAAAAAAAAGTTAACTGATGTACCCTGAACCAGAGTTGTTTTTAGACAACAAATATTGCTTGTCTTGACTCTGGGTACAGATATATATATATGTATCTTTTCTTTTTTTTTTTTTTGAGACAGGGCCTTGTTCTGTTGCCCAGGCTCCTGGCCTCAAACAATCCTCACATCTCAGCCTCCCAAAGTGTCCTCAATTTTCTGAATGGATTTTTATGAGAGGAACTTTAATACCAGGGATCCTATTTTGGTCATTTTGTCCAGCAGGGCTGGGAGCAGCTCTTCAAAAAGACCATTTTCTTGTCCCTTTACCTTCCCTGTTTTGCATGATTCTGTTTCCATTTGTAGAGGATCTGAGAAGGCAGCTGATTCTGTGAGAAACAATGATTCTACTTCATGTTTTAAATAGATCTGTTGGGTTAAGTGACAAGTCCCTAGCTAGACTCAAGAAGGCACTGGAGAGCTATGGTCCTGCCACTGTACTCCAGCCTGGGCGACACGGTGCGATTCTCATTTTCTCTCTCTCTCTCTCTCAGACAAAGTCTCCCCCTATTGCCCAGGCTGGAGTCCAGTGGTGCTACCATAGCTCACTGCAGCCTCGAACTCCTGGGCTCAAGTGATCCTCCTGTCTTGGCCTCCCAAAGTGAGGGATTACAGGTGGGATTACAGGTGTGAGTCACTGTGCCTGGCTGAGACCCCGTCTTTTAAAAGAAAGGGGAAGGGGGAGGAGAAGGGGTAGGAAGAAGGAGGAGGAGGAGGAAGAAGGCGGAGGAGGAAAGAGGAGGAGAAAGAGAAAAAAGGAGGAGGGAAGAGGAGGAGGGTGAAGGAAGGAGAAGGAAGAAGGAGGAGAAAGGAAGAGGGATGAAAGAAAAGAGGAGGGAGGAAGAGGAAGAGGGAGGAGGAGGAGGAAGGAAGAGGAGGAGGGAGAAGGAGGAGGGAGGAGGAGGGAGGAGGAGGAGGGAGAAGGAGGAGAGGGTGGCAGTGGAGGTCACTCCCTATAATGTGGAGCATAGCAGCCACCTGCTGGTCACAGCGCAGTAGGAAGAACACAAAGCCCTGGAGTGAGGCAGAGGGGCCCTGGCTCCTCAGTGGCTCTCCAGCGCCCTCTATTGACAAAGCCTAACCTGGCACCAGATGACAAATGGAACTGAGAGGTAATAAATTGATAACCCACAGGTAAGTGATGGGGCCCCTGCTATTAATAAAAACAACAGTAATAATAACGACTACCATGGAATTCTCAGTGCTGTCTGTGTCATTTATCCCGGAATCGCTGGTGAAGGTTGATGGGGAGGGGGGATTGTGGTCCATTTGCCTCCAGGGTCGGCTCACCCTTCCCTAGGCTCAGGCTTAGGGTCTGAGCCTGCTCTGGGCAAGCACCCTCTCCCTCCTCCCAGACCAGACCCTATAGATGGAGCTGACTCCATCCCTGCTCCAAGGGCAGGCGTGTGCCCCGGAATCTGCACTTTCCCCAGCCCCACACGTGATGGCACAGCACAGTGTCAAACCTAGACAATGAAAAACATTCCAGAGGGGGCACCAGGCCCTCTCACCGTTTTTTGCTTTGTTTTGTTTTGTTTTTGTTTTTTGAGATGGAGTCTTGCTCTGCCACCCAGGCTGGAGTGCAGTGGCACGATCTTGGCTCACTACAACATCCACCTCCCAGGTTCAAGTGATTCTTCTATCTCAGCCTCCTGAGTAGCTTGGATTACAGGCACATGCCACCACATCTAGCTAATTTTTGTATTTTTAGTAGAAACAGGGTTTCGCCATGTTAGCCAGGCTGGTCTCGAACTCCTGACCTCAGGTGATCTGCCTGCCTCAGCCTCCCAAAGTGCTGGGATTACAAGTGTGAACCACCATGCCCAGTCATCTTTTTTTTTTTTTTTTTTTTGAGACTGTTATCTGGGCTGACAGAGTCAGTGGTGCCATCTTGGCTCACTTCAGCGACGACTGCCATACTCAAGTGATCCTCCTGCCTAAGCTTCCTGAGCAGCTGTGATGCAGGTGCTTGCCACCATGGCCAGCGATTTTTAAAAATTTTTTTATTGTTTTGTAGAGACAGGGTCTCACTATGTAGCCTAGGCTGGTCTCGAACTCCTCAAGCGTTCCTCCCGCCTTGGCCTCCTAAAGTGCTGGGATTACAGGCGTAAGCCACCGCGCCCCCCCGCCCGGCTAGGTTTTTGTTTTGTCTTTCATTCTTTTATTTTTCTCCTTAGCACTTATTAGCCTCTAACATGTGTTTTTCTTATTGGTTTTATCTATTTTCCCCTCTAGAAGGTAAGCTTTATTTATTTATTTATTAAGCTCTTTTAAATCTGGGAAGAGTTCCTGTAAGCTTTATTATCTGATTCCCAGGAAGCTTGTAGCCATTTTTCTAACACCAGCCAAGGACGCGGGGACCAGAGAGGAGGAATTGGTGGGCGTGGGACACCTGAGGAAAGGGCAGGGGTGTGTGTTTTTACGTTTTAGTTAAAAAAAAAAAAAAAGAACCAACTTGCCCTCATGGAAGGAGTGTAAGCAAAAGTGGATGTAGTCAGAGGCATGTGCCTGGCTTGATTGCTATATAACACAGTTTCTTATTTCCATTCTGTGATCTCAGATGGTGAGAGAGAGAGCTTGGCTCAGTGGAGCAAGAGAGAGAAAGAGATACCTGGAGAGGTGGCAAGGGGCCAAGCCACACGGGCCCTCAGTGCGAGGTGAGGAGGGCGCTGGAGAGCCGTGGAGGGTTAGAGGCTGAGGAGGGATGCAGTCACCTGGGGTGTGGGGGGAACAGCCATCAAATGGCTGCCTGTCCCTCAAGGGGTCCGGGCCCTGACATAGCCCTGACCTCTTTGCTCCCCTCTTACCCACAGGAGCCGGCCTCTGAGTTTGGGGGCTGGGGCGGACAAACCTGTCCTGCAGGCAGGCCCGCCTGGGTGAGGCCACGCTGCTGCCGGTCTGACTGAGCCACACTCTGCAGGTATATGGTAGGATGGAGCCCGAAAGCCAAGTGGCAGATGTGGGTCAGAGATGGCGGCCTACCTACCTGACTGCCCAGAGGTCAGAGGTCAGGTCAAACCCCGGCCTCCCATCTAGCAAGTCCTGGCCTATTATTATTATTATTGAGACGGGGTCTTGCTATTGCCCAGGCTGGAATGCAGTGGCACCATCACAGCTCACTACAGCCCCTACCTCCTGGGTTCAAGCGATCTTCCCACCTCAGCCTCCCGACTAGCGGTTACTACAAGTGCGCACCACTATGGCCAGCTAATTTTTAAATTTTTTGGAGAGATGAGGTCTCACTATGTTGGCCAGGCTGGTCTGGAAATCCTGGCCTCAAGCAATCCTCCTGCCTCAGCTCCCAAAATGCTGGGATTACAGGCGTGAGCCACTGTGCCCAGCCCTGACCTGTCTTACTGAGAGGTGACAGCGTGCTGGCAGTCCTCACAGCCCTCGCTCGCTCTCGGCGCCTCCTTTGCCTGGGCTCCCACTTTGGCAGCACTTGAGGAACCTTCAGCCCGCTGCTGCACTGTGGAAGCCCCTTTCTGGGCTGGCCAAGGCCGGAGCCGGCTCCCTCAGCTTGCGGGGAGGTGTGGAGGGAGAGGCGCAGGCGGGAACCGGGGCTGCGCGCGGTGCTTGCGGGCCAGCGCCGAGTTCCGGGTGGGCGTGGGCCCGGTGGACCCCGCGCTCAGAGCGGCCGGCCGGCCCCGCCGGCCCCGGGCAGTGAGGGGCTTAGCACCTGGGCCAGCAGCTGCTGTGCTCAATTTCTCGCCGGGCCTTAGCTGCCTTCCCGCGGGGCAGGGCTTGGGACCTGCAGACCGCCATGCCTGAGCCTCCCCTCTCCCCGTACCCCGTGGGCTCCTGTGCGGCCTGAGCCTCCCCGACGAGCGCCGCCCCTGCTCCACGGCACCTAGTCCCATCGACCACCCAAGGGCTGAGGAGTGCGGGCGCACGGCGTGGGACTGGCAGGCAGCTCCACCTGCAGCCCCAGTGCGGGATCCACTGGGTGAAGCCAGCTGGGCTCCTGAGTCTGGTGGGGAGGTGGAGAACCTTTATGTCTAGCTCAGGGATTGTAAATACACCAATCGGCACTCTGTATCTAGCTCAAGGTTTGTAAACACACCAATCAGCATCCTGTGTCTAGCTCAGGGTTTGTGAATGCACCAATCGACACTCTGTATCCAGCTACTCTGGTGGGGACTTGGAGAACCTTTGTGTGGACACTCTGTATCTAGCTAATCTAGTGGGGACATGGAGAACCTTTGTGTCTAGCTCAGGGATTGTAAACGCACCAATCAGCACCCTGTCAAAACAGACCACTCGGCTCTCTGTAAAATGGACCAATCAGCAGGATGTGGGTGGGGCCAGATAAGAGAATAAAAGAAGGTTGCCCGAGTCAGCCGCGGCAACCCGCTGGGGTTCCCTTCCGTGCTGTGGTAGCTTTGTTCTTTTGCTCTTTGCTATAAATCCTGCTGCTGCTCACTCTTTGGGTGCATACTGCCTTCATGAGCAGTAACACTCACCGCGAAGGTCTGCAGCTTCACTCCTGCCTGAGCCGGCGAGACCAGGAACCCACCAGAAGGAAGAAACTCCGGACACATCCGAACATCGGAAGGAACAAACTCCAAACACGCCACCTTAAGAGCTGTAACACTCACCGCGAGGGTCCGCGGCTTCATTCTTGAAGTCAGTGAGACCAATAACCCACCAATTCCGGACACCTTAACTGCTCAGATAAAGTTTGAAAATATTTAGTAGGATAATTCTCTTCTCAATGTACATTTTATGTCCAGCAGGGACATTTTAACTAAGATATATTTCTTGATTTTTTGTTAGAGGACAAAGGCAATAGTCATCATAAAATATTTGCAAAATACCAAAATGTCCAAGGAATGAAGTAAAGATCCCCTGCAAATGTGTCCTCTTCCTCAATAACCTTTGGAAGACTTTCTTTTAAAAAAAATGCAAACATGCACATATTTATATTTTTATCAGGGAAGGAATCATACTTGGCATGCTACATTGTAATCTGTTTTTCTCATGTCACAATTTCCCAAGCATTTTTTTCATGCCATTAAATTCTTTTGCAGGGTTTTTTTTTTTTTTTTTTTTTTTGAGACAGTCTCGCTCTGTCGGCCAGGCTGGAGTCCAGTGGAATGATGTCAGCTCACTGCAACCTCCGCCTCCCGGGTTCAAGGGATTTTCGTGCCTCAGCTCCTGGGTAGTTGGGATTACAGGTGTGCACCACTACACCCGGCTAATTTTTTTGTACTTTTAGTATAGACGGGGTTTCACCATGTTGGCCAGGCTGGTGTCGAACTCCTGACCTCAGGTAATCCTCCTGCCTTGGCCTCCCAAAGTGCTGGGATTACAGGCGTGAGCCACTGCGCCTGGTCAGCAGTGTGGTTTTTAAAGGAAAAAACTAGCTAGGCACAATGGCTCATGCCTATAATCCCAGCACTTTGAGAAGTCGAAGTAGGAGAATCACTTGAGCCTTAGGAGTTTGAGATCAGCCTGGGCAATACAGCAAAATTCCGTCTCTACAAAAAATTTAAAAATTAGCCAGTTATAGTGTTATGCACCTGTAGTCCCAGCTACTTGGCAGGCTGAAGCAGGAGGATCGCTTGAGTCTGGGGGGTTGAGGCTGCAGTGAGCCATGATCCTGCCATTGCACTCCACCCTGAGTGACAGAATGGGACTCTGTCTTAAAAAAATATATAGCCGGGCGCGGTGGCTCACGCCTGTAATCCCAGCACTTTGGGAGGCCGAGGTGGGTGGATCATGAGGTCAGGAGTTTGAGACCAGCTTGAACAACATAGTGAAACCCCATCTCTACTAAAAATACAAAAACTTAGCTGGGCGTGGTGGCGGGTGCCTGTAATCCCAACTACTTGGGAGGCTAAGGCAGGAGAATCACTTGAACCCGGGAGGTGGAGGTTGCAGTGAGCCGAGATGGCACTACTGCACTCCAGTCTGGGCAACAGTGCAAGGCTCCATCTCAAAAAATAAATAATAATAATAAAGGAAAAAAACTGATTTTATGCATATCAATTGGCATAAACTCCACAAACATTCTTTTGTTTTGTTTTGTTTTGTTTTGTTTTTGAGACGTAGTCTTGCTCTGTTGCCCAGGTTGGAGTGCAGTGGCACGATTTTGGCTCACTGCAACCTCCACCTCCTGGATTCAAGGGATTCTCCTGCCTCAGCCTCCTGTGCAGCTAGGACTACAGGCACATGCTACCACGTCCAGCTAATTTTTGTATTTTTAGTAGGGACGGGGTTTCACCATATTGGCCAGGCTGGTTTTGAACTCCTGACCTTGTGATCCACCCGCCTGGGCTGCCCAAAGTGCTGGGATTAGAGGCATGAGCCACTGCACCCGGCCTCCACAAACATTCTTTAAAGATCCTCAGCCAGAAACATATTCACGCTAACATATGCTGAGTTCATGGGCTCATCATCTCACAGTAAAAGCACCAAGCATTTTCTTTTCTTTTCTTTTTGAGATGGAGTTTTGCTCTTATTGCCCAGGCTGGAGTGCAATGGCACAATCTCAGCTCACCACAACCTCCGCCTCCCGGGTTCAAGCCATGCTCCTGCCTCAGCCTCCCAAGTAGCTGAGATTACAGGCGCACACCACCATGCCTGGCTAATTTTTGTATTTTTAGTAGAGACGGGGTTTCACCATGTTGGTTAGGCTGGTTTCGAACTCCTGACCTCATGATCCGCCCGCCTCGGCCTCCCAAAGTGCTGGGATTACAGGCATGAGCCACCATGCCCGGCCGCACCAAGCATTTTCAAGTGTGACTTTTTTTTTCTTTTTTTTTTTTTTTTGAGATGGAGTCTTGATCTGTTGCCCAGGCTGGAGTGCAGTGGTGCGATCTTGGATCACTGCAACCTCCACCTCTTGGGTTCAAGCAATTCTCCTGCCTTAGCCTCCCGAGTAGCTGGGACTACAGGTGCCCGCCACCATACCTAGCTAATTTTTTTTTTTTTTTTTTTGAGACGGAGTCTTGCCCTGTCACCCAGGCTGGAGTGCGGTGGCGTGATCTCCGCTCACTGCAAGCTCCGCCTCCCGGGTTCACGCCATTCTCTCGCCTCAGCCTCCTGAGTAGCTGGGACTACGTACAGGCACTCACCACCACACCCAGCTAATTTTTTTTTTTTGTATTTTTAGTAGAGACGGGGTTTCACTGTGTTAGCCAAGATGGTCTCAATCTCCTGACCTCGTGATCCGCCCGCCTCGGCCTCCCAAAGTGCTGGGATTACAGGTGTGAGCCACCGTGACCGGCCTAATTTTTTATATTTTTGATAGAGATGGGGTTTCACCATGTTGGCCAGGCTGGTCTCGATCTCCTGACCTCAAGTGATCTGCCCACCTTAGCCTCCCAAAGTGCTGGGATTACAGGCATGAGCCACCGCGCCCGGACTTTATTTTTATAAATGCATATATGAGGGTCCCTTTGGTGAGTGTTGAGGATGGGTAGTGCCCCAAACACTTGACATTGAGGTTCACTAGAGACGATTGCAGCCTCAGCAGGAAGTTTATTTCTGCATTTGGTTCTGATTATACAGGATCAAGAATATCCCTGATTCATAATTAGAAAGTCCACAGTTTCCTGAGCTCTTAGAATAGGAAGCTGGGTGTGGTGGTGCATGCCTACAATCCCAGTGCTTTGGGAGGCCGAGGCAGAAAGACCGTTTGAGGCCAGGAGTTTAAGACCATCTGGGGCAACATAGTGAGACCCTGTTGCTTCTACAAATAATAAAAAAATAGCCAGGTGTGGTGCCACATGCCTATGGTTTCAGCTACTTGGGAGGCTGACGCAGGAGGATCACTTGAGTCTGGGAGGTTGAGGCTGCAGTAAGCTGTGATTGCACCACTGCAGTCTAGCCTAGGCAACAGAGTGTGACACTGTCTCAAAAAAACAAAGAAAGAAAGAAAAAAGAACAGGGCCCTATGCTATGAGATAGGGACTGTTACAACTCTCATTTTATAGAGGGGCACATTGAGGCTCAGTGTGGTGGGCCTTTTGAGAAGTCAGTGCTGTCTCTGCTTCTCTCAGAGAATCCCAATCACTATCAACTAAGTCACCATCGACTTGCTGGTGAGGACATCTGACTTTTTTTTTTTGATTAAGAGTCTCGTTCTGTGGCCCAGGCTGGAGTGCAATGGCGCGATCTTGGCTCACTGCAGCCTCTGCCTCCCAGGTTCAAGTGATTCTCCTGCCTCAGCCTCCTGGGTAGCTGGGATTACAGGCGCCCGCCACCACGCCTGGCTAATTTTTGTATTTTTTAGTAGAAATGGGGTTTCACCATGTTGGCCAGGCTGGTCTCAAACTCCTGACCTCAAGTGATCCACCTACCTCAGCCTCCCAAAGTGCTGAGATTACAGGCTTGAGCCACCGCGCCTGGCTGAGGACACCTGACTTTATGAGCAGATGAGGATGGAATCCCCAATTTCCTTGACATGTTTACAAGCTGTTCCAATGTGTGCCCAGGGTGGGGCGAGAAGCTTTCCGGGGCCTGCTGAAAAGCCATTTAGGGAAGTCAGCCTGGAGGGGCTCTTGTTTGGGAAAATCCAGTGTGTATATTCCATGTAAGTGGCGTTTTAAAAATTCTGGTTTGAGGCCAGCTGTAGTGGCTCACACCTGAAATCTCAGCACTTTGGGAGGCCAAGGAGGGCAGACCACCTGTGGTCAGGAGTTTAAGACCAGTCTGGCCAACATGGTGAAACCTCGCCTCTACAAAAATACAAAAATTAGTCGGGCATGACGGCGGGCGCCTGTAATCCCAGCTACTCAGGAGGCTGAGGCGGGAGAATCGCTTGAACCTGGGTGGTGGAGTTTGCAGTGAGCTGAGATCGCTCCATTGCACTCCGGCCTGGGCAACAGAACGAGGCTCCATCTCAAAATAATAAATAAATAAATAAATAAATTAAAAAAATTTAAATTTAAAAATATAAGAATTCTAGTTTGAAAAGTAAAGCCATATACTGTTCAGTATTTTAGAAATCTCTTTATTAATTTTTGTTATTGAAAAGTAATAGGGCTGGGTGTCGTGGCTCACGCCTGTAATCCCAGCACTTTGGGAGGCCGAGGCAGGTGGATCATTTGAGGTCAGGAGTTCAAGACCAGCCTGGCCAACATGGTGAAACCCTGTCTCTACTACAAATACAAAAATTAGCCAGGCTGCAGTGGTATGCGCCTGTAATCCCAGCTACTCAGGAGGCTGAGGCAGGAGAATCACTTGAGCCTTGTGGGACGGAGGTTGCGGTGGTGAGCCGAGAGCGCACCACTGCACTCCAGTCTGGGCCACAGAGTGAGACCCTGTCTCAAAAAAAAAAAAAAAAAAAAAAGAAGAGAAAAGGAAAGAAAAGGAAAAGAAAAGAAAAGAAAAAGTAATAGATGGGGCCAGGTGCGGTGGCTCATGCCTGTAATCCCAGCACTTTGGGAGCCTGAGGTGGAAGGATCGCTTGAGCCCAGGAGTTTAAGACCAGCCTGGGCAACACAGACCTCATGTCTACAAAAAATAAAAAAAAATTTAGCTGGACGTGGTGGCAGATGCCTGTGGTCCCAGTTCCTCATGAGGCTGAGGTAGGAGGACTGCCTGAGCCTGGGAGGTCAAGGCTGCAGTGAGCTGAGATCGTGGCACTGCACCCCAGCCTGGGTGACAGGACATCCTGTCTCAAAAAAACTGAACTAAAATAAAATAAAACAAAGGAGTTCTTAATGGGAAATATGTAGATATAATTTTTATAAAAATGAGACCACTTTAGCACAATGTTTTGCTCCTTGCCTTATTAACTGAACAACAAACAGATCATGATGATCTGTAACACATTTATACTCTGGAATATATTGCAATAGTTCAAAACAAAACAAAACAAAACAAAAAACTGGGCCAGGAGCGGTGGCTCACGCCTGTAATCCCAGCACTTTGGGAAGCCAAAGCGGGTGGATCACCTGAGGTCAGGAGTTCGAGACCAGCCTGGCCAACATGGTGAAACTCCGTCTCTACTAAAAATACAAAAATTAGCTGGGCGTGGTGGCGTGCACCTGTAATCCCAGCTACTCAGGAGGCTGAGGGAGGAGAATCGCTTGAACCTGCGAGGCAGAGGTTGCAGTGAACCAAGATTGTGCCATTGCACTCCAGCCTGGGTGACAAGAGCGAAGCTCCATCTCAAAAAAATAAAAAAGTAAAATGAATTCATATTCACTGAGTTGGAAAGATAACCACAATCCATGATTAGGTGAAGAAACCAAGTTGTAAAGCAGGGATGTCCAATCTTTTTTTTTTTTTTTTTTTTTTTGAGATGGAGTCTCGCTCTGTCACCAAGGCTGGAGTGCAGTGGTGCCATCTTGGCTCACTGCAAGCTCTGCCTCCCTAGTTCATGCCATTCTCCTGCCTCAGCCTCCCGAGTAGCTGGGACTACAGGCGCCCGCCAACACGTTTGGCTAATTTTTTTGTATTTTTAGTAGAGACAGGATTTCACCTTGTTAGCCAGGTTGGTCTCGAACTCCTGACCTCGTGATCCACCCGCCTCGGCCTCCCAAAGGGGATGTCCAATCTTTTGGCTTCCCTGGGCCACATTAGAAGAAGAAGAATTGTCTTCAGCCACACATAAAATACACTAACGATAGTGGATGAGCTAAAACAAATTGCAAAAAATCTCATAGTGTTTTAAGAAAGTTTATGAATTTGGGGCTGGGCGTGGTGGCTCATGCCTGTAATCTCAGCACTTTGGTAGGCCAAGGCGGGCAGATCACAAGGTCAGGAGTTCGAGACCAGCCTGGCCAACATGGTGAAACCCGGTCTCTAACCCTGTCTCCTCACTGCCTCTGTCCTGCCGCGCAGGAGCGGGATGCTGAGCCCTGTCCGCCCCACGGGGAGCTGCAGTACCTAAGGCAGGTGGAGCACATCGTCTGCTGCAGCTGCAGGAAGGACGCCCCCAGGGCACCTGCTCTCTGCCGCCGCTGTTTTCGTTTTCGGCAGGCAGGCAGTCAGTCAGTCCCACTGCAGCCTGAGAAGTGACTTTCCTCTGCTGACAACCACAATGTTTTGGAGGAGTTGCTGTCGTTTATCAAGGGATCCACATATGCTGAAGAACTGTCTTCCAAGAGAGTGAAAATGTGAGATGAGGCAGTGGAGCCCTTTTTGGACAACTTGGGATTCTCCACTGAGAAGAAGGGGACTTGGGCCCAGTTTATGGCTTCCAGTGGAGGCATTTTGGGCAGAATACGAAGATATGGATTCAGATTATTCAGATCAAGGAGACGACCAACCGCAAAAAGTGATTGACATCATCAACAGAAGGCATAATCCCAGCACTCTGGGAGGCCGACGCGGGTGGATCACTTGAGGTCAGGAATTTGAGACCAGCCTGGCCAACACGGCGAAAACTCATCTCTACTAAAAATACAAAAATTAGCCAGGGGCTGGGTGCGGTGGCTAATGCCTGTAATCCCAGCACTTTGGGAGGCCAAGGCGGGTGGATCCCCTGAGGTCAGGAGTTCAAGACCAGCCTGACCAACATGGAGAAAACCTGTCTATACTAAAAATACAAAATTAGCCAGGCATGGTGGTGCATGCCTGTAATCCCAGCTACTCGGGAGGCTGAGGCAGGAGAATCACTTGAACCTGGGAGACAGAGGTTGTGGTGAGCCAAGATCTCGCCATTGCACTCCAGCCTGGGCAACAAGAGCGAAACTCTGTCTCAGAGAAAAAAAAAAAAGCCAGGCATGTCGGGGGGCACCTGTAAATCCCAGCTATTTGGGAGGCTGAGGCAGGAGAATCGCTTGAACCTGGGAGGTGGAGGTTGCAGTGAGCCAAAATCACGCCACTGCACTCCAGCCTGGGTGACAGCGAGACTCTGTCTTAAAAAAAAAAAAAAAAGAAAGAAAGGAAAAGAACAAAACAAACTGACCACAGACAAATCATCATCTGTGCTTGGAATCCAAAAATCTTCCTCTGATGACACTGCCTCCAGCCCTTCCCCGCTGCCAGTTCTGTTTTTTTTTTTTCTTTTTTTTTTTGAGACGGAGTTTCACTCTTGTTGCCCAGGCTGGAGTGTAATGGCTCAATCTCGGCTCACTGCCACCTCCTCCCAGGTTCAAGCGATTCTCCTGCCTCAGTCTCCCAAGTAGCTGGGATTACAGGTGCCCGCCACCACGCCCAGCTAATGTTTGTATTTTTAGTAGAGATGGGGTTTCACCATGTTGGCCAGGCTTGTCTCGAACTCCTGACCTCAGATGATCTGCCCACCTCAGCCTCCCAAAGTGCTGGGATTACAGGCGTGAGCCACTGTGTAGGGCACTTTTAAAGGAGTTTGAAGGGTATTTTCAGTCTTTAGGGGTTGGGCTGGATGCTCAGGTGAAAGTTCTTTTTGCTCTAAAGGAAAAGGGAGCTAGGTCAAAAATCTGTTGTTGACTTATTAGTTATTAACTTTTAAGGATATTAACTTTTAAGGGTGTCACCACAACTGTGCTAGCCCTTTCCGTAATAAAAGGCCTTGAGTTTGGCTAACTCACTGAGGGTGCATGAAAATACGGAGATTATGAGCAAAACTGAGGAGAATGAAATTGGTATGCTCTTAACAAAAACATGCACATGCATTTCAATCCTGTGTCTTTATGAAGAAGGTTGGTGAATTTCAAGAATTCTACAAGCTATTCTCTCAAATTTGAGAGAGTGGACTAACACCATCAATCATAATGTATAGTGTCATTATGAATATTTAAAGTTATATTAAGTTTATATATAATATAAATTTATATATATATATATATATATATATTTGTTTTTGAGATGGAGTCTCACTTTGTCACCCAAGCTGGAGTACAGTGGTATGATCTCAGCTCACTGCGACCTCCCCTCCCAGGTTCCAGCGATTCTTGTGCCTCAGTCTCCTGAGTAGCTGGGATTTCAGGCACCCGCCACCATGCCTGGCTAATTTTTTGTATTTTTAGTAGAGACGGGGTTTCACCATGTTGCCCAGGCTGGTCTTAAACTCCTGACCTCAGGTGATCCACCTGTTTTGGCCTCCCAAAGTGCTGAGATTACAGGTGTGAGCCACCACACCCGGCTTAAAGTTATATTTGTTTTATATATTGCTGTAATAAAGAAGTGTTCTACCAGGCGCAGAACGGTTTTTGTATTTTTATAAAAAATACAGGCCGGGCGCGGTGGCTCACGCCTATAATCCCAGTACTTTGGGAGGCCAAGACGGGCGGATCATGAGGTCAGGAGATCGAGACCATCCTGGCTAACACAGTGAAACCCCGTCTCTACTAAAAATACAAAAAATTATCTGGGTGTGGTGGCGGGCACCTGTAGTCCCAGCTACGTGGGAGGCTGAGGCGGAAGAATGACGTGAACCTGGGAGGCGGAGCTTGCAGTGAGCCAAGATTGCGCCACTGCACTCCAGCCTGGGCGACAGAATGAGACTCCATCTCAAAAAAAAAAAAAAAAAAAAAAAAAAATTAGCGGGGCGTGATGGTGCGTGCCTGTAGTCCCAGCTACTCAGGAGGCTGAGAGGGGAGGATTGCTTGAGCCCAGGAGGCGGAGGTTGCAGTGAGCCGGGATTGTGCCACTGAACTTCAGCCTGGTCAACAGAGCGAGACTCCGTCAACAACAACAACAACAAAAAAGTGTTCTGCAAAACAACAAAGTTTTTCCTCTATTCTTCTAAACATTATTATAAAAACATTAACTCATTTTTTTAAGGAAGAAAAAGACTAAAGCTCCGTTTGATCAACCCTGCAGGAATAAGAGTACTATATGGGCCAGGTGTGATGGCTCACACCTGTAATCCTAGCATTTTGGGAGACTGAGGTGAGTGGATCACCTGAGGTCGGGAGTTCCAGACCAGCCTGGCCAACATGGCGAAGCCTGTCTCCAGTAAAAATACAAAAATTAGCCGGGCATGGTGGCAGGTGCCTATAATCTTAGCTACTCAGAGCCTGAGGCAAGAGAATCGCTTGAACACAGGGGGCAGAGGTTGCAGTGAGCCAAGATCGCACCACTTCACTCTAGCCTGGGCAAAAGAGTGAAACTCCATCTCAAAAAAAAAAAAAGTACTGTATATAGTTTTCAATTTTTCCTACTATGTATTTCTTAGCGCGTTTTCCATGTTAAAGCAGAGTTCTTGTTCTTTTTATTTTTACCTCTTTGTGGTATTGCAGAGGATGGATATAGCGTAGCTAATTTACCCAGTGCCCTGCTGATAGTCATTTATTTTACTAATGAACATCCTCATATGGGCTTTCCAGTTATTATGAGATCTTTTTATAGTCAACTCACATACAGCTATCTCTTTTAAAAAGTATTTATTATTATAATTATATATATATATATTTATTTATTTGAAGCAGGTTCTTGCTCTGTTCCCCAGGCTGGAGTGTGGTGGTGTGGAGCACTGCAGCCTCGACCTCCTGTGCTCAGACAGTCCTTCCATCTCAGCCTCCTAAGAAGCTAGGACCACAGGCACACACTACTACACCCAGATAATTTTTTTAATTTTTTTTTTTTTTGAGACAGAGTCTGGCTCTATCACCCAGGCTGGAGTGCAGTGGTGCGATCTCGGCTCACTGCAACCTCTGCCTCCTGGGCTCAAGCCATCCTTCCATCTCAGCCTCCCCAGTGTCTGGGACCACAGGCACGCATCACCACACCTGGATAATTTTTGCATTTTTTGTAGAGACAGGGTTTTGCCATGTTGCCCAGGCTGGTCTCGAGAGCTCAAGCGGTCCTCCCACCTCAGCCTCCCAAAGTGCTGGGATTACAGGCCTGAGCCACTGCGTCCTGCTTTTTAAAATTTTTTATAGAGACAAGGTCTTGCTATGTTGCCCAGGCTGATCTTAAACTCTGGGGCTCAAGCGATCCTCCCACCTGGACATCCCAAAGTGCTGGGATTACAGACATGAGCCACCGTGCTCAGCCTATTATTATTATTATTTAGAGATGGAATTTTGCTGTGTCGCCCAGGCTGGAGTGCAGTGGCTACTCATAGGTGTGAACATAGCTTACTGCAACCTCGAACTCCAGGGCTCAAGCGGTCCTCCCGCCTAAGCCTTCCCAGTAGCTGGGACCACAGGCGCACACACAACAGCCACAGAGCATTTCAGTCCAAGGGCATAACATGATTTACACAACCCATCCCTTTGGTGATGGTTGTTGGGTAGTTTCCGATTTTTCACTCTAATAAATAATGACCTCTTTATCCATTACATATTTTTAAAAAATGAAATCTGAATTCAGCAATCAAAGACTATCTGCAGACCACTGGAGTAAATGGGAACCCCAAGAAATTATTTGATGGGGAAGGAAGCCCCCAGGCCCTCTTGGGAAGGCCTAGTCGTGGCTTCAGGGAGAACAAAGAGTGATAATTTGGTTCTTTTTTTTTTTTTTAGAGACGGAATCTTGTTCTGTCTCCCAGGCTGGAGTGCAGTGGTGCAATCTTGGCTCACTGCAACCTCCACCTTCCGGGTTCAAGCGATTCTTGTGCTTCAGCCTCCTGAGTAGCTGGGTCTACAGGTGCACACCACCATGCCCAGGTACTTTTTTGTATTTTTAATAGAGATAGGGTTTCGCCATTTTGGCCAGGCTGGTCTCAAGTTCCTGGCCTCAAGTGATCTGCCCACCTCAGCAAGTGCTGGGATTACAGGTGTGAGCCACAGTGCCCAGCCATAATTCAATTCGTAATGGTTTGCTGTCATGGACCCCTTAGAGAACTTGCTGGAAGCTATATCCCTAGGAGAAGGATTTTTATCACCTATAAGCCTCAGCAGCCCTGTATCTGGATTTTCCTTTGATAAACAACTCCCCTTCCAACACCACCACTGCATGCATCCTTAGCAGGATTACCAAGCCAGGTGCCCTCCCTTTCCCAACCTAACGAAGGGCCTAGAACCTAAGCCGAGACAGTGAGATTCAACTCTGGACCTTGGCTACAACTCTGGACCTTGGCTACAGCCCTTGGGAGAGAGGCTCTTTCCTTCTGTTGCATTGCTTAGTTATAAAGACATTAAGTCTGGAGTTGCCAGAGAAATCCTGTCAGGGAATGAAGCAGGTTTCCTGGAAACTTAGATTGAACATCTGGATCCAGACATGCCTGAAGCCAGCCCCGTTGACTCAGTTACGTGAGCTGATAAATTCCATTTTACACTTCAGTCAGTGACAGTTGGGTTTCCACCACTTCCATCAGAATAGTTTTTTTTGTTTTTGGAGACAGGGCCTCGATTTGTTGCCGAGGCTGGAGTACAATGGTGCGATCTCAGCTCACTGCAACCTCCACCTCCCGGGTTCAAGTGATTCTTCTGCCTCAGCCTCCGGAGTGGCTGGGATTACAGATGTGCGCCACCATACCCGGCTGATTTTTGCATTTTTGTAGAGATGGGGGTCTCACCATTTTGGCCAGGCTGGTCTTGAACTCCTGACCTCAGGTGATCTGCCCGCCTCGGCCTCCCAAAGTGCTGGGATTACAGGCGTGAGCCACTGCGCCTGGCCTAGAACAGTTCTTGTTCACTCTCCCGTGACCCAGAAAAAAAAAAACTCATTCATTCATTCATTATTTATTTATTTATTGACTATCTAGTATATGCTTAGCCCCGTGCTGGGTGATGATGGGGACAGTAAAGTGACCGTGACAGAACTCTCATGGCAATAGAGGCTTCCAGAGCTCAAATGGCAATCACAAACGGTTCAGCAAGAATGGCGATGCCTGCCATGAAGGAGGAGGTCAGAGAGCTACAAGAGAGGTATCTGTGAATGGGAGGTGGGATCATGGAGAGGTCCCTTGAAAGATGGGCTAAGGATATGTGCACACAAGCCCTGGGGTTTCAGGGCACACCTGAGACACAGTAGGGCTCAGGAACCTGGAAAAAGATCTTGGAAGTGGAAGGACGTAAGGGCTAGGGACGTTGGGAGGTGAGAGGTGAGGCAGCCATCCAGGCCCAGCGGAGGAAGCAGGAGGAGGATGCGGAGGAGTCCGGGGTGTGTATGTTGCCTTCCCCTCCTGTCCCTCAGAGCATGGTGTAGAAATACATGGCTATCAGCATGACCGGGAGCTGGCGAGGAGGCAGCGAGATGAGGGCACTCCGCCCCCCACCCCCAGCCCACCCAGCCTGTGGGCTCCCCGCCTCTCACCGTCCACATCAGGATGGCAAACCCAAACCACGAGATACCCCACGTGTAGCTGTCGATGGCGTGGCCGATGTGTTCGAAGCAGCCCTGGGCAGGGGGATGGGGGAAGTTTGAGAAGACGCCCATGAGGGTAGCCGCTGAAAGCGAGAGTCACTGTGCGCCCTTGGGAAAGTCACCACCTTCCCTGAGCATTGGTTTTCTCACTTGTGCAATGGGGACCATGGCACTGTCCACCTCCTCGGGTGGTTTCGGGGCCCCAGGGAGCTGATGTTGAACCCAGGCCCTGCACAAGTAGGTGCCGC
The DNA here is from genome assembly GCF_000001405.40 of Homo sapiens. Lineage (NCBI taxonomy): Eukaryota > Metazoa > Chordata > Mammalia > Primates > Hominidae > Homo > Homo sapiens. The sequence goes on along the minus strand of NC_000019.10, from coordinate 35,677,596 downwards.
CCTGCTGATGGCTATGACAATCTGAGGGTGATTTTGATCTTACAGCTGGCTTTTTTTTTTTTTTGGAGACAGTCTCGCAGTCTCCCTCTGTCACCCAGGCTACAGTGCAGTGGCATGATCTCGGCTCACTGAAACCTTTACCTCCCGCGTTCAAGCAATTCTCCTGCCTCAGCCTCCTGAGTAGCTGGGATTACAGGTGTGCACCACTACGCCCGGCTAATTTTTGTATTTTTAGTAGAGACGGGGTTTCACCATGTTGGTCAGGCTGGTCTCGAACTCCTGATCTTGTGATCCTCCCATCTCGGTCTCCCAAAGTGCTGGGATTACAGGCATGAGCCACTGTGCGCGCCCGGCCTTTTTTTTTTTAAAGTCTCTTGCCTTTTTTAAGTCTCTTGCCTAGGCTAGAGTGCAGTGGCACCATCACAGCTCTCTGCAGCCTTGACCTCCTAGACTCAAACAATCCTCCTGCCTTAGCCTCCCCAGTAGCTGGGATTACAGGCGCGCACCACCACGCCTGGCTAATTTTCTGTACTTTTTTGTAGAGACGGGGTCTTGATATGTTGCCCAGGCTGGTCTTGAGCTTCTGACCTCAAGTGATGCTCCTGCCTTGGCCTCCCAAAGTACTGGGATTACAGTCGTGAGCCCCCGTGCCTAGCTCTATTGTTTTGTTTGATGTTTTGTTTTGTTTTTTTTTGTTTGAGATGGAGTTTCACTCTGTCGCCCAGGCTGGGGTGCAGTGGCACAATCTCGGCTCACTGCAACCTTCACCTCCAGAGTTCAAGTGATTCTCCTACCTCAGCCTCCCGAGTAGCTGGGATTACAGGCACGTGCTACTGCTCTGGGCTAATTTTTGCATTTTTAGTAGAGATGGGGTTTCGCCATGTTGGTCAGGCTGGTCTCGAACTCTTGACCTCAAGTGATCTGCCCTCCTCAGCCTCCCAAAGTGCTGAGATTACAGGCATGAGCCATCGCGCCCGGCCCTATTATTGCTCTTATTCTCGGACAACCTGAGTAAAGTTGTAGGTGCCAGGTCTGGTTCAGACAGACCCTGGGTGCATCCTGCTGACTTGAGAGAGAGTTGGGGGAGCACTAGAAAATCAGAGAGGGGACCCAGCGTGGTGGCTCACGCCTGTAATCTGAGCACTTTGGGAGGCTGAGGTGGGTGGATCACTTGAGCTCAGGAGTTCGAGACCAGCCTGGACAACATGGTCAAACCCCGTCTCTGCTAAAAATACAAAAACTAGCCAAGAGGGTGGTGCGCACCTGTAATCCCAGCTGCTCTGGAAGCTGAGGTGGGAGAATCCCTTGAACCCGGGAGGCAGACGCTGCAGTGAGCTGAGATTGTGCCACTGTACTCCAGCCTGGGTGACAGAGCAGGACTCGGTCTTGAAAAAAAAAAAAGAAAGAAAGAAAGAAAGAAAGAAAAAGAAAACAAGAAAATCAGAGAGGGGAAGAGGAGAGGGAAAAAGCTAGACGGACAGACACAGGGAGGGAGAAAGAGAGAATCAGAGAGGGAGCAGAGACCAGAGGAAGACAGACAGATGGATAGACAGATGGAGCAGGGCAGACGGCCACACCTTGGTGAACAGGTAGTCCATGTGCCCCAGGCGGCAGCCCTCCTCGTTGAGGGGGATGAAGTTTCCCGTCCGGCGACAGCACAGTGGGGGCCAGGGGAACACCACCTCCGGAGTGGCCGCCCGGAAGGCTGACGTGAAGTTCACCCAGTCCATGGGACCAGATGTGCCACAGCATTCTTGCTAGAGTGAAAAGCAGGGGGTCAGGCAGGCTCGGGCTCAGAGAGGACAGTTGCTTGCCTGAGGTCACACAGCAAGGAGGGGCAGGATTGGCCTTTGACACAGCTGGGCCCAACTTCCCCATGTCCTGGGCCTCCAAGCGAGTGTGTCCGGTGGGTGTCTGTGTGTGTGAGCACGGTGCAGACAATATTTGTCCCAGGACCAGGAGGCTGATGGGGGATTTGGATTAAACCTGCACCTCTGACTTATTTTAAAATATTTTTGCCGGGCACGGTGTCTCACGCCTGTAATCCCAGCTCTCTGGGAGGCCGAGGTGGATGGATCACCTGAGGTCAGGAGTTCGAGACCAGCCTGACCAACATGATGAAACCCCGTCTCTACTAAAAATACAAAATTTGCCGGGTGTGGTGGTGGGCGCCTGTAATCCCAGCTACTTGAGAGGCTGGGGCAGGAGAATTGCTTGAATCCGGGAGGTGGCGACTGCAGTGAGCCAAGATCGTGCCACTGCACTCCAGCCTGGGAATCAAGAATGAAACTCCATCTCAAAAAATAAAATAAAATAAAATATTTTTATCAACAACTATGCTGATAAAATAACACAAAAAGGGCAGATTTCTGGCTTTTCCTGGCCTTGGTAAGGAATCCAGGTGTTTAATTTGTGGCTCCTGAATGAGGAAAACATAGGCTTGGGCACCCTTCAAACATGGGTTCAAATCCTGGCTAGCTAGAGGACTTGGGCCACATTGACGCCTCAGTTTTCCTTGAGTCCTCAATTTCTTCTTCTTTTTTTTTTTTTTTTTTGAGACGGAGTCTCCCTCTGTTGTCCAGGCTGGAGTACAGTGGCGCCATCTTGGCTCACTGCAACCTCCCCCTCCTGGGTTCAAGTGATTCTCCTGCCTCAGCCTCCCAAGTAGCTGGAATCACAGGCGCACACTACTACACCTGACTAATTTTTGTATTTTTTGTAGAGACAGGGTTTCACCATGTTGGCCAGGATGGTCTTGAACCCCTGAACTCAAGTGATCTGCCCGCCTTTGCCTCCCAAAGTGTTGGGATTATAGGTTTGAGCCACTGCACCCAGCCAATTTCTTCCTTTTCCAGTGCAATATCATGTTGGATTTGAGGAAGACTGTATCTCTTCAAACCTGGAAGTCTGAGTTTGAATCCTTCCAGTTCTGTGACCTACCAGGTGTGTGACCTCATGCAAGATATTCAACCTCTTGCTTTGGTCTCCTCATCACTAAAAGGCCGATCTCCCTTATGGAGTGGTCGTGAGGATTAAAAAAGCTTTAAAAGTGCTTTGAAAGGCTGGGCACGGTGGCTCAAGCCTGTAATCCCAGCACTTTGGGAGGCCGAGGCAGGTGGATCACAAGGTCAGGAGATCAAGACCATCCTGGCTAACACCCATCTCTACTAAAAATACAAAAAATCAGCTGGGCGCGGTGGCAGGCGCCTGTAGTCCCAGCTATTCGGGAGGCTGAGGCAGGAGAATAGCGTGAACCCGGGAGGCGGAGCTTGCAGTGAGCCGAGATCGCGCCACTGCATTCCAGCCTGGGCGACAGAGCAAGACTCTGTCTCAAAAAAAAAAAAAAAAAAAAAAAGATAAAAAGAAAAAAAAAAATGTGCTTTGAGGCCAGGCACTCGTGGCTCATGCCTGTGATCTCGGCACTTTGAGAGGCGGAGGTGGGAGAATCGCTCCAATCCTGAGCCCAGGAGTTCCAGACCAGCCTGGGCAATAGAGCAAGACCCCCATCTCCACAAAAGATAATTTAAAAAACTTAGCCGGGTGTGGTGGGGCGCACCTGTATTCCCAGCTACTCGGGAAGCTGAGGCGGGAGGATCACTTGAGCCCAGGAGTTGGAGGTTGCAGTGAGCTATGATCACTCCAGCCTGGGCAACAGAGCAAGACCCCATCTCAAAATATAAAAATAAAAGTCCTTTGAACAGTGTGAAACCTAGCTCAGTGAATGGTGCTGTTACTATCATTGTTATTATCAACATTTCTGTTGAGGTAGTATGTGTAGGCTAAGAGCAGGGAGGTCAGGAGCTAGGCTGCCGGGTTCCAATCCCAGCTCCCACCACTTACCGACTGTGTGGCCTCGGGCAAGGGACTTTCCCTTTCTGGGCCTGTTTACTCATCCGCAGAACGGTGATGACCGCAGCCCTGCTCTCCTAGAGATCTCATGAGCGGATGTCTTTAAGGCACTCACTCCTCTAAAAGCTGGCACATCGGGAGCTCTATCGGCCTCTGTGGACGGAGCCCAGGGCCCTCCCAGCACCCGGTCCACCCCGCCCACCTCAATCATGACGCGGTCCCAGAGGCGGGTCAGCTCCTGGCCCTGGTCGGTGTCCGCGCTGTAGAAGGTCAGCATCTGCTTGGTGATCAGGGATGGGTTGGACACCATCTGAGGAGAACAGGGAAGAACAAGGGCCGGCAGGGCTGGGTGGGGAGAGAGGACGACCTCCGCCCCGCCGCGCCGGGACCCTCGCCCCTCCCATGCAGGTCAGGCCCCTCCCCAGGCCTCGCCGGGCTCACGTAGTCACGGTGGGTGTAGGACGTGATGCAGGAGGCGCACTCGAAGATGTAGACGATGAGCATGAGCACCAGGTACTGGGGAGACAGAGGGAGGACGGCCCGTCGGGCAGAGCCCGTGAAGCCACACCCCGTCAGGGAAGCATCACTGGGGAAATGCAAGTTTTAAAAAAGTTTGGGGCAGTGTGACTAGCAGCATCTATAATATGTGGTGGGTGTTCAGGTGTTCGCTGTATTGTCTTCCAACTTTTCTGTATTTTGAAATATTTAATTTAATTAATTTATTTTTGAGACAGGCGAGGCGTGGTGGCTCACGCCTATAATCCCAGCACTTTGGGAGGCCGAGGGGGCGATCACCTGAGTCAGGAGTTCGAGACCAGCCTGGCCAACATGGTGAAACCCCTTCTCTACTAAAAATACAAAAATTAGGGCTGGGCATTGGTGGCTCACACCTGTAATCCCAGCACTTTGGGAGGCTGAGATGGGAAGATTGCTTGAACCCTGGAGTTCAAGATCAGCCTGGGCAACACAGTGAGACCCCGTCGCTACAAAAAATAAAAATAAAAAAATTAGTTAAGCATAGTTACTACTAGTGGTAGTGTTAGTCCTAGCTATTTGGGAGGCTGAGGTTGGAGGATCGTTTGAGCCCAGTAGTTGGAGGCCTCAGCGAGCTATGATCGCACCACTGCATTCCTGCCTGGGCAACAGAGCAAAACCCTGTCTCTTAAAACAAAACAAACAAGGGTGGGTGCAGTGGCTTACGCCTGTAATCCCAACACTTTGGGAGGTTGAGACGGGTGGATCACCTGAGGTCAGGAGTTCAAGACCAGCCTGACCAATATGGTGAAACCCCATCTACTAAAAATGCAAAAATACAAAAATTAGCTGGGCATGGTGATGGGTGCCTGTAATCCCAGCTACTCAGGAGGATGAGATAGGAGAATAGCTTGAACCCAGGAGGCAGAGGTTGCAATGAGCCGAGATTGTGCCATTACACTCCAGCCTGGGCAACAGAGTGAGACCCTGTCTCTTAAAATAAAACAAACAACATAAAACGATGTTCTCAGATAATCAGAGACATTTGACACAGACTGGGTATTGGAAGATATAGAAGAACTTGATTGAATTTGGTGGGTTGTGCCAACGGCACAGAGGGCAGGAGAAAAAAAAAAGCTTGTCAGTTGATGTTTAATGCAAATTCTTTTCATGTCCTCACCTGGCACCTTCATCTATAAAGCAGCAGGAGGTTGCGTGTGGATGTGTGAACTCTGCTGCTGGGAGATGGATGACATTGCACAACCTCCTGACTGCTTTAAAACAATGTGCTTATCACTCAGAGAAATGTGTGCTCCAGTATTTACAGGCAAGTGACTTGGCATCTAGAATGTGCTTCAAAATACCCAGAAGAAAAAGTATGAGAGAAGGGGGATAGAGGAGACAATGTCGGGCAGTCTGCAGCTGATGTTGTTGAAATCAGGTGAGAGGTATGCAGGGCTCAAATACTGCGGACTCTAGTCTACTTTAGAAATTTCCTGTAAGAAATTTGGGGGCCGGGCACGGTGGCTCATGCCTGTAATCTCAGCACTTTGGGAAGCCGAGGTGGGCGGATCACGAGGTCAGGAGATCGAGACCATCCTGGCTAACACGGCGAAACCCCATCTCTACTAAAAATACAAAAAAAAAAATTAACCAGGCGTGGTGGCAGGTGCCTGTAGTCCCAGCTACTCGGGAGGCTGAGGCAGGAGAATGGCGTGAACCCGGGAGGCGGAGCTTGCAGTGAGCCGAGATCGCACCACTGCACTCCAGCCTGGGCAACTGAGCAAGACTCCGTCTCAAAAAAAAAAAAAAAAAGAAATTTGGGGAGAAAATGTCTTAGTTAATGACAAACTAATGGGGAAACAGACACAATTTTTTTTTTTTTTTGAGACAGAGTCTTGCTCTGTCGCCCAGGCTGGAGTGCAGTGGCGCGATCTCTGCTCACTGCAAGCTGCGCCTCCCGGGTTCACGCCATTCTCCTGCCTCAGCCTCCCGAGTAGCTGGGACTACAGGCGCCCGCCACCACGCCTGGTTAATTTTTTGTTTTTTAGTAAAGACGGGATTTCACCGTGTTAGCCAGGAAGGTCTCGATCTCCTGACCTTGTGATCCACCTGCCTCGGCCTCCCAAACTGCTGGGATTACAGGCGTGAGCCACCGAGCCCGGCCCAGACACAATTTTTAAAACTAGTTGGGTGACTTTTTAGGGCTTTGGTTAAATTGTTATGCCAGATAATTAAATACAGGATAAGAAAATAAGAGGGCAGGTGTGGTGGCTCATGCCTGTAATTCCAACACTTTGGGAGGCTGAGGTGGGAGGCTCACTTGAGGCCAGGAGTTGGAGACCAGCCTGGGCACCATAGTGAGACTCCATCTCTACAAAAAATACAAAAATTAGCTGCACATGGTGATGCACACTTGTAGTCCCAGCTCATTGGGAGGCTGAGGTGGGAGGATCATTTGAGATGAAGAGTTCGAGGTGGCAATGAGCTATGATTGTGCCACTGCACTCCAAACTGGGCAACAGAGTGAGACCCTGTCTAGAGAAACAAAGAAAGGAAGGAAGGAAGGAAGGGAGGGAGGGAGGGAGGGAGGGAGGGAAAGAAGGAAGGGAAGGAAGTCCATGGCTCCATCGTACCCAGGATAAAGCCAAAGTCCACAATACCTGCCTGTCTAGAAAAATGAAGGAAGGAAGGAGGGAGGTGGGGAGGGGAGAGGAGGGGAGGGGAGGGGAAAGGAGGGGAGGGGAGGGGAGAGGAGGCGAGGGGAGGGGAGGGGAGGGGAGGAGTCCATGGCTCCATCTTACTCAGGATAAAGCCAAAGTCCACAACACCTGCCTGTGTAGAAAAACGAAGGAAGGAAGGAAGGAGAGGGGAGGGGAGGGAAGGGGAGGGGAAGGGAGGGGAGGGGAGCAGGGGGTCTATGGGTCCATCTTACTCAGGATAAAGCCAAAGTCCACAACACCTGCCTTCCCTCCTGCTTCTTTCCCATCCCCATTCCTCACTGTTCTCCTCCCCATCTGTCTGCCTCATGTCCTCTCACCCCCCAACCTCCTCCTCACTCAGCTCCAGCTGCTTTGGACTCCTGGCCCGCTCTGGCCTCAGAGCCTTTGCCCTTGCTGCCACCTCCACCTGGAAGGCTCTTCCTCCAGTTACACACCTGCCTCGCTCCCAGTGCCTCTAGGTCTTTGCTTTCCCTGGCAGTGAGGTCTTCCCTCGCCCTCCTCGGCTCCTGACCTCCCCTCCTGTTCACTGTCTTCCTCCTCTGAGCACCACTTCCCTGGGTCAAGGGCTTTTATGTTTCGCTCAGCACAGAGCCCCAGTGCCCAGCGTAGGGCTCAGCATGTAGCTCCTGCTCATAAGCATTTGTTCATCAAATGAGTGGCTGCTTCTGGGAATCTGAAAAACCCTCTGCTGTCGAGGAAACACAGTGCTGTCTCTGTGTCATTGGGGCCGTGAATTGGAATCCCTGCTCTCCTGGTCACCTGGGAGAGGCTGTTAGCCTCTTTGAGCCTCAGTTTCCTCATCTGGTAAATGGGTTGAAAAGCACTAGCTGTGAAGGGCTTCTGGCAAGATTGAGGAAGCTCATTTTCTTTCCTTTTTTTTGAGATGGAGTCTCGCTTTGTCATCCAGGCTGGAATGCAGTGGTGTGATCTTGGCTCACTGCAACCTCTGCCTCCCGGGTTCTAGTGATTCTTCCGCCCCAGCCTCCTGAGTAGCGGGGATTACAGGTGCCTGCCACCATGCGTGGCTAATTTTTTTTTTTTTTTTTTTTTTAGAGATGGGATTTCGCCATGTTGGCCAGTCTGGTCTTGGACTCCCGACCTCAAATGATCTGTCCGCCTCAGCCTCCCCACGTGCTGGGATTACAGGCATGAGCCACTGCGCCTGGCCACGAAGCTCATTTTCTAAACTGCTTACCCTAGTGTCAGGTGCATGAGAGACACTTGGGAAGTATGGGTTATTCTTGTGGGCAGAGATTAAGAGCACAGCCTCAAGAGCCGATCTGCTCAGGTTGAAACTGGCTCTGCCATTGTCTCAATGTGTGACCCTGGATAAGTGACTTCACTTCTCTGAGCCTCAGTTTCAATCTTCATCAAACAGGGTCATGATGATGACAGTATCTCTTGGTGGACTATGAGGAATAAATGAACTAATCCAGTAAACCATTTAGAACAGCTCGTGGCTTGTAGTAAACCATTATTAAATGGTAGCTGTGCTATTATTGGCAGAGTTCATGAGCATGGACTCTGGAAAGCAGCTAGCAGGGGTTCAAATTCTAGCCCTGCACTGGGTGCAGGTAGAGGGGCTCAAGCCTGTAATCCCAGCACTTTGGGAGGCTGAGGCAGGAGAATCATTTGAGCCAGGAGTTTGAGACCAGCCTGGGCAACATAGTGAGACCCCCATCTTTACCAAAAAAAAAAAAAAGAAAAAATCCCAGCTCTGCTACTCAAGCCTGGGTTATTGGGCTGTGGGAAGACTGAATGAGATGATGCCTGGGATCCCTGAGTGTGACACCATGGGGAACTCACACTAGTGGCTGGGGCTGCACCTGCTACTATGACTCAGTGATGCTGAACTCCGTTTTCAGTGTCCCCATCCCCCAACCCCTGGAGTCTCACCGTGAGGACCATGGACCGGCGGCGGCAGAGTGCGGCACCCACACCAAAACTGGCTACCATGAAGAAGGAGAAGCCGCAGAAGATGGCAATCCAGGCACCAGCGAAGACGTCATCCTTGCCTGAGACTCCCATCAGTGGGTATACACGGTACTGGTCGGCTGTCACCCATATGGTCTCAGCAAACAGGGACAGGCCTGACAGCTGGACAGAGCGGTGGGTTAGGAAGGTCTGCTCGGGGCCAGCAGCCCTGGCACCAGGCATCTCCACGAGCAAGTTCCCTCCCCATTTGGAGCCTCCACTGCCCTCTCAGTAAAGTGGGCAAAGACCTCGCCTTCCATGAGCAGCGATGAGGGTGAGCAGAGGCCAGGAGAGAAGAGACAGCCCAGCCAGACAACCGACCCCCACGCCCCAGCTGCCAGTTTCTTCGGGGATAAAAGGGGATGCCACGTGGAAAGGCTGGAGCAGTGGACTGGCACAGAGGAGATGCTTGGTCCATCTGCCCTCCCTTGACAGTGCTGTTATTCCCCGAGGAGGGGAACATGGCCATGGCCATAAACATTACAAATGGGCCAGGCAAGGTGGCTCACACCTGCAGTCCCAGCATTGTGGGAGGCCGAGGCGGGAGGATTGCTTGAGCCCAGGAGTTTGAGACTAGCCTGGGCAATAGTGAGACCCCGTCTCTACAAAAAATAAAAAAATTAGCTAGATGTGGTGATGTGCACCTGTAGTCCCAGCTACTTGGGAGGCTGAGGCAGGAGGATCAGTTGAGCCCAGGAGTTGGAGGCTGCAGTGAGCAAGCATCACACCACTGCACTGCAGCCTGGTCAACAGAGTGAGACCCTGTCTCTAAAACAAACACACGGCCAGTCGCGGTGGCTTACACCTGTAATCCCAACACTTTGGGAGGCTGAGGTGGGCAGATCACCTCAGGTCAGGAGTTCAAGACCAGCCTGGCCAACATGGTGAAACCCCATCTCTTCTAAAAATACAAAAAGTAGCCGGGTGTGGTAGCATGTGCCTGTAATCCCAGCTGCTCGGGAAGCTGAGGCAGGAGAATTGCTGGAGCCCAGGAGGTGGAGGATGCAGTGAGCCGAGATCTCGCCACTGCACTTCAGCCTGGGTGACAAAGGGAGAATCTGTCTGAAAAAAAAAAAATTAGCCGGGCGTGGTGGTGTGCGCCTGTAATCCCAGCTATTCTGGAGGCTGAGGCAGGAGAATCACTTGAGCCCGGGAGTTAGAGGTTGCAGTTAGCTGAGATCAGCCACTGCACTCCAGCCTGGGCAACAGAGTGAGACTCCGTCTCAAAAACAAAACAAAACAAAACAAAACAAAACAAAACAAAACAAAAAACACAAAACCAAAACCCAATGTTAATTGAAAGACACTGTTGTTTTTCCTTCTTGTGGCCTCCTGTGCACCAGGCTGTCACTTTATATCCATAGTGATGCTGATGGTGATAGCCAGCATTGGTCGGGCACTTTCTCTGAGCTGAGGGCCACACATGGATTAATCCACATGACAACAGCCCACACAATGAGGACACAGTCTATAGATGAGGAAAGAAGGCACAGAGAGGGACAGTCGCTTGCTAAGGTCACAGAGCTGGGGAGAGGCAGAGCTGGGATTTCAACCCAGGCTGTGCTGACCACTGAGTCTGCCCGAGAGACAGTTCTGGACCCTCATCCCCCACCCCGAGCTCAGGACTGTCCCCTCCCCACCACACAACCACTCGGCTCCCAGCACTGGGGCGAGTCTCACCAGAATAATGATATTGCCCACAACTAGCAGGCCCACCACAACTGGAGATCCCTTCTCGGCCTCCGCTGCTGCCGCAGACGCCATCATCCTGGGACACATGAGCAGGGATGAGGCCAGGAGCGTAAAGGGCCAGCCGGACCCCCCATCTCTGAGCCACACCCTGGCTTCGAGGGGTTGCTCCAGCTCTCTGCGGGGCCCAGGCTGGTACTGATGTACCCACAGCCCTGGTGGGGAGGCATTTTGCACAAGAGGACACCCGGGCTCCGGTGGGGCAGTCACTGGCCTGAACTTGGCACTGCCCCTCCCTGAGCCTCAGACCCCTCATGCCATACCCAGACTCCCAGGGCCCCCTCCTCACCTTCTCTGTCTGCAGCCTCTCTGGCCAGCCCCACCCACCGTGGCTCCCTATATACGCCCAGGCCCCTCCTTGGGCTAGTCTCCCAGGAAGGAGGGAGGGTGTGTGTGTGTGTGTGTGTGTTTTGGGGCACGGCAGTGGGGTGGACAAGAGGCTGAGCCGGCAGACCAGGCTGGATGAACAGCTTTGATGGGCTCCCTGCCACCCCCATGATTTATAGACCTGAAATACCAGATTGTGTAGGACCCATGGCCTCTGGGTCCCAGGCTTTGTTGGCGGTGGAGGAGTTGGAGGTGGAGGGGCGTGCGCACCACCTGGTGTCTCTCTTGCTAGGACATGGGCCTTCCTGGGAATAGGAGCAAGATCCAAATCAGGGCGGGGCGTGGTAGCTCAGGCCTGTAATCCCAGCACTTTGGGAAACTGAGGTAGGCGGATCGCTTGAGCTCAGTAGTTTGAGACCAGACTGGGTGACATAGTGAAACCCCGTTTCTATAAAAAATACAAAAATAATTAGCCAGGCTCATGCCTGTGGTCCCAGCTACTTGGGAGGCTGAGGTGGGAGGATGGCTGAACCTGGGGACAGAGGTTGCAGTGAGCCAAGATCGTGCCATTGCACTCCAGCTTGAGTGACAGAGCCAGGCCCTGTCTCCAAAACCAAACAAACAAAAAATCCACTTCGGACCCACAGGTGGGTCCTGAATCCCAGAAGTGTCTCTCCTGCTGTGTGACCTTGCACAGGTGGCTGCTCCTCTGTGAGGCCGGGAGCCCGTGGGGAGGCCCAGGCAGGGACCCCTGCCAAGGCCAGGGCTGGACCGAGGCAGAGCAGTGGGGAGATGAGGGGACAGGTGGAAGGGGCGCTTAGGAGGCTGACTACATGGGCGGTGGGCTGAGGGAAAGGATGGCACCCAGGATAGGTGTGTGAGGGGAGTCTGAGATAAGTGCAAAGATGGGGGAGAAGAACGTGCTAGAAAATGAGAGGGGGCACACCGGGCTTGGTTGAAGAAAAGTCCCCGTCGCCCCCCAACACACGCATGGACCAGACATTTATTTCTTCAGGTGCAGAATGAGAAACCTAGGTTCAAATCCCGGTTCTGCCTCTTCTGGGCGGCACGACTTGGCTTGTGGATTTGCCCATCTGCGAAATGGGTATCATCAGACCGCTTCCCTGGCGGAGGTGGGGACTGAGCCAGCGCGTGTCCCCAGGGGCCGCCGATGCTGCCCACGAGGCCACGGTCTCTCCGATGCCACGCCCTCGCAGCGCAGGGCTGGCTCCATGCAAAAATGGTGGCCCAGGGCCCCCGACACCGTCCCCAGAACTTCTCAACCCCAAGGCTAGGCCGTGTATTGCCTCTGCTGTGGGAGCAGTGGCTCCCCACTGCGGTGCCTGCGAATTTGGCAAATGACACTGAAAATCCCATCGTCAAGGCACTGGTTTGGTAATAAGATACATGAGATGTTTTCCGATTAAAATGGTTAATTTGGTTTTAGTCAACCCACTTTAGATTTTAAAATAGTTTTTTTGGCCAGTCGTGGTGGCTCACGCCTGTAATCCCAGCACTTTGGGAGGCCAGGGTGGGGGGATCACCTGAGGTCAGGCTGACTAACATGGTGAAACCCTATCTCTACTAAAAATACAAAATTAGCCAGTCGTGGTGGCAAGTGCCTGTAATCCCAGCTACTCAGGAGGCTGAGGCAGGAGCTAATCGCTTGAACCTCGAAGGCAGAGGTTGCAGTGAGCTGAGGTCGTGCCATTGCTCTCCAGCCTGGGTGACAGAGTGAGACTCTGTCTCCACAACAACAACAAAAATCTGTAAAGTGTTTATTCAAGAAAAGCAGCTGAATCTTAGTAAGAGCAGTGAACTTTATGACTTTTTTAAAATTTATTTTTATTTTTGTTTTCTTGAGACAGAGTCTCACTGTCGCCCAGGCTGGAATGCAGTGGCACGATCTCAGTTCACTGCAACCTCTGCCTCCCAGGTTCAAGCAATTCTCCTGCCTCAGCCTCCCGAGTAGCTAGGATTACAGGCGCCCGCCACCACGCCCGGCTAATTTTTATACTTTGTGACATTTTTAATTGGCCTAGTTCCATTCCCCCATTCCAGCTCCATGGTAGCCTTGAATATTAACTGCCAGCATTCTCAGTGGAAACTAGCAGCCTGGCATACACCAAACGGGGCAGAAGAGGATGAAACTCCATAAAAGCCTCACTCCCAGAAAGTCAGAATTATTTGATTCGTCTTATGGTTCCCTGGAAGCCCCTACTTGCAATGTTGTCTGTATTTGACCTAACTTAGAGCTCATACATCGTCAAAATTATTTCCCCAGGGGCATTTGTGAAACACAATTGCATGCAATTGTTTAACTAGGCAGCTGCCTAAGCAATGAATAACAGTTGAGGCCAATAATAGGCTAATGAAACAGTTTAAAAGATAAAGCTGGGGAATGAGAAGGCTTTGAAAAACTCCAAAATATTCTTGGAAATCTAGAAGGTCACATGCATGCATAGGGTTGTGTGCATGCCCAGGAGTATATGCAGGCTCAAGAAAGACCAGAGATGAGAACCCAGTCTTCTTACATTGGGCTGACCTTGAGGATGTGTGCCTTCCTGGGAGAAGTAGTGGCGAAGGCAGAGTTGTCAATTGCCTGGCTGAATGTCGAAAGCATGGCCCACCATGCCTCAGCAAAGGCTAGGAGATTATTGGTTTTTGGAGGCTAAGGAAATCTTTGTCCAATCATTAGCGGAACTAATGCTAAAGAATACTGTCTTTTTTTTTGAGATGGAGTGTTGGCCAGGCTAGTCTTGAACTCCTGACCTCAAGTGAACCTCCCACTTTGGCCTCCCAAAGTGCTGGGATTACAGGTGTGAGCCACCATGCCTGGCCTAAAAGCAGAAATTATTTTAAAAGAACTAAACAGAAACTTGGGACTTGAAAAGTACAGTAACTAAAATGAAAAAATTCAAATGGGCCAGGCGTGGTGGCTCATGCCTGTAATCCCAGCACTTTGGGAGGCCGAGGTGGACAGATCACGAGGTCAGGAGATCGAGGCCATCCTGGCTAACATGGTGAAACCCTGTCTCTACTAAAAATACACAAAATTAATCAGGCATGGTGGTATGGGCCTGTAGTACCAGCTACTCAGGAGGCTGAGGCAGGATAATCACTTGAACTCGGGAAGTGGAGGTTGCGGTGAGCCGAGATCGCGCCACTGCACTCCAGCTTGGGCGACAGAGCGAGACTCCGTCTCAAAAAAAAAAAAAAAGAAAAAATTCAATAGAGGAATAGAGGGTTCAACAACAGATTTGAGTAGGCAGAAGAAAAGATCGGTGAACGTGAGTATAGATCAGTTGAGATGATCAAGTCTAAGGAACAGAAAGAAAAAAGCACGAAGATAAGTGAACAGAACTTCAGAGACCTGTGAGACATCATCAAATAATGGGAATCCCAGAAGGAGAGGACAAAAAGAAAGGGGTAAAAAAGAATATATGAAGAAAGAATGGCTGAAAACTCCCAAAATTTGATGAAAAAAACCATCAATCTAGAGCCAAGAAGCTCAATAATCTTCAAATAGGATAAACTCAAAGATATCCATCACCAGACATATCATAATCAAATTATTGAACGATAAAAAGAGAACCTTGAAAGCAGCAACTGACAAGTGACCCATCACGTATAATTAATCATCAATAAGATTAACAGCTGGGCTGGGTGTGGTGGCTCATGCCTGTAATCCCAGCACCTTGGGAGGCTGAAGCGGGAGGATCACTTGAGCCCAGGAGTTGGAGATCAGCCTGGGCAATATGGGCAAACTCCATCTCTACAAAAGAATACAAAAATTAGCTGGGTGTGGTGGCATATGCCTGTAGTCCCATCTACTTGAGAGGCTGGGGTGGGAGGATCTCTTGAGCCTGGGAGTTCAAGGCTGCAGTAAGCTGTGATCAGGCCACTGCACTCCAGGCTGGGTGACAGAGTGAGGTCTTGTGTCAAAAAAAAAATTAAAAAAAAAAAAATAATAAAATGAGAAAGATTAGAACATTTGGAAAAAATGCAGGCTGGCGTGCGGTGGCTCAGGCCTGTAATCCCAGCACTTTGGGAGGCTAAGGCGGGCAGATCACCTGAGCTCAGGAGTTGAGACCAGCCTGGGCAACATGGTGAAACCCCGTCTCTATCAAAAACAAACAAACAAACAAAAAACTAGCTGAGTATGGTGGTCTATGCCTGTGGTCCTAGCTACTTGGGAGGCTGAGGTAGGAGGATGGCTTGAGTCTGGGCGGCGGAGGCTGCAGTAAACTGAGATTACGCCACTACATGCCAGCCTAGGTGACAGAGTAAGACCTTATCTCAAAAAAAAAAAAAAAGCTGAAAAGGGGAATTAAATATATATTTCCAAATCTGCCCGCATGGAAATTACATTCCAGTGGTGCAATGATGAAGGATAACATTTGGCATGTTAGCGGTAAGTGCTTAAGAAACAAGGCCAGGTGTGGTGGCTCACACCTGTAATCCCAGCACTTTGGGAAGCCGAGCTGGGTGGATCACAAAGTCAGGAGATGGAGACCATCCTGGCCAACATGGTGAAACCCCGTCTCTACTAAAAATACAAAAATTAGCTGGGCGTGGTGGCGCGTGCCTGTAATCCCAGCTACTTGGGAGGCTGAGGCAGAAGAATCGCTTGAACCAGGGAGTCTGAGGTTGCAGTGAGCTGAGATTGCGCCACTGCACTCCAGCCTGGTGACAGAGAGACTCCATCTCCAAAAACTAAAAAAATAAATAAAAATTGAAAAAAGAGAAAGAAACAAAAGGAGTGAAGGGGCACAAAGATGGAGGAGCTGAAGGTGAAGGCTGAGTGGTCAGAGAAGGCCTCGCTAAATGAAGACCTGAAGGCAGTGAGGGGTGAGCTTGTGGACAGCTGGTGGCCAAACATTCCAGGTCGAGCAAACAGCAAGTGTAAAGGATCCGGGGTTGGAGCCAGCCTGGTGTGTCGAAATACATTTGCTCACAGTTCCTGTGCACTGAAGAGGCCAGTGTGGCAGGGGCTGTGTGAGCAAAAGGGCACCATATCCAATCAGATCAATATATTTACAAATACTTCTAGATGCATGAGCTATCTCTAAAGGAATGTACAGGAAACACTGGCACTGGTGGCAAACCCTGGGCAGAATCAGGCAGCTGGACTCAAGGAGTCCAGCACCTTGACTTTTCACTGGCCGTCCTGTTTCATTTGAAATTTTCATGGTGTTGGCTGGGTGTGGTGGCTCATGCCTGTAATCCCAGCACTTTGGGAGGCCGAGGTGGATGGTTAACCTGAGGTCACGGAGTTCAAGACCAGCCTGGTCAACACGGTGAAACTACTCTCTAAATCGCTACTAAAAATACAAAAAATTAGCTGGGTGTGGTGGCAAGCGCCTGTAATCCCAGCGTTTTGGAAGGCTGAGGCAGAATTGCTTGAACCGGGAGGTGGAGGTTGCAGTGAGCAGAGATCACATCACTGCACTCCAGTCTGGACAACAGAGCAAGACTCCATTTCAAAAAAAAAATTTTTTTTTCATGGTGTTTAAGTTCTTTGCTACTTCCAACCCACGCCATAACCTCCCACGATCCCTCAAGCTCCCTGTGTGTGCACTAAGGTCCTGTTTACAGCCACTTTTTTTTTTTTTGAGACGGAGTTTCGCTCTTGTTGCCTAGGCTGGAGTACAATGGCACAATCTCGGGTCACAGCAACCTCCACCTCCTGGGTTCAAGCAATTCTCCTGCCTCAGCATCCAGAGTAGCTGGGATTACAGGCATGCACCACCACGCCTGGCTCATTTTGTATTTTTAGTAGAGACGGGGTTTCTCCATGTTGGTCAGGCTGGTCTGGAACTCCCGACCTCAGGTTATCTGCCTGCCTCGGTCTCCCAAAGTGCTGGCATTACAGGCGTGAGCCACCGCGCCCGGCCCCTACAGCCACTTTTCTTCATGAGCAGCTATTTCACAAGATCTATCTCTGGGGCCATTTTTCTCCATACAAGAATCATCCCTGCTCATGTGAATGCATCAGACAAGTTTGTAACCATTTGAAGTTTTGTTTTTGTTTTTTGGGGATGGAGTCTCGCTCTGTCGCCCAGGCTGGAGTACAGTGGTGTGATCTCAGCTCACTGCAACCTCCACCTCCCAGGTTCAAGTGATTCTCCTGCCTCAGCCTCCCCAGTAGCTGGGATTAGGGGCACGCACCACCACACCTGGCTAATTTTTGTATTTTTATAGTTTTTTTTGTATTTTTAGAAGAGATGGGGTTTTACCAGCTTGGCCAGGCTGGTCTTGAATCCCTGACCTCGTGACCCACTCGCCTGGGCCTCCCAAAGTGCTAGGGTTACAGGTGTGAGCCACCACACCCCGGCCATTTGAAAGGTTTTGAGGACACACCAATTCAGCCATAAGAGTGTTCCGGCTGGTCATGCTAGCTAGGTCCCTGTTGACGAGTCTGTTGGGGATATTCTGGGCTGTTATTGTGTGGCAATTCTTTTGGGGGCACCATGAAGAACAGCTCTCAACTTGGCCTACTTAAATGACTTCCAACTACCATCATGATCAGCATGAAAGAGCAGGTCCCAACACGGGGAGAAGTTACACATTGTGCAGGAGATTGCTTATTAGATATTAAGAACTCTTTTTTTTTTTTTTTTTTTTTTTTGGTGAGATGGAGATTTACTCTTGTTGCCCAGGCTGGAGTGCAATGGCATGATCTCGGCTCACCACATCCTCTGCCTCCCAGGTTCACGCGATTCTCCTGCCTCAGACTCCCGAGTAGCTGGGATTACAGGCATGTGCTACCATGCCTGGCTAATTCTGTACTTTTAGTAGGGACGAGGTTTCGCCATGTTGCCCAGGCTGATCTTGAACTCCTGACCTCAGGTGATCTGCCCACCTCAGCCTCCCAGAGTGCTGGGATTACAGGCATGAGCCACTGTGCCCGGCCATTAAGAACTAATTTCTTAGGTGTAAATAATTATGTTAAAAAAATAGGTATCTCCAGGCAGGAGAATAGTTTGAACCCAGAAGGCAGAGGTTGCAGAGAGCTGAGATGACACCACTGCACTCCAGCCTGGGCAACAGATTGAGACTCTGTCTCAAAAAAAAAAAAAAAAAAATTGTATCTCCAAGAGATACATATAGTTTCTTATTTCTGGATAAAATATAATCTTTATGTATTTTATATTATATTATAATCTATATAATTTGCTTTAAAATTATGTAGGGTGGTTGCACACATAGGAACTTAGGTTATTCTGTATAATCAACTATTTGACTCATTGACTGGCACAGAGAGGGTGGCCAAGGTTCAATAAAATTAAGTTAAAAAACGCTAGGCATGGTGGCTCATGCCTGTAATCCCAGCACTTTGGGAGGCCGAGGCAGGTGGATCATCTGAGGTCAGGAGTTTGAGACCAGCCTGGCCGACATGGTAAAACCCCATCTCTACTAAAAATACAAAAATTAGCCAGGTGTGGTGGGGTGTGCCTGTAGTCCCAGCTAGTCGGGAGGCTGAGGCAGGAGAATCGCTTGAACACTGGAGGTGGAGGTTGCAGTGAGCAGAGATCGTGCCATTGCACTCCAGCCTGCGTGAAGAACGAGACTCCATCATAAAAAAAAAAAAAATTAAATTAAATTAAATAAATAAAAACAAAACAGAGAAAATACTCATTCAAGCCCCTCCCTGGTCAGGGCACTGATTCCAGCCCAGCTTCTTGCCACTGCCTGGCCCGTTCACACGCATAGTCTCACTTTTCCAATGAGTTTTTATTAGCAGGTAAGTCATGATTTAGGATCCTGGGGTGGGGATCACTGGGTACCAGGTCCCCCTTCACCATCCTGGGAGAAGGATGGAGGACAGAGGAAAGGGAGATGCAGCCAGTTCAGATCTTCCCGGGAAACGTGCCTTCAGCCCGTTGCTCATCCCAGTCTGTGACCTGTGGAAAGACAGTGTTATTCCCTCCGCAGTGGGGAAACTGAACGGATGGACTTCTTATCTTCCTCACTTTGCCCACCTGTTTGTTCAACCAATATCCACAGGTACCTGCTGTGTGCCAACCTCTATTCTAGAGGCCGGGGAATCAGCAGTGACCCCAAAAGACAGAAATCACTGTTCTGAACAAGCTGACATGCTGGGAGGAGAGTAATGGGCAGGAAAACCCCAGGCCCACTGCAGAGCTGTCGATGGGGAGATGTGTCACTGTACAGAGCTCCAAGGGTGGGCCCTGCTTTGAAAACCTCAAGTCAACACTATGCTGTTTGTCCAAACAGGGGAGATGGAATAGCAGGCAGCTGTGAAAAAAAACGAGGCTGATTTATGTTCTGGCATGAATGGATGGATCTTCAAGATACATAGTCAAGTGCAAAAAAGGTGCCAAACAATACACAGTGCAATCCCACCACTGACCACAGGCGATGCTCAGTATAAACAATGATGGAGGCTGGGTGTGGTGACTCGCACCTGTCATCCCAGCACTTTGCGGGGCCGATGTGGGAGGACTGCTTGAGCTCAGGAGTTTGAGACCAACCTGGACAACACGGCAAGACCCCCATCTCTACAAAAAATAAAAAATAAGCCGGGCATGGTGGCTCACGCCTATAATTCCAGCACTTTGGGAGGCAAAGGTGGGAGGATCGCTTGAGCCCAGGAGTTTGAGACCAGCCTGGTGAATGTGGCAAAACCCTGTCTCTACAAAAAATACAAAACTTAGCCAGGCATGGTGGCATGCACCTGTAGTCACAGCTACTAGGGAGGCTGAGGTGGGAGAACTGCTTGAACCCAGGAGTTCGAGGCTGCAGTGAGCTATGATGCTACCACTGCACACCGCACTCCAGCCTGACAGAGCAAGACTGTCTCTAAAAAAAAAAAAAAAAAAAAAATGAAAAGGCCCATATAAGGCCTATGTCAAGTTAACACTCCCTGAAAGTAACACTCTACTCTTTGTGGACCTCACAAGCAGTTACAAGCATAAACGTTTTTATATACATACACGCTCACATTTTATGCTATAAGGCAGGGGTCCCCGAGCCCCAACCAGTGCCTACCAGGTACTGGTCTGTGGCCTGTTAGGAACTGGGCCCCACAGCTGGAAGTGAGTGGCAGGTGAGCGAGACAAGCTTCAACTATATTTACAAGCACTCCCTAATGCTCGCATTACTGCCTGAGTTCCACCTCCTGTCAGATCAGCGGCAGCATTAGATTCTCTTAGGAGTGCGAACCCTATTGTGAACTGCGCATGTGAGGGATCTAGGCTGCATGATCCTTATGAGAATCTAATGCCTGATGATCTGTCACTATCTCCCATCACCCCCAGATGGGACCATCTAGTTGCAGGAAAACAAGCTCAGGGCTCCCACTGATTCTATAGTATGGTGAGTTGTATAATTATTTTATTATATAATGTAATAATAACAGAAATAAAGTGGACAATAAATGTAATATGCTGGACTCATCCTTACACCATCCCCAACCCTGTCTGTGGAAAAACTGTCTTCCATGAAGCTCATCCCTGGTGCCAAAAAGGGTGAGGACCACTGGTGCAAGAACGAACAGTGGATGAAAGCATGGATAACAGAGAGGCTGAATCTGAATCCCTGCTCCATCACTTCCTAGCTGTGTGACTTTGGGCAAGTTACTCAACCTTTCTGGGCCTCAGTTTCCAATTTTGTAAAATGAGGATACTAACAATAGTACCTACCTCATACGGTTGTGTTAGCATGTTGACCTTATGTGATGTAAAGTGCTAACATGGCTGGGCGTGGTGGCTCACGCCGGTAATCCCAGAACTTTGGGAGGCCGAAGCAGGTGCATCACCTGAGGTCAGGAGTTTGAGACCAGCCTGGCCAACATGGTGAAACTCTGTCTCTACTAAAAATACAAAAATCAGCTGGGCATGGTGGCAGGCGCCTGTAATCCCAGACACTCGGGAGGCTGAGGCAGGGGAATCGCCTGAACCTGGAAGGCGGAGGTTGCAGTGAGCTGAGATTGCACCACTGCACTCCAGCCTGGGAGACAGAGCAAGACTCCATCTCAAAAAAAAAAAAAAAAAAAGGTCTAACAACATAGCTGGCCCATAATAAGTGCCAGCGGTATGTGCCTACTTTATTTACATACACATACCACACCATAAAAACTCCATCCTTGCAAATTGACTCCTACTATATAGATTGTTCTGCAACTTACTTTTCCTGTGTCTTAGCATTCTTTCTGTGTGCTAGCATGTAGATCACCATAGTCTCCATAAAGACTATCAAGATCAATGTTTTAACTTGGGTTATTTCCAAATATTCTCCATTACGAACAACTCTGCAATGGGCATCTTTGTACATGAAGATTTTTGTAGCATCCCTAGATGTGGAATTGCCAAGTTAAAGGGTAATTTTTTTTATTTTGAAAGATTCAGCTGGGTGCGGTAGCTCATGCCTATAATCCCAGCGCTTTGGGAGGCTGAGGCAGGCAGACTGCTTTGAGCTCAGGAGTTCGAGACCAGTCTGGGCAACAAGGCGAAACCCCATTTCTACAAAAAAAATACAAAAATTGGGCCAGGTGTGGTGGCTCATGCCTGTAGTCCCAGCTATTCAGGAGGCTGAGGCTGCAGTGAGCTGAGATCATGCTACTGCACTCCAGTCTGGGCAACAGAGCAAGGCTCAAGAAAGAAAAGAAAGAAAGGAAAGAAAGAGAGAAAGAGTGAGAAAGAGAGAGCGAGAGAGAAAGAGAGCAAGAGAGAGCGAGAGGGCGACAAAGAGAGAGAGAGAGAGAGAGAGAGAGAGAGAGACAGGCACAGTGGCACATGCCTGTAGTCCAAGCTACTCAGGAGGCTGAGACAGGAGGAACACTTGAGCCCAGGAGTTCGAGTCTAGCCTGGGCAACATCATGAGACCTTGTCTTTAAAAACTTTTTTTTTTTTTTAAACAAAGGGCAGGGGCATAGCAAAGAGCTATTAAATATTGACGACAGATTTGGTCAGATCAGGGCTGAAAGGACTGTCTTACTGTGTCATTATTTAGAAGTCCACACTGAAGTAGGCAGGGGTGAAATGACGTGTCTGGGACTTGCTTTAGAATACTTCAGCAAAGGAAAGAAGAAAACGAAAAGGGGTAGATGAAGAAACCGTGGATAAATCCTGATAACTATTCACTTTGGGTGATGGATGTATTTGAGGTCAATGAATTATTATCTCTGCTTTGAAAATGTTCATAATAGGGCCGGGCACGGTGGTTCACGCCTGTAATCCCAGCACTCTGGGAGGCCGAGGCAGGTGGACCATGAAGTCAGGAGATTGAGACTATCCTGGCTAACATGGTGAAACCCCGTTTCTATTAAAATACAAAAAACTAGCTGGGCATGGTGGTGCACACCTGTAGTCCCAGCTACTTGGAAGGCTGAGGCAGGGGAATCGCTTGAACCCAGGAGGCGGAGGTTGCAGTGAGGCAAGATCGCGCCACTGCACTCCAGCCTTTCCAGCCTGGCAACACAGCAAGACCCTTGTCTAAAAAAAAAAAAAGAAAAAAAAAAAGAAAAAAAAATGTTCCTAATAAAAAAGGACAGGACTGCACAGAATTGTGAGCTACACAGGGATGGGAGCCCAGTGCTGAGTGTGTATTTGGAGAGTGCATGAGTGAGCTACATCTAGCAAAGCACCCTGGTCGCCTCAGCTGAGAGCCCTGACTGGTTGAGAGGCATCAGCAGAAGGAGACAGGGAGGTAATTCTAGGCGGGAGGAAAGGCACTGAGTCCTGGGACAGTGTGGTGCCCTGTCCTCCCTCTGCCCCTCACAGATGAGCTCCCACCAAGCCACCACACTCCCCTCTGCTAAGACCCCACCCCAGCATCCCAAGGGCCCTGGCAGGAGGCACATACCCAGGATGTGGGGCAGAGGGACTGGTACACACGCTGGTACCATTCGCACACAGAGATATCGCCTCCTTTAGCGGTCATTGCCTTCTGACAGCGGTGGAAGTCTGTGAAGAAAGGGGTTCAAGTCAGCCCAGATCAAGAGTTGGAACACATTTTTTTTTTTTTTTGAGGTAGGGTCTCAATCTGTCACTCAGGCTGGAGTGCAGTGGTGCGATCTCAGCTCACTGCAACCTCTACCTCCTCCTGGGTTCAAGTGATTCTCCTGCCTCAGCCTCTCAAGTAGCTGGGATTACAGGCACCTGCCACCATGCCCAGCTAATTTTTGTATTTTTAGTAGAGACAGGGTTTCGCCATGTTGGCCAGGCTGGTCTTGATCTGCCCACCTCGGCCTCCCAAAGTGCTAGGATTACAGGCGTGAGCCACTGCACCCAGCAAAATTACATTTATAAAGATGTTTACAGCCACACCATTTGTAAGAACTCCAAAATGGAAATCACACAAGTGTACAGGCATAGAATAAATTGTAGAAAACTGGACAGCAATGAAAATGAGCAAGCTATATGCCACAGCATGTATGGATCTGAGAAGGTACTGAATGAAAAAATCCAAACACAAAAGAATACACACAGTATGTATAAAGTTCACAAAGAGGTGAATCTAAACACGGTGGTAGCCGGGCATGGTGGCTCAGGCCTGTAATCCCAGCACTTTGGGAAGCTAAGGCAGGTGGATCACTTGAGGGTAGGAGTTCGAGACCAGCCTGGACAACATGGTGAAGCCCTGTCTCTATTAAAAATACAAAAAAGTGGCTGGACCTAGTGGCTCATGCCTGTAATCCCAGCACTTTGGGAGGCCGAGGCAGGCAGATCACGAGGTCAGGAGATAGAGACCACGGTGAAACCCCATCTCTACTAAAAATACAAAAAATTAGCTGGGCGCGGTGGCGGGCACCTGTAGTCCCAGCTACTCGGGAGGCTGAGGCAGGAGAATGGTGTGAACCCAGGAGGCGGAGCTTGCAGGGAGCCGAGATCACGCCACTGCACTCCAGCCTGGGCGACAGAGCGAGACTCCATCTCAAAAAAAAAAAAAAAATACAAAAAATTGGCCAGGCACGGTGGCTCACGCCTGTAATCTCAGCACTTTGGGAGGCCGAGGCAGGCAGATCATGAGGTCAGGAGATCGAGACCAGCCTGGCCAACATGGTGAAATCCTGTCTCTACTAAAAACACAAAAAATTAGCCGGGCATGGTGGCACGCGCCTGTAGTCCCAGCTACTCAGGAAGCTGAGGCAGGAGAATTGCTTAAACCCGGGAGGCGGAGGTTGCAGTGAGCCAAGGTTGTACCACTGCACTCCAGCCTGGGCAACAGAGCGAGACTCTGTCTCAAATAAATAAATAAAATTGGCCAGGCATGGTGGCTTACACCTGTAATCTCAGCACTTTGGGAGGCTGAGGGGGGTGGATCACGAGGTCAGGAGTTTAAGACCAGCCTGGCCAAGATGGTAAAACCCTGTCTCTACTAAAAATACAAAAAAAAAAAATTAGCCAGGCATGGTGGCAGGCGACTGTAATCCCAGCTACTCGGCAGGCTGAGGCAGAGAAGTGCTTGAAGCTGGGAGGCGGAGGTTGCAGTGAGTCGAGATTGCACCACTGCACTCCAACCTGGGCGACAAAGCGAGACTCCGTCTCAAAAAAAAAAAAAAAAAAAAATTAGCTGGGTGTGGTGGCGAGCGCCTGTATTCCCAGCTACTCAGGAGGCTGAGGCAGGAGAATCACTTGAACCCGGGAGGCAGAGGTTGCAATGAGCTGAGATCGTGCCATTGCACTCCAACTTGGGCAACAAGAAACAGACTCCATCAATAACATAACAACATAACATATATAAAATAAAATAAAATAATAAACATGGTGGTAAAAAACAAAGATGTGAGGCCGGGCACAGTGGCTCACGCCTGTAATTCCAGCACTTTGGGAGGCTGAGGTGGGTGGATCACCTGAGGTCAGGAGTTCAAGATCAGCCTGATCAACATGGTGAAACCTTGTCTTTACTAAAAAAAAAAAAAAATACAAAAAATTAGCTGGGCATGGTGGCGGGTGCCTGTAATCCCAGCTACTAGTGAGGCTGAGACAGGAGAATTGCTTGAACCCAGCAGGCAGAAGAGGTTGCAGTGAGCCGAGATCGTGACATTGCACTCCAGCCTGGGCAACGAAAACAAAAAACTCAGTCTCAAAAACAAAAACCAAAACCAAAAACAAAGATGTGATAACCCCCAGTTAGTGGCGTCACTTCTCTACTGGGGAGAGCGGGGTGCTGTGTTCCAGACAGGACATAAAGAAGGTGGGGAGGCCAGGCGCGGTGGCTCATGCCTGTAATCCCAGCATTTTGGGAGGCCGAGGCGGGTGGATCACCTGAGGTCAGGAGTTTGAGACCAGCCTGACCAACATGGAGAAACCCCGTCTCTACTAAAAATACAAAAAATTAGCTGGGTGTGGTGGCAGGTGCCTGTAATCCCAGCTACTTGGGGGACTGAGGCAGGAGAATTGCTTGAACCTGGGAGGCGGAGGTTGCAGTGAGCCAAGATTGCACCATTGCACTCCAGCCTGGGCAACAAGAGCAAAACTCCATCTCAAAAAAAAAAAAAAGAAGGCAGGGAGATGAGAGTGTGGGCAATGTCTGCTTTTCTCTCCAGGTTATGGTTGCACAAGGGGTTCACTTTAGAATTATTCATTTAGCTGTACATGTTTGTTATGTGCTTTCTGTACATGTTACAGTACGCACACACATACAGCTTAAAAAAAAATCATTGTAGGGGCCAGGCACGGTGGCTCACACCTATAATCCCAACACTTTGAGAAGCTGAGGCAGGAAGAGCGCATGAAGCCAAGAGTTTGAGACCAGCCTGGGCAACAAACTGAGACCTCTTCTCTACAAAAAAATTAGCCAAGTACAGTAGTGTGGGCCTGTGGTCCCAGCTACTCGAGAGGCTGAGGTAGGGGGACCTCTTGAGCCCAGGAGGTTGAGGCTGCAGTGAGCTATGATTGCACCACTGCACTCCAGCCTAGGTGACAAAGTGAGACCCCATCTCTGGAAAAAAACAAAACCAAACCATAATAATAATAAAAAATTTAAATTAAAAAAAAAATCATTGCAGGAACTAAAGTTTGTAACCCTAGCCTGGACCTGAACAGCAGGTGATGAGAGGCATGGGCCTTCCAGAGTAAGGATGTTCAGAATAAAAGGGAGGAGGCTGGGGTGGATGGGTCCCCTAGGAAGAGGCAAGCGGTGAGTGACTCGAGGTATGTGGCCAGGGAAAGGTCCTGCTTACCCAGGTAGTTCTGCCAGCAGTTTCTAGTCTGGTTCTGGTTGGGGAAGCGGCTGTCAAAAGGGGCGGTCTTGTAGTTCTTGATTTTGGTCTCCATGTCTTCCGCCATGGTGCTGAATCCTGGAGGCGAAAGGAGTGGGTGTCAGCAGGGGCCCCAGGGGCCCTGAGCAAGCCAGACTACCCAGGATCAATGGAAGAGGGCAGGCACGGAACAATGGGCTGGGTGTGAACAAGTTCCTGCCTCTCAACATACACAGAGATGAGGGGCAGGGCGAATCCACACATCTGAGTGTCGAGGTCGCGGCAGGGTTGGGGTACAACTCCTCAGCAAAATCAAGCCTGGTCCCCAAATAACATGAGCTAACACTCACTGAGTGCTTACTACATGCCAGGCGCTGTTCTACACACTTTACTCCTATAGCCACTCTAAAAGGTAGGAACTATTACTATCACCATTGCCCAGACGAGGAAGGAACAGGGTGTCTAAGTGACTTCCTACGGTTAAACGGCATAAAAATAACTGGTGGGCTGCCTCCGTTGTTGGCATAATCTACACTGCAAAGATTCTTAATCTTTTTGGTGCCACAAACTCCTCAGCAGTCTGATGAATCCCAGAAACCTCTCGCTGAATGTTTTTTTTTTTCTTTTTTTAAGACAGAGTCTTGCTCTGTCACCCAGGCTCACTGGTACGACCTAGGCTCACTGCAAACTCCGCCTCCAAGATTCAAGCAATTCTGTTGCCTCAGCCTCCCGAACAGCTGAGATTACAGGCGCCTGCCACCATGCCCTGCTAATTTTTTTGTATTTTAGACAAGGTTTTACCATGTTGGTCAGACTGCTCTCCAACTTCTGACCTCAAATGATCTGCCCGGCTTGGCCTCCCAAAATGTTGAGATTACAGAACGGAGACACCAAACCCGGCCTGAATATGTTTAAATGTATTTAAAAATTGCATAGGCTCCATGAGTACATGAAGTGAAAAAAACCTGCACAGCATCACAAAGAAAAGCAGTTATATCCAGCTGAGGATTCATTAAGGAATACAATTTTCGCCGGGTGCGGTGGCTCACGCCTGTAATCCTAGCACTTTGGGAGGCCAGGGGGGTGGATCACCTGAGGTCAGGAGTTCAAGACCAGCCTGGCCAACATGGTGAAACCCTGGCTCTACTAAAAATATAAAAATCAGCTGGGTGTGGTGGCAGGTGCCTATAATCCCAGCTACTCTGGATGTTGAGGCAAAAGAATCGCTTAAACCCAGGAGGCGGAGGTTGTAGTGAGCCGAGATTGTGCCAGTGCACTCCAACCTGGGCAACAGAGCAAAAACACTGTCTCAAAAAAAAAAAAAAATACAATTTTGAAGTAATCATGAATGAATATAGTATTTTGTGACATTTGCTGTTATAATGTGGTATAAGAATACCTGTGATTTTGGGTGGAGCACAATGGTTCACACCTGTAATCCCAGCACTTTGGAATGCTGAGGTGGGAGGATCGCTTGAGCCCAGGAGTTCAAGACCAGCCTGGGCAACATGGTGAAACCCCATCTCATCTCTACAAAAAAAATATTAAAATTGGCCGGAAGAGGTGGCTCACGCCTGTAATCCCAGCACTTTGGGAAGCCGAGGTGGGTGGATCACCTGAGGTCAGGAGTTCAAGACCAGCTTGGCCAATATGGTGAAACCCCATCTCTACTAAAAATACAAAAAATTAGCTGGGCATGGTGGCGTGCACCTGTAATCCCAGCTACCAGGGAGGCTGGGGCAGGAGAATCACTTGAACCCAAGAGGCGGAGGTTGCAGTGAGCCGAGATTGTGCCATTGTACTCCAGCCTGGGCGATACAGCAAGATCTTGTCTCAAAAAAAAAAAAAAAAATTAAAATTAGCCAGGTGTGGTGGCGCGTGCCTGTGGTCCCAGCTACTGAGGCAGGATCGCTTGCACAGGGAAGCAGAGGTTGCAGTGAGCCAAGATTTCTCCACTGCACGCCAGCCTGGGTGACACAGTGACCCTGTCTCAAAAAAGGAGAAAAACAAAAAAAAGGAATGTCTATGATTTTCATTGCTAACAAAATCACCGCTGCTGCTAGTACTACCGAGGTTGCTGCCTCAAAAGGTTAGTAAAAACACAGATGCAATTCCACCCCCCACCCCAATTCAAGTACTAGCATTCCTTGAATTCTACCAACTCTGCGGACCCAGGGTTAAACACCTTTAATATAATGTCTCTGAAGAAGTGACAGTGTTCGTCGGGAGCCTGAGAGAAAAGTATCTATATTCCAGGGAATCCTAGGAGTCGTGGGGCTATACAGAGACTTGCAGAGCAGTGTCAAATTCAAGCGACGCAAGGTGGTGGTGGGGGTCTGGAGCACTAAAACAGTCTTTCGGTGGGGAAGTGGGGTGTAAAACACCAGCTGCTGGGGCACAGACGCAGTAGGAAGGATCGTTACCGGCGAGATCTCTACCCGGTATCTGAGGATGAGGGTGCATCGGAGATGACGCTGCGGCCCCTCCAACGTCCAAAAGGGAGGATGGACTGGACACCCGGGAGCCAGGCTGCGGCCCAGGCAAGCCGCGAGAGGCCACGCCTGTGAATTAGCCATGAAGAGCCCTGGAGGACAAACTCCTGGGCCAAATCCTGGTCGCTGTGTAGGTTCAGCTAGGTCGCTTGGTATCTCTGAGCCTGTTTACTGACAAAAGGGGATAATCGCAGGCCCTATCTCATAGGGCTGGTGGGAGAGTTAAATAAATTAATTAAAGTTGTTTGGGATGTTGCCTGGCATCAAGGAAGAACCGTATCATTGTTAGCTCTTACGATGAACAGAACAGGGCCCCGGGGTCCAGGGAGGCCGGACGCCGCCAGCCGGAAGCCTCAACCCGTTCTCAGGGAAGCTGGGGTCCGGCTCCTCAGCCCGCTAGACTGGGGTCCCAGGTTACAGAACCCTCCACACTCACCTAAAGGCACCCCGGATTCAACCTGCAGCTCAATGTGACCCTCAGCAAAGACACCACAGTCGGACAGGAAGCGGAACTACTACCAGCCGGAAGCTGAGAGAGGTGGGGACTACGGGAGTCTTGCGAGCGGCTTCAGCTCCCTCCCAGGAGGAGGCCACTGAAGTCATTCAAGCCACGCCCAGCAAGAGAACTACGACTTTCTATTGGGCTAAATGCTTGTTCATCCTCACTTCTGGCCCAATCGTGAGCTTGCGCGGCTGGGGCTCGGGCGCCCGTGGGTTACCCGATCTCATCACCTCTGTGTCTTCACTCGGAGAGAGTGTTATAGATCCCGGGGCTGGCTGGAGGGTAGGTGTGGAGAAAAATGTCCCAGCGAAAGTACTTTTATTCATGCAAGAAATATTTATTGAACGCTTTTTCTGTGTCAGGTATTTCTTTTCTTTAAATTTTTTTTTTCTTTTTTTTAAATTTTTGAGACAGGGTCTTACTCTATGGCCCAGGCTGGAGTGCAGTAGCGCGATCTCAGCTCACTGCAACCTCCGCCTCCTGGGTTCAAGCGATTCTCCCGCCTCATCCTCCCGAGTAGCTGGGATTACAGATGCGCACCGCTACTCCTGGATATATATATGCATTTTATAGAGATGGGGTCTTGCTGTGTTACCCAGGCTGGACTCGAACTCCTGGTCTCTAAGCGATCCTCCCGCCTCGGCCTTCCAAAGCGTTAGGATTACCGGCGTGACCCACCGTATCCAGCCATCAGGCACTTTACGGGTTGAGAAAGCACGCTGCACAAAACACAAAAATCCCTACCCTTAAAATATATATATAGAGAGAGAGACGGAGTCTCACTCTGTCGCCCAGGCTGGAGTGCAGTGGCACGAACTTGGCTCACTGCAACCTGCGTCTACTCGGTTCAAGCGATTCTCCTGCCTCAGCCTCCCGAGTAGGTGCGATTACAAGCGCACGCCACCACTCCCGGCTAATTTTGGTATTTTTGGTAGAGATGGGATTTCACCATGTTGGTCAGGTTGGTCTTGAACTCCTGACCTCAGGTGATCTGCCCACCTCGGCCTCCCAAAATGCTGGGATTACAGGCGTGAGCTGCCCTACCTGGCCAATTTGGCTTTTTTTTTTTTTTTTTTTTTTTTTTTTTCAGACAGAGTTTTGCTCTTGTTGCCCAGGCTGGAGTGCAGTGGTGTGATCTTGGCTCACTGCAACCTCCACCTCCCGAGCTAGAGCGATTCTTCTGCCTCAGCCTCCCCAGTAGCTGGGATTACAGGCATGCGCCACCACACCTGGCTAATTTTGTATTTTTAGTAGAGATGCGGTTTGTCCATGTTGGTCAGGCTGGTCTTGAACTTTTGACCTCAGGTGATCTGCCCGCCTTGGCCTTCCAAAGTGCTGGGATTACAGGCGTGAGCCACCGTGCCCGGCTATATCTGTTCTTTTACATTATGTTTACCTCTTTTTGCCTCCCTCAACAGAAAAGAATTATCATAAAGGAAGAATTTTTGTCTGCCTTATTCATTCACCATTGTATCTAAAGCAGTGCCTGGCACACAGGAAGTGGTCTATAAATATTTGCTGAATGCAAGAATTTCTTGTGGAAATGAAGGAAGCATCTAGGGACTAGGAGAGGGAGCTATGAAAGAGAACTGCTTTCCTTCCTCCCCCATCTGGCCTCTAAAGCCTCTCACATACCATCTGGGGTGCAGTGTCCAGATGGAATTGGGTCAGGGACCTCTTCTTACACATTCTGTGTCCATCAACATTGTGATTATTTGTGGAATTACCTGTTTACATGCATGTATTCATCCCCTGCAATGAGATCTTCCTAAAATCCAAATCCCTTTCCCTGCTTAAAACCCCTTGATGGGGGCCAGGCACGGTGGCTCACTCCTATAATCCCAGCACTTTGGGTGGCCAAGGCAGGCGGATCACCTGAGGTCAGGAGTTCAAGACCAGCCTGACCAACACGGTGCAACCCCATCTTTACTAAAAATACAAAAATTAGCTGTGCGTGGTGGTGTGCACCTGTAATCCCAGCTATTTGGGAGGCTGAGGCAGGAGAATTGCTTGAACCTGGGAGTCGGAGGTTGCAGTGAGCTGAAATTGCATCACTGCACTCCAGCCAGAGTGACAGAGTGAGACTCCATCTCAAAAAACAAACAAACAAACAAAACCCTTGATGGCTCCCCAGGAGCCCTGGAGACAAAGTCCAGGCTCCTCACCACGGCCCACAGATCCTTTATGAATTGGTCCCTGTTGCTGCTGTAGCCACGTTTATTTTTAATTTTTTAAATAGAGATGGGGGTCTCCCCTATGTTGCTCAGGCTGGTCTGGAACTCCTGGCCTCAAGGCATCCTCCTGCCTCAGCCTTCCAAAATGCTGAGATTACAGGTGTGAGCCACTATGCCTGGCCCACACTGATAGTTTTGAGCAGTGGTATGAGATCGTCTGCCTCTGGGCCTTTGATCTTGTTGTTCCTTCTGCCTGAAACATTCTTTGCCTACCTGACTTCTCAAATCAGCTGTCTCCTCCTCCAGGGAGTCTCCCCTGACCCTTCTCCTCCTGGGCTAGATCAGGTCTCTCCTTTTGGCCTCCCTCAGTCCCCTGGAGTCTTCTCATCCCAGGTCAAAACACTCTGATGATGGGTCTGTCTTCCCACTGGACTGTGAGCTCCTTAAGGGGAGGGTCCAGGGCTGTCTTGGTCCCTGCTGTATCCCCCGCATCGCTCACAGACAGCAGGCTCTCTTTAGGGGCTCAGTGGCTCTCAGAATGGCGTAGGCTCTCTTTACAGTGTAGGTCTGAGTCCTGTGTCCTCCAGCTTGGAGTGGGGAAAGAGTGAGTGGTGTTGGGGTGCAAGCACTAGTTTTAATTCTTTGATGATCCCTTGCACTGGGAGGACACACAGCACAGTAAGCCCTTTTCAGGGTCTGAGTCTTCTCTTCAAGGGGACACAGCAGATATACTCTCATGATTGGGTCTGATTCCTTTACAAATCCCGACACAGGGCAGGGACACAGTAGGCCCTATGGGCTTTGGGTTTAGTTTCTTTGCCTCTCTCATCACAGGGCGGGCACATGGCAGGCTCCCTGAGTCTGGGTCTCCTTTGATCATTGCGCAGCACTGGAGGTGGGTGGTTCCTCATCCCAAAACTAACCACCGAGGAGGGAGGTCCGCGAAGATTGCGGAGGGAGTGAAGGCGGAGTCGAGAGGCGGGGCCTAAGGGGGCGGGACCGGGGAAACTGACAGCGTGGGGCGGGGCTTAGGGACCTGGGAGCTTAAGGGACTTGGGGCTGGTGGCCCGCACTTCAGGGTCTTCAGGGAGAAGAGGACTAAGACACTGCAGTCTTTTAGCGAGCAAGGATCCAGGCCTCTGGATCATGTGAGAGGAAAGAGATGAAGGCCCAGACGCCTGGGTCTCCGAGGTGGGGAGGCCAAATTCCAACATGTGGAGCTGCACACTTAGGCTCCCTAGCTGCTGTAGTCAGTATCAGCGGGAAGAATGCTGCAGAGGAGCACGCGCGAAGAGGTTTGACCGGGAATTTTTATTGTGTCTCTGCTCCCCGTCCGCCTCCCGCACAGTCCGGATAGGCTAGGCTGGGCACGCGGCCCCCGAAGCGGTACGTGTACTTTCGCCCCCCGCTCTTGCGCACGATGTCGCGGCGATAGTAGTAGCGAAGGCCCCGGCTCAGCTTCTCGTAATTCATGCCCGGCTTTCTCTTGCGCTCGCCCCACAGCCGAGCCACCTAGGACAGAGGCCCGCTCGGTCGGAGTGGGAAGGGGCGGGGCTTGGCGATAGTGGGGAGGGCCGGGCCTGGGGGCGGTGTGCAGTGCAGACCTGGGCGAGGCCTCGCAGAGCCCGGTGGAGACTGGGTTGGTTGAGGCAGGAGTACAGGCGGGAGATTGGGTTTGAGAAGGGTTGGGCGGGGCCTCGAGTGGGCCGGGGAGCGGCGGGGCCGAGGGCTACGCGGTTGAACCTAGCCCTTGGGCGGAGCTAAATTGAACTAGAAGAGACGGGGCGGATTTGGCTGGGCAGGGGAGCTGCCCCACCTCTTTGGGGTCGCACAGCTGGAACTCGCGGCTGTTGCCAGTCCAACGGATGCAGCTGCTACGCGCCCCGTCGTGGAGCAGCTCCAGGAGGAACTGCCACAGCTGAATGGGACCTGCGGGATGAAGGGAGGGGCACACTCAGTCTTCCCGGCCCTAGATCACACCACTTCAATGATCTAGAGGTCCGGGTCCTCCCAACTCGGGACCCAGGACCCGAGAAGGGGATCCGCCCCCCCTTCTCTGAGATCCAACAGTCAGCCTTGGAGACTCAAGCGTCCAGGGCCCCAGTCTCAGAGATTTAGGAGTTTGGCCTCCCCATCTCGGAGACCCAGGAATCTGGGCCTTTATCGCTTTCGTTTTATATAATCCAGGAGCCTGGGTCCTCATCCCCTTGGTCCCTATAAGACTACCAGTTTCTTAGCCCTCTCCTCCCCAAGGACCTGGAGTGCGGGCCACCGGCCCCTCCTTCGAGCCCCTGGTCCCTAAGCCCCCGCCCCCTCACTGTCAGTCTCCCGGGCCCCGCCCCCTTAGGTGCCTGGGTCCCGGCTCAGGACTCCAGCTTCGCCCTCCCCGCAGTCTTTGCGGCCCTCTCACCTCGGTGGTTAGTTTTGGGGCATCGAGCCAAACTGGCACGGTCCGACTGCGGGCTCGGTTCGGAGCAAACGGTGAGAGCTGAGCTCTGGTACCGCTTCAAAGAGGTGGTGCCACCCGCATGCAGCCCCGGGTTCCAGGAGGTGGTACAGTCCGGGCCCGCGGGCCCGCCCCACGAAATGGTACAGTCCGTGCGCGGCTCCCCGCCCAGGCCACTGCCCCAGTAGGTATCGCCGTCGGGCCCCACAGAACAGTCCCAGCTGGTGTTGCTCCCGGCGGCCTGGGCGCGCGACCACGAGGTGGCCTCTCCCGCCACGGGGACGCAGTTCTGGCCCGCGGCGCCTTCGGAGCCGGCGGCGGGGATGGGGCCCGGGCCGAGAGGGGCGGGGCCCAGGGTCTGCGAGGCGCCGCTCCAAGAGTCCCAGGCTGTGCACGCCATGTCTGTCCAGTCCCCGGACCACGGAAGAGCCTGAGAGTCGGGCTCTGTGAGGAGTAACGGATCCCGAGTGAGGGGAGCCCAGGTGCCCCCTCAAAAACTCTAGGGTCTAAGCTCTCAACCCTGGCACTTGGGGCCCGGCTGACCCGGATCCAGGTCATGCCACCTTGAGGGCGCAGGTGTTCTCAGTCCTCAAAGATCAGGGAGTCTACACCTCTAGCCCCGGTGCCTCGGGACCCCAGTCCCCACCTCCCACCGCCTCTCCCCACACTCACCCGCCCCCCATGGAACTTCTGGGTGCAGTAACGCGGAGCCCCAGTCCAGCTGTGGGAAGCTTGCCAGGGATGAGCTTGTACCTGAGTTTAGGGAGGACTGTGAGCAATGAAAGAGACCCCTCAACTACCCACTCTCTAGTCTCTACTTGTCAGGGACTGGGAGTTATGGCCCCCCAGCCCGTATTTCAGCACCCCGCGCCCCCTTTTCCTTCACCCTCAGGGGTCAAGCACGCGGCCCCTCCCCACCCAGTCCCAGGAACCTAGGCACGCCCCCCTCCTCCCTTTGCCCTAGGATCCCAGCCTCCCCGCTTCTTCTCCAGCACTTAGGGGTCCCAGCCCGCAGCCACCTTTCCAGCATGTCTCTGCTGTCGCTGTCGGCGTGTCCCCTTGGAGTGCCAGATCAGGGAAACAGAAGCCTAATTTGGCTCCTTCTGCAGGCGATAAGGGGTTAGGGTCAGCAGAGGCCCCACCTGGACACCCTCCCCACACACGTTGTGGCAGCCTCGGCAGCCTACCAAGCCCTGCCAGCTTGTTCCCTGGAGGCACTTCCTGTGGGGATGCCTCATCCCAGTTCCACAGGTCCATGGATGCGATGAAGGCCTTCTGAATGTTCTGGGTCGGGAAAAGTCCAGATGGCAATGGGTGAGCTGGTGACACTTGGAGGCCCTGGAGTCTGGGCCCCAGCCCTAGCTTCCCTCAGAGCCAGGAGTCCAGGCCTCCGCTCCCTCCTTCCCCAGGAGCCTAAAATCTTGGTCCTGGGAGTGAGGGACCCCAGCTCTCTTCCTCTGTTAGACCCAGGAGTCCAGGCCCCCGGCTTCTTGGGAGTCTAGTCCCCCAGGTCCTTCCTAACCCAGACACCCAGGCATCTAGTCCTCAGTTCATCGCTCACCTCTGGCGGGTTCCTCTGCCCCCAGCCGGGGGTCTCAGCCCCATTTCATACCATGCACCCCCTCCCCCAAGGGCCTGGGCAAGGGGGAATTTTCCGAGACGTCAGAGCAGGGGTCGCAGCCAGGCTCAAGTTGCAGAGGCAGGGGCGGGGCCGAGCCTCGACCCCAGCCTCGGGGATAGGTGCTGGCCTCTGGGGCTGCCCTGCTGCAGGGGTGGCGTGGGCTTGGAGCGAGGCTTGGGGAACAGCGGGCTGGGTGAGGGCAGGGCGGAGGCTGGGAGAAGTTTACGGGGTGATGGGGGCGGGGCGGGGGGCTTGGTGAACGGGCTGTCTGCCTCAGGGTCTCGATCCTGCGACATGGGGGGAGTGAGGGGAGAGGGTCTGGGGTCAGCTGGGCTAAGCTGGGCTTATCTGCAACAGGAAGAGGGATTTCCGGCCAGATTCCCCCACCCGCCCCCAGCGTCAGCTGACGTCACAATCGGCAGAGTAACTGCGGGGGCGTGGAGCAGGAGTGAAGGCCCACCCAATCCTCCACCAGGCCCAGTAGGGAGGGCGTCCTGGGGCTGCTTCCCAGGAGTGCCAATCATAGCAATATTGACATCAACAATTTCAACAATAACAATAGTAGCAATAACGGCCAACATTAAATGAGGGCTCATTGTGTGAAACCAACTGTGCCATACCCCTTCATTGAATCCTTCTATGAGGCAAGTACAATACATACTCTCATTTGATGAAGGGGGAAGGTAAGGCAGGCATCCTCCCACTGCTCTCCTTCTCCAGACCCCATGCCCTTCCGCGCTGTAATAGTTTAGGACAATTGGGGAAACTGGAGTATGAACTGAATATGAAATATCATAGAATTCTTTTCTTAGATTTGATAATGGTATTCAGGAGGAAAGATATCATTTAGAAAATGAACTCAGAGATGAAATGTTATAATGTCTGTAACTTGTGGTTGGGCGCGGTGATTCACGCCTGTAATCCCAGCACTTTGGGAGGCTGAGGCGGGTGGATCATCTGAGGTCAGGAGTTCTAGATCAGCCTGTCCAACATGGTGAAACCCTGTCTCTACTAAAAATACAAAAAATTAGCCAGGCGTGGTGGCGGGTGCTTGTAATCCCAGCTACTCGGGAGGCTGAGGCAGGAGAATTGCTTGAACCAGGGAGATGGAGGTTGCAGTGAGCCAAGATCATGCCATTGCACTCCAGCCTGGGGAACAAGAGCGAAACTTCATCTCAAAAAAAGAAACAACAAAAAAAAAGTCTGTAACTTGCTCAAATAATTCAGCAAAAAACAACAAAAAACCACAGCTATACATGTAACATATACATACATACATGAAATATTTAGGACATACCTAAACTATAAAATTGTTCACGTAAAATTCAATAACTGGGTGTCCTATATATATATAAAATATTTTTCGAGATGGAGTCTCACTCTGTCGCCCAGGCTGGAGTGCAGTGGTGCGATCTCAGCTCACTGCAACCTCTGCCTCCCGGGTTCAAGCAATTCTGGTGCCTCAGCCTTCCAAGTAGCTGGGATTACAGGCAAGCACCACCATGCCCGGCTAATTTTTTGCATTTTTAGTAGAGATGGGGTTTTGCCATGTTGGCCAGGCTGGTCTCGAACTCCTGACCTCAAGTGATCCACTTGCCTCGGTCTCCCAAAGTGCTGGGATTACAGGCGTGAGCCACCATGCCTAGGCTAATTTTTGCATTTTTAGTAGAGATGGGGTTTTGCCATGTTGGCCAGGCTGGTCTCAAACTCCTGGCCTCAAGCTATCCACCTGCCTTAGCCTTAGTGCTGTAATTAGAAGCATGAGCCACCACCGTGCCCAGCCATCCTGCTGTATTTTAATAAGTATGTAATATTTACCATTAAAAATAACTTTTGCATATCGGCATCTTCCAGTCCCCAGCCCAGCCTCTTGATCATTAACTACTTGCCGTTCTGGAGAGCGGGTGGCATTGCTCCTCCTTCCATTTTACAGTAAAGTAAACCGGGGGTCCCATGGAGTGGGAGTGGGACTGGGATTGGAATCAGTGTGGGGTAAGCCACAGAGCCCTGGAGCATCACTGGTCCCTCTATCCGTCCAGCGCGGAGGCCTGAAGGGAGTCCTGGCTTCCCATCCTTGAAGCTGGCCTCTTGTCTGTCTCTCCATGTCTCTCTGCCCTCTTTCTTCAGGTTGGCATATCTAAAGCTGGGTCTCTGTTGCCACGGGCCTGACTCCAGTGAGGCTTTGTCACCTGGTCTCTTCTGACATCTCTGTCCCTCCCCATCTGTCTTTGAGTGTTCCTATCTCATCTCCTTGTCCGTCTCCATCTGTCTCTTGGTTTTCTCCCCGTCCCCCTTCCCACTGCACAGTCTCTGATGGTTCTCATCTCTGCCTCTGAGCCTCCTGCTCACAGCGCCATCTCTACCTCTGCTTGCCACATTCTATGTGTGTGTGTCTCTTCTTGTTCTCAGGAAGACTTGTGTGCATTAAAAAAAAAGATAAACATTTAGGGGGTACAAGTGCAGATTCCTTACTGGATATATGTCAGTATATCCAGTATACTGGCCTGGGCCTTTAGTGCACCCGAATGGTGAGCAACGTACCCAACTGGTAACTGTTCAGCTTCCCCCACGCTCCCACCTTTTGGAGTCTGCAGTGCCTGTTACCCCACTCTGCATGTCCACGTGTACCTGCTGTTCTGCTCCCACTTGGAAGTGAGAATCACATGCATTTGGAAGCGTCCTTTCTGGAGCCATCCTCTCTTCCCATCTCCTCCCGTGACCCTATGCTTGCTGTCAGTACAAGGGGGGTCAGGGGTAGAAAAGACTAGTGATGGGGGGAAGGGGCTTTGAGGATCCTGGGGCTGGGTGGTCTGGCCCAGGTGGCAGGGGGCTAAAGGGCACTTCCTGCCAGGGAGGCTCTCACCCTCTGACCAGACTGGAAAATGTGACGTCAGAGAGGGGGCAGTAAGGCGGGGAAGACAGGAACAGGAGAAATTCGACACCTCTCCTGGGGGAC
This sequence comes from Homo sapiens, assembly GCF_000001405.40. Lineage (NCBI taxonomy): Eukaryota > Metazoa > Chordata > Mammalia > Primates > Hominidae > Homo > Homo sapiens. Next base: position 35,639,140 of record NC_000019.10, on the reverse strand, counting down.
CTCGGTCCCTGAGAGGCCTTGGTATTGTCCATCCCCCGACTTATGCCCCACAAAGTCCTGCCCAACCTGCTCCCTCCTAATGGAGGGTTCCGATGGCTGTGTCCCTGGGAGACCCTCCACTCCTCCCCATACTCAAACCTGCCATCTCCCTCCTCTGGCCCAGTCCCTGCCCCAGCCTTCTAGACTTCCAGCCACAGTGGTGGTCGCAGGGCGTTTTTTTTTTTTTTTTTTTGAGACAGAATCTCACTCTGTCACTAAGGCTGGAGTGCAGTGGCGCGATCTCAGCTCACTGCAACCTCCTTTTACCAGGTTCAAGCGATTCTCCTGCCTCAGCCCTCCCAAGTAGCTGGGACTACATGTGCCCGCCACCACGCCCAACTAATTTTTGTATTTTTCAGTAGGCACAGGGTTTCACTATGTTGGCCAGGCTGGTCTCGAACTCGTGACCTCAAGTGATCTGCCTGCCTCCCAAAGTGCTGGGATTACAGGCGTGCGCCACCGCACCCAGCCGGTCACAGGGCCCTTTCTACAGCGCACATCTGTGCTGCCCAGGACCTTGCTGCTGCTTGAATTTTCTCAGCTTTTTGGGGCTTGCTGCTGCCTTCTGCGTAAAGCTTAAGCCCTCAGCCTGGCATTCAAGGCCCTGCACAGACACCTCTTCAGACAGGCAGAGGCCAGCTTGGAGCTGGGAAGAGAGGGGAACAGACCCCAAGTCTCTGTTCTCTCTATCTGTGGGTCTCTCCTCCTTTTTCATTTCCCAGCTCCAAGGGAGAGAACAGAGACCAACAGGGATATAGAAGCTTAGAGACAAGAAATGGAGGGGTACCCACAGAGACAGAGATAGAGGTGCCCACCGAGACTTAGAGCATGGTGAGCTGGCTGGGCATGGCAGACTGGAGAAGCTGGAAAGCCCCAGAGGAGACTTGGGGGTGGACGGTTCCTTCAGGAAGGGCCCCCTCACCCACAGGTCAGCGCCCCCATCCTGCCCTGACCACTCTGGGCTCTTATCGTCAGGGCACCGGGCCTATTTTCTGCACTGGACCTTGAGCTCTAACGGTGCAGGGCCCAGGACTTTTAGTCACCATTGTGTCCTCAAGCACTGTTCAGACCCTTGGTGAGAGTCTGCTGGATGGAAGAGGGCCTAGAAGCCTGTGAGCTCCAGAAGGGAAGGGCCTAGATCTCCTACCTTGGTGCTGAGAACACAGGAAGTAGCCAGGACACGGGGATGGGCCTCAGCTTGGCTTCACCCTTGCCATTGGCCCCCCTTTCTCCTCTGGAATAAGCAGCACTCAGCATGTGTGGAAGAGGTTTGAAGAGGGAATGGGTGCGCAGGAAGGGCTCAGAAGCCCCCGCCTGGGTGTTTGCCTGGGTAAACTCTCAAGGCTCCCCGCCATTTCCAGCTGTGGGGAAGCCAAGCCCTGCTCCCCACAGCGTGCTTCCATGCCCAGCCAGGGGTGGAAATGAACGTAAATTTATTGAAACTGGTTTTGGGGCAGGGGATGGGTGGACAGCTGGGGGTTTTCCAAAGAGAACTGAGGGAGGAGCCAGCGCCCGGCCAGGTGGGAGCGGGTGCCTGGCCACAGACCCTATCTCAGGCCCAGCTTCTTCTTTTCCTTCTGCTTCTTGCGGACCACGTCCAGATTCCGGTCCTTCCACATGCTCTTGCGAAGCTTGATGGGGCGCGAGCCCACATACTTCCCTGTGGAGACAGAGGGTTCAAGGCAGGCTCGGGTCAGGCTTAGGCCAGCGCCTGCCGCGCCTGCAGTTCCCAGGGGAGGCCGCACCCACCATTCATCTCACGCATGGCGCGCACGTAGTCGCTGGGGTCCTTGAAGCTGACGAAGCCGTAGCCCTTGGTCTTGCCTGTGCGCTTGTCACGGATCACCTTGGCCTTAAGGAAGGATGGGAAGCGGCTGAAGGCGCGTGCCAAGATGTCATCGTTCACCTCATTGCCCAGATCCCCACAGAAGATCCGGAAGTCATCTGGGGATGGGGAAGAGATGACATCAGAGGATGCAGAGGCCTTGCCCAGTGTCTACCTTGTCTGAACGATCCCACCTTTTCGGAGGTATCTAGTCTCTGCCTAGGGACCTCTTAGTAATAATGGTCAACACCTACTGACCCTGCGCCAGGAGCTCTGCTGGCACCTGGAGGGGTGTTTCCATTTCTGGCACTCCCAACCATGCTTTTACACTGAGGCACAGAGAGGTGAAGTCACTGCCCACAGTGACACAAGCAGGAAGCGGCAGAGCTAAGACAAGAGCTCAGGCATCTGGCTCCAGTCCTTACTTTTAACCTTGAACTGCACTGCCCTCCCCACCCCAGGGCCACCTCACTCATTCCTGTAGTAACACCCTTAACTCTGCCCTAGCCCTGGCCTTTCCTCTGAGCCTTGGTGTCCCTTGGTCCCCTGGACCCCTGTCACCCACTGGCTGCCCGTCATGGCACCTCAGGAACATGGGCTTCATCTTTCCTCAGCCCTGCTTCCTTGGCAAGGCCTGCCCTAACTCCCCCTTGAGACCTGGACATGCTGCCTGCTCCTCCGCCATGGCTGCACCCAGCTGACATTCTCATGCTGCCTCTGAGTTGGGCCTGTGCTTCCACTGAACATGCTCTGTCCCAATGAATCCCTGTCCCCACAAGGGAGGGGATGAGGAATATGAGGCTTAAAAGGCTAAGTGAGCCAAGCACAGTGGCTCACGCCTGTGATCCCAGCACTTTGGGAGGCTGAGGCAGGTGGATGACTTGAGCTCAAGAGTTCAAGACCAGCCTGACCAACATGGTGAAACTCCATCTCTACTAAACAATACAAAAATTAGCTGGGTGTGGTGGTGGGTGCCTGTAATCCCAGCTACTCGGAAGGCTGAGGTGGGAGAATTGCTTCAACCCAGGAGGCGGAGGCTGCAGTGAGCCAAGATTACACCACTGCACTCCAACCTGGGTGACAGTGCGAGACTCTGTCTCAAAAAAAAGAAAAAAAAAAAAAACAAAAGAAGAAACAAAACAAAACCAGGCTAAGTGACTTGCCCAAGGTCACAGAGCTAGGGTCTTCTCTGGGCCAGGTAGACGGTCCCAGGAGAGGGGGTGGAAGTCAAACACTGAAGCAGGAGGGGTCCATCTCCTTCCTCAGCCATTGCACGGCTGCCCCATGGCGTCTGTGATATGGGACACTCTAAGCACAAGTTAGGCAATGCCAGGAGCAAACAACCGGACAAACTCAGAAGGTGGGACATCATACATGACAACTGCCCTGGACACTTCAAAAAATATGTACAAAACAAAGAGGCAGGAAAGAGACCGTTCTTATTAAGATATAATCGAGGCTGGGCGTGGTGGCTTATGCCTGTAATCCCAGCACTTTGGAAGGCTGAGGCAGGCGGATCACAAGGTCAGGAGTTCGAGACCAGCCTGGCCAGCATGGTGAAACCCCGTCTCTACTAAAAATACCAAAAATTAGCCAAGCATGGTCGTGCGCGCCTGTAGTCCCAGCTATTCGGGAGGCTGAGGCAGGAGAATTACTTGACCCTGGCAGGTGGAGGTTGCAGTGAGCTGCCGAGATTGCGCCACTGCACTCCAGCCTGGGCGATGGAGCAAGACTCCGTTTCAAAAAAAAAAAAGAAAAAAAAAAAGATATAATTGAAGGACATAAAACTGCATGCATGCTGGTTCAGGGCAAAAACATTAATAGTTCTAACAGAGTTTTGGGACACCTAGGGAAATACGAATATAAACTGAAAAGAAGATACCGAATTAGTTAATGTTCTTAGACTTGATAATAGTATTATGATATGCAAAAAGTATCTCTTTTCTTTTTTTTTTTTTTTTTGAGATGGAGTCTTGTTCTGTTGCCAGGCTAGAGTGCAGTGGCCTGATCTCGGCTCACTGCAACCTCTGCCTCCTGGGTTCAGGCGATACTCCTGTCTCAGCCAACCGAGTAGCTGGGATTATAGGTGCCTCCCACCAAGCCTGGCTAATTTTTTTGTATTTTTAGAGACACGGGATTTCACCATGTTGGCCAGGCTGGTCTTGAACTCCTGACCTCAAGTGATCCACCTGCCTCCGCCTCCCAAAGTGCTGGGATTACAGGTGTGAGCCACCGTGCCTGGCCAAAATATCTCTTTTCTTAGGAGATAAATACTGAGATATTTAGAAGTGATTAATTCACTTATAACTTGCTTCAAATGACTGAGCTAAAAACAAAGAAACCAGATACATACACAAAGAGGAAAAAAGTGAACACAGCAAAATGTTAATTGCAGAATCTAGGTGGTGGGTAGACGGGTGTTTACTGTGCCATCTGTGTTTAAAATTTTTCCCGGCCAGGTACAGTGGCTCATGCCTGTAATCCCAGCACTTTGGGAGGCTGAGGCAGGAGAATCACTTGAACCTGGGGGGCGGAGGCTGCAGTGAGCCAAGATTGCGCCACTGCACTGCAGCCTGGGCGACAGAGTGGTACTCTGTCTCATAAAAAAAAAAAAAAAAAATTTTTATCCTAAGAGTTGGGAAAAAAAAAGAATGCTCTCTGAAGCCAGGCACCTCATGAGTAAAACAGGCTACAAAGCCCCATGTCCCCGTCACCTCCACCAAGCTCCGGCCCATGGCTAGGTGAAGAACCAGCCCCTGAGCCATAGCCTCCCCTCCCCAAGGTGGGCTAACAACAGCGCCCACCCTACTGAGAGGGTTCACCCTCCCAGTCTGCAGCCCAAGGACAGCAGCCTGGTCTGACCTTGGCCGAGCCACGCCTGACCTCGAGCTTCAGCAGCTTACCTGCATCCCACTCCAGCAGGCTGGGGTCCTCCCAGCTGCTCCCTGCCGCTGTGCGAATGCACCGTTTCAATTTCTCTGGCTTCCCCTTCTTCTTGTCTTCACCCAGGGGCTCTGGGACCTGCAGAGGAAAGGGGAGAGGTGCAAAGGGGTTGGTATTGGGGTCTCCCACTGTCCTTTGGTCCCCGGCCCTCCTGCCACCACAGTAAGGGCTGGATGTGCTTCTGGATGTGGGGCACATGTGTCCGCCTCCCTCCCCCAGGTCCTCCTGCTGTCCGGTCTGTCTGTGTGGAAGTTCCTGGGCTCCTGTCTGCCCCCCGTCCCTTCTGTCCCTTCACCGCTAGGCTCCCTGCTTACCTCAAGAGCCATGAGGCCTGGGGGTGGCTCTGGCCGAGGGGGCCGGGGCCGAGGACGCAGGGACAGGAGTTCAGGAATGCGCAGCGGGGGCAGGAGGCCGCGGACGACCTCCAACGGGAGGGGCAGGGGCTCAGGCTCGGGCAATGGCATGGCCAGGGCCAGCGGCAGGCTGGGCCCAATGACTGCAGGGCCAGCTGGGGCACCTCCTGCCCCCACGGCCACAGCCGCGCTAGCCTCCTCCAGCCCAGCCGCCGCCGCCACCACTGCCTCTTCCTTCTCTTTCAGGCCCAACCCCAGGCCTAGGCCCAGCTCTCGGGGTGCTGCTGGCTCTTCCTGTGGGTAAGAGGAGAGCATGAGGGGGGCCGGCTCACAGGCTCAGACTTTACTGTCATCTCCATTCCATCCAACAAAGAAAGGGCCTGGGGGCCAGAGAGCAGCCAAGAGACACCCAAGCAGAGAGTCTCCAGCCAGACAAACACAGAGAAGGAGAAACACAGGCAGAGAGAGACAGCCACAGACAAGAACATCAGTAACAATCAAAAGAGAAATATTCCAATAGCATGTTTCTCTCTGTACTCCCTTCACAAAAGGAGAGAACAGATTTTGCCACAGAAAGATGCAGAAAGAGACAGAGACAAAGGCAGAGTGAGAAGGTAGAGAAACAGAAAGTCAGGAGAGAGGCCAACTCAGACATAGCCCATTGGGCCAGGATGGATGGTCTCCCCGTCCACCGCACATCTGACCGTTAGTTCCCTGTTCACACTCACCAGAGGGGGCCTCAGTGCAGCCATGGAGCCCAGCGGGGGCCCTGGAGCCCGAGCCATTGGTGGCAGCATCATGGGTGGTCCAGGGGGCCCAGGCAGAGGGGGGCCCACGAGGGCCTGGTGAGGGGGCCGTAGGGCCATAGGGCGGGGGCCGGCTGCTGCAGAGGAGAGAGCGGAATCTGTCAGGGTGTTAGTGGGGAGTTCCAGGGCCTGGGGGGAGTTATGTGGCAGGGATGATGACCCTGGCCCCTCACCTGCTCTCTGTAGCACGTGGGGGACGAAGGCTGGACGCAGGATAGGGGCCCTCTGGGGGGCCACAGCTGTGGGAGAGAGAGATGGGGGTGTGTGTCATGGGGGACAGGGGCACTTGGGACAAGGTGTGTGTGTGCATGCGTGTGTGTGTGTGCACTCTCAGCATCAAGAAATCCTGGAGAAGAGTCTGGGGAGCCCTCCTGGAGATGTGGGGGCCTCTCCCCTGGTTCATTCCATGAAAATTTACCACTGAGAAGCTCCTCTGGCTCAGCCCTGTGGCAGGCAATGCTGGGGACACACCAACAGACCCAGGGTTCTCAGGGAGCTCCTGGTCCAGAGGAGGAGGGAATGGAGACATCACTAGAGAAGGAGAGCCAGTGGGGACCAGCGCTGGAAGCAGGGAAGCCCAGGCAGTGGGATCAGTGCTAAGAGAGGGGAGCCCTCTGACCCAGCCAGGCCCAGGGAAGGCTTCCTGGAGAAAGGGACCTGTGAGCTGAGACCCAAGGGGCAATGAAGTGTTAGGCAAGGGGTGAGTGGGAATATTATTGGCAGGAAGAATATTTATAAGCAAAACCTTTCCCTTTTCAGTTTAGTGTAACTGTAATAGAAGTAGTGGGGCTTAGAGAGTGTCATGAGAAGGGCTGAGCAGCCAGCAGGCACCCCAGTAGAGCTTTTTTGTTCTTAAAGCACAGCATTCTTGGCTGAGCCATGGGTGTCCTCCTGAGGGCACTGGGGAGCCACAGCAGGGTTGGAAGCTGGGCAGGGGAAGTAGGTCAGATTTGCATTTTGATCAAAACCATACTAAAAAGTAAGAGACATTACAACTTCTCAGAGATCATCAGATTAATAAGTATAACAGGATTTAGGTAACATAAGTAGCACGTTTGGTTTAACCGAGATTATACCAGAATTTTACATCCAAGTAAGAACACGCATCCTTTTCATACATATAAGGAAGTAATGTCCTACAAATTGACAGTGTGAGTAAAGGTTACCTGAAGAACAAAAGGTGGAATGTAGAAAATGGCCTGGGGGGGAAGGATGGCTGGAAGATTACAGCTGGGTGACAGTGAGCAGGGAGAGAAGGGACCTTAACAAAAGCACTGCTGGCACATCCCAGAAATGTTCGGGCTGCTGGGGATCTCTCCCTGCAAGAAGCAAGGTCATGTAGGGTTGTGACTGCCAGGGGAAAAGCCTGGCGCTTGTCTCAACAGTCCGTTCATCCCATCAACAGACAGTACATAATGCTTCCTATGTGGCAGATACTGAGACTTCTGCCCCTCATGGAGCTTTTATTTTAGAGGATGCAAAAGATGATAGCCATAGTAAATAAGAAATTATATAGCTTGTTATGAGGTGTTAAGTGCTGTGGTAACTGGGAATTAGGACTGACAGCAGGAGGGTTGGTTTGCAATGATCAGGTTAAAACAAAATTGACATCATCAGAAAGGACATGATCAGGTTCGTGCTTTAGGATGACAACATCAAGTTGGGATCAAAGGCAAAGGGTAATTTAGAGCAAGGATTTAGGCAAGAGGCTGAAGTCATGTAAACAAGAGTGCCTGATTAAATGTGGGGGTCCCTGGCCCCAGACTCACCTGCCCGCCGCAGGAACATGGCTTCTCGAGCCTCTGGGCTGTCCAGGTGACTCCGATCACCAGGGCCAAAGCCAACTGTTGGGAGGGGAGAGGCAAGGATGGTGGGAGGAGAGTCCTGTGCACACCTTTTTACCACCCTGCCTGATTGCCCAACCCCCTCACCTTGCTACTCTTTACTTACCAGGGCCTACAAAAGGAGGGCCACCCACCATGGGAGGAACTACTGTGGCTGCAGCAGCTGCTCGGGCCTCCAGAGTCTGCTGGACCTGTCGAGGAAGAGGTCAGGGTGAGGGGCCTGACTCAGCATTCCCATCTGCTGCGGCCAGCTCACCCCAAGAGACCAAGAGCTTCATGCTTTGTGCTCTGTATGTGGCTGGCTATCTCAGGTCTTAGCTAAAATGCCACTTCTCGGGGAGGCTTTTTGGATCACACTAGGGCTCTCTGAGCAGCAACTTCTCTCACCACCTTATTTCATCTTCCCCACAGCACTTAGCACCCACTGAAACTGTGTCCAACCTGTCCTCCCCATCTCCCATGCACAACCTCCATCCAAGCCACCATTAACTCCTGTCTAGATTACTGTACTAGCCCCTTCCTCCATCTCCTGGCTTCTGCCCTTGTCCCTTACAGTCTTTTTTTTGAGACGGAGTCTCGCTCTATTGTCCAGGCTGGAGTGCAGTGGCACGAGCTTGGCTCACTGCAACCTCCGCCTCCTGGGTTCAAGTGATATTCCTGCCTCAGCCTCCGGAGTAGCTGGGATTATAGGCGCCCGCCGACACGCCCGCCTAATTTTTGTATTTTTAATAGAGACGGGGTTGCACCATGTTGGCCAGGTTGGTCTTGAACTCCTGACCTTGTGATCTACCCGCCTTGGCTTCCCAAAGTGCTGGGATTACAGGCGTGAGCAACCGTGCCTGGCCACCAGGGTTCTTAAAATGGCCATAAGGCTCTACAAGATTTGGCCTCACCTCTCTGTCCTTATCTCCTCCCACTTTCCTCTTTGCTCACTCCACTGTCACTGGTCTCCTTGCTGTTCCTTGAACACAACAACACAACAGGTATGCACCTGCCTCAGGGCTTTTTTTTTTTTTTTGAGACGGAGTCTCGCTCTGTCACCAGGCTCCAGTGCAGTGGCGCAATCTCAGCTCACTGCAACCTCCGCTTCCTGGGTTCAAGCGATTCTCCTGCCTCAGCCTCCCAAGTAGCTGGGACTACAGGCACGTGCCACCACACCCAGCTAATTTTTGTAATTTTAGTAGAGATGGGGTTTCACCATGTTGGCCAGGATGGACTCGATCTCTTGACCTCGTGATCTGCCCGCCTTGGTCTCCCAAAGTGCTGGGATTACAGGTGTGAGCCACCACGCCCAGCGCCCAGCCTATTTTCATCTTAATAATTTCTCTCTCTTTCTCTACTAGTCATATATAGTTGGCTACTGAGCACTTGAAATGTGACTAATGAGAATAACGAACTATTAAATATAAATTTTAAATATATCAGAACAGTCTCGTCATTGCAGAAAGCTCTACTGGACAACATGTTCTAGAATATAAGCTCCCACAGGGCAGAAATGTCTCTCTCAGTCATTACTGTGTTCTCAGTGCCTGGCATATAAAATATTTGTCATGCTAATTAGTCAACAAGCCAAAACGTCAACAGCTCTCTGTACACAAACACCTACTCTGTTCGAGGCATTGTGTTCCCTGACTTACATGCCTTAGCTCAGCCGTACCTGCTGGTATGTGTTGGTCGCGATAATTGGGCGGATCACAGGAGCCGCTGGGACCTGCATCGCTTCTACTGTGGGGACCGTGGGGACAGTGGGCACCGCAGGCACAGCAGTTGGGATTCCAGGTACTGGAGCCCCCAGAACTTCCTGCTCAAACCTGGAGGAGTAGAACAGACATCAGCGCTCAGGACCTCGTACCAATTTTGGAACTGTGGGTATATCGCGAGGGGACCCTCACCCCTGCCAACCTCTCCCCTATCCCCGCCCCCACAATCCCGAAGGTCCCACTTCCCCATGTTAGAGCCGTATCTCCGGCCTATCGAGGCCTGGAGGCTCCGAGATTCGGTGGCTCTGGCTCTGGGACGACTTTTATCACTCTCTGTCGCGGGCCTTACAGGGCCATCTCCGCCTCCATTTCCTTCAAGCGTTCCTCGCCGCTTTTGCCCGGGATGCCAGCGCCAGGACCCGGGACCACGGGTCCTCCTGCACCCGGGAGTCCCGGGGCTGGCCCCGCCCCAGCCATCGCTGCCGTCGTCGCTGTCGCCGCTACTACAGTCTCTGCTTAGCCGCCGCCGCTGGTTCTGCTGTCTACTCTCCCCCTTCGTCCGGGTGGGCTCCCGAGGATGACGTCCAGCAAAAGCGACGGGCGCTGGCGCATGACGTCATACATTCGGGCGCGAGAGCCAATGAGATTTGGCCACACCCTCAGGGGGAATATAGGCCAATCAGAGTGAGAGAAGGACACACGAACGCAAGAACCTGGGCCTATGAGAGCACAGCGGAGAGGCGGCCCCGCTTTCCTGGAGGACCACCGGCTAATGAGAGCGAAGCAAAGTCAGTTGGGCCCATCCCCAATGTGGAATCTGGACCTTTGAGATCGCAGGAAAGTTTGGAGGACCCTCCTGTGCCACCGCAGAGCCCGCGCCGGAAGTTTAAAAAGACGCTAAAGTCCGTGTCAACCCCAGGGTTGGGCAAGGCTGGGAGGCCTGGCTGGCCCCTCGGGGCCCCTATCCTGGAGTAGGTTGACACCCGACCTGTGGTTTCCAGGAAGACCGGAGACGCCCGGGAGGAAGCGCCTGACCCGGCTTCCTGGAGGAGGACAGCTGAAGACATTTAAAGATGAGAGCTGTTCAGGGTGGGAGCCAAGGCCCAGAGACTAGTGCAACTCAGAGGAGCACGTCCGTGGGCTTGGTCCCTGTCCTTTCTTGGGCCACAGCTGACCCTTTTTTTTTTCCCGTAGCCCTCACAAGTGTTTTATTCTGAGTATTTTCAAACATGCACATTAAGGGGAATAGTATAACGCACTCTTAAGTACATCTCAAACGCTACCAATATTCAACACTTCTGGATTTCACTTGATCTATACTTCTTTGTCACGCGCGTCCGTGTGAAGAGACCACCAAGCAGGCTTTGTGTGAGCAACAAGGCTGTTTATTTCACCTGGGTGCAGGCGGGCTGAGTCCGAAAAAGGAGTCAGCAAAGGGTGGTGGGATTATCATTAGTTCTTACAGGTTTGGGATAGGCTTATAAAGTACATTCTCAAGGGCGGGGAGAATGTTACAAAGTACCTTCTTCTTTTTTTTTTTTTTTTTTTTGAGACGGAGTCTCGCTCTGTCGCCCAGGCTGGATTGCAGTAGTGTGACCTCGGCTCACTGCAACCTCCACCTCCTGGACTCAAGGGATTCTCCTGCCTCAGCTTCCCTAGTAGCTGGGATTACAGGTGTGTACTACCACACCCGGCTAATTTTTGTATTTTTAGTAGAGGCGGGGTTTCACCATGTTGGCCAGGCTGGTAGCAAACTTCTGATCTCAAGTGATCCACTCGCCTCGGCCTCCCAGAGTGCTGGGATTACAGGCATGAGCCACTGCGCATGGCCTTATACTTTTCTTATTTTTATATTTTTTTGCTGGAGTATGTTAAAGCAAATTCCAGACATCAACTCAGTCATAAATGCGCCATTATGTCTCCTTAACAGATAAGAACTATTTTTTTTTTTTTGAGACGGAGTCTCGCTCTGTCGCCCAGGCTGGAGTGCAGTGGCGCGATCTCGGCCCGGCCGATAAGAACTATTTTTAAAAAATACCATTAACGCTGGGCTCAGTGGCTCACACCTGTAATCCCAGCACTCTGGGAGGTCGAGGTGGGCGGATCACCTGAGGTCAGGGGTTTGAAACCCGCCTGGCCAACATGGTGAAACCCTGTCTCTACTAAAAATACGAAAATTAGCCGGCCGTGGTGGCGTGCGCCTGTGGTTCCAGCTACTCGGGAGGCTGAGGCAGGAGAATTGTTTGAACCCGGGAGACAGAGGTTGCAGTGAGCCGAGATCGCGTCACTGCACTCCAGCCTGGGCGATAGAGTGAAACTCAGTGTCAAGAAAAAAAAAATACCATTAACTATGCCATTATGAATACCATCAAATTAATTTCTTAGTATCATCTAACACCCAGACCGTGTTCAGTTTTCCTTGTCTCAAAAATGTCTTTATACGATAGTAGAATCAGGATCAAAACAAGGTCCAAATATTGCATTTGATTGTCTTTTTTTTTTCCTGTCAAAACTTAAATTTTTGCTTGCTCAGATGTTTACCAACAAGAAAAACTTAGAGGCCAGGCGAGGTGGCTCACACCTGTAATCCCAGCACTTTGGGAGGCCAAGGCGGGTGAATCACGAGGTCAGGAGTTCAAGACCAGCCTGGCTAACGTGGTGAAACCCCGTCTCTACTAAAAATACAAACATTAGCTGGGCGTGGTGGCGAGCGCCTGTAATCCGAGCTACTTGGGAGGCTGAGGCAGGAGAATCGCTTGAACCCGGGAGGCGGAGGTTGCAGTGAGCCAAGATTGTGCCACTGCACTCCAGTGACAGTGCGAGACTCCGTGTCAAAAAAAAAAAAAAGAAAATTTAATTTTATTGGCTGCCTTGGTTTCTTGAAGCTGCAGTATGAATCAGTACAAATGAATACCTGCCTGCCTGCCATCTTTCTTTCTTTCCTTCCTTCCTCCCTTCTTCCCTCCCTCCCTTTCTTCTTTCTTTCTCCATTCCCCCTTTTGCCTTCTCTTTATTGAAGAAACTGGATCATTTATCCTATAGGGTGTCACACATTTTGAATTTAACTAATTACATCCTTTTTGTTTCACTTGTTTCTGACTGCCTTCTGCCCCTTTCCCATATGCTTGTAGTGAGAGCTAAGGCTAGATGAGATTTAGGTTTAATTTGGTAAAAGCACACTTCATAGATAATATTGTATGGTATCATATCCCTTGTATCCTATTGGATCCCATCAGAAGCACAAGATGTCTGGTTGCCTTCCTTTGGCATCAGGATTGATCAGTGGTGTCATCCTGGTCTACCTATTTTAAGAAGCCCAATCAACCTTTCCCCTAATAGTTTTAGTAGCCCTTGATCATCATTACCTGTATCCATCACTAGATTAATTAATAGCAAATAGTGGTTTTTGAATTCTAGTATTTTCTCTGAAGTTATTAGTTGTGATTCTTCCATAAATAACCTCTTCATCAGAAATTTGGTTACTTAGGCTGGGCACAGTGGCTCACACCTATAATCCCAGCACTTTGGGAGGCTGAGGCGGGCAGATTACCTGAAGTCAGAAGTTTGAGACCAGCCTGGCCAACATGGCAAAACCCCGCCTCTAATAAAAATACAAAAATTAGCCTGGCATGGTGGCGCGCACCTGTAATCCCAGCTACTCAGGAGGCTGAAGCACGAGAATCACTTGAACCCAGGAGGCGGAGGTTGCAGTGAGCCAAAATCTCACCATTGCACTCTAGCCTGGGTGACAGCACAAGACCCTGTCTCAAAAAAAAAAAAAAAAAAAAGTTGGTTACTTGTTCACATATAAGAAAAATAGAGAACATGCTGGATTATTTTATATATAAAAAATTTTTCAAAATAATGAGTGGGTTCCTAGTACTCTTCAAAGGTGATTTCAATGAGGTATATGAGTATCAACATGAACTTACACATTCAGGCATATTTGATGTGCTTCAAACCACTGTGGTTCTTTTTGCTGCTCAACATGTCCCACCTTTGGTGAGTGACAGCCCTTCAGACTGGCTCCTGAGTTCCTTTGACTTGGCCACAGTAGTCTTGGAGGACTCTTTGCTTCCTGGCACAAAATATCCTGGACACATTTTGCACATTTCTTGCCCCAGACCTGGAATCAGCTGTTTTCACAAAAGTCCCTAGTTCTTAGTCAGAAATGGCACTTATAGAGACCACAGTCTGTATACTAGTGCTGCTCAGTGTTACTGGGGTGTCATTATATTTAGACCTTTTCAGGGGACTTAACTAGGGAAATACATATTTTTTAGAAAGAGAAAAATCATGACTTTATTCTGATATTTCCAATTCATGTGAAAGACTACAGGGTGTTTACTTGAGTTTATATTTGTTATCTTTTTTCATTTACACTAAAAATCTTGGTCCCCAATGACATTACATCACTACTTATTTGCTTTAGTATATAATTCAAAAAATATAAGGTAGAATCTCAAAAATTTAAACGGTCTATTTTATCAAAATAAAAATGCCAGTGTTATTACTAACAATGTGACTACTGTATGAAGTTGAAGATTTTGTTGAGTTCAGTTGAAGGTGGGGGCTGGGAACTGTGATGAGGAGAGAGAGGAGGAGCAGACACACTAAGGACTACATGGGAAAGCCAATGTGGAAAGGCTGGGAAACAGCAGCCAGGGGCAGGAGGAAAGCTGGGAGAGTAAAGGGACTCTGGAGGCCAAGAGAGGAGTTGTGTGAGAGATGGACAGCAAGGTTCAAGATCATAAAGCTGCCAAACTTCCAAATTTGAAAACTTACTGCAACACCAGTAAAACTACCATCTGTGCATGTTTTTCTTCTGGGGCCAGCCAAATTAAATCTAATGTTCACTTAGTTTGGGAAAAAAAATTTACTGAGACAGGGGAAACTAATCCCAGCAGGTGAAGATTTGGGAGGCAGAGGCGATAGAATCACTTGAGGCCAGGAGTTGGAGAGCAGCCTGACCAACATGGTAAAGCTCCGACTCTACAAAAAATACAAATATTAGCCAGATATGGTGGTGGGTGCCTGTAATCCCAGCTATTCAGGAGGCTGAGACATGAGAATTGTTTGAATCCAGGAGGCAGAGGTTGCAGTGAGCTGAGTTCATGCCACTGCACTTCAGCCTGGGAAACAGCCAGATTCTGTCTCAAAAAAAGAAAGAAAGAAAGAAAAAGAAAAGCACCTAAGAGAATCCAGCCATTTCAGATATGGCAATGTGGTCAGGCGCGGTGGCTCATGCCTGTAATCCCAGCACTTTGGGAGGCCGAGGCAGGCAGATCACTTGAGGTCAGGAGTTCGAGACCAGTCTGGCCAACATGATGAAACCCCGTCCCTACTAAAAGTACAAAAATGAGCTGGGCGTGGTGGTGCGTACCTGTAATCCTAGCTACTGGGGAAGCTGAGGCATGAGAATGGCTTGAACCTGGGAGGCGGAGGTTGCAGTGAGCTGAGATCATGCCACTGCACTCCAACTTGGGCAACAGAATGAGACTGCATCTCAAAAAAAAAAAAAAAAAAAACAAAAGAAAACAAGAACAGATATGACAATGTGTCACAAGCCTTTCTATTAAGCTACTGTAGGAATGACACATGGAGAGTTAAATACAAAGCAGGTCTGGAGAGAAGCCAGATATAACCCAATTAAACATGGAAATTTAGTGCATAAAAAGGTGGCATCTCAAAAGTGTAAGGGCTTTGCTTTATAAATTGAGTAACCCACGCAGTGAAATGCACAGGCCTTAAGACTACAACTACATGAGCTCTGACAAATCTCTACACCTGCGTCACCGCCGCTGCTCTTGACACAGCACATTCCCATCAGCTAGGACATTTCTGTGTCTCCTCCTCAGTTGATCCCTGCCACCCACCTTCCCTCAGAGGCAACTGCCACTCTGACTGGGAATTTCAGTAAGTGCTACTAGGATATATGTAAAATAAGACAAAATTGGATCCATGTGCTAGGATAAATTCCAAATGGCTGATTTACATGTAAAAAAAGAAACTATACAAACTAGAAGGCAATCTCATCTTTTAATACATTCCTCACCCCCAACCTACACTGTCCCCCTCAGTGGCCCTTATTGCAGCACATCCTGGCTCAGGGCCTTTGCATGTGCTGTTGCCTCCAGCTGCAAGCCCTTACTCAGCCACCCCTGTTGCTCCTGCTCACCCCTTGACGGAGCACGACCTGGGCAGTGTGGCCCTCAATTCAAATCACACATCCCACCCCCTGCTGGATTTCCCACACAGCAGTTAACTTGCAGCATACTACATATATATTTTCCTTATCTTGTAAACTCTGTCTCCCTGCCCTAGAACTCAACTGCTGGAAGACAGGGTTTTCTGTTTCTTTTGTTCAGTGTGGACTCCCCAGCGCCTAGAGGAGGTGCTCAATTACTTTTTGCTGAGAATGAAAGTGATGAAGGGGTTTTAGGGGGTGCTTTAGCGGGATGAAAGGACAGGGTCCAGGAGCTGAGTGGGGCAGCAGAACAGCACATGAGGGGACTGCAGGTGCGGGTGGGGACGACTGCCGAGGAATCCTGGCGCTGCTTTCTTCCAAATGTCCTGGGGGAGGTGAGGTGTTGGGGTGAACAGTGTCAAGTTCTCGGCTTCCGTTTGAACCCTCTCTTCAGCTGCACAGCTTCTGCAGGGCCCCCTGGGCCTGAACCCAGCGCAGCCGCCACTGGGGCAGGGACAGGCCCTGGCAGAGCTCCTCAGAGAGGGCGGCCTGGCCTGGCTGCTCCCACCTGGGGAATGGCATGGCGTCAACGAGGAAAGGACTGACCCTCCAGACCCTCCCTGCAAAACCATGGCCTGCTCCTTCTCATCAGGCCCCCAGCTTGAGTCCTGACTTTTCTGTTTCCCATCCGCGGCACGTTCCCCTCTCACCAGTCCCCCACGATCCCCTGCAGCTCAGGGATTCGCTCCAGTGCCTGTTTCAGTAGCTTCTCCAGCCTCTTCAGAGCCTGCCCCAGGTTCTCTTTCTGCTGTTTTTCCTGGGATGCCTGGATCTGCAGCAGCTCTGAGGGTGAGAAAGCCAGGAGGCAGCTTTGAGTCCTCTGGCTCGCTGGTACCTTACAGCAATGAGTCCCCAATTCTCCAGTCCCCTAGTCTTGACCTCAGCAGCTCCCGCAAACCAATGATGAGTCTGTCTCCTTCTCTTCCCAGCCTGGAAGTCCCCTTCTGAGGGACTGCCCTTGAGATGAGGACCTGTCCCTCCTCCCAGATCCTCATCTCAAGGGCAGTCCACCACCCCCAGCCCCATCCAGGCCTCCTTCTGGATGCCTTCCTCCCTCCCCGTGAGAGCCCATCAATCTCCATGGCCTGTCCGCTCAGTCTCCTGAGCGTTTCTTCCTCTCCTCTGCTCCAGGCCTCAGTCTCCTGCTCTGGTTCACCCTCCGCACTACACCACAGTGATCTTCCTGAAGCCTAAATTTGATGCTCTCCCTCCTGTCTAGAACCCTCCAAGGTTCTCCAGTGCCCCCAAGGCAGAGTCCAAGCCCTTCAGCAGGTATTTGAGTTTCATGATGTGGCAAAGCCTGGCCGATTCCCAGGGCCCACAGTAGAGAGTATCTTTCCTCCTGGAGGCCCCTCCAACACTCTCGCTCCAAGGCTTCCTCCTCCGCCTGCTCTAGCTTCACCCTAGCGGTGCTTTCCTCTGGGACTGGGACTGGGCCTACCTCTCCATGTGCACAGAACAGGCCCAGCTCAGCAAGTGCAGACGAGCAGCGTGATCAGACAAGCTGGGCCTGAATCCTGACCCCATCCCATCCCTGCCCTGTGACCTTGATCACGACACTGGCTCTTTGTTCAGCTCCGTCTGCTGTCAGGTGGAATTACTGGGGCAGGGGACCGATGGGAGAACTCTGGGGATGGGACCCTTAGGGCTTGCTGAGAGGCTGAAGCTGGTGAGGGTGGGGGGATTAGGGTGATGGAGAAATTCAGGATGACTCCTGGGTTTCTGGGTGCAGCACTTGGATGAGGAGGGTGAGATAATTTAACAAGGAAGGAAACCAAGAAGAGGAACAAAATTGTTTTTTGGAGTAGAGAGAACCAGGAGTTCCATGATAGATGTGTACAGTTCAAGATGCCCATGATTATAAGAAATATAAAATTAGCTGGGTGTGGGGTGCATGCCTGTGGTCCCAGCTACTCGGGAGGCTGAGGCAGGAGGATGGCTTGAGCCCAGGAGGTTGAGGCTGCAGTAAGCCAGGATGGCACCACTGCACTCCAGCCTGAGTGACAGAATGAGACCTTGTCTCAAAAAAACAAAAGCAAAAACAAAAAACACATGAGGTGGGCAGAGGGCGTGGTAGGCAGAGGCTGAGGTGGGCAGAGGCCGTGTGGGGTCTGGGGCTGCTCTCATTGCTCCTGCACACTGTTCCCTCCCCTTGTGAAGAAGTGGAGGGCAGGGAGCCCCAAACTCAGAGGCTTGAACAGTCTCTTCCTCCAGTGCTGCTGGCACTGCCGGTTCATTTCTCATCAATTCTCCTCTTCCATGTATTTATCCTTTCATTCTTTACTCTTTACTTCCATCTGGGGAAACCCCTGGGGTGGGGACCTTTCTCCTCACTCCCCATCAAGCCATCTGGGCTGGCACCTGGTAGACACCCAGTATTTGGTGAGTGAATCCAGGAATGAATGACTTCTCTAACCTTCAGTTTCCTCATCTGTAAACTGGGGTTCTTAAAAGTCCCTTTCCTCATCGTCATGACTCCAAGAGACTGTGTGTGTACACAGACAATGATGCTAATCACATTGGAGACACAGGGTGCTTACTGCATAGCAGGCAGTGTTCAGTGCCCTGTGTGGGTCCCCTGCCTCAATCTGCCCAGCACCTCGGTAAGATATTGCTTCATGCTTACTCCACTGAGGAGGAAGCTAAGGCACGGGGAGGCCACACAGCTAGGAAGAGACGGCAGAGAGGATTCCCAGGCTTTGAACTGCTGAGGTATACTATGTGACGGTGATGAATGAACACGTGGAAAGTCGACGGCAGTGTAGCTTAGTGGTTGGGAGCACAGACCCATTTCAGACCACCTGGATTCAAATTCCAGCTTTGCCATTTGGGCAACCTACTAACCTCTGCGTCTCAGTTCCCTTCTCTGTAGAATGGAGAGAACAGCAGCACTTACCTTATGGGACTGCCGTGCAGATGAAACAAGGGAGAATGTTTAAAGCCCTTAGCACACAATGGGCACTGCGTAAACAACGGGGTTGCTGGTAAGGACTCGTGGAGGCTGCTGGTAGTGGGAATGGGCGGGGAGGCTGGATGGGGTGGCAGGGCAGACCTACCCTGGGTGGGAAGGCCTGGCGGCAGGCTGGTCTTCATGTGGAGTAGATCCCAGCACCAGAGGCTCCGCTGGTCCTGCAGGAGCAGAAGGTCCTGGCGAAGAGAGGCAGCCGCCGGCAGGAGCAGCTCCGAGGCCTGGAGGAGGAGGGAAGGACGGTCACCTGGGGCGGGGCTGGGGAGACAAGTCACAGGAGACGGGCACTCACCTTCCCTGGAGGCAGCCCCAGCTTGTGGCTCAGCGCTATGAAGCTGGAGCCCCTTGGGGACGCGGGGTGCAGCTGGTGGATGGATGGGAGGACCGTGGGCAGGGGCTTCAACCTACGGGCGGGGAGAAGTCTGGGTTGGGTGGGGACTGAGAGGAGGCCTTGGGTTCTGGAGGCTCTGGGGGCCCAGGAACTTCAAGGTGGGTCTGGGGACTAGGATGCCAAGACCAGGGCTGCTGACCCAAGGGTGAGGTCTGGCAGCCTGGGAACACTGGGGGTCTGGGGTTATCTTTTTTGAGGAGGTTCAGGGAGTGACAGTCACCCATGGCAGGGGATGCAGGGCAG
The DNA here is from genome assembly GCF_000001405.40 of Homo sapiens. Lineage (NCBI taxonomy): Eukaryota > Metazoa > Chordata > Mammalia > Primates > Hominidae > Homo > Homo sapiens. The sequence goes on along the minus strand of NC_000019.10, from coordinate 35,619,781 downwards.
GGGTGGGGCAGCCCCAGTCTCACTCTCCCGGCCTGTGCCGCAGCAGCGTGCCCAACAGAATGTGGGGCAAATGCCGGACTTCCTCCTCCAGACAGCGCAGCAGCTCCCGGCTCTGTGGTGCCACTGCCTCAAATGTAGGGACCACCTTTCGCTGGACCAGAGCTAGCACCTGTGGGGAAGGGGAGGGGTGGGTGGGGCATCACAACATCACAAGTCCACCCAGCCCCATCCTGGCAGATCCAGCCCTACCCAGACCTCACCCCAACTCCCATCTCACCTCCCCCGGGCTCCGGCACAGGCGGGTCTTGCTGGCCGAGTTTCCCTTGATGAGCAGGCGGACCTGTTCCTGGGTCTCCTCCTGAGGAACCAGGATACCCTGAGACCCACTCCTCCCAGCTCCCAGCCTCAGTGTGCCTCTCTGCTTAGGTCCTGCTTCTGCCTGGGAGTCTCACCTGGGCTCTTGCCTAGGAGGCCCAGTTCTTAATTTTTAAGTGACAGCATTCTTTTTTTTTAAGTGATAGCATCTTGCTCTGTCACCCAGGCTGGAGTGCAGTGGTGTGATCATACCTCACTTCAGCCTTGAACTCCTGGGCTCAGATCCTCCCACCTCAGCCTCCCAAAGTGCTGGAACCACAGGCATGTGCTACCACACAGGGCTCAGGCCCAGTTCTTAGCCATAGTTTTCAAGCCTCCCCTCTGGCCCTCCACAAGGCCCTGGGCCTAGCCTCTCACCACCAGCTGGCGCCAGTGCAGGATCCGCTGCTGTTTGGCCTGTAGCTCCCTCAGCAGGAGCTGCCGATGCCCAGCTGCATCCTGCAGCTCCTGGCTCTGATCGTGCAGGGCCTTGAGCTCCGTCCACAGGCAACAGCGCCGAAGCCCCAGTATCAGCACCTGCCTGCAGGGCAAGTGGAGGAGAGCAAAGGAGAGAAGGGTGACTGAGCCACACAAGGGACCATAAACCAGGGAGAGACACTGCAGGGAGAGGAGGCAGAGATAGGAGCCACAGAGGCTGAAAAAGTCCAATGGGCTGAGACACTCAGAAGCGAGATGGCCTAGAGACCTCTTCTCGGAGAGCCCCCCACCTCTCACTGGATCCCAGGACGCGTCTCTCCACCTCCTCCACCAGGCCCTGGAGGCGCTGGGTCAAGACTTGCCGCTCCTTCAGGAGGGTGCTCCGCTGGGAGACCAGCACACCCACAGTCCGCCAGCCCTCCTGCAAGCGGGGTACAGAATCAGGGTACACCCAGGGCATGATCCATGGGTGAGGGGATTAAGGAAGTCTTGGAATGTGGTGGGGAGGCGAGCCCTGGGGTCACCTGGATGAGATGAACCATGGACGGCAGGGTCTGGCTGGAGTCTGACTGGTCCGGGGCCTGGGGTCTGGGGTGGGGGAAGAGCTGCTGAGGGAGCCGTGCTGCGGCCTTGCCTTGGTACTCGAGGGTGGACAGTATCAGTCCTGCCACCCCACCAGGCAGTGGGTTTCAGTTCTACCCCATCAGCAGGTGGCTGGGCCAGGGGTCCTGAGGCTGTCCCAGCTCACCCACTCACATGGCCTTCCCCAACTGTGAGAATACCCTGCCCCACACCTGGATATCTCTGTGTCGCCAAGCCCATCCCCACTGCACAGGGACCGAATCTCTGCCTCCCGCTCTGCAGCCAGGTGCTCCAAGGCAGCCAGGACGTGGCCTGGGGGGTGGTTTGTCAGCAGCGTCTAGGGGGAGGGAGGGTGAAGTCAGGGCAGGATCGGGGCAGGGCTGTGAGCTGAGACCCCATGGGAATAGGGCTGTCATCAAGAGTTAGGTCCTGGCACCCTAAGTTTTGATCAAGGAGCGGGAGGGTGTGGCTTTCCTGAGAGCCCTGCCCTCTCACCTCCACTGAGCTCAGCCACTGCTGGTACGAAGTGCCAAAGTGGTCATCATGAGGGGTTCTGTGGGGTTGGGTAAGCGGACAGAGAACGTTACAAGACACGTCAATTATCCTCTAGTTATCACCACCACCCTATAAGGTAGGGGCTGTCATCTTCCCTATGCCTGTTAGACTTGAGTTCCCCAATTATACCAACCTGCTGGCTTTGGGGCCTTTACATGGGTTGTTCATCTGGGACACTCTCTGGACCCTTCACCCCAGCTAAGCCTCCTCACCAGAGAACCTCTCCCCTCCCTGCCTTCTTAGCTGGGAAAGGCACTGCCTCTGGGTGCCCAGAGCCTCTCAGGCCTCCTCACTCCCGCAACAGCCCTGACCACCTGGCTGTCACTGTTTGTGATGAGAGACTGTCTCCTTCTATTCCCAGCCTGGAAGTCCCCTTCTACAGAACGTAGCCCAGAAGCTCAGTGTCTGAGGAATTAATAAATAAGAGACCCCCACTTAAAACCCAGGGTCTTTACAGGGTCTCTGGGGGCTAGGGACACTCACGGGAGGCTGCCCCTCTTGGCCTGGGGAAGCAGGAGGTTCTGCAGGAACTGGGCCCGGAGGGTGCAGGCTGTTCGGACATCACGCTAGGGAGAAGAGGAGGAAGGGACCTGAGGGGGACCCTAGCATCTGCCTGACTCCAGGCTCCCTGCCCCTTCTCCCATGACCAGGACTCTTACCAGGACCACGGGCTCCAGGCCCAGAGCTGCCGACGTGAGGGATCCAAAGGTCACATCTACTTTGGCTTTCCTGGAGGGAGAAGTGCAGCTGGGGCTGGGGTCCCTGGGAGAACAGATGTCTGTGCCCCATCTCCTCTCACTGCCAGCAAGGCCGGTCAGAGGAATCACTAAGCCTAGATCTCGGGAGCCATCTCCAGATTAGGCCACTGTCACCTCCCAGCTGGAATATTGCATTAGCCTCCCCACTGCTTTTGCTCCACGAGACTGTTTGCCACCCAGAAGTCAGTGATTCTGTTAAAACTGTAGGAAGATCATGTCCCTGCTCAGATCTGTCCAAAATAATGTGATGTTTCCCCAGCGCATTCAGAATAACAATGGGCCCAGCGTGGTGGCTCATGCCTGTACCCCAGCGCTTTGGGAGGCTGAGGTAGGTGGATCACTTGAGGTCAGGAGTTCAAGGCCAGCCTGGACAACATGGTGAAACCCCGTCTCTACTAAAAATACAAAAATTAGTCGAGCACAGTGGCATGCGCCTATAATCCCAGCTACTGGGGAGGCTGAGGCAGGAGAATCGCTTGAACCCCAGAGGCAGAGGTTGCAGTGAGCCAAGATCATGCCACTGCACTCCAGCCTGGGCAACAGAGCCAGACTCTGTCTCAAAAAAACAAAACAAAACAAAACAAAAAAACCAAACCCAGAATAACAATGGTTAACAGGCACTTCTCTAAGCACTTCACATGATTTATTCCACCTAACGATCATGCCTACCCTATAAGCTTGGTATTAATATTATCCCCATTCCACAGATCTTAGAATCTGAGGCACATAGAAAGAAGTTAAATACCTTGCCCAAGGTCACCCAATTTTTTTTTTTTTAAACAGAGTTTTGCTCTTGTCACCCAGGCTGGAGTGCAGTGGTGCAATCCAGGCTCACTGCAACCTCCTTTTCCTGGGTTCAAGTGATTCTCCTGCCTCAGCTTCCTGAGTAGCTGGGACTACAGGCACGTGCCACCACACTCGACTAATTTTTGTATTTTTTAGTAGGGACGGGGTTTCACTATGTTGGCCAGGCTGGTTTCGAACTCCTGACCTCAAGTAATCCGCCTGCCTCGGCCTCCCAAAGTGCTGGGATTACAGGTGTGAGCCACCATGCCCAGCCTTAGGTCACCCAATTTTAAGTGGCCAAGCCAGGGCATGAACCAGTGTCAGGGTAAAATCGCAACACATCATCCACAGTTCTCTGTCCACTCCTTCGACCTCACCTCCTCAGGTTCTCGGTCTTGCCTGAGAAACTTGAGCTGACATTGGCCTCCGGGCTGCTCTTCCTGCATGCTGAGCACACCACCTCTGCTCTTGCTATTCCTTCTCCACAGAAATTCCTCTTCCAACTCAATGTCCCCTCCTCAGAGGCCTTCGCTGACCACCCTCGCTAGGGCAGCATCTCCCTCTCCCTTCTATGATAGGCTTTTCTTCACAGCACTCATCTCTACCAGAAATGATAGGGTCTGTTTGGTTCCTACTTTACTATCTGTCTTCTCTGTGTCACAGCATAAGCTCCAGGAGGGCAGGGACATGTTCTCTGTTTGTGGCTGTTTCCCCAGGGCTGGTGTTCTAGGTATACAGGTGGTATCATTCTAGGCACTGAAAATACAGGTGACTGAGATGACAAAACCTCCTGGCCTCATGGACATTCCATCCTAATGGTTCCAGAATTCTGGAACCCAAGAAGGGATCAGGGCAGAGCCCTGAGGTCTCTAAGAGAATGTCTGGCCACCCAGCCTGGTGAGGGTGGGTCCCTGAGGCCCACCTCTCCATGTCCTGCAGGCGCCTCAGTTGATTCTGCAGCCGCTGCATGGGATCTCGGAGCGTATGCTGCTGTCTTCGCATGGCCCCAGCTTGGGCCCGGAGGAGGAGAGCTCGACGCTGGGTGTCTTGAGTGTGCTGACGTGCCTGCTCCATGGCCGTGTCTGTGGGAGGAACAGGGGTGGCCATCAGCACCTTTCCCGCCCCACATTCTGGTGCCCATCTTCTGGCCCCATGGCTCACCCTGAGCCTCAGTGTCTCGCTCCATCAGCTCCAGGCTCTGGTCGAGTTCCTGGATTTCTGCCCGCAGGCGGGTCACAGCAGCTTCCAGCTCTAACTTCCGACGGACCTGGGAGGATCAGATTCAGGGTCAGATGGTCTGATCGGGGCTCAGCCTGGCCTGTCTTTTGGGGGTACCAGGCTCCTCAACTGGTGGCAGAGGGTTTTTGCTCAGCAGTTTCTGTGTCTGACACAGAAGCATTAGGGTATTGGCTCCCTCCCTCCTTCCTCCTAGGATTGTCTTACCCACACTTCCAGCCTGTTTCCTGTCTGTGCTGGTGACAACCACATCTTTGTCCCAGTACTGATCTCTTCCCGGAGCCCTGCACCTAGAAGTCCCAAGGCCTCCTGGAAGCCTCCCCTTAGGTGTCATATGAGCCCCTTGCACCCATTGGGTCCCACACTGGCCTCAGCATCTCTCCCATACCTGTCCCATCATCTCTTCTCACCAGCTTTGATGCCACATATCCAGGTCCCACCTCTCTGCGCCCAGCTAATTAATGCTCTTTATTTATTTTTTCTTTTTTTGAGATAGAGTCTCGCTCTATTGCCCAGGCTGGAGTGCAGTAGTGCGATCTCAGCTCACTGCAACCTCTGCCTCCCAGGTTCAAGCGATTCTCCTGCCTCAGCCTCCCAAGTAGCTAGGATTACAGGCGTGTGCCACCACGCCTGGCTAATTTTTTATTTTTATTAGAGACAGGGCTTCACCGTGTTGGCCAGGCTGGTCTCGAACTCCTGACCTCAGGTGATCCGCCTCCCAAACCACATCTTTGTCCCAGTACTGATCGCTTCCTGGAGCCCTCAGGTGATCTCATCACCTGAGATGAGGCCTCAGGTGAGCCTCCCAAAGTGCTGGGATTACAGGTGTGAGCCACTGCACCTGGCTGAGCTAATGCTGTTTCCACTGGACTTTAAGCCCTATGAGGATGGAGATCAAGGCTGTCTTGTGACCCATTGTCCCCAGCATCACCCAGCACCTGGTTGGGCTTAGAGCAGAAGATCTACAAGTCATTTTTCGGATGAAAGAGAATCTTGTAGCATATGCTTCTCACCTGTGGACTGTCCTGGTGGCCATACCTAGGAAAACGAGGCCAGAGTCAGCGGATGAGTGGGGCTTCTAGGGGGGAGGGCAATAGGTGTGATGCTGTGGTGGGGACAGGGCTAAATGGGAGTGGGGAAGACAGGAGGGGATAGCTTTAAGAAGCAGTTACCAGAGTAGGTTTCCCCGGATCTTCTTGACAGTCCTACAGTGCAGAGGCAGAAAGAGGAGTTACTATGGGCCTCACCTGTGCCCCCTCCCCTGCTCTAGCCCAGCTTACCTCTGACTGTGCACATGCTGCAAGATGTAGGCCCAGATGTCAGCCCCCTGGCCCAGACACAGCCTGTGGGGACAGTGTGTAAGCATATGCCTGGGGCAGCACACAGGGTGTGGGATCCTCATTCCTAGGGTGATGGTGGTAGGGAGTTTTTACTAGGGAGTTCTCACTTCTTGAGGAGGGAAGGCCCAAACTTTTTTTTGCCTTTTTTTTTTTTTTTTTTTTAAGAGACAGTCTCGCTCTGTCGCAGTGGTACGATCATAGCTCCTTGCAGCCTCAACCTCCTGGGCTCATGCGATCCTCCCACCTCAGCCTCCAGAGTAGCTAGGACTACAGGCAGGCACCACTACACCCGGCTAATTGGTAAAACATTTTTTTTGTAGGGACTGGATGTTTGCACTAAGTGTGGTGTTATTCTCATTCCCTGGGAAGGCGGGTGGTGGGGGAGCGCGGGAGAGGCGGGTGCTCCCTTTCTCCTGGGAGTGGGTTATCCCAGTCACATCCAGAGGTGGAGGTGGGGGATGTACTGCCAGGAAGTGCCATCTCATGACCAGACGTGGGGCATCACTCCTACAGCTTCAATCCCCGATGGGGTGGCCACGGCTAACTCCTGAGTGTCCTTCTTGGTTAGGTTAAGGGAGGGAGGGGAGGTGCTGCGGGGACAGCCTCACTCTGGAGATCCTATTTCCATAAGGAGCGAGGTCTTAGCTAACTCGTGGAGGATCCTCACCAGTGCTAGGGACCTCACTCTGGGGAGCCTCCCAGGGTAGGGAGCCCTCAGTAAGTCGGGTCACTCTCGATGGGGAATTGGGGGGAGTCGAGTCCTCAATGAGGGGTGGAGTTCTCACTCCCGGAGACTCAATCTCCAGGGTGGGGTGTCCTCACTCCAGGAGCGGTCCTCACCTGCGCAGCGTCGATTCCGGGGCCCGGGCCGCCACGGGCACCCCCATCTCTTCGACCGCCCAGCAACCCAGTTCCCGCGCTTCCTGCGCTAGCTCCATGACAGCGCCGCGGCGGCGACACCGCCTCCCTCAGCCTCTTCAAGTGTGGCGCCCGCCTCTGACGTCACGGGCGCGCCAACAGTGACGTCATCGGTTGCCGGGCAGACAGCGGGCTCGGGCGCTGCATAGTAATCTTAGCGCGGTCAGGCTGGGTCTTGCAGCGCTCACTCTTCCCAGGTAGGTCTCCTTGAGTGGAAATGAAAAGGGCGTGGAGAGACTGCAGCCCCGCCCGCCTTCCCTCGTTCTCCCGCTCACTACCAGCTAACCCGAAAGAGGCAAAACAGTCCTTGATGCTTCCATTTATTTTCTTTTTCTTCTTTTAACTAAACACTTTTATTTTAATAGAGATGGGATCTCACTTGTTGCCCAGGCTAGTCTCAGCTTCTGGGCTCTTGAACTCCTGGGCTCAAGCGATCCTCCCGCCTCGGCCTCCCAAAATGTTGGGATTACAGGCGTGAGCCACCACGCTCACCCCCTTTATTTTCTTGACAAAATGGGACTTGCGTCCTAGGAGGACTGGAACCAGGCAATGAGATCCTGGACTTACTGCTCTTTGATTTCAGAAACAGGTGTCTCATGTCTGAGTGGAGGGTAGGGGCAGAGAGCATGACCCTAACATTTCCCTGGCATGCGTTTTCCCATTCATTCGTGCTTACCATTCCATAAACTCAGGGAGCTGACCCTGTGCTGGGTGATGCTGGGGACACCATGGTGACCACAACAGCCCTGGTCCCTATTGTACGGAGCTCACAGTTGAGTGGGGAGACAGACGCACCACCAGGTAGGGGTGGTAAAAATAAGCAGCAGGGGTGGGTCAATTTGGGACACAGCAGGTGTGAGAGGTCTGCGCTAGACCAGCAGTCCCCAACCTTTTGAGCATCAGGGACTGGTTTCATGGAAGACAATTTTTCCACAGTCTGGGGGATGGAGGGTGGGAGCAGTGGATGGTTTCGGGATGAAACTGTTCCACTTCAGGTCGTGAGGCATTATATTCTCTGTCTCTCTCTCTCTTTTTTTTTTTCTTCCCTGTTTTTTTTTTTGAGGTGAAGTCTCCCTCTTTCACCCAGGCTGGAGTGCAGTGGCCCGATCTCGGCTCAGCGCAATCTTTGCCTCCGGGGTTCAAGCGATTCTACTGCCTCAGCCTCCTGAGTAGCTGGGATTACAGGCGCCCGCTACCATGCCCAGCTAATTTTTGTATTTTTAGTAGAGACGGGGTTTCACCATGTTGGCCAGGCTGGTCTTGAACTCCTGACCTTAAGTGATCAGCCCATCTCAGCCTCCCAAAGTGCTAGCATTACAGGTGTGAGCCACCATGCCCCGCCTAAGCATTAGATTCTCATAAGGAGTGCGCAATCTAGATCCTTCGTATGCACAGTTCACAATAGGGTTTGCGCTCCTGTAAGAATCTAATGCCGCTCCTGATCTGGCAGGAGGTGGAGCTCAGGCAGTGATGCTCACCCATACGCCACTCACCTCCTGCTGTGCAGCCTGGTTTCTAACAGGCCATGGACTTGTATTGGTTCACGGCTTGGGGTTTGGAGACCCCTGCCCCTGCCCTAGATGAAATACTTCTCTGATGCTGACTAACCAACCATGCTTAAAAGCAAGGCCCGAAAGGATCAAGCTATTATTTAGCTGCATTCCAGAACAAAATTCAAGAATATTTATAGAGATTAAAAAAAATCCAGCATCCAACACTGTAAAATTAACAATATCTGACATCAGTAAAAAATTATAAGGCAATGGCTGGGCGTGGTGGCTCATGCCTGTAATCCCAGCACTTCGGGCGGTTGAGGTGGGAGGAATGTTTGAGGCTAGGAATTTGAGACCCACCTGGGCACCACAGCAAAACCTTGTCTCTATTAAAAATTAAAAAAAATTAGCCAGGCGTGGTGGTGCACGCTTGTAGTCCCATCTACTTGGGGGGTTGAAACAGGAGGATCAGTTGAGCCTGGGAGGTTGAGGCTTCAGTGAGCTATGATGGCACCACTGCACTCCAGCCTGGGTGACCCTGTCTCAAAGCCAAAACAAAACCAAACCAAAATAAAATAATCATCTGTATTCATGTTTCATAATATCCTCAATGGGTTTGTGCCTTTTTGGTACAGCTGTCAAGCAGCTCAAGAAAGTCGTGGGCTTTATCCGCTTAATGTAAGTGGCCGCTCTTGACTCTGGTTCCCAGGAAGACCTTCAACCTGGCCCCAGCCAAAAAGGCTACAAGCTGGCCCCCAAGAACTCACACAGCTTTTCCCAGTTCAGATGGCCCCAGGATAGCATGCCCACCAGCTTCCAGGAATCACTGTGGTTACTGTGCCCAGGTGCCTGAACCTCACAGTGCTGTGCATGGGGAGAAGCCTCTGCTGGGTGCTGACCTACCAGACAAGGATGGGCCAATTTAGGTAAATGGGAATGAGGAAGGAATGCCCGGCCCCAGAAAACCTCCCTCGAAGTTCAGATGACCATAGGAAACTCCCTGATAATGCAACTGCTGTGACTGTCACCTGCGTCTCAGTAGCTCACTGCAGGCACCTGGTCTCACTTCCTCCAGTCTGGCACAGCTTGTTACATCACCCAAGACAATGAAGGAAAAAGTGACCCCTTCAGAGGAAGGCCCTGAGCACTTAGGGTGCTTTCTGCCCCAGGGACCCAGGGTGAATCCCACGAAAGCCAGTTGTCTGGTTAGTGGTAACAGCACAGTGCAGGTGGACAGTCCCAATGTCCCATTGTTATGCTGGTGCTCAGCAGATGGTGAAGAACCTCCAGGCATGCCCCACAGCGGTCCCTGCTGCCTGCTTCCTGGCTGGGGTAGGACACACCCCTGTGACTTCCTTTCCTGCTATGTCTCTGCCCATCCTGCCCCAAACACACATGTAGATATGACCGGGTCTCAGACTGCAAAGTCAAGAGAGAGGAGGAAGTTCTCAGTAACATGCAAGGCGTGCCCTACCGCCATGATTTGGAAAGTTTCACCAGTCTCTGCTTTGAGAAGACTTGATCTGTCCCTGTGATTTGGTCACAATTGCCTTTGGACTGAGACACCACCAAAGGACAATGGATGGCCTGCACCCCCAGGAGCAGTCACCCGGGGTGCCTGTCTGGGCAAGTCTCATTCTCATTGCTACCTGGGCTTTCTCGTTTGTTTGTTTGTTTGTTTGTGAGATGGGACCTCACTCTGTTGCCCAGGCTGGAGCCATGGCCCGATCACGGCTCATCACATGCTGGAACTCCTGGGCTTAAGTGATCCTCCTGCCTCAGCCTCCTTAGTAGCTGGGACTTGAGCCAATTCTCCCAGCTAGATTTTTTTCAGTTTTAATTTTTTGTAGAGACGGGGTCTCGCTATGTGGCCCAGGCTGGTCTCAAACTCCTGGCCTCAAGCAGTCCTCTCACCTTGGCCTCCCAAAGCACTGAGATTACAGGCATGAGCCATTATACCTGGCCACTTTCTGCTTTTATTTATTTATTTTTTTTGTGACAGAGTCTCCCTCTGTCGCCCAGGCTGGAGTGCAGTGGCACAATCTCGGCTCACTGCAACCTCTACCTCTTGGGTTCAAGCAATTCTCTGCCTCAGCCTCCCAAGTAGCTAGGATTACAGGCATGCACCATCATACCCGGCTAATTTTTGTATTTTTAGTAGAGACGGGGTTTCACCATGTTGGCCAGGCTGGTCTCAAACTCCTGACCTCAAGTGATCCACTTGCCTCAGCCTCCCAAAGTGCTGGGATTACAGGTGTGAGCCACTGCACCTGGCCTCACTTTCTGCTTCTTATGCTCAATGTCTCCTTGTTTTGGAGACATGTCACCATTTGTCCTTTTCTTGGTTCCTTTCTCATGGTATCTGTTCTGTTGGCCTTGGTGGGAGGTACTGGTGCCTTCCTGCTTTCTTAGATCCTGAAGGAGCAGAGCCCCTGTGGCCTCTTGGTCTTCTTCTGTCAGCATCTCTCTCCCTTTGCTTTATCTGAAATCTCTTTTCTGTTTTTCTGGATAATTTCAGGATGCTTTTTGGAACCCATCCACCATCTGAGAGATAATAAGAAGCTTCTCTAGGACTTGTGATTTTGGTTTCAGCAGCTCCTTCCACGTTTGAGAAGAGTCTTCTCATTTCTTACTCATAGAACATCCCATCAGACATTTCTCCTGATCCACATAGTAATTCAGGGATCCAGGCTTCTTCCATAAGGTGATTCAACCATCTTCTATGGGCTCAGAGTCTTTTGAATCCAGGCAGAAGAGAGAATAAGGAACTCGCACCTGCTTCTTGAAAGTCTTCACCCTAAAGTGACATACATCACTTCTGCTCTCAGTCCATTGAACATAACTTGTCTTATGGCTTCAACTAGCTGCAAGGGCCTCTGGGAAATGTAGTCCTGGTCTAGGCAGTCAATAAACATCCTGCTGGCTCTGCCACAGAAGGCCTTTCTAAGATGTTCTTTGAGCTGAGACGTGAGAGCCAAAGTGTGAGAGCTACTTGAAAACTGTGAAAATGGAGTTCCCAAAGTGGGAACAGCAAGTGGAAAGACCCTGATGCTGGAATGTGCTCAAAGGAACAGTAAGAAATGAGCTTCTGGCTGGGCGTGATGGCTCATGCCTGTAATCCCAGCACTTTGGGAGGCTGAGGCAGGTGGATCACCTGAGGTTAGGAGTTTGAGACTAGCCTGACCAACATGGAGAAACCCCGTCTCTACTAAAAATACAAAAAAATCAGCCGGGTGTGGTGGTGCATGCCTGTAATCTCAGCTACTTGGGAGGCTGGGGCAGGAGAATCGCTTGAACCCAGGGGGCAGAGGTTGTTGTGAGCTGAGATCGTGCCATTGCACTCCAGCCTGGGCAACAAAAGTGAAACTCCGTCTCAAAAAAAAAAAAAAAAAGAACTTTTATTTTGTGAGCTACTGAAATGGTGGGGTTTATTTGTTATAGCAGCTAGCATGACTCTAAATAATATACCTTGTAGACATCATTGCCCACTAGCTCAGTGTATCTCAAACTACTTGTAACTATGGAGAAGGATCATTTGTTTGATGTTTCCAACCTGTCATGGACCAATCCTTTTGGTCTCTACCCTGTTCAACAAGAAAATCCATTGATCCTATACTTGGATGTCATGGATATGTCAAATTGCTGTGTTTCTAAACACTTGCTGGCAATTTCCGTACTTATCTGGTGGCACACCATTGCAGACACCAGCTCGGTTGGGGAGACCCTAACCCACTGGTGCTAGAGGAATTAAACACACACACACAGAAATATAGAGGTGTGAAGTGGGAAATCAGGGGTCTCACAGCCTTCAGAGCTGAGAGCCCCGAACAGAGATTTACCCACATATTTAGTAACAGCAAACCAGTCATTAGCATTGTTTCTATAGATATTAAATTAAAAGTATCCCTTATGGGAAACGAAGGGATGGGCCGAATTAAAGGAATAGGTTGGGCTAGTTAACTGCAGCAGGAACACGTCCTTAAGACACACATCGCTCATGCTATTGTTTGTGGCTTAAGAATGCCTTTAAGTGGTTTTCCACTCTGGGCGGGCCAGGTGTTCCTTGCCCTCATTCCCGTAAACCCACAACCTTCCAGCTTGGGCGTTAGGGCCATTATGAACATGTCACAGTGCTGTGGAGATTTTGTTTGTGGCCAGTCTTGGGGTCAGTTTATGGCCATATTTTGGGGGGCTTGCTCCCAACACCATAATAGTTGCTGGACCAGTCCTGGCACCACTTTAGCTTCTTATTCTGTTTTATTTTTCTCTATAGCATTTACCATTCCCTGTAATTATCTTGTTTATTTTTGGGTATACTTGTTTATAGTTTTCTTTCCCACTAGAATGTAAGCTCCATCAGAGAAGAAGTTGGCCTTACTTCTCTTGCTCCGTTGTGTTCCTCGTTCCCAAGACAATGCCTGGGACACAGTAGGTGCTCAGAAAGTATTTGTTAAATAATGAGTATTTGTTAAATAAAAATCATGGCTGGGAACAGTGGCTCACGCCTATAATCCCAGCACTTTGGGAGGCCAAGGCAGACAGATTGGTTGAGCTCAGGAGTTTGAGACCAGTCTGGGCAGCATGGCAAAACCCTGTCTCTACAAAAAATATAAAAATTTGCTGGGCATGGTGGCATGCACCTGTAGTCCTAGCTACTCAGGAGGCTGAGGCATGAGAATCACTTGAACCTGGGAGCCAGAAGTTGCAGTGAGCTGAGATTGTGCCACTGCATTCCAGTCTGGGTGACATAGTGTGACCCTGTCTCAAAAAAAAATTTAATAAAATGAAATAAAAATAACAAGGAGGGTGGGGGGAAGGAGGCAATCCATATCTGTTACAGAGGCTCTCTACAATCAGAACCTGACCAGAACTCTAACCAGTTTGTTAACAGCCATTGAGATCCCCTCAAGAGCTGTGGTTTTTTGATAGACCATGGTAGCTCAGATTAGATGTCAACTGAAGAATCATGAGGTTTTGATATGGTTTGGCTGTCCCCACCCAAATCTCATCTTGAATTGTAGTTCCCCAAATCCCCATGTGTTGTGGGAGGGACCTAGTGGGAGGTAATCGAATCATGGGGGTGGTTACCCCCATGCTGCTGTTCTTGAGATAGTGAGTTCTCACGAGATCTGATGGTTTTATAAGGGGCTTTTCCCTCTTTGCTTGGCACTTCTCCTTCCTGCTGCCATCTGAGGAAGGACGTTTTTGCTTTCTTTTCCACCATGATTTTAAGTTCCCTGAGGCCTCCCCAACCCTGCGGAACTGTGAGTCAATTAAACCTCTTTCCTTTATAAATTACCCAGTCTTGGGCAGTTCTTTTCAGCAGCGTGAGAACAGACTAATACAGGTTTACAAATTTGGAAAGGAGAGCTTTATTTCTCATAAAGAGTTGCAGCCTGCAGCCGGGCCATCTCACAGGCCGAGAAGTGTAGCCTCCGGTAGAAGCTGAGAGCAGGCACCTCCAGTAAGGGAAGGATAAGGTCAGAGTTAACGCTGAATGGCTTGGCTCAGTATACATATTCAACAGGTTATAGGAGGAGCTATGAATATTCATGAAGGGAAGGTACAGCACATGTGTAGTAACATCCCATATTCACTTTTTTTTTTTTTTTTTTTTTTTTTTGAGATGGAGTCTTACTCTGTCACCCAGGCTGTAGTGTAGTGGTGCGATCTCAGCTCACTGCAACCTCTCTTTCCCAGGGTTCAAGCAATTCTCCTGCCTCAGCCTCATGAGTAGCTGGGATTACAGGCACCCATCACCATGCCTGGCTAATTTTTTTATTTTTAGTAGAGACAGGGTTTCACCATGTTGGCCAGGCTGGTCTCAAACTCCTGACCTCAGGTGATCCGCCCACCTTGGCCTCCCAAAGTGCTGGGATTACAGGCGTGAGCCACCGTGCCAGGCCCCATGTTCACTTTGGAGTGGAGACTTAACACTTAAATGTATTACAATTAGGCCCTATACATCAAAAGGTGATGCAGAGGACACAAAGGCCCTTTGTGTGCAGCCTCTGTAGACTGGCCAGAGCCACACCCCGTGGTTAGGTGGCCTCTGATCAGGAAGGAATGCTGGTCAGTTGTTATGTTGAAACCACAAAAGGGAGGAGCAGCCATGTATTTCAGGCCATTGGTTGAAATTAGCAGTGAATGAGTCTTTCAATAGGGCTGGTTTCTGTTTAACCCTTAGGGAAGAAAGCTTCATGGCAGTCAGCAAGGGAGGAGGTAGAATGAGGTGTGCCCGACCACCCGTTCAGTCACGGCTAGGAACTCAGCTTTTAGTGTTTCTCTGTAGGCCCCTTGGCCAAGACAGTGTTCATTCAGCCAGTTGGCGGACTTAGGATTTTATTTTTGTCACGTGCGTCCGTGTGAAGAGACCATCAAACAGGCTTTGTGTGAGCAGTAAAAGCTTTTTAATCACCTGGGTGCAGGCGGACTGAGTCCGAAAAAGGAGTCAGCAAAGGGAGATAGGAGTGAGGCAGTTTTATAGGATTTGGGTAGGTAGTGGAAAATTACAGTTAAAGGGGGTTGTTCTCTTGCAGGCAGGGGCGGGGGTCACAAGGTGCTCGGTGGGGAGCTCCGGAGACTTATTGTCCAGGAGAAGGAATGTCACAAGGTAATGTCATCAGTTAAGGCAGGAGCTGGCCATTTTCACTTGTTTTTGTGGTTCTTCAGTTGCCTCAGGCCATCTGGATGTATACATGCAGGCTTGGGCTCAGACACCTGACAATTTTTATTTCTCACAGGTCTCTTATTTACAGCCTCCTGACAAGGATTCTTTGCTTGGCCAAACTTTAGTCAGGCTTCTGAACCTGGGCCGGGCCCAGTGGCTCATGCCTGTAATCCCAGGACTTTGGGAGGCTGAGGCAGGTGGATCACCTGATCTCAGGAGTTTGAGACCAGCCTGGCCAACATGGAGAACCCCAGCTCTACTAAAAATATAAAAATTAGCCGGGCGGCCAGGCGCGGTGGCTCACGCCTGTAATTCCTACACTTTGGGAGGCCAAGGCAGGTGGATCACCTGGGGTCAGGAGTTTTAAGACCAGCCTGGCCAACATGATGAAATCCCATCTCTACTAAAAATAAAAAAATTAGCCAGGCGTGGCGGCAGGCGCATGTAATCCCAGCTACTCAGGAGGTGGAGGCAGGAGAATCACTTGAACCTGGGAGGCAGAGGTTGCAGTGAGCCGAGATCATGCCACTGTACTCCAGCCTGAGTGAGAGAGCGAGACCCCGTCTCAAAAAAAAAAAAAAAAGAAAAGAAAAGAAAAAAAAAAAAAAAAAAAAAAGAAAGGCTGGGCACGGTGGCTCACGCCTATAATTCCAGCACTTTGAGAGGCCGAGGCGGGCATATCACGAAGTCAGGAGTTCAAGACCAGCCTCACCAACATGGTGAAACCCCATCTCTATTAAAACTATAAAAAATTAGCTGGTTGAGGTGGTGAGCACCTGTAATCCTAGCTACTCAGGAGGCTGAGGCAGGAAAATGGCTTGAATACGGGAGGCGGAAGCTGTAGTGAGCCAAGATTGCACCACTGCATTCCAGCCTGGGTGACAGAGTGAGACTCCATCTCAAAAAAAAAAAAAAAAGCATCTGAACCTTCTCCTTCTGTGCACTTCTTTGTAAAATCCAGTTGTAGCAAAAGAACCCTTCTACGTCAGTTTAGCTAGAAACCCTCATCCTCTGTATCTGATACACCTCGGCATCTGATCAGGTTCCTCATCCTCCACCATCCCCCTGGTGATGTCTGGTCACCCTGGCCTGTCTTCAACTAGAATCCTATTAGGTTGGTTTAGTCAGAATCCCCCTTACCCTCAATGTTTTCTCTTACTAATTTTCCATCCACTGACCCCTACCCTGCTCCTTGGGTAGGACTTCCCACTTGCTCATGCTGTATTTAGTGTTGAGCCCCATCTTTCTCCTCCAGTGCAGGCCCCTGTCTCAGTATTCCCTCTGCATATTGCAATGGTCCTGAATAAAGTCTGCCTTACTGTCTTTTTCTTTTTGAGATGGAGTCAGTTTTGCTCTGTCCCACAGGTTGGAGTGCAGTGGCACAATCTCGAACCACTGCAACCTCTGCCTCCCAGGTTCAAGCAATTCTCATGCCTCAGCCTCCTGAGTAGCTGGGATTACAGGTGCACACCACCACGCCTGGCTAATTTTGTATTTTTAGTAGAGACAAGGTTTCACCATGTTGGCCAGGCTGGTCTTGAACTCCCAAGCTCAAGTGATCCGCCCGCCTCGGCCTCCCAAAGTGCTGAGATTACAGGCATGAGCCACTGTGCCTGGCCCGCCTTACTGTCTGTAACGAGTGTCATTAAACAAGTGTTTCTTTAGTAACCCTTCCCAAGTTTTCTTCCATTATATATTGGACCACTCCGATTGTCACTGTCTGGTGGCATGTCTGTCTCTCACCCCAATTTATATGTTCTGAGGGGGTTGAGTTGAATTTGAAGTAGTCATTGCTACGTCTCCAGAGTCAGGTAGCACAGCCAACGCCCTTGGTAGGCAGAACTAGACTTGCGATGTGAATACATGAATCTGGGCAGGCTGTCCTCGAGCAACGGGGTCCTCCTCTCTCTCCCATGTCCCCCACGCCATAGCAGGGTCCTGGAGTTGGTCTTGAGTTCTGGTCGAGTGGGCTGCTGGCACTACCACTTCCTTCCCTTCAAGCTGCTGACCCAGGCTGGCAACACTTGTGTGATACTGTGACATATATATTTGGTCTAGGTCCCATTTTGTGGCCCAGAGCTCCTAAAACCCTTGGAATCGCTGGAGTGATAATAGTGTTTTGTTTTTTTTTTTTTTGACGGAGTCTCGCTGTGTTGCCCAGGCTGGAGTGCAGTGGCATGATCTCAGCTCTCTGCAACCTCCACCTCCTGGGTTCAAGCGATTCTCCTGCCTCAGCCTCCTGAGTAGCTGGGATTATAGGCGTATGCCATCACACCTGTCTAATTTTTGTATTTTTAGTAGAGACGGGGTTTTGCCATGTTGGCCAGGCTGGTCTCAAACTCCTGGCTTCAAGCGATCTTCCTGCCTCAGCCGCCCAAAGTGCTGGGATTACAGGCCTGAGCTACTGCACCTGGCCAGCTGGAACAAATTAATCAGGCTTGAGGAGGGGGGTCATGGGAACACCTGATTTATAGCTTGTCAGTCACAAGTCTAGGTGACAACTTACCACTTGTGGCTGACATCCAAATTTGGGGGCAGTCTTGTGGAACTGAGCCTTCAACCTGTGGGATCTGATGCCATCTCCAGGTAGATAGTGTCAGAATTGAATTAAATTACAGGACACCCAGTTGGTGTCTGCTGGAGAATCTGGTTGGTTGGTAGGTGGGGAAAATACCCCTGCCCCTGGCTCTAACATTTGGTGTTAGAAGTGTTATGCTGAGGCCTGGTATGGTGGCTCACACCTGTAATCCCAGCACTTTGGGAAGCTAAGGTGAGTGGATCACCTGAGGTCAGGAGTTTGAGACCAGCCTGGCCAACACGGTGAAACCCCGTCTCTACTAAAAATACAAAATTAGCTGGGCATGGTGGTACGCACCTGTAATCCCAGCTACTCAGGAGGCTGAGGCAGAAGAATCACTTAAACCTTGGGGGCAGAGGTTGCAGTGAGCCGACATCGTGGCACTGCACTCCAGCCTGGACAGAGGAAGACTCTGTCAAAAAAAAAAAAAAAAAAAGAAGTGTTACTTTGAGGGGCATGTAAGAATAGGAAGAACACTTTGCATTTTGTTTTTCTAATCTTAGATAGCTTGGCACTCCAGACATTGAGGAGCAGGTGTTCCATTCAGCCCAAGTAGATGCTTAGAGCCAAGGTAAATTGCACTGTGGTGTATATTTGGTGGTTTGTTCAAGAGCTGGGAAGCAGTTTACAATCTAAGTAAGTATATCAGGTAGGTGTACAAGATGGTACCTAAGATTCCCACAGTGATGCTCGCGATGGCCCAGTAGTAGGCTTGTTTGGAGGTCTTGGCTGCCAGCTCATAGTCACTGGATTTATTGTAGTTCTTTGTCTACAATACAAACTTTGTCTGAGTTTTAGGAGAGAGGGAACAGGGAAAGATGAGTATAAAAGAGTTATTGCGTGGCCGGGCATGGTGGCTCATGCCTGTAATCCCAGCACTTTGGGAAGCTGAGGTGGGCAGATCACCTGAGGTCAGGTGTTCAAGACCAGCCTGGCCAACATGGTGAAACCCAGCTCCACCAAAAATACGAAAATTAGCCAGGCGTGTTGGTGGGCGCCTCTAATCCCAGCTACTCAGGAAGCTGAGGCAGGATAATTGTTTGAACCTGCGAGATGGAGGTTGCGGTGAGCTGAGATCTCACCACTGCACTCCAGCTTGGGTGACAGAGCGAGACTCTGTTTCAAAAAAAAAAAAAACAGTTGTTGGGTGAGGGTGGGCTGTGGAACTGTAAGGACTCAGGGTGGGGGTCTGAACCCACAGGAGGTGCTGGTGTTGCTCAGGCTCCTAGTTCAGAAGGGAGAACAAGGAAGAAGTTGAGTCAGGGTCAGGGGCAAGATGGAGAGGGAGGGTGAAGGATTGGCATGATGCAGGTGCCCACCAGGCAAGAAAAGATCACGGCTGGGATGGCTAGGGGAAGGCAACAGAAGAGGCCCAGGATGGACAGGCAGAGGTAGTCGCTGGATTCATCCTCATCAGACATCAGTTCAAACACCTGGGGGGCAGAGAGTTGGTTATGTCTCACTATGGCTTCTGAACTCTAACAATCCTTTCTCACTCTCTCCCTACTTACCCTAACACATCTCTCCTTGGCAGCTATATGATCTTCATTGACCCCATTTAAAATTCTCATTGACTTTCTCTAACCCCCACCATGTCTCCTCTAACCTCTCTCTATCCCTTTTTTTTATTTTTTATTTTATTTATTTATTTTTTTGAGACGGAATCTCGCTCTGTCATCCAGGCTAGAGTGCAGTGGTGCGATCTTGGCTCACTGCAAGCTCTGCCTCCCAGGTTCATGCCATTCTCCTGCCTCAGCCTCCCGAGTAGCTGGGACTACAGGCGCCCGCTACCACGCCTGGCTAATTTTTTGTATTTTTAGTAGAGACGGGGTTTCACCGTGTTAGCCAGGATGGTCTCAATCTCCTGACCTCGTGATCCACCTGTCTCAGCCTCCCAAAGTGCTGGGATTACAGGCGTGAGCCACCGCGCCCGGCAAATCCCTTTTATTTTTTGAGACAAGGTCTTGCTCTCTCACTCAGGCTGAAGTGCACTGGCATGATCACAGTTCACTGCAGCCTCGAACTCCTGGGCTCAAGCAATCCTCCTGCCTCAGCCTCCCACGTAGCTGGTACAAACCACCACACCCAGCTAATTTTTGATTTTTGTTGTTGTTGTAGAGATGGAATCTCATTATGTTGCCCAGGCTTGTCGTGAACTCCTGGCCTTAAATGATCCTTCTGCCTTGATCTTTCAAAGTGCTAGGATTATAGGTGTGAACCACCATGCCTGGCCTCTGTATCGCTCTTATTTATTTACTGAGACAGAGTCTCAGTCTTTTCTCCAGGCTGGAGTACAATGGTGTGATCTCAGCTCACTGCAACCTCTGCCTCCTGGGTTCAAGCAGTTCTCGTGCCTCAGCCTCCTGAGTAGTTGGGATTACAGGCATGTGCTACCATGCCCAGCTAATTTTTGTATTTTTAGTAGAGTTGGGGTTTCACCATGTTGGCCAGGCTGGTCTTGAACTCCTGACCTCAGGTGACCCACCTGCCTTGGCCTCCCAAAGTGCTGGGATTACAGGCATGAGCCACCACACCCAGCCCTTTCTTATTTACTTATTTTTTATTTTTGAGACAAAGTCTCACTATGTCACCCAGGCTGGAGGGCAGTGGCACGATCTCGCCTCACTGCAGCCTCTGCCTCCTGGGCTCAGGCAATTCTTATGCCTCAGCCACTTGAGGAGCCGGGATTACAGGTGTGCACCACTATGCCCGCTAATTTTTGTATTTTTAGTAGAGACTGAGTTCATCGGTCTGGTAGTTGGCCAGGCTAGTCTTGAACTCCTGGCCTTGAGTGATCCTCCCACCTCGGCCTCCCAAAGTGCTGGGATTACAGGCGTGAGCCACCACGCCCGGCCCATAGCTCCTCTTGTAACCTGTTAAATATATGTGTTTAACCACCCTGTCATCATATCTCCACAGGAGCTCCAGGTACAATTGACAGCTGGGAATGTGCCTGACAATTAAGACTAAATGCTGTGTACACATCTCAGATAATTCAGTAAATGTCTCAATAGCCCTGAGAGACATGCACCTAAAAATCAAAGCTATGTCTGACCCCACATTATCACCAGGTCAATGGTTGGCATCCTGTTGCAGGTGAGGACTGTTCTCACCTGGAAAGAAGCTATTTACAACTTTGGCCCTAGTTGCAATGATAGACATACTTCTCTGCTGTGGATTTTTCTGCTGTTTCACCTTCTATATGGGAATGCAAGACAGACTTCCCCAGAGACTTTCCAGACCTTACACCATATTGGTCCAACTACTCATAAATATTTCCAACTCCAAGTGGATCGGTTCCATTCTGATGACTAATCACAATGCCCTCTTTCAGCAGGAAGTAGCCAGCATGAATGTGGCATCCAAATCCCATAGAAATGGAATGGAATTTGACAGTGGGAAACTGTAATTGAGTACCACATTTTTTTTTTTTGAGACAAAGTCTTGCTGTGTCGCCCAGGCTGGAGTGCAGTGGCGTGAGCTCAGCTGCAACCTCCGCCTTGTGGGTTGAAGCGATTCTCCTGCCTCAGCCTCCCAAGTAGCTGGGACTACAGGCACCTGCCACCACGCCCGGCTAATTTTTGTATTTTTAGTAGAGACGGGGTTTCACTGTGTTGGCCAGGCTGGTCTTGAACTTCCGACCTTGTGATCTGCCTGCCTCAGCTTCCCAAAGTGCTGGGATTACAGGTTTGAGCCACTGTGCCTGGCCAGAGTACCCCATTTTTAAAGAAAAAAAAGGATTTTTTTCCTTTTTCTTTTCCCCCCATCTCCTACTTAACTCTTTAGGAATGCAACTGTAACCTCCCTACATGGCAAGCTTATCTAACAATATGTTTACTTAGAAGTTCCAGGGACTGAACCTTGAAACAAATCAGGCACCCCCAGAATTCTCTCCCATCAGATTGCCTTGAGACAATGGTCAATTTCTCTTCTCACGATGGTGACAGCTAGAACACCTGATAGATAAGACATCAAAGCATGTCACATAGACCCCACACCTCCTTGCCCCCCACCTTTATGTCATTCACATCAAGCCCCCCTTTAAAAGTCCCTGCTTTCTGTCCTGAAAGCTGAAGCAATACCCTTAAGGCAGGAACCTGTACCTCTTCCCCTCACCTGAGCTCTGGAATAAAGTCACCTTCTTTCTACCAGAACTTGCTCTTGTTAATTGGACTCTGCAAGCGTGGAGTGACTGGACCTGTGTTTGGGTATAAAACCTTCATTATAAATTCACTGTTCCCTTATAAAACTCTCACCCTGTAAAACTTCTTTGTCTTCTGTTTTTTTTTTTTTTTTTTTTTTTTTTTCAGAGACAGGGTCTTCTCTCCCAGGCTGTAGGAGTGCAAAGGCACAATCATAGCTCAGTGCAGCCTCAAACTCCTGGGCTCAAGTGATCCTCCTGCCTCAGCTTCCTGAGTGGCTGGGACTACAGGTGCACACCACCAGGCCCAGCTAACTAAAATTTTGTTTTGTTTTGTTTTTGTTTTGCTGGGTGTGGTGGCTGACGCCTGTAATCCCAATACTTTGGGAGGCCGAGGTGGGCGGATCACCTGAGGTCAGGAGTTTGAGGCCACCTTGGCTAACATAGTGAAACCCCGTCTCTACTAAAAATACAAAAATTAGCCGGGCGTGGTGGCACGCACCTGTAATCCCAGCTACTTGGGAGGCTGAGGCAGAACTCGGGAGGTGGAGGTTGAAGTGAGCCAAGATCCTGCCACTGCACTCCAGCCTGGGTGACACAGCGAGACTCTCTCAAAAAAAAAAAAAAAAAAAAAAAATTTTTTTCTTTTGGTAGAGATGGGGTTTTGCTACAATGTTGCCCATGCTGGTCTTGAATTCCTGGGCTCAGGTGATCCTCCCACCTCTGCCCCCCAAAGTAAAACTTCTGTTAGCTCTCTCACTGTTCCTTTTATAATATCCTTTACTTCGTCCCTATGAATCCTGCGGGGTCCTGCTGTAAACCTTTCCTGTTCGCCCATAAGCTCCCTGCCCCTTTAGCTCCTCTAAGACCTTATTTGACCACCTATTCACTCCTCTTGCTGGGACTATAGGCGCCCGCCACCACGCCCGGCTAATTTTTGTATTTGTAGTAGAGACAGGGTTTCAGTCTCTACTTCTTTGTCACCTTACAAAGTCCTGCCCTGTCTCCCTCTAACACCTCTCAACTTCTGAAACCAGCTTTCTGACTCTTTGAACTCCCTCTCCAACCACGTACAACAGCCTTCCTGTTCTAAACCCGTGCCCTTGTGACATATGTCTGTGTCCACTTATATCACCCCTGAGGTTCCTTTATGATACCCTTTCTGCTCTCATCATTTCCCCTCTACTCTAACACTCCTCCTCCTACTCCTGCCCTCCTGGAACATTCCCAGGAGGGCACCTAGGTCTGGCACTATGCTCTTCCTTGATCACCAACCACAGGGGATTACCATGGCGGCCAGGCAGGCCCCGCCTCCTAGCCTGTCTCTCTACTTCTACTGGCCAATTGGAGGTGGTATGTCATAGGGTGGGAACCAACACCTGGCTTCTGATTGGTTTGATGGGGTGACAGCTCCTTCTACTCTCTCAAGTGATTGGCCAATTGAGGAATCCCTGGTTCCACCTTCAAAACAGACCTATAAATAAGCCTCATTTCCTTGATCATCTTTGTTTAAAGATTCCTCCTGAGCATCTTGAGAGAAAAGCACTACTTGGGGCAAGAGTGATGTAGGCCTCGGAGTCTTGTGTTTCAGGAAAAACACAATGCATTTTCTCTGCTCTCATACCACAACAGTCAACACAGAAGAGTTCTTTGATCAAATGTGTGGGTTCCCCCCTTTTTCCCCACCCCCTCAAGCCCCTCCAACACCAAGCAAACAATCATTTCTTTTCTTCCTTCCTTTCCTTTCCTTTCTTTCCTTCATTCTTTCCCCCTTCCCTTCCCCTCCCCTCCCTTTCCCTTTCCCCTTCCCTTCCCCTTCCCCTTTCCCTTTCCCTTTCCCTTCCCTTCCCTCTTTTCTTCCTTTTCCTTCTCTTCTTTCTTTTCCTTCTTTCTTCTTGCTCTGTCTTCCAGGCTGGAGTGTGGTGATGTGATCTTGGCTCACTGCAACCTCCGCCTCCTGGGTTCAAGTGATTCTCCTGCCTCAGCCACCTGAGTAGCTGGGACTACAGGTGCGCACCACCATGCCTGGCTAATTTTTTGTATTTTTAGTAGAGACGGGGTTCTGCCATGTTGACTAGGCTGGTCTCGAACGCCTGACCTTAAGTGATCCGCCTGCCTTGGCCTCCTAAAGTTCTAGGATTACAGGCATTACGCCCGGCCTACTTCTATTTTTTAAGTTTTTAATTTTTTTATTTTTTGAGACAGAGTCTCACTCTGTTGTTCAGGCTGGAGTGCAATGGCGTGATCTCGGCTCACTGCAACCTCCGCCTCCTGCATTCAAGTGATTCTCCTGCCTCAGCCTCCCAAGTAGCTGGGATTACAGGCACCTGCCACTATGCCTGGCTAATTTTTGTATGCTTAGTAGAGACTGGGTTTCACCATGTTAGTGAGGCTGGTCTCGAACTCCTGACCTCAGGTGATCAGCCCATCTTGGCCTCCCAAAATGCTGGGATTGCAGGAGTGAGCCACCGCGCCTGGCCTACTTCTATTTTTTTTAAGACAAGGTTTTGTTCTGTTGCTAGTCTGGAGTGTAGTGGTGTGAACACGGCTCACTGCAGCCTTGACCTCCTGGGCTCAAACAACCTCCTGCCCCAAACTTCTGAGTAGCTGGGGCTACAGGTGCAAGCCACCATGCCAGGTTAATTTTGAAATTTTTTGCAGAGATGGGGTCTCACTATGTTGCCCAGGCTGATCTTGAACTCCTGGGCTCAAGTTATTTATGTATGTATTTATTTGAGACAGGGCCTCACTCTGTCACCCAGGCTGGAGTGCAGTGATGTGATGATGGCTCACTGCAGCCTCGACTTCCTGGGCTCAGGTTATCCTCCTGCCTCAGTCTCCCAAGTAGCTGGGACTATAGGCGTGTGCCACCACACCCAGCTAACTTCTTTGTATTTTTAGTAGAGACGGAGTTTCACCATGTTTTCCAGGCTGATCTCAAACTCCTGGGCTCAAGTGATCCACCCACCTCGGCTTCCCGAAGTGCTGATATTACAGGCATGAGCCTTTGAACCTGGCTATTTTTTTTTTTTGAGATGGAGTCTCCCTCTGTCGCCAGGCTGGAGTGCAGTGGTGCGATCTCGGCTCACTGCAACCTCTGACTCCCTGGTTCAAGCGATTCTCCTGCCTCAGCCTCCCTAGTAGCTGGGATTGCAGGCATCCGCCACCACGCCCAGCTAATTTTTGTATTTTTAGTAGAGACAGGGTTTCACCTTGTTGGCCACGATGGTCTCCTGACCTCGTGATCTGCCTGCCTTGGCCTCCCAAAGTGCTGGGATTACAGGTGTGAGCCAACGCGCCCGGCTCTGGCTATTTTTTTTTTAAGTGCATTATGAAAATATTTTATAACTTGTGTGTTTAGATCATGTGCCTTAAATATGATTATTGGTATGTTTTGCTTTAGGTCTACTATTATTTGTTTTTTATTTCCACTTTTCTGTGTTTTGTTCCTTGTTTTCCCTTTTCCTTCTTTCTTTTGGATTATTCAAATACTATTTTAGTACTCCATTTTAATTTATTTATTGTGATTTTCACTATATATCTTTGCAAGTTTTAAGTGATTGCTCTACGGATTATGGTAAACACACTTAAACATTCTATAGTCTACCTAGATTGAATATTTTGCAACTTCAAGTGGAATATGGAAAACTTCCACCATATTGGTCCCTTCATTGTCTCCCATGTATGCGTTAGCTTTCACATGCATTATAAAGACATGTATTGAAAATACATCCGTCCAGGGCTGTGGCTCACGCCTGTAATCCCAGCACTTTGAGAGGCTGAGGTAGGTGGATCACCTAAGGTCAGGAGTTCAAGACCAGCCTGGCCAACATGGTGAGACCCCGTCTCTACTAAAAATACAAAAATTAGCTGGGCATGGTGGTGGGCGCCTGTAATCCCAGCTACTAGGGAGACTGAGGCAGGAGAATCGCTTGAACCCAGGAGGTGGAAGTTGCAGTGAGCCAAGATCACACCACTGCACTCCAGCCTGGGTGACAGAGTGAGACTCTATCTCCAAAAAAAAAAAAAAAAGAAAAAAAAAAAACGAAAAGAAAAACGCCAGGCACGGTGGCTCATGCCTGTAATCCCAGCACTTTGGGAGGTTGAGGAGGGCAGATCCCGAGGTCAGGAGATCGAGCCCATCCTGGCTAACAAGGTGAAACCCCGTCTCTACTAAAAATACAAAAATTTAGCTGGGCGTGGTGGCGGGTGCCTGTAGTCCCGGCTACTCGGGAGGCTGAGACAGGAGAATGGCGTGAACCCGGGAGGCGGAGCTGGCAGTGAGCCGAGACCACACCACTGCACTCCAGCTTGGGTGACAGAGTGAGACTCCATCTCAAAAAAAAAAAAAAAAAAAAAAACCCTCCCAAAGTGCTGGGATTACAGGCGTGAGCCACCATGCCCAGCAGTCATTCCTTTCAATGGCAAAAACCGCAATTATTTTTGCATCAACTACACACACAGACACACACACACACACATATCTCATGTCACCTGCAGATACAGTTTTATTTCTTCCTTTCCAATCTAAATGCCTTTTTTTCTTTTTTGAGACAGAGTCTCACTCTATTCCTCAGGCTGGAGTGCAGTGTTGGTGTGATCATAGCTCACTGCAGTCTCAAAGTCCTGGGCTCAAGTGATCTCCCTGCCTCAGCCCCCTGAGCAGGTAGGACTACAGGCATGTGCCACCATGCTTGGCTAATTTTTTAATATTTTTTGTAGAGATGGGGTCATGCTGTGTTGCCTAGGCTGGTCTTGACATCCTAGTCTCAAGTGATCCTCCTGCCTCCCAAAGTGTTAGGATTACAGACGTCAGCCACTGCGCCGGGCCCTGTTTGCGTTTTTTTCTTGCAGTGACTAGAACTTCCAGCACTATGTCAAATAGGAGTGTCAAGAGCAGACATCCTTTCCTTGTTGTTGATCTTATAGGGAAAGTATTCCATCCTTCATCATTAAATATGATATATATTTGGTGTGTTTAAATCTATTATTGTTATTACTATTATTATTATTATTATTATTTGAGACGGAGTTTTGCTCTTGTTGCCCAGGCTGGAGTGCAATGGCGCCATCTCGGCTCACTACAACCTCCGACTCCCGAGCTCTAAGCGATTCTCCTGCATCAGCCTCCCGAGTAGCTGGGATTACAGGTGACTGTCACCACGGCTGGCTAATTTTTATATTTTTAGTAGAGACGAGGTTTCACCATGTTGGCCGGGCTGGTCTCGAACTCCTGACCTCAATTGATTTACCTGCCTCAGCCTCCCAAAGTCCTGGGATTACAGGAGTGAGCCACCGCGCCTGGCCGTTATTAATATTTTTGATGTTTAAGTTGTACCACTCTGGGCCAGTGGGCGCTCCTTCAAGTTAGCTTCTATGTCGAAAATAAAAATGATTTGTTAAGAGAAAGGTAAGTGATTAACAAGTGACTCCAGCAGGTAAAAAGATTGAATTGCTACTAACGGTCGATGGGAGGCAGTGTTGTCCACCTAGTGCTTAAGAACACGGCTTTTGGTGGCAGATTTCCTGGTTCCCAATCCTGGCCCCTCAGTGAATTCGCTGTGAGACCTGCACTGTGTCTTTCCAGCTCCCTGTGCTTTATCCTCAGTCTGTAAGAATGCAGGCTATAGGGTTAGTGTGGAGACCAAAAGAATCAATACTCCGAAGCTGCTCATAACAGTGGCTTGTACTTGACTCCGAGAGTTGCTGCTTTCACCATCATAGTGAAGACAAAGTACTCAAAATCTGCTACACGAAAAAGATTACAGGCCCAGAAGATTTTGCAGGCATGTTCACTCCAACTTTTTTTTTTTTTTTTGGAGATGGAGTTTCGCTCTTGTCACCCAGGCTGCAGTGCAATGGCGTGATCTTGGCTTACTGCAACCTCCGCTTCCCGGGTTCAAGTGATTCTCCTGCCTCAGCCTCCCGAGCAGCTGGGATTACAGTTGTGTGCCACCATGCCCAGCTAATTTTTGTATTATTAGTAGAGATGGGGGTTTCACCATATTGGCCAGGCTGGTCTCGAACTCCTGACCTCAGGTGATCCACCCGCCTCAGCCTCCCAAAGTACTAGGATTACAGGCATGAGGCACCATGTCCGGCCCACTCCAATCTTTAAGAAGCAGCTAATTCCCATGACATAGAAATGTTTCCAGAACACAGAAACACATTGAATGCTTCTCAACCCATTCTGCATTGCCAGCACTGCCCCAATGCAAAGGACTGAGAACAGCCCCCAGATGAAAACTATGTAGGACCCAAATAAGGCATAAGCAAACCATATCCATCACATATTAAAAGAATAATAGAGGCCGGGCATGGTGGCTCACGCCTATAATCCCAGCACTTTGGGAGGCTGAGGCGGGCGGATCACGAGGTCAGGAGATCAAGACCATCTGGCTAACACGATGAAACCCCGTCTCTGCTAAAAATACAAAAAATTAGCCGGGTGTGGTGGTGGGCGCCTGTAGTCCCAGCTACTCGGGAGGCTGAGGCAGGAGAATGGCGTGAACCTGGGAGGCGGAGCTTACAGTGAGCCAAGATCGTGCCACTGCACTCCAGTCTGGGCGACAGAGCAAGACTCTGTCTCTAAAAAAAAAAAAAAAGAATAATAGATTGTGACCCAGTAAGGTTTTCCCAAGAGTATAAGAATGGTTCATTGTGAATAACTTTGTTAAAGGATTGAATTAAAATCTCGTATGATCATGTTAATAGATGCTGAAAAGTATTTAATATGATTCAACACAAATTTTTTTTGAGACAGGGTCTCGCTGTGTTGCCCAGGCTGGAGTACAAGGGTGTGATCATGGCTCACTGCTGCCTCTAACTCCTGGGTTCAAGTTATCCTCCCATCTCAGCCTCCTGAGTAGCTGAGAATACAGGTACCATGCCTAGCTAATTTTTTTTTCTTTTTTCAGTAGAGACGAGATCTAGCTATGTTGCCCAGGCTGGTCTCAAATTCCTGGCCTCAAATGACTCTCCTTCCTTGGCCTCCCAAAGTACTGGAATTACAGGCATGAGCCACTGTGCCTAGCCTCAATATAAAATTCTAATTTAAAAAATCTTGGCAAGCCAGGAATAGAAGAAAACATAACAAAATTGATGAAATTTTGGCTGGTCACGGTGGCTCATGCATGTAATTTCACCACTTTGAGAGGCTGAGGCAGGCAGATAATTTAAGGCCAGGGGTTCAAGACCAGCCTGGCCAACATAGAGAAATCCCATCTCTACTAAAAATACAAAAAATTAGCCCCGAGTGGTGGTGCGTGCCTGTGGTCCCAGCTACTATAGAGGCTGAGGCACTAGAATCGCTTGAACCTGGGAGGCGGAGATTGCAGTGAGCTGAGATTGTGCCGCTGCACTCCAACCTGGGTGACAGAGCCAGAGTTTGCTTCAGAAAAAAAAAAAAAAAAGATGAAATTTTTATCAGAAATCTACATCAACTGCCTGACTTAATAGTAAAACAATAGAACTAACCCATACAAGGATGGAAACAAGATTATGATGCTAATTCATATTTTGCTGAAAGGTTTAGCCCAGGAACTAAAAAAATACATATATAATGAGGTATTAAAATTGTTAAGAAATAATTCAAATTTAGCATAGACAATGTAAGTGTGTAAAATGATGAATTATTACACCAAGAAAGTTCAGTAAGTTTGCCACACAAGATATCAACATTGGAAACTCAATACCTTTCTTCTACCCCAATAATAATTTAGATTATGTAATGGAAAAAAGGATTGCTTATAATACATAAAATAAAGCTAAAGATGTACAAGTCCTATTTGATATATCATATTTATGAATAGGAAGGCTTATCATAAAGATGCTAAATCTCCCAAAACTGATAACTAAATTGATTGTAATGCAATCAAAGTCAGATAAGATTTTTTTTTTTTTGAGGTTGAGTCTCACTCCTTCGCCCAGGCTGGAGTGAAGTGGTGCAATCTCTGCTCACTGCAACCTCCACCCCCGGGTTCAAGAGATTATCCTGCCTCAGCCTCCCGAGTAGCTGGGATTACAGGCACGCACCACCACAGTGGCTAATTTTTGTATTTTTATAGAGACAGGGTTTCACTATGTTGGCCAGGCTGGTCTCGAACTCCTGGCCTCAGGTGATCCTCCCACCTCAGTCTCCCAAAGTGCTAGGATTACAGGTGTGAGCCACTGCACCCGGCCTTATTTTTTACATTTATTTATTTTGGAGACAAAGTCTAGCTGTGTCCCCCAGGCTGAAGTGCAGTAGTATCACTATGACTTACTGCAGCCTCAAAATCCTGGGCTAAAGTGATCCTCTCACCTCACCCTCCTGAGTAACTGAGACTACAGGCGTGTGCCACCACGCCTGGCTAATTTTGAAAAATTTTGTAGAAAAGAGTTATCTATCGACTTGCTGCCTAGGCTGGTCTCAAAGTCCTGGGCTCAAGCCATCCTCCTCTCTCAGCCTCCCAAAGCATTGAAATTACAGGCACGAGCCACTGTGCCTGGCCTCGTTTTGTGTTTACCTGGTGCTAAATACCAGTTGGATACCCGAGAGTGAAATTCAGGTTGGATGAAGTCTGGGAGCTGAAGTGGAGGAGGCTGGCTGGCTTTCCAAGGCCTGTAGCAGAAGGTGACACTTGGGTCTGCCTGCTGATGTTGACATGGACCATCCTAACCTGACATGGCTTTGCAGCTGAATGTGACAGGCCCAGCCTGGGCTGGATCTGGAGAGGGACAGGGATGGCTAACCCTCTAGATCTGCTAACATGACAGACAATTAGGCATCATCCTATCTGCAGGCATCCCCATAACCCAGAGCATTGTCCCACAAACACATGAGATCTGCCCAGACACCCAAGCCCACAGAGGAGACAAACTCAGCATCACAACAATTACAATTAAGGTGGACTAGGGCCTTTGTTGTTTCCTTCTATTATTATTTCCTATAGACCACCCAACAAGATGGATGTCTCTGTTGGGTATGAACTTGAAGCTGTAATCCCAGATGTGCAAGAAATAGAACTCTATTCTCCTGCATCTGCACTGGTTTGGGTGGATTGGGCTGTGGAAACAGGCCAAGCATGTCATTTGTCAACATGGTAGTCTATTTTCTGCTTGACCACATGAGGCAGTTGGGGGAAGGGAGGCTGTTCCTAGAATGGTTCAGGGACCCAGGCTAATGGGGGCTTTGCCACGTCTACAACATGTGGCCTTCTAAATCATCACATGGGTATCCCTTGCCCCGTTGGCCGGGGGAGGAGGAGTTTAGAGGAGTGTCCCAGGAGACATTGAAAAGCCAGGTTTGTTTGTGGTACATGTCAGTTCTGCTCACATTCCACAGGACCAAAGCACATTTCATGGCTGCAGAGGGGAACCTCTGAGACGTGGCCAGGCAATGTTCCCAGAACAAAGAGGCGATGGGCTCTGGGGGACAGTGAGCAGTCTCTTGCCCAGCAGCTCCATTGACTTTCTACTGAGAATCCCCATTCTCCATGGTGGTGGAAACTTAGTTCTGCTAAATATTGTGCTAAATATTCATCTGGTTCTGAACTTGGGGTTGTCCATGAAGCTTGGGCATCAGAGGCAGCCCCGGGGTGTCTGTGGCCCATGGTGTCAGTCTAGATCTCTGTTTTGATTCATGCACGATGGCTCCCTGCTTATCCCTAGTTTTCCTCTACAGTTCTGTCTCCACCTGGCACTTGGGATTCCTATGGAACCCACCTTCTTCTCACTAGGCTGGGCCATGGGGTATCCTCCTTGGCTGTCTGAGGTCATTTCTTTGTAAATGTCTACACCATGTAGCATATCTTCTTTGAGAACTTGGAGCCTCTCTAGGCCTTATCTGTGAGGAGGGATTATAGATAACAGCTGGGGTCTCTGACGCCCCTCTTCCTCAGATGCAGATTCCAGGAACCTTATGGATGTACTATTGTCTAATCTCTCTCTACATTCCCTTTTCCATGAATGGGGAACCAATGCCTTTCTGGAGGGGGGAGAGGTGGTCTTCATCAGCTATTCTGCCAAAGCTATTTGCATTTCTTGAGGACTTTCCATTCTTCTCCTAAGAGCTTGACATTTGGATGTCAGAAGCTGGAAGAGGTTTCTGTTTTCTTATTGCTGCTCTGAGACACTAGACATCTCCAATCCCAGCTCAAATGAGAAGACCCCTAGAGAATAAACATCAGTTCAGATTTCTAAATATCATCCCCACATTGGCAATTATGCCTGCTTTAGAGACAAAGGAACTATGCTCAAGAAAAGTATCTGTTCAGGGCTATACAGTTTTTCAGTGTCAGAGGTAAGTTTTTAACTGACATCTGCCTGAATTCTATGTCTGTGGGCTTCCCCATTGGGACATTCTGATTTTCACAGTCTAGGAAACAGCTCCAGGGAAACACAGATACTGACCACTGACCCAGAAAACAATCATGGGCATGTTGACACACACACATACACACACACCACAGGAAACCAGAACATTCCATTCCAGTTTTTTGGTTTAAAATTCCTCTGAAAGAACAGCCCAGTGTCAAGGAGCTAAAGGGATCTAGGGCATGAAGTGTGGACCCCTAGGGTGAACGAAGACAGCTCTGGAGCTGAGTGAGTTGAAGTAGCACAGGCAGGTGGTCTGTGTGTTCCTGGGTTGGTGGGTTTCTTGAATGTTGAGTTCCTTGGTTAGAGGATTTCTTGGCTAGATGTCTCAGCGGTTGAATTTCTTGCCTGATGGCTGACTTGGCTGGTTAGTGTTTGGTGAGTGGCTCGGTTGGGGAGCGGACCCCTGGGTTGCTATGCCTAGACTTCATTAATATAGGACCAAGCCATAAATGATGCCTAAGCCAATCATTACCACGAATGCACCGAACCAACCAGTTCGGCCTGAGTTGATGTAAGCCTCTTCCCATTCACTGTTCTGGTTGGCCTTCATAGTCTGTAGGGGTGGAAGCATAGATGTGGGTTTCTGTGTCCAGGAACCCTGGGGAGAACGGTTGGAGACCTGCAGTCACTGAGGGAAAGCCCCTATGCAGGTCCCAGGATAGGAGCAGATGCAGGGGCCAAATGGAGGACAGGGTAGGCTGGGTGCAGTGGCTCACGCCTGTAATGCCAGCACTTTGGGAGGCCAAGGCGGGTGGATCACAAGGTCAGAAGCTCGAGACCAGCCTGGCCAGCATGGTGAAACCCCGTCTCTACTAAAAATACAAAAATGAGCCGGGCACTGTGGCTCATGTCTGTAATCCCAGCTACTCAGGAGGCTGAGGCAGGAGAATTGCTGGAACCGGGAAGGCAGAGATTGCAGTGAGCCGAGATTGCACCACTGCACTCCAGCCTGGGGGACAGAGTGAGACTGGGTCTCAAAAAGAAAAAAAAAAAAAAAAAAGGACGGGGGCTATGACTTGGGCATTATTTTACCTCATAAGAGAAGTACAAAGCTGCCAATCCAAATGGAGGGAATAAAAGTATAGCAAAGATGGTCAAACATAGGTAGTTTGGGGCGTAAAATGCTAGTTCCTCTGGTGTCTGTGTAGGCTCTTGCGGCTCCTGGGGCACCTCAGCTGGGGCACCTGGACCACCTGTGGTAGTGGGAGAACCTGGGGCAGCTGAAGCACCTGGATCACCTGTGGTAGGGGGGGCGTCTGGGGTAGCTGGCGCGTTGGGAGCAGGCTGGGTGGCAGAAGGTGGTTTCAGGGCCATGACCTTTCCCCTCAAAGACGGACTCCGAGTGTCTTGAAAACGGAGCGCCAGACCCACTAGGCTTCCCCTTGTACTAACCAGACTCCCAGGACCCAAACCATCAAAGGCTGAAGCTTCGCAATGGAGAAACCAGCACCCCACGTCCTGATTGGCTGCCTAGTTAGGGGGCGTGGCCCCGCCGTTCTCGCCCACCCCAAGACACAGAGAGTGCAGCCAATCAGGAAGTGGGCTCCGCCCACCCTGGTAGGGATTGGTTGGAAGCCTAAGTGGTGGCTCTCGGCTCCTCCTCCTCCCACTGATCTCTCTCTGCAGCCTGCGCGGATGGGCGATGTCAGGAGGGTCTCCCAGGAGTTGTGGAAGAGAGAAACTAGACACGCCCAGTAAGAGTAAGAGATTTACTGAGGGGAGGAAAATGAGTAGTGTCAGAAGTGGATTGTAAAGTCTTGAATTAAAAATGAATTCCGGCTGGGCGCAGTGGCTCATGCCTGTAATCCCAACACTTTGGGAGGCCAAAGCGGGCGGATTACCTGCGATCAGGAGTTCGAGACTAGCCTGACCAACGTGGTGAAACCCCGTCTCTACTAAAAATACAAAAATTAACCGGGTGTGGTGGCAGGCGCCCGTAATCCCAGCTACTAGGGAGGATGAGGCAGGAGAATCGTTTGAACCCGGGAGGCGGAGGTTGCAGTGATTCGAGATCACACTGCACACTCCAGCCTGGGTGACAGAGTGAGACTCCATCTCAAGAAAAAATGACAAAAAAAAAAAAAAAAAAGAATTCCTTGGTTTATGCTGACAGAAAGAAAAAAGGAAAGAATAGAGAAAGAAGGGGAAAAGGGGGAAGATCTTTCTTAAAGTAGAACACAACCTAATGGAACGATGGAACAGGAAATCCCCAATGTGGTAGGCAGAACTCTGAGATGACCCGAAGATTCCTGCTCCCTGGTGTACACACTCCTTCTCCAGTCACTCAGTCAAGTACTAGTCTGTATGCTGCTGGGAAGGCGTCTTGCAGACGTAGGTAGGGTCTGAAATCAGTTAACTTTAAGTTAGGAAGAATATCCTCTGGGGGCCTCACCTAATGAGGTGAGTTCTTGAAAAGGACTGAGTCTTCCTGGCAAAAGAGGTTTCAGGTGTGAGAGGATTGGAGGCAAGCAAAGGTCTCCATTGCTGGCATGAAGATGTCACCAGGGCCACGTAGGGAGGAATCCAGGCAGCCTCTGGCTGAGAATGGCTCCCAGCTGACAGCCAGCAAGGAAACGGGGTCCTTAGTACTGCAACAGCAAGGATGTGAATCCTGCTGTAATCACATTCATTTGGAAGAGGATCCTGAGCTCCACATGAGAACCCAGCCCAGCTGACACCTTAATTTTAGCTTTGGTAGATTCTGAGCAGAGAAGCAGCCATTCTGACCTACAGAACTGTGAGTTAATACCTGTGGGGAATTTGTTATGCACCATTAGAGAACATTTTCAAATACCATAGTAATTGCTGATTCAGGTAGGAGCTTTTAATGAATGCTAATACTGTGGGGTTTTAGCTGATGCTTCCTTTAGCTGGTGGTTCTAGGGGAGTAGAGGGTTTGAGGAGCCACTTTTCAGGAAGTTGGGGGTGGGTGGGAGGTGACACTGTGCAGTCCACAAATGTAGACCTTAGTATGGCTAGTCCAAGACACAACCTGGGTATTTAAGACCAGTCCTGGACCTAGAAGTAGTTAGAAGAACAGTGACAACACATGCAATCCAGAAGTCAGGATATTCTTCATGGAGGAAATTGATTCAGAGCCTTTCAAAGGACCAAGTGGATGTTCCAGGACAACAGAACATGGGGCGCCGAGGTGGGGGAAGACAGAAGTGAAGGTTGGGTGAGATGAAGCATGTGTATTGGTTGCTGGCAAGTCCCTTGGATAGTGGAACAAACAAACTAAGACAGGCTTAGAAACAAGTACATGGACAAGTGTGTCAAGCCCTGAGACATGTACTCCAGCTCTGAAGGCGGGAATGAATTAGCTCCTTTGGTAAGGGCAGTATCAGAGGATCAGCAGAAGCAGTGGCCATATTGCAGGGATCCAGGCAGTGAGCAAGAAAGGGGTAGTATAGACAATGTAGACATTTCTTCCAAGAGCTTGGAGGCGAAAGAGTAAGGAGAGCAGTGCCACAGCTGAGAAGAACATGGGTTCCAGTTTCTGGAATGTTGTAAGCCAACACCTGGTTTCAGAGAGCCATGGATTGAGTGTGAGGTGTGGAATTGGAGACAGTGTATACATTTGCTTCAAGAATTTTGCCTATGGCTGGGTGCAGTGGCTCATGCCTGTAATCCCAGCACTTTGGGAGGCCAAGGTGGGTGGATCACGAGGTCAGGAGTTCAAGACAAGCCTGGCCAAGATGGTGAAACCCTGTCTCTACTAAAAATACAAAATTTAGCCAGATGTGGTGGTGGGTGCCTGTAATCCCAGCTACTTGGGAAGCTGAGGCAGAAAATTGCTTGAACCCGGGAGGTGGAGTTTGCAGTGAACCAAGATTGTGTCACTGCACTCCAGCCTGGGTGACAGAGTGAGACTCCGTTTCAAAAAAAAAAAAGTTTGCCTATGAAGAGCCAGGAAAGGCAGGACTAGGGTAGATGCAAAAGGGTGAGAATGATGATTTTGCTTGTTTGTTTTAAAGATAGGAGGGACTTGAGCGTATGGAACTGAAATGGAGACTCTGTCAAGATGGTAGCATGGGTCTATGTTCTGCCCCCTTTTTTGTCTCTGGAATTAAAAACCAAAAACCAGATCCATAACTTGAGGGGGCTGAGTGATGAAAGGGTTTTGTTTTTTTAAAAAAAATTTTTGGTGGGAAAGGTGAGAGAGACCATGTCTCAATAAGAGAGAGATATGGGAGAGATGTCTTTTTTTTTTTTTTTTCTTGAGATGGAGTTTTGCTCTTGTTGCCCAGGGCGGAGTGCAATGGTGCAACCTTGGCTCACTGAAACCTCCACCTCCTGGGTTCTAAGTGATTTTCCTGCCTGAGCCTCCCGAGTAGCTGGGATTACAGGTGCCCACCACCATGCTTGGCTTATTTTTGTATTTTTAGTAGATATGGGGTTTCACCACGTTGGCCAGGCTGGTGTTGAACTCCTGACCTCAAGTGATCCACCCACCTTGGCCTCCCAAAGTGCTAGGATTACAGGAATGAGCCACCATGCCCAGCCAGGAGAGATGTCTTAATGGGGGCGAGGTAGTTCTTTTATACTGTCTATAGCTCTAACACCTAGAGCAGAGCCCAACACATAGTAGTAGGTGCTCAGTAAACATGGGCTGAATAAACACACCTTGGAACTAGACTACCTAGGTTTGGATCCCCACCATGCCACTAACTAGCAATATCACCTTGTGCAACCTCTCTGTGTACCAGTTTTCTCATCTTTAAAATGAGAATAATAATTATTTCTCTCTTGTTTCATTGTGAGGATTAAATTAATGTATGTAAGTGGTATTGAACAGTGCATGGAACAAAATGTGCACTCTATAAGGTGATAATGGCTAAGGGGAGAGGATCACATGAGACCAGGATAGTGAAACCTAGCCCGATCAATACAGTGGGACCATGTATCTAGAAAAAAAATGTATATATTTTAGACAGATATATATATATATCAGGCTCTGAGGGCAGGCTTCTGTATTCTCAGCTGCTTGGGAGGGTGTGATGGGAGGTTTGCTTTTGCTCAGGAATTTGAGGCTGTGGTGAGCCATGGTCGCACCCCTCTACTCCAGCCTGGACAAGAGGGAGACCTTGTCTCAAGAAAAAAAAAGAGATAATAATGATGAATGAGTGGGGTTCAGAGCATGTGAGAATCATTTGAAAATAATGGCCAGGAGTTCAAGATTGGCCTGGCCAACATGGTGAAACCTGTCTCTACTAAAAATACAAAAATTAGCTGGGCTTGGTGGTGGTTACCTGTAGCCCCAAGCTACTTGGGATGCTGAGGCAGGAGAATTGCTTGAGCCCGGGAGGCAGAGGTTGC
The DNA here is from genome assembly GCF_000001405.40 of Homo sapiens. Classification (NCBI taxonomy): domain Eukaryota; kingdom Metazoa; phylum Chordata; class Mammalia; order Primates; family Hominidae; genus Homo; species Homo sapiens. The sequence goes on along the minus strand of NC_000019.10, from coordinate 35,582,254 downwards.
AGTGAGCTGAGATCATGCCACTGCACTCCAGCCTGGGTGACAGAGCGAGGCTCCATCTCCAAAAAGAAAAAAAAAAAAAAAGAGAGAGAGAGAGAGATCCAATTGTTCTAGCACCATTTGTTGGATCTCCTTTTCACATTGAATGGTTTTGCCACTTTTGTCAAAAATCACTTGACCATAAATATGAAAGTTATTTCTGGACTTTCAATTTTGCTTCATTGAGCTATACGTCCATCCTTATGCCAGTACCACACTGTCTTTATTCCTATAGCTTTGTAATCAGGAATAAATTTTGAAATTGGTAACTGGAAGTCCTCCAACTTTATTTTACTTTTTCAACATTGCTAGGTTATTCTGCATCCTTTTCATTTCCACATGACTTTTAGGATCAACTTGTCAAATTCTGCAAAAAAAAAAAAACAAGCCAGTTGAGGTTTCGATAAAGATTGCATTGACTCTTTAGGTCAATTAGGGGAGTACTGCCATTTTGCTAACATTGAGTTTTCCAAACCATGAACATGGGATGCCACTCCATTTATTTAGATCTTTAAATTTTTAAAGGAATGATTTATAGTTTGTTTGTTTGCTTGTTTGTTTGTTTTTTTGAGGCAGAGTCTCACTCTATTGCCCAGGCTGGAGTGCAGCGGCGTGATCTCGGCTCACTGCAAGCTCCGCCTCCCAGGTTCATGCCATTCTCCTGCCTCAGCCTCCCGAGTAGCTGGGACTACAGGCGCCTGCCACTACGCCCGGCTAATTTTTTTGTATTTTTAGTAGAGACGGGGTTTCACCGTGTTAGCCAGGATGGTCTCGATCTCCTGACCTCATGATCCGCCCACCTCGGCCTCCCAAAGTGCTAGGATTACAGGCGTGAGCCATCACGCCGCCAGCCAAGATTTATAGTTTTTATTGTACAACTCTTGTATTTTTGTTAAATTTATTACTTTTTTTAATTGAATTTCTTCTTTTTTTTTTTTTGAGATAGCCTCTCTCTGTTACCCAAGCTGGAGTGCAGTGGTGCGATCGTGGCTCACTGCAACCTTCACTTCCCAGGTTCAAGCAATTCTCCTGCCTCAGCCTCCCAAGTAGCTAGGATTACAGGCACCCGCCACCATGCCCAGCTGATTTTTGTATTTTTTTTTAGTAGAGACAGGGTTTCACCATGTTGCCCAAACTCGTCTTGAAGTCCTGACTTCAGATGATCTGCCCGCCTCGGCCTAACAAAGTGCTGGGATTACAGGCATAAGTCACCACGCCCAGCCTGAATTTATTATTCTTTTTGATCCTATTGGGAATGAATTCATTTTATTAATTTCATTTTTTGATTGTTCATTGGTAGCTTATTGACATACAATTGATTTTTGGATATTGATCTTGTGCAGCATTGCTGGACTCATTTCTTCTAGTAGTTATTTGTGGATTCATTAGAGTTTTCTACAAGCAAATTTAAGTCAACTGTGGGTCAAAACAGTTTTTTCTTCTTCCTTTCCAACCCAGATGCCTTTTATTTCTTTTTATTGACTAATTGTACTGGCTAGGACCTCCACTATACTGTTGAATAAAAGTGGTGAGAATGAACATTCTTGTTTTGTTCCCTATCTTAGCCAGGAAGAATTTAGTCTTTCTTTTCTTTTATTTATTTATTTTTTTTGAGACAGAGTCTTGCTCTGTCGCCCAGGCTGGAGTGCAGTGGCATGATCTCGGCTCACTGCAAGCTCCACCTCCTGGGTTCATGCCATTCTCCTGCCTCAGCCTCCCGAGTAGCTGGGACTACAGGCACCCGCCACCACGCCTGGCTGATTTTTTTGTATTTTTTAGTAGAGACGGGGTTTCACCGTGTTAGCCAGGATGGTCTCGATCTCCTGACCTCGTGATCCACCTGCCTTGGCCTCCCAAAGTGCTGGGATTACAGGCGTGAGCCACCGCGCCCACCCGGAAATTAGTCTTTCACTCCAGCCTGGGCGACAGAGTGAGACTCCATCTCAAAAAAAAAAAAAGTGTCTTCTTTTACAGGGGCAGGTGCAACGGCTCACATCTGTAATCCCAACACTCTGGGAGGCCAAGGCAGGAGGATTGCTTGAGCCCAGGAGTTTGAGGCTGCAGTGAGCTGCAATCTCACCTGGGTGACAGAGTGAGACCCCATCTTTAAAATAAATGAATAAAATTTATTCTTTTACTATGGTGTGTTACATTAATTGATTTTCAGAAGTTAAACCAATCTTGCATTTCTGGGGTAAATCCCACTTGATCATGGTGTATAACCCTTTTTATATATTGCTGTATTGGGCTTACTGATATTTTACCAATGACTTTTATATCATATTTATGAAAGAGATTGGTCTCTAGTTGTCTTGAGATGCCACTGTCTGGCTTTGATATTAGGGTAATACTGACCTCATATAATAAGCTGGGAAAGTGCTCCCTTTCTCCATATTTTGGAACAGATTGTAGAGAATTAATATTATTTATGCTTTAATGTTTTGTGAAATTCACCAATGAAACCATCTAGGCCTGAGCTTTTCTTTGCGGGAGTATTTTAAATTACAAATCTCTTTTTATTTGTTATACATCTATTCAGATTTTCTATTTCTTCTTGAGTTGGTTTTGGTAATTCATCTAAGAATTTTTAGCTGTCATCTAAGCTGTCTAATTTGTTGCCATACGTTGCTTGTGATATTCCCCTTTATTTATTTATTTATTTTTAAATTTTCGAGATGGAGTCTCGCTCTGTTGCCTAGGCTGGAGTGCAGTGGCACAATCTTGGCTCACTGCAACCTCTGCTTCCCGGGTTTAAGAGATTCTCCTGCCTCAGCCTCCCGAGTAGCTGGGATTACAGGTGCGTGCCACCATGCCCAGTTAATTTTTCCTGTTTTTAGTAGAGACAGGGTTTCACCATGTTGCCCAGGCTGGTCTGGAATTCCTGACCTCAGGTGACCCTATCTGCCTGCCTTGGTCTTCCAAAGTGCTGGGATTACAGGCGTGAGCCACCGTGCCTGGCCTCATGTCTTCTCTTTTTAGACCATATAGGGTAACTTCCTGATGTTGCCATGGCATTTGTAAGCTGCCATGGCGCTGGTGGGAGTGTCTCTTAGCATGCTAATGCATTCTAATTAGTGTATAATGAGCAGTGGGGATGACCACAGGTTACTCTCATCGCCACTTTTTGTTTTTGGTGGGTTTTAGCTGGCTTCTTTACTGTAACCTGTTTTATCAGCAAAGTCTTTATGATCTGTATTTTGTGCCAACCTCCTATCTCATCGTGTGACTTAGAATGCCTTAGCTGTCTGGGAATGCAGCCCAGTAGACGTCAGCCTCATTTTACTCAGCCCCATTCAAGATGGAGTTGCTCTGGTTCACATGCCTCTGACGCTAGCAAGTGCTTTCAATTTGATTCGAAGACTCAATGTCTGTTTTTAGGTTACATGAAACTATTTTATTTTTTCCCGTTGTTCCTTTTGCTATTTTCAGAGCTGGTTTCTCTTTCTTGCTTTCTTGAAACTCTCTTGGTTTCTGCCATTGGCCTTCACGTAGCTCCCTGTTTCTTCTCTACCAGCCCCCAAAAGCCACGGCTCCTGGATCTCAGGGGTCCTGGTGGGGCCCAGGCAGGAGAGGAGCATCCAAGTATGCAGGAGCACACAGCCAATGGCTGTGGGAAATGTGGTAAGAGCCCCACCAGAAAAACAGCAAAGGAGCCAGTCTGGAGTTAAAACTCAAGGAAAGTGTTCCCTGTTCACTCCATCCATGCCAATATCTATTATTTTTTGAGTTTTTGATTATGGCCATTCTTGCAGGAATAAGGTGGTATCGCATTGTGGTTTTGATTTGCATTTCCCTGATTGCTGGTGGGAATGTAAACTAGTATAACTATGGAAAACAGTGTGGAGATTCCTTAAAGAACTAAAAGTAGAACTACCATTTGATCCAGCAATCCCACTACTGGGTATCTACTCAAAGGAAAAGAAGTCATTATGTGAAAAAGATACTTGTACACACATGTTTATAGCAGCACAATTTGCAATTGCAAAAATGTGGAGCCAACCCAGATGCCCATCAATGAATGAGTGGATAAAGAAACTGATTTTACATATATATATGGTGGAATACTACTCAGCCATGAAAAGGAATGAATTAATGGCATTCACAGCAACCTGGATGGGATTGGAGACTATTATTCTATCTGAGTTATGGTCTTGTCTGCCTTAGTTACCATGTGGCCCTCAGGGGCCAGCCTGGGCCTAATGTACAGTAGCCTCCTAATAGTGATAAATCTGCCCATTATACTTATATTCAATCTGGATGTGAGATCCACACACTATATATTGAACCCATCAGGCGTTCAAACTGGCAACAACAACAAAAAGGAAGAGTGGCTGGGCACAGTGATTCACGCCTGTAATCCCAACATTTTGGGAGGCCGAGGCAGGAGGATTGCTTGAGGCCAGGAGTTCAAGACCAGACTGGGCAACATAGTGAGACCTCTACAAAAAATAAATAAATAGGCCGGGCACAGTGGCTCACGCCTGTAATTCCAGCACTTTGGGAGGCTGAGAAAACAGTGGGGGTGTGTGAGTTTGCGGGGCAAGGAGGGGTAGGGAGAGTTTAGAGGAGGAAAGTGCAACAGCCAGAGGGGAGCAGGGAGGGGGTTGTGAGAGGCTAGAGGAGGGTGGCGTGGGTGTTCCAGAGCCAGCAAGGCTACTCTACAGGAGCACGGGGCTGTGGTGGGTTCTGGCTTGGAGCGCTGTCCCCTGGCTTGGGACAGTGTCAACTTTCAGTACCTTTCTAGCCAGAGGGGTTGGTTTGGGTGGTCTCAGTTGCTTGGGGACTCAGATGTCCCCTTCCCGGACCCCATGACCCCTGTCTGCAGATTCCACTCACCCAGCATCTCCTCCTCAGGCCAAGGCCTATGGCTACTGCAATGAGCCCCAGGGACTTGAAGTCCCTGGTCACCCCGATGCAGCCACTCATCCCCATGCAGCCCTTCATCCCAGTGCAGCTGCTCGCCCCAATGCAACCAGTCACCCTGATGCCCTTGTGTCCTCCAGAAAGAGACTATTTACTGCTCGCTGTCGTATCCTTCTTCTGCGTCCTGCTGGCAATCCCCGCTCTGGTGTTCTCCCTCAGGATGGGCACCACCCAGCTACCAACTCTCTTTGTCCCCAGATCTTCTTTCTCTTTCCTGCCGATGCCCTGCTTCTCCCCAGGGACCTCTTCGTGTTTCTCGGGGATTTGCCTCCTCCCTCTTCACCATCTGCTTGCCCTTGCACCTCTCCAGGGCCACCTCTCTGCTCCTCCCTCTGTATTCTGCCTAGATCTACTCCCTCATCCTGGCTCCCTGGTTTCTTCCTTTTTCCTCTGGGAGACTGAGCCCTGCCCTGACCTCCATCATGCCATCATCCTGATCTTGCCCTCTTCACCTCTCCCCAGGGATTTTCTTCCCCCTCCCCATCTTGGAAACATTCACACCAGCTTGCCTTTACCCCCACAGACCCAGGAAGCCAACTTCCTTGGGAATCAGAGAAAAGCACAGATCAATTCCAGACTACTTTTTGGATTCAGCATCACCAGCATCCTGGTGGGCTGCATTGTGATCATTTGCTCCATTGTGATCAAAAGCTTGAAACAGAAAATAGGAAAGCCTGCCTCCCTCAGTGAGTAATGGACTGTTCCCCCTGGAGCATTTGAACTAGGACATCAGTGACTGCCTGTGTTGGAGGAAGTCCCCCCTCCTGTCCAGGAGACAGGATTGCTCAGTTATTACTCCTGCCTTATATTAAGATTGGAAATAGTAAAATAAAAAGAATAGGAGAGTTTGGAAGCACTGATCCGACAGGAAAGGCTGCATATTGGGCAAGTCAGGTCTCAGAAAACAGACCTGTGTGTAAGGCCATTATTCAAGGAAAACAGTTTGAAGGGTTAGTAGACACTGGAGCAGATGTCTCTATCATTGCTTTCAATCAGTGGCCAAAAAATTGGCCTAAACAAAGGCTGTTATAGGACTTATCGGCGTAGGCACAGCCTCAGAAGTGTATCAAAGTACTAAGATTTTACATTGTTTAGGGTCAGATAATCAAGAAAGTACTGTTCAGCCAATGACTACTTCGATTCCTCTTAATCTGTGGGGTCGAGATTTATTACAACAACGGGGTGCGGAAATCACTATGCCTGCTCCATTATACAGCCCCGCAAATCAAAAAATCATGACTGAGATGGGATATATACCAGGAAAGGGACTAGGAAAAAATGAAAATGGCATTAAAGTCCCAATTGAGACTAAAAGAAATTAAGAAAGAGAAGGAATAGGGTATCCTTTTTAGGGGCAACTCACCTCTTCATCTGGCACCCAGCATGGGGCACGAATCCACAACCCTGAGATTAAGAGTCTTATGCTCTACCGACTGAGCTAGCTGGGCTTCTTGCCCATTTAAAGTTTGAGAATAGGTTGAGATCGTTTCGGCCCCAAGACCTCTAAGGCACTCACATTCCATTGACTGCTGGCGATGGCCGGGTATGGGCCTGATGCTCCAGTGCCATCCATTTTCAGGGCTAGTTGATTCGGCAGGTGAGTTGTTACACACTCCTTAGTGGATTCTGACTTCCATGGCCACCGTCCTGCTGTCTATATCAACCAACACCTTTTCTGGGGTCTGATGAGCGAGTAATCAAAACTCAATATCAATTGACTCAAAGAGCAGAGTTGGTTGCAGTCATTACAGTGTTACAAGATTTTGATCAACCTATCAATATTGTATCAGATTCTGCATATGTAGTACAGGCTACAAGGGATGTTGAGACAGCTCTAATCAAATATAGCATGGATGATCAGTTAAACCAGCTATTCAATTTATTACAACAAACTGTAAGAAAAAGAAATTTCCCATTTTATGTTACTCATATTCGAGCACACACTAATTTACTAGGGCCTTTGACTAAAGCAAATTAACAAGCTGACTTACTGGTATCATCTGCATTCATAAAAGCACAAGAACTTCATGCTTTAACTCATGTAAATGCAGCAGGATTAAAAAACAAATTTGATGTCACATGGAAACAGGCAAAAGATACTGTACCACATTGCACCCAGTGTCAAGTCCTACACCTGCCCACTCAAGAGGCAGGAGTTAATCCCAGAGGTCTGTGTCCTAATGTGTTATGGCAAATGGATGTCACACATGTACCTTCATTCGGAAGATTATCATATGTTCATGTAACAGTTGATACTTATTCACATTTCATATGGGCAACTTGCCAGACAGGAGAAAGTACTTCTTATGTTAAAAAACATTTATTATCTTGTTTTGCTGTAATGGGAGTTCCAGAAAAAATCAAAACTAACAATGGACCAGGATACTGTAGTAAAGCTTTCCAAGAAAATTACACATACAACAGGAATTCCCTATAATTCCCAAGGACAGGCCATAGTTGAAAGAACTAATAGAACACTCAAAACTCAATTAGTTAAACAAAAAGAAGGGGGAGACAGTAAGGAGTGTACCACTCCTCAGATGCAACTTAGTCTAGCACTCTATACTTTAAATTTTTTAAACATTTATAGAAATCAGACTACTACTTCTGCAGAACATCTTACTGGTAAAAAGAACAGCCCACATGAAGGAAAACTGATTTGGTGGAAAGATAATAAAAATAAGACATGGGAAATATGGAAGGTGGTAACGTGGGGGAGAGGTTTTGCTTGCGTTTCACCAGGAGAAAATCAGCGTCCTGTTTGGATACCCACTAGACATTTGAAGTTCTACAATGAACCCATCAGAGATGCAAAGAAAAGCACCTCCACGGAGACGGAGACACCGCAATCGAGCACCGTCATCGAGAACCATCGACTCAGAAGATGAACAGAATGGTGATGTCAGAAGAACAGATGAAGTTGCCATCCACCAAGAAGGCAGAGCTGCTGACTTGGGCACAATTAAAGAAGCTGACACAGTTAGCTACAAAATATCTAGAGAACACAAAGGTGACACAAACTCCAGAGAGTATGCTGCTTGCAGCTTTGATGATTGTATCAATGGTGGTAAGTCTCCCTATGCCTGCAGGAGCAGCTGCAGCTAATTATAATTACTGGGCCTATGTGCCTTTCCCGCCCTTAATTCAGGCAGTCACATGGATGGATAATCCTATGGAAGTATATGTTAATGATAGTGTATGGGTACCTGGTCCAACAGATGATCGTTGCCCTGCCAAACCTGAGGAAGAAGGGATGATGATAAATATTTTCATTGGGTATCATTATCCTCCTATTTGCCTGGGGAGAGCACCAGGATGTTTAATGCCTGCAGTCCAAAATTGGTTGGTAGAAGTACCTACTGTCAGTCCCATCAGAAGATTCACTTATCACATGGTAAGCGGGATGTCGCTCAGGCCACAGGTAAATTATTTACAAGACTTTTCTTATCAAAGATCATTAAAATTTAGACCTAAAGGGAAACCTTGCCCCGAGGAAATTTCCAAAGGATCAAAAAATGTAGAAGCTTTAGTTTGGGAAGAATGTGTGGCCAATAGTGCAGTGATATTACAAAACAGTGAATTCCGAACTATTATAGATTGGGCACCTCGAGGTCAATTCTACCACAATTGCACAGGACAAACTCAGTCGTGTCCCAGTGCACAAGTGAGTCCAACTGTTGATAGCGACTTCATAGAAAGTTTAGACGAACATAAGCATAAAAAATTACAGTCTTTCTACCCTTGGAAATGGGGAGAAAAAGGAATCTCTACCCCATGACCAAAAATAATAAGTCCTGTTTCTGGTCCTGAACATCCAGAATGGTGGAGGCTTAGTGTAGCCTCATACTACATTAGAATTTGGTCTGGAAATCAAACTTTAGAAACGAGATCATAAGCCATTTTATACTATCGACCTAAATTCCAGTCTAACAGTTCCTTTACAAAGCTGTGTAAAGTCCCTTTATATGCTAGTTATAGGAAATATAGTTATTAAACCAGACTCTCAAACTATAACCTGTGAAAACTGCAGATTGTTTACTTGCATTGATTCAACTTTTAATTGGCAACACCGTATTCTGCTGGTGAGAGCAAGGGAAGGCGTGTGGATCCTTGTGTCCATGGACCGACTGTGGGAGGCCTCACCATCCGTTCATATTTTGACTGAAGTATTAAAAGGCGTTTTAAATAGATCCAAAAGATTCATTTTTACTTTAATTACAGTGATTATGGGATTAATTGCAGTCACAGCTATGGCTGCTGTGGCAGGAGTTGCATTGCACTCTTCTGTTCAGTCAGTAAACTTTGTTAATGATTGGCAAAAAAGTTCTACAAGATTGTGGAATTCACAATCTAGTATTGATCAAAAATTGGCAAACCAAATTAATGATCTTAGACAAACTGTCATTTGGATGGGAGACAGGCTCATGAGCTTAGAACATCGTTTCCAGTTACAGTGTGACTGGAATACGTCAGATTTTTGTATTACACCCCAAGTTTATAATGAGTCTGAGCATCACTGGGACATGGTTAGACGCCATCTACAGGGAAGAGAAGATAATCTCACTTTAGACATTTCCAAATTAAAAGAACAAATTTCCAAAACATCAAAAGCCCATTTAAATTTGGTGCCAGGAACTGAGGCAATTGCAGGAGTTGCTGATGGCCTCGTAAATCTTAACCCTGTCACTTGGGTTAAGACCATCGGAAGTACTATAATTATAAATTTCATATTAATCCTTGTGTGCCTGTTCTGTCTGTTGTTAGTCTGCAGGGGTACCCAACAGCTCCGAAGAGACAGCGACCATCGAGAAAGAGCCATGATGACGATGGCGGTTTTGTTGAAAAGAAAAGGGGGAAATATGGGGAAAAGAAAGAGAGATCAGATTGTTACTGTGTCTGTGTAGAAAGAAGTAGACACAGGAGACTCCATTTTGTTCTGTACTAAGAAAAATTCTTCTGCCTTGAGATGCTATTAATCTGTAACCCACCCCTTCATCCATCAGCATTTTTAAGAGCAGTAAAGTTTATGAGGAGGTTTCCACTTTCTGATTCATCTGTTGCATGCACGTATGTGTGCCCACATGTTCACATCTCCTGTGTGTCCACGTTGCCAGATACCATGGGACTCTCATATATTCAATGAACATTTATTGGGTAACAGTGCCAGGCACTGTTTTAAGCCTCAGTGGTTCAGCACTGATTCAGGCAGATGAGGTACAATTCAAGATGAGATTTGGGTGGGGACACAGCAAATCATATCAGATGTATACCACTTTTATCTTTTATACTGTACTTTTACTGTATCTTTTCTATGTTCAGATATGTTTAGATACACAAATACTTACCATTGTGTTATAAGTTGCCTACAGTATTCAATACAGTAAGGTGCTGTGCAGGTTTGTAGCCTAGGAGCAAAAGGCTATCCCATATAGCCTAGGTGTGCAGTAGGCTCTCCATTTAGGTTTGTGTGAGTACAAGCTATGATGTTCAAACAATGATGACATCACCTAACAATGCATTTCTCAGAACTTATCCCCATTGAGTGACTGGATTTCTCAGAACTTATCCCCATTGAGTGACTGGATTAAAGCAATGAGTGACTGGATTTAAAATTCAAACTGAGCATTTTTTAGACTGAAAGGGGAGTTCAGAATAACTTGCTAGGACCAGACCTAACTGGAAGCACTGGCAAACCAAGAGGTAGTGCTTCCTGGAGAACAGGGATGGGTTTAGGGAGACAGAAGAAGACAACAGGGGTTGGGCACGGTGGCTCATGCCTGTAATCCCAGTACTTTGGGAGACCAAGGTGGGTGATTTACTTGAGGTCAGGAGTTTGAGACCAGCCTAGCCAACATGGTGAAACCCTGCCTCTATTAAAAATACAAAAATTAGCTGGGCATGGTGGTGCATGCTTGTAATCCCAGCTACTCAAGAAGCTGAGGTGGGAGGATCCCAACCTAGGAGGTGGAGGTTGTTGTGAGCTGAGATCACACCGCTGCACTCCAGCCTGGGTGACAGAGTGAGACTCCATCTCAAAAAAAAAAAAAAAAAAAGCAGCCAACAGGATACTTTGAGGGCTAGCAAGGGTATCATAGAGGTCAGTGGGGGCATTGCAGGGTTCTTTTCCCACAACAAAGGCCAAGTTCACTGTGGGTTGAGTGTTCCCAGCACATTCCTGTTGATGGGATTGATTCTGTTGGTCCCCATTCCTTCGCATCTGCTGATCCTTCTCAGTCCTTCTGCAGACCCTGCCCCTCCCTCCACCAGGGTTCATGCCTGTGTGACTGACCTCCGGAGCCCAGAGGTCAAAGTCATGGAGATGACCATCTACAAAATGCCTTTAAGTGTTCCTGTGAATGACTGCCTGCCTCTCTGCATCTTTTTCATCTTTTGTTTCTTCCTGCTAGGAATACTTGCCATTGTGCCATCCTGCTTGGTGGGTGGAGAGTGACCCTCTGTCCCCCATGGTGAAACATCCCCTGACCCACCTTATACCCCTTTCCATGGATGCCTCGGAAGCTTCCCCTCTTCTCTAGATACCAGCCCCAACCCCTTCTCCATCCCACCCTTCCTGCTGCCCTGGGACTTGTCCCCACTTTGTTCACAGTCTGCCAACCCCACTTCTTCCCAAGGTCTCCCAGCATGCCCTCCTACCTGGGCGTGCCCAGGATCCCCGCACTGTCTTCCTGCATTGCCTCCTCCTCTCCTCTGCTGAATCCTCCCTCCCCCAACCCTGATCATGGCCTTCAGTTTCACTCCAGGTGGCCCTTCTGCAATTTCACCCCTTCTTAGAAAAACACCCCCATCGGCCTGTCTTCATCTCCATAGGCACGGATAGTGAGCCGTTTGGAAAACGAGGTCAGCACAAAGAGAAATTCCAGGCTAGCTTTGGGCTTCAGCATCAGGGCCATCGTTCTGAGCTTGTTAATGATCCTGCAGGTTCTTGTGACAGCAGACAGCCCAGAAGCAGGAGACCCACGAGCCAGAAGCCCTCTTGCAATCGCCCTGTACCCTTCACAGTTCTAGGAACCACAAGGCCTCCTTGCTCCCCTGGGAATCTTTGAGCTTGGATTTGGACATCAGCGCTCTGCCCTTGCCCCATCCCATGGAGGAAGTCTCTCCACCAGTACCCTTATTTTTTTTATTTTTATTTTTTTTTTGAGCTGGAGTCTCATTCTGTTGCCCAGGCTGGAGTGCAGTGGCACAATCTCGGCTCACTGCCACCTCCACCTCCCAGGTTCCAGTGATTCTCCTGCCTCAGCCTCCCGAGTATCTGGGATTACAGGCGCCCGCTACCATGCCTGGCTGATTTTTGTATTTTTAGCAGAGACGGGGTTTCACCATATTGGCCAGGCTGGTCTCAAACTCCTGATCTCAGGTGATCTGCCCACCTCGGCCTCACAAAGTGCTGGGATTACAGGTGTGAGCCACTGCGCCCGGCCCTGAATATGATTTTTTAAAATCCCAGAGCAAGTACAGCCTGGAAATTTCCTGAAGAAGTGAAGGGCTCTGCACCCAGCCCAGGATGGCTGACCTTTCCAATCTGCACAAAGATGGGAGAGGGACAGAACGCAGGGGCCTGGCTGCCAGCTTAGCTGGGCTGGGGGCCAACTCCTTGACTCCTAGACAATTTTTTCAATTCTGACCACCTGCCCCTGCACCTGGCCTGGAGAGGCGGGAGAAGCAAGGTCCCTGTATGCCCAGCCCCTTGCTTTCATCCTCCCAGGGTCGAGGGGGCGGGGTGACCTGCTCAGGAGGTGAAGGGCATTGCTGGGCCCATTATCTTATCAGGGAGATGCAAACACTGTACCCAAAGTCACAGTCACAATGACTCCTGTCACTTGGCAAACACTCCCCAAGGCCAGCCTGGGCCAGGCAATGCAGGGCACACAGTGGTGACTGAGACATCCTGGGTCCTGCCCTCATGGATCTGGAGGGGGAGATGAAATGTCACCAAAGCATGACAGCCCAGAGTGGTCAGGGCTGTGATGGAGGAATTATAGGGTCAGAGTCGTCAGGACTGGGATGGGGGAAGCACAGGCAGGGAGGTGGGGGCTGTGATGGGGACCCCAGGGGTCTGTGGAAGCCCAGGGAGGTGCCTGACTCAGCCTGGTGGGTAGTCCAAGGCTTCCCGGAGGAAGGATCATCTGTGCTTAACAGGAAAGGTGAGGAGTGGTTAAACATGGGGAGGAGGTAGGGTGCACACTTCAGGTAGAGGAAATTGCATGTGCTGAGGTTTTGAAATGATCCTTTGGAAAAGCAGAAGGCCTGGGCGGGCAGGATCCCAAAGCATGAAAGGGAAAAGTAGAACATGGGAAGGAGGAGGAATAGCCAGGGGTCTGATCCCATCAAGGTTTACAGGGCGCTGGGTTCCTAAGAGTGTGTATGGCTACAATTCTAGGACATTATTGTTCAAATTCCCCTTCAAACCCAAGTAATGTTCACCATCCACATTTTTTTTTTTTTTTGAGACGGAGTTTTGTTCTGTCGCCCAGGCTGGAGTGCAGTGGTGCAATCTTGGCTCACTGCAACCTGCGCCTCCCAGATTCAAGAGGTTCTCCTGCCTCAGCCTCCCGAGTTGCTGGGACTACAGGCACCCGCCACTGCACTTGGCAAATTTTTTTATTTTTTATTTTTTATTTTTTTTGAGATGCAGTCTCACTCTGTCACCCAGGCTGGAGTGCAATGGCGCAATCTTGGCTCACTGCAACCTCCACCTCCCAGGTTCAAGCGATTCTTCTGCCTCAGCCTCCTGAGTAGCTGGGATTACAGGCATGCGCCACCATGCCCAGCTGATTTTTGTATTTTTAGTAGAGACGGGGTTTTACCCTGTTGGTCAGGCTGGTCTTGAACTCCTGACCTCGTGATCCACCCACCTTGGCCTCCCAAAGTGCTGGGATTACAGGCGTGAGCCACTGCGCCCGGCCAGATTTTTGTATTTTTAGTAGAGGCAGGGTTTCACCATGCTGGCCAGGCTGGTCTCGAACTCCTGACCTCCAGTGATATGCCCGCCTCAGCCTCCTAGTGCTGGGATTACAGGTATGAGCCACTGCTCCTGGACCACCGTCCATTTAATAGTCTGTCCTCTGCCCCTCTTTCTCAAGAAAAGAAAATTTTTTTCAATTCTGACCACTAATTGTTCTCAAAAAAGTTTCCAACGTTCTGTGTGCCCCAGGCTCAGAGAAACTTGCACTACTGTGGACCATGTCACACTTGCAACATTCTTGTGAGAAGTTTCTTTGCCCCTGAGTTGTGCTAGGGGTTGTCCATCCGCCTGAAATGGCATCGTGCGGTCCACCCAGGCTGCATTCCAGGGTGCCAAAGACTTGGAACACTTCCCAACTTATCCAGATCCTGCCTGTGGACTAAGGCCTCAGTGTTCACCTCCCAGAGACAGGGGTTAGTATTGCTTAGACACACGGTAAAATAATAAATGACCCAAGCAAAGACCTTCCCCACAAAAACACACAACTTGCATACCATCTGAAGACTGCAAAATTAGGGGAGTAGGTAAAAGTATTTACCCATGAACCTAGCTGAGCAGGGGATGGTCAGAATGGACAAGGGTGGCTGGGCGTGGTGGCTCACACCTGTTATCCCAGCATTTTGGGAGGCTGAAGTGGGCAGATTACTTGAGGTAAGAAGTTGGAGACCAGCCTGGCCAACATGGCAAAACCCCATCTCTACTAAAAATACAAAAATTAGCTGGGCATGGTGGTACGTGCCTGTAGTCCCAGCTACTTGGGAGGCTGAGGCAGGAGAATCGCTTGAACCTAGGAGGTGGAGGTTGCAGTAAGCCAAGATCGTGCCACTGCACTTCAGCCTAGGTGACAGAGCCAGACTCCGTCTCAAAAAAAAAAAAAAAAAAAAAGGACAAGGCCTTGGGACTGGCACAGGCATCCACTTTAAGGGGTTGGGTGTGGGAGGTCTGGAGTCTTAGGGGAAGTGCTGGGGGCTCAGGCAGTGGCTGTATTTCTTTCAATTACTTTAACTACCAGGGCAGCTGGGTGCCAGCCCTGGCTGTGGCACTGTCTTGAGTAAAAATTAAAGAGGGCATAGAATGGTTTCCTGATCACTCCCTAAGGCTCTTGAGACCCCTCCCCACCATGTCCACCCTGCTCTAGACAAGTTACAGACTCCAAAATGGGGCATGGCCTGACACGATGATGCTCTGGGGCAGGGGATGGGGGGGACACACATCCCTTCTGTGTTCCTGCCAGCACACAACCCGAACTTAATCACGAAGAACCAGCAGCAAAGCCACACTGAGCGAAGTCTACAAAATCACTGAATCATACTCTTCCAAAACGCCCAGGTCATGAAAGACAAGGAAAGATGGAGGAATTGTTACGCAATGGAGGAAGCCAAAATGTGAGGTGTGGTCCCGGACTGGATCCTGGACTAGGAAAAGGACATTAGTGGGAAAACTGGGGAAATTCAAATAAATCCTCCAAATCATGGGTGTCCAATCTTTTGGCTTCCCTGGGCCACATTGGAAGAAGAATTGTCCTGGGTCACACATAAAATACATTAACACTATCAATAGCTGATGAGCTAAAAAAAAAAAAAATCGCAAACAAATCTCATAATGTTTTAAGAAAGTCTACGAATTTGTATTGGGCAGCATTCAAAGCAGTCCTGGGCCACATATGGCCTGCAGGCCATGGGTTGGACAAGCTTGCTCTAGATTATTTACTAGTGTTTTATTAATGTTAATTTCCTGAATTTGATTATTAGACTGTGCTTATGTAAGAAAATGTCCTTATTCATAGAAGACACATGCCTAAGTATGGATAAAGGGGATCCTGTCTCCAACTTGCTTCCAAATGATTCAGCCAAAAATTTAAAAAATTCTGGCCAGGCATGGTGGCTCACACCTGTAATCCCAGCACTTTGGGAGGCCAAGGCGGGTGGATCACTTGAGACCAGGAGTTCTAGACCATCCTGGCCAACATGGTGAAACCCCGTCTCTACTAAAAATACAGAAATTAGCTGGGCATGGTGGCGGGTGCCTGTAATCCCAGCTGCTTGGGAGGCTGAGGCACAAGAATTGCTTGAATCCAGGAGACAGAGGTTGCAGTGAGCCGAGATCATGACACTGCACTACAGCCTGGGCGACAGAGAAAGACTCTGTCTCAAAAAGAAAAAAAAAAAAAATCTATCAATCATCTATCATTTATGTATCCATCTATCTGTCTAACATCTCTTATCTATCTATTTTTCTATTTTTTTTTTTTTTTTTTTTTGAGACAGAGTCTCACTCTGTCACCCAGGCTGGAGTGCAGTGGCATGATCTCGGCTCACTGCAACTTTCACCTCCCAGGTTCAAGTGATTCTCCTGCCTCGGCCTCCCTGGTAGCTGGGATTACAGGCACACACCACCACATCCAGCTAATTTTTGTATTTTTAGTAGAGACAGGGTTTCACCATGTTGACCAGGCTGGTCTCGAACTCCTGACCTCATGATCCGTCCACCTCAGCCTTCCAGAGTGCTGGGATTACAGATGTGAGTCACAGTGTCCGGCCCAGTCCTCCTTCTAATGAACACCAAACAAATAAAAAGAAAACACAGTGTCAGGTTGGAGTAGGAGGTGTAAATACAGTGGGGTAAAGGAACAGAACACAGTGTGCAGTATTACAGAATGGACTCTCTGAAGAGGTGACATTTGAGCTGAGACCTGAAAGAGGTGAGAAAGCCAGTGCAGACATCTAAGGAAGGGGGCCCAGGCAGAAGGAACTGTAAGTACCAAGGTCCTGAAGCAGGAACGACCTTGGTCTGTGCAAAGTGCAGCAGAGAGGTCAGTGCCCCTGGAAACCTAGCAGCAACAGAGGCAGGACAGGTGACCAGGGCCAGATGTTGCAGGAAGGAGTGCAGAGTTTATTCTGAGTGGGAAGGGAAGGCTTTGGAGGGTTGTAAGCAGGGGGTGACACAAGCTGTTTGACATACATGGCTCAGAGCTGATGGGAGCCCAGTGAGCGAGTAGATTCACTACAAGGACAGCATGTGGCCCCACGCCACCTCTTCTTTGGAGGTTTCTTCTAGCAGGCTGGGGATGACCAGCCGTGTGGGTGCGGGGAGGAGCTCTGGCTGCCCAACAGCTTTGAGTTTCCCAGGTGACCTGCCCCAGTAGAGAAGGACATTGCCAGGGCAGTTATCTTATCAGGCGCACGCTCACCTGCTCCTGGAGACACGCTCACCCCATAACATACCAAGGTCCCCACCATTCCACTGGCCCAGCCCCTCGCTGCTGCTGCCCATGGAGGTCCCTACCTGAGGGATGAGGAGGGAGTCCCCAGGCCTCCTGGCATCTGTCACCCAACACCAAGATCAAGCCAAGACCCTTGGACACATCCTTTCCCCATGTTGCACCTTGGTTTCCCCATCTAGGGTAGGGACGGGGAATGGTTGAGAGCTGTAAAGTCTGTAGCTGGATATGTGAGTCCCTGTGAGCCTCAGTTTCCCCCTCTGCACAACAGGAATGATAGTTCTGCCTGCACAGGGTTTTTTGCAAAGACCCGTGAGGTCACACGTGCAGAGCCTGGCATGTGTGTGGTGCTGCTGCAGTGAAGTTTGGGTTTTTCCATTGGTGGTGCCATAGAAGAGCTAGGCTCTGGGGTCAAGCCCTGGGGTCAAGCCCGGGCTGGAACCCTGTCCCTAATTCTTAGACGTTGAAATCTTCTGCAAAGTCCCTGATGGGGGCTAAGAAGAGAATATTGCTTTACAGGGCTGCTGTTAGATGCTAAGGAAACCATTTGAGTGACACACAGAGCACACCCAGCCCATAGTGAATAGTCAGAGTTCAGTAAACATTCAGCCACCATAGAGAGTGTTGTAAGCATGGCAGGGCATGGTGGCTCACGCCTGTAATCCCAGCACTTTGGGAGGCCAAGGCGGGTGGATCACCTGAGGTCAGGAGTTCGAGACCAGCCTGGCCAACCTGGTGAAACCCCGTCTCTACTAAAAGTACAAAAATTAGCTGGGTGTGGTGGCATGTGCCTGTAGTCCCAGCTACTCAAGAGGCTGAGGCAGGAGAATCACTTGAACCCGGGAGGCGGAGGTTGCAGCGAGCTGAGATTGCACCACTGCACTCCAACCTGGGTGTCAGAGTGACACTCCATCTCAAAAAAAAAAAGAAAAAAAAAAAGAGTGTGGGAGCACCCTCCTCTTCCAGTTGATCAGGCACGTGCTATTTAGACTGAAAGAGGACACTCTGCAGCCAGCTGATCTGGTTCTCACTCCATTATGTCCTAGCCTGTGATGGAGCCATAGGAGAATGACTCAACCCCTCCATGCCTCAGTTTCCCCATCTGTAAAGGGTCTTGTCCCCTCAAAGGGTTATTGGAAGGTTAAATAAGTTAGCACATGGAAGCCGTCAGCACAATGCCCAGCGCATAATGAGCACCTTATGTTTGCTCTTCTTGTTGCTGCAGCGGTTCCCAGGGGCTCCCTGATCTCAGGGCAGGTTGACATGGGGGGATCTGGGCAGGGGAGGGGGGGGCCAGCCCAGGAGGGAATGCCTGAGGTGCCCAGGCCTAGAGGTCACCCCAAGGAGCCTGTAATCAGCTGTGGTCGGGCGGTTCTGCTCCACCCCACCGCCCTCCCTGGGTATATCAGGACTGGTCCGGGCCCAGGCTCTGTTGGGTGGGAGCACAGGCACCGGGCACCATGGGGAAGGCCGTGAGTGGGGCCCAGGGGTCCGGGGTGCAGTGGGGACAGGGGTTGCAGTGGAATCTGAGTTCTCCCTCCCTCCATCCTGTCCATTCCCAGGAGAACTATGAGCTCTACTCGGTGGAGCTGGGTCCTGGCCCTGGCGGGGACATGGCTGCCAAGATGAGCAAGAAGAAGAAGGCGGGTGGCGGGGGTGGCAAGAGGAAGGAGAAGCTGGAGAACATGAAGAAGGAGATGGAGATTGTGAGCTCTGACTGGGGAGGGGCGGGAGCTGGAGGGTAGGCTGGGAACCAGGCAGTGGGCGGGGAGGGGGCCAGGAGAGCCCAGAGCAAGCACCCTGCCCCACCCCACCACACAGAACGACCACCAGCTGTCAGTGGCGGAGCTGGAACAGAAATACCAGACCAGTGCCACCAAGGTGAGCTGGAGACTGGGAGCGTACAGAAAGGGGAGGAGGAGAGAGGGAGGGAGAGGGAGATGGAAGGAGGGAGATGGAGAGAGGGAGAGAGAGGGAGAGATGAAGAGAGGAAGATATGGAGAAATAGAGAGAGGGAGGGAGGCAGAAAAGGAAAGAGGGAGGGAGGGAGAGAGGAAAGGATGGAGGGAGGGGAGGAGAGAGGGAGGGAGATGGAGAGAGGGAGAGAGAGGGAGAGGGAGAGAAGGGAGAAAGCATTAGAGAGAAAGGGTGACACACAGAGACGGAGAGAGGAGTAGCTGAAAAGAGACAGCAAGACAGAGAAGGCAGAGACAAATAAGGAGAGAGCAGCAGGAGAGAGACACATAGAAAGGGGAGCGAGGAGAGAGAGACAAAGGGAGAGATGAAGGAGGGAGGGAGAGATGGGGTGGGGGCAGGAACCAAGAGACAAAGAGATGAGAAGGAGCAGGACAGACCAAGCTGGAGAAGGGAAACTGAAGCAGGGGGCTTTCCACGGGGTGTGCATGTGGAGGAAAGCCCCCAGGACCGCCTCGCCCTGCCCCTCTGTCCCAGGGCCTCTCTGCGAGCCTGGCTGCTGAGCTGCTGCTGCGGGATGGGCCCAACGCACTGCGGCCACCACGGGGCACCCCAGAGTACGTCAAGTTCGCGAGGCAGCTGGCCGGGGGCCTGCAGTGCCTCATGTGGGTTGCCGCCGCCATCTGCCTCATCGCCTTTGCCATCCAGGCTAGTGAGGGGGACCTCACCACCGACGACAATGTGAGCCATGTTGTGGGGACAGGCTCAGGACATGGGGACCTGGGGATGGAAGACACTGAGCCTGGGACTTGGGACAAGAGGGGCAGAGAAGGATGGGGATAGACGAACACGAAAGGCAGTCTCAAGACAGGGGTCATGGAGGGTGAAGGACATTGGGATATGGATGGGGCAGACCCAAGGACACAGGACACAGGGACACTGGGGTGAATCTTGGGTATGGGGACATAGGTGGGGGCATAAAGAGTATGGCAATGTGATACGTAAGAGATGGGATTTGGAGGCCGGGCGTGTAATCCCATGCCTGTAATCCCAGCACTTTGGGAGGCCGAGGCGGGCAGATCACCTGAGGTCAGGAGTTCGAGACCAGCCTGGCCAACATGGCAAAACCCCATCTCTACTAAAATTACAAAAATTAGCCAGACATGGTGGCGGGCACCTGTAATCCCAGTTACTTGGGAGGCTGAGGCAGGAGAATCATTTGAACCCAGGAGGTGGATGTTGCAGTGAGCCAAGACCATGCCACTGCACTCCAGCCTGGGCGACAGAGCGAGACTGCATCTTAAAAAAAAAAAAAAAAAAAAAAAAAAGAGATGGGACTTGGAAGCAGAGGACATGCAGTGCAGACACAGGACAGACTGAGGCACGGGGAATAGGAGACCCTGGGACTCAGACATAGGACACCAGGGCAGGGACCCAAGCCTCAGGACACAGCACATAGAGAGACACAAAACATGAGACATAGAAGCACAGAGACAGAGAGGAAATGGAGGTGCAGGGCAAGGGACATTGGACATATGGCAGAGATGAGGGCAAGGGACATGGGGACTCAGGGACATGTGACATGGGACAGAGGCTCGAAAAGTCATGGCCATGGGACACAGGATGGGAACTCGGAGATACACAGACATGGGAGACACGGGACACAGTGACTGGGGAGCTAGAACATGGGGGCCGTGGCCACAGAGGACACAGACCATGACGTACAAGGTCTGCAGCACACGCAGGGACGGGGATGTGAGGATGCAGGGACAAGGGGGCCCAGGGGACACACAGAGGGTGGCAGCAGATTATGGAAAACCCAGGATGTGAAACTGGAGACACGGGGAATACAGGCCATGGGGACAGGAGGAGACATGGGACAGTGGACATGGGGAATGCAAGGCTTGGGGACACAGGAGAAGGGAACACGTCAGACCAAGGCACACAGTGATTTGGGGCACAAGTCACAGATATGGGGACATGGAAGATTGAGGATTCAGGGCCAGAGGATATGAAATATACACAGAAACACAAGACACTGAGAAGACAGAGCAGGCGAGTGTGGGACATGAGGGACATGGGAGGGGGCTAAAGGCTACAGGGAATGGTGCATGGAGCTTCCTAGTAGGTGGGGAAAAGCATGGGGAAAACCAAGAAAACCAGGGCACCAGGGAGCAGGTCGGTGGCCTCAGGCAGGCAGCTTCCGGCCCCTCTGAATAACCCCACCCCTTCCCTGTCCCCAGCTGTACCTGGCAATCGCTCTCATTGCTGTGGTTGTCGTCACCGGCTGCTTTGGCTACTACCAGGAATTCAAGAGCACCAACATCATCGCCAGCTTTAAGAACCTTGTGCCACAGGTGGGTTCCCCAGCACCCAGCCACTCCAGATCCCAGAGACTCCAAACTGCTCCTGTAGCCTCCTTCCATCAGGCCCCTGTCCCTCATCTGTGGCCTCCATCTCTCCCCATGGGTCCCAGCTCTCCTCATCCTTTACCTCCCCACATGCAGCAGCTCCCACCCCCACCCCCGTCCACCTCAACTTTGGTGCCCCTGCCCCGCAGCAAGCCACTGTCATCCGCGATGGAGACAAATTCCAGATCAACGCTGACCAACTGGTGGTGGGCGACCTGGTGGAGATGAAAGGTGGGGACAGAGTGCCCGCCGACATCCGCATCCTGGCGGCCCAGGGCTGCAAGGTGGACAACTCCTCGCTGACAGGGGAGTCTGAGCCACAGACCCGCTCACCCGAGTGCACGCACGAGAGCCCTCTGGAGACCCGCAACATCGCCTTCTTCTCCACCATGTGCCTTGAGGGTCTGTGAAGCCCCCGCCTGCCTGCCCAGTAACTGCTGCCTCCACTGGCCTCTCTCCTGCTATCTTCTAGGACAGGGGGCTTCAGCCTCCCTGTCTCTCTCCTGCATGACTGCCACCTCCCCGTGACTGCCACCTCCCCAGGGCACACTGCTTCTCTGTCTCCCACTGTCACTACCCTCTCCCAGGTCACATCCTCCACTGGCAGTGACTGGCTGTCCTTCAGCTCACACGGCAGTGCACACCCCACTGCCGCCCCCTATCCCTGAGTCGCGCCTTGGCCCCCCTGCAGGCACCGTGCAGGGCCTGGTGGTGAACACGGGCGACCGCACCATCATTGGGCGCATCGCATCGCTGGCGTCGGGGGTGGAAAACGAGAAGACACCCATCGCTATCGAGATCGAGCATTTTGTGGACATCATCGCGGGCCTGGCCATTCTCTTCGGTGCCACATTTTTTATTGTGGCCATGTGCATTGGCTACACCTTCCTGCGGGCCATGGTCTTCTTCATGGCCATCGTGGTGGCCTATGTGCCTGAGGGGCTGCTGGCCACTGTCACAGTGAGTGGGGGCAGGCGGGGATGCAGGGAGCTGAGGGGCCTGCTCAACCATCTGTTCTTTCCTCCACATTTCCCCCATCACCTCCCTGCCTGTCTATCTGTCCACTTAGCTCCCATCCATTCTCCTGCCTTCCCATCATCCACTCATTCAGCAAGTCCTTCCCGAGGCAACCCTGGGGCAAGTCCTGTGCCACACATTGAGGGCGCAGAGATGACGAGGCCGGGTCCTTAACTGGAAGAGGCTGATGTCCTGTGCAGGCAGCCAGCATGTCACCAGACCTTCCACAGTCAGCACCCAGCTCCAGACCAGTCCCCAGGGAGGTGCGGGGAAGGTTCCTCTTCTCATTTTGATTGTGTGAAGAGAATTTTCAGAACCTCGGCTGGGACAGCTCAGAGAGGGGCCTCGCTACTGTATCTGGGCAGACTGGGGAAGGAGTCCCAAACAAAGCACTGGCTGAACAAAAGCTGGGGCCAAGAAAACACCTGGTGTTTGCAGAAGCACGTTGCACACGCAGCCCCGCGGCTGGGGTAAAGCCTTCCCCGTTCTTTGACGCGGGGAAGAGGACTGGAAGCCAGGGTGGGTCCCCAGCCTGCGGTGCTCACCCCTTCCCCAGGTCTGCCTGTCCCTGACAGCCAAGCGCCTGGCCAGTAAGAACTGCGTGGTCAAGAACCTGGAGGCGGTGGAGACATTGGGCTCCACTTCGGTGATCTGCTCGGACAAGACAGGGACTCTCACTCAGAACCGCATGACTGTGTCCCATCTGTGGTTTGACAACCACATCCACACAGCTGACACCACGGAAGACCAGTCAGGTGTGGGGGAGGGAGGGCACAGGCGCCAGGGCAGGATCTGGTGGATGGTGGAGACCTGAAGAGGGATAGGGAGGTAGGGAGGGCTTTGTACGAAGGCGGGGCGGCTCGGCTCCAGGTCTCAAAGGAGACTCGCTACCGGGTCTAGAGGGAAGGGTCATCCGGGGGCTGGGTCCCTCAGGGTTGGGTGGAACCCAATTCCACCCAGGTCTGGGGAGGGGGCCCGCGATATGAGCCTAGGAGGAGGGGGCTCGGTTCTGGTCCGGGAGAGCCGCCGTGCGGGACCCAGCCTGGACGCCTGGTCTGCAGGGCAGACGTTTGACCAGTCCTCGGAGACGTGGCGGGCGCTGTGCCGGGTGCTCACCCTGTGCAACCGCGCCGCCTTCAAGTCCGGCCAGGATGCAGTGCCTGTGCCCAAGGTGAGAGCCAGGGGGCCTCCAGGGAATCCCGGGAGGCTGGTGTAGCCGGCTTCGCCCCTGACACCGGTCCCCGCTCCCAGCGCATCGTGATTGGAGACGCATCGGAGACGGCGCTGCTCAAGTTCTCGGAGCTGACGCTGGGCAACGCCATGGGCTACCGGGACCGCTTCCCAAAAGTCTGCGAGATACCCTTCAACTCCACCAACAAGTTCCAGGTGCGCAGCCGGCCCCGCCCACGGCCTGGGCCCGCCCACCTCGGGCCCCGCCCCAGGCCACACCCACATCAGCGGGCCACGAGGGGCTTCGCTCCTTGCCCCTTCTCTCCGCAGCCAAACCCCACCCCATCTCCCGCTCCGCCTATGGCCCCGTCCACCAGAGGCAAGGCCCCGCCCACCACCCAGCCCCGCCCACAGCTTCTCCTCGGCGGGACTGTCCATGGGGAGCACCTCGCTCTCCAAATCCGCCCCCAGCCCAACTCCGCACCCTAATTCTGTTCATTCCCTGCGTCCAGGACTCCAAATCTGCACCTAGCCCCGCCTTAACGCTTACCTTCTACCAAGGACCCCTCCACACAAGGCCTCCATCTTCCACCTTCACCCTTCCCCGCAGCTCTCAGAGCCCGCACCGAGCTCTCGGCCCCGCCCCTCTCCTCAGCCCCGCCCCGTTCCCTCGTCCACAGCCCCGCCCCGTTCCCCCGTCCACAGCCTCGCCTCTCCCCCCCGCCCACAGCTGTCCATCCATACGCTGGAGGACCCGCGGGACCCGCGACACTTGCTGGTGATGAAGGGCGCCCCCGAGCGCGTGCTGGAGCGCTGCAGCTCCATCCTTATCAAGGGCCAGGAGCTGCCGCTGGACGAGCAGTGGCGCGAGGCCTTCCAGACCGCCTACCTCAGCCTGGGAGGCCTGGGCGAACGCGTGCTCGGTGAGACCCCTGGGCAGGGGAGGAGACTCCAGGTGCGAGGAGGAGCTAGCACAGACCCTGCCCACCACTCCCGGCCCAGCCCTGACCGTCCTCATCCCTGGCTGCTGGCTGATTTGTCGCAGTCCACAGCCTCACCCTTGACTTTCCCTGTACCAGTCCTGACCCCTGTCTGTCCTCACTTTCTACCTTGACCCCAGTCCTCACCTGGACTTTTATCCGTATCCTGACCTCTAACCTCTCCCAATTTTTGTCCTGACGCCTTAAACTTCGCTGCCTCTACCCTAGAAAGCAGATCTGTGGTCCAATTCTGGGCCTTTTACTTGCTGTGTGACCTCTGGCAAGAAATGTCCCCTCTCTGAGCCTCAGTTTCCTCATCTGTAAGATGAGAATGGGCCTCACAGGGTGGTTGTGAGGGTAGATTCAGATAATGTGAGTGAAGGGGTCAGCACAAGGTCAGGCATCCATAGGTGTTTGGTGCAAGGGGCCTGGTTATTTTACCCATTTCCTGGCCCTGCTAAGAAAGGGTGTGCCCAGGGCTCTTCCCTGACTTCCCCGTTTCCGGTCAGGCTTCTGCCAGCTCTACCTGAATGAGAAGGACTACCCGCCTGGCTATGCCTTCGACGTAGAGGCCATGAACTTTCCATCTAGCGGCCTCTGCTTTGCGGGACTTGTATCCATGATTGACCCACCCCGGGCCACCGTCCCTGATGCTGTGCTCAAGTGTCGCACCGCAGGCATCCGGGTATGCCACTGTGGGGAGGAACAAGTGGAGTGAGGACAGAGGATGGCAGCAGGATTTGGGTTGAAGAACCCCATGACAAACCCACCTGAAACTGGCTTGAACCAAAATGCATTGGTTTATGATACTGAAAAATTCTGGGGAATTAAGCTTCAGGTCTAGCCAGATCCAGGAGCTCAGTGTCATTAGGAATTTTCCTTTCTCCATGTCTCAGCTCTGCTGTTCTCTTTGCTGGCTTTATTTGCAGGCACTCCCTTCACTTGGGGACACACACACCCCTGCTCCAGCAGCTCAAACTTAACTCCCACCTGCTTAGCCACCCCACAAAAAGAGAGTGCCTCTTTTGCAGTAGCACTGGATTGGGTCACTCATTTATCCCTGAGCCAGTCACTGGGGCTGGGGGATGGAAGACCTTGATTGGCCAGGTCTGGGCTTACTTACCCAATCTTAGCCAGGGACCTCACTGCAACTGATGGTGTAGGGGAGAGGAGTGGTTCCCCAAACACAAAACAAGGGTGGGAAAGCCAAGGCCAGGCAGGCAATGCCCAAGCCCTTCCCGTGTCTCTACGGCCCTGTTACATCGGGCCTTGTTACCTTTCTAAGCTTGTTCGTTAGCCCTCTTTCCTTGTTCACTCCTCTGCAGTTATGGTGTCCTCCCTGCTGTTCCTCCGACAGTTCGGGCCTGTCCTCACCTCAGGGCCTTTGCACCTGCTGTTCTCCCTGCCAGGAGCACTCTTCTCCCAGCTTTCCACGTGGCTGACTCTCTCACCTCTTACAGGTCTCTGCTCAGATATCACCTTCTCAATAAGCCCTTCCCTGGGTACACTTAAAATCGAGTCACCGTTTCCTTCACCAAGCTTAATATGTTTTTTTCCACTTTCTAACACACTATATAATTCGTTTCTTTATTTTCTGTCACCCTCACTAGAGCTCCTCAAGGACAGGGATTTTTGTCTCTTTTGTCTCTGCTATATCCCAGGCACGTAGGAGGTGGTCACGCTTGGTCAAGTAAATGAACACGTGTATCAGCAGATGTCTCCCAGGGAGGACAGGGAGATTGGGCTGATCTGAAGGGGTCAGTGATCCACTGGTTCCCCCTACAGGTGATCATGGTAACGGGTGACCACCCCATCACCGCCAAGGCCATTGCAGCCAGTGTGGGCATCATCTCGGAAGGCAGCGAGACAGTGGAGGACATCGCTGCCCGCCTCCGTGTGCCCGTAGACCAGGTTAATCGCAAGTAAGCCCCCCCAGACCTCCCCGGGGTTCTCCCCACATCTGGCACAGACCGAGGTCCCAGCGAGGTCCTCCCATCTCCTCCCCAGGGATGCCCGTGCCTGTGTGATCAATGGCATGCAGCTGAAGGACATGGACCCATCGGAACTGGTCGAGGCCCTGCGCACCCACCCCGAGATGGTGTTTGCGCGCACCAGCCCCCAGCAGAAGCTGGTGATCGTGGAGAGCTGCCAGCGGCTGGTGAGCCCTGCTGATGAGGGTGGGCAGGCGGGCAGACAGGCGGGGCTGGTCTTGGACCGGCCTCTCACTGACCACCCACCCACCACCTGCACCCACTGCCTGCAGGGTGCGATTGTGGCCGTCACGGGGGATGGTGTGAATGACTCCCCAGCTCTGAAGAAGGCAGACATCGGAGTAGCCATGGGCATCGCTGGCTCAGATGCTGCCAAAAATGCAGCTGACATGATCCTGCTGGATGACAACTTTGCCTCCATTGTGACAGGCGTGGAGCAGGGTCCGAGCCACGCCAGGGGGAGGGCAGGCAGTGTGGGCACAGGAGGGAGAGGGCTGTGAGGAGGCTGAGGTGCCCACCCTACCCCACAGGTCGACTGATCTTCGACAACCTGAAGAAGTCTATTGCCTACACATTGACCAAGAACATCCCAGAGCTGACACCCTACCTCATCTACATCACCGTCAGCGTGCCCCTGCCCCTCGGGTGCATCACCATCCTCTTCATCGAACTCTGCACTGACATTGTAAGTCCACAGCCCAGGGTACCCATCCACAGGGTGCCCAGAGACACTTGCTTGCAGATGGACAGGAGGGACAGAGACCACCACAGACACTCTTGGGCACAGAGTGACAGACAAGACCTGTGTGTGCAATGACAGCCAGTGCAGGACACATGGGTGGCAGGCAGGTGAACAGACCTAAATGGACATACAGCCATGCACACACAGGCGGACACTCAGGTAGGCCCGGGCCGACCCATGCACACACATGACTCAGATACAGATACTCAGACAGAGATGGAAACAGAACAGGTATCTGGCCAAACTTGAATCACAGACACGTGCCCCTAAACAGACACGGACAAATAAACCCCCTCAGATAGACCCCATGGCAGACAGACAGAAAAGAACCACAGATACAGTCACGAATGCAGCCAGAGGCGCAGCTGTGTTGACAGGTATTTATTCGGTAACATTTACACAGTGCTTTCTCTGGGCCAGACACACCATCATTTCCTTAATTTTGTACTCATAACCACACTATGAGATGAGTTTTGTTACTATCACCCGTACTTTACTGATGAGCTCATCAAGGCATAGACAGGTAGAGTGGATTGTCCCAGGTCACTGGGCAAATAAGTGGCCCGGCTGTGACTTGAGCTTGAGCAGTCACAGGTCCCACAGCCTGTGGTCGTGGTCAGTATGCTCTGCTGCCACTCTAGGCACAAGCAGATGAAGGGGCACGGCGACACTGAGAGACTGAAGATACACAGAGATAGGGAGTGACACAGAAATACACAAGAGCAGATACAGTCACAGAGAATTACACTGGAGACAGGGACAGAGAAACAGAGTGAGGAACAGAGAAAGAGAGGGAGGGAGACAGAGGGAGAAGATAAAAGCAGATGTTCTTACGAAGATGGGCACCAGGATGCCAACACCCAGGGGCCAGTGGGGCCCAGGCTGTCCAGGCTGGTGTGGCTGTGCCGTCCCTGCAGGTCCTGCCTGCTAACCTCAGTCCTGTTCCTGCTCACAAGTGGGGGAAGGGGGACCCGAAGTGGAGGGGACAAGGGCCCAGCCAAACCCTCAGTCCCAGTTCCTTCCACTCCTGGCCAGTTCCCATCTGTGTCCCTGGCATATGAAAAGGCCGAGAGTGACATCATGCACCTGCGTCCACGCAACCCAAAGCGTGACAGATTGGTCAACGAGCCCCTGGCTGCCTACTCCTACTTCCAGATTGGTGGGTGCCCGTGGGCCGGGGAGCCTGGAGGTGGGGGGCTCTGCGCTGGGCTGCTCGCCTGCCCCAGGCCCTGCCTTGGGCTCCGGCTGGTTCTGGACCTCAGTGTCTGCATTTGGTCCTGGGTCTCCGTTGTCCTCCGTGTCCCTCTCTGTTTGTGACAGTCTCTCTGGTTCTGCTGTGTCCCTGCTCTCTCTCTGACCTTGCTCTCCATGACCCTGTCTCTGAGTTGTTGCCTATTTCTGTCTTTTTGGGTCCTGGATGTGTCTTTTTCTCTCTGTCCCTGCCTCTGTCTCTCTGTCCCTGCTTCTCTCTCTGCCTCTGTGTCTCTGTCACTGTTTCTGTGTCCCTGGCTCTGTGTGTCCTTGACCTTGTGTATCTGTGTCCCTGTCTCTCTTCCCGTGTCCCTGTCTGTGTGTCCTTGACCTTTGTGTATCTGTGTCCCTGTCTCTCCATGTCCCTCTCTTCCTGTGTCCCTGTCTCTGTGTCCATCTCTGTCTCCCTGTGTCCCCTTGTCTCTCTCCAGGTGCCATTCAGTCCTTTGCTGGCTTCACTGACTACTTCACGGCAATGGCCCAGGAGGGCTGGTTCCCACTGCTGTGCGTGGGGCTGCGGGCGCAGTGGGAGGACCACCACCTACAAGATCTGCAGGACAGCTACGGCCAGGAGTGGGTGAGCCCTGCCCCGCCCCATCCCATCCCTGGGCTCCCTCCTTCCCAGGGCAACTTGCCTTGTGTGCGGCCCACTTGTTCCTCCACGTGTGACTGAGTTCAGCCAGAGCATCCCGGACCCCCAGACTCCCTGCCAGTTCGGGGGGGCAAGGGCCTTTCCCACCATCTCCAGCTCCAAACTCCTGCTTCTGATGATCGCAACTGCAGATGGGTGTCTCTGCCCTGACACTAATGCATCATCTCAGATGTGGAACCAGGCCCCTATTCTGCTATTTTCCCTACAGCATCACTCCCACAGGGTATTTGCACATGTGGTCTATTTTAATGAAGGTTTGGAGCACAGTGAGGCTAGATCTGGCCAGCAGATGTGTTTAGTTCACCTGTAGAGTTACATACAGACGAGGATACTTCCCTTAAACATTTACTATCATGGTTAAGGTAGACACTGAAGCCAGACTGCCTGGACTTATGGTCTGGTACTGCTTCTCACAAGCTGTGTAACCCTGGGCAGGTTGCTTTGCCTCTCTGTGCCTGTTTTCTCACCTGCAAAGTGGAGAGAATATCAAAGTCTACCTCAGTGGTTTTCAGTTTGCTCCCAGACCAGCAGCATCACCATCTCCTGGGAACATGTTTGCAGTGCAAATTCTCAGGCTCTATCCCAGCCCTCTGGGAGCCCTTGCTGGGATTCTCATGCATGTTCAAGTTCCAGCACCACTGATTTACCTCCTAGGGTTACCCAGCGGATTAAATGAGCTAATGCACGTGCAACACTCGGCACCTGGAGCAGTCAGTGATCCCCACAGTTAGCTGGTATTAGGAGTTGTGTTGCCAGGCATGGTGGCACATGCTTGTAATTCCAGCTACTTGGGAGGCTAAGGCAGGAGAATCTCCTGAACCTGGGATTCGGAAGTTGCAGTGAGCTGAGATTGCACCACTGCACTCCAGCCTGGGTGACAGAGCGAGATTCCATCTCAAAAAAAAAAGTAGCTGTGTTGAAGAAATGGGCTGCATAGTGGCTGCCCCCTTTAAATGGGGCATCTGCCCTCTTTTCCCAAAGGCCCGCGGTGACTGCCTCACCTATTTTTGCCATCTGCCTGGCCCCTGGAGTCACTGGACTTTGCAAATCCCATCTGAGGATTTCAATTCCCCTTTCCCAGGCCCTTTCTTTTGGGTGCCTCCCCCCTTTCACTATGAAAGCAGTCGGCCCAGCCTACAGTTTTCCCGGCCACTGTCATCCAAGCTCTGCTAGGCTGAGGTTTCTGGGCCCCACGTTCTGGGGTCCTGCACACCTGGCAGACCCTGCCTCTCTCCTTCCCCCCACCCCCACACTCTGATGCAAGGCAGAGAGAGCATTTAGGGGTTCACGGCCCTGGGACCCTATGCCCGGTGGGCTGCAGAGGCTCTCCGCCGGGACTCAGGCTGGACTCAGGCTGTTTCCGTTTGCCCCTGGCCTGCAGACATTCGGGCAGCGCCTGTACCAGCAGTACACCTGCTACACCGTGTTCTTCATCAGCATTGAGGTGTGCCAGATCGCCGATGTCCTCATCCGCAAGACGCGCCGTCTCTCTGCCTTCCAGCAAGGCTTCTTCAGGTGTCCCTGGCTGGCCCTCTTCCTGCCCTCCAACCCCTGGTCCCAACTCCCATCAGATCCTGACTGTGGTTTAGAACAGCCGGCAAATGCCAGCGGGTGCCAGTGCCAGATGGTGACATGCCAAAAAAACCTTTCTAACTGGCCAATAACTCCCCCCACGGCCCCCTCCACATTTCACTAAAGGGGTGGTGCTGAGAGGCCCGGGCCACTCCAGTGTTCAGTGTGTAGAACACCTCCCTGCTGCTGCTGACATCTGACCTACTTTGACCCACAGTATCCTGATTTCCATCACGTCCCCAATTCCTAATGGCCTGTCCCATTCTGCCCACCCCCAGGAATAAGATCCTGGTGATCGCCATCGTGTTCCAGGTCTGCATCGGCTGCTTCCTGTGCTACTGCCCCGGCATGCCCAACATCTTCAACTTCATGCCCATTCGGTGAGAGGCTGTGAGGGGCAAGGACAGGGAGGGGGCTGTAGGGCACAGGCCTGGGATGGCCTTCACCTTGCCATGTGCCTTCAGGTTCCAGTGGTGGCTGGTCCCCCTGCCCTACGGCATCCTCATCTTCGTCTATGATGAGATCCGGAAGCTTGGAGTTCGCTGTTGCCCAGGGAGTGAGTGTGGAGACTGGGAGCCTGGGGGCAGGGGACTGAAACGTTTGAGCAGCTGCACCCACCTTTGATCCTCAACACTTGGCCTCTAAGCCCTTGACCCTCCATAGCAACCAGCACTGACCTCTGAGCCCCTGGCCCTGCCTAAGTGGCACCCCCAGCACTGAGTCTCCTTTCT
Source organism: Homo sapiens (assembly GCF_000001405.40). NCBI lineage: Eukaryota > Metazoa > Chordata > Mammalia > Primates > Hominidae > Homo > Homo sapiens. The sequence continues at coordinate 35,550,658 of NC_000019.10, read as the reverse complement.
CCCTCTCTCTCCCAGGCTGGTGGGACCAGGAACTCTACTATTAGAGGGACGACTGCCTTCAAGCATCCCTGCAACTGCCACAGCAGGTGGGGGCAGGGCTCGTGGGACCCTCTGGACAGCCACCAAGATATCTGAGCAACCAAGAGTCCCAGCCCCACCAGTATCTGCTTCTGTAGCCCACGGCACCCCAAACTTGGAGGGACCTGCCCACTCCCCTCCCCCATTCCCAAGGTTCGCACCTCCTGGAGCAGCAGCGCCTGGGCAGTCCTCTGGGCTGGCCTCGGGAAAGCCGCCACCTGTGGTGGCGGTGGGGCTCTGACAGGGAGTACAGCTGACCGCTTCTGGAGGGTGTTTCTGTTCTTAGGACTCCAGTCCAGGCTGGACGGCTGCCTGAGGGCCCTTCGTTAAAGACACGCTTGTGTCCTGGGCGATGGTAATAAAACCAGCTCATGCTGACTGTGCTGTATCTGGTGCCAGGCACTGTCCTCAGCGTCTCTCATTAGTGCTTGTGATCTCCCACAGTCCTGTACATGGGGGCTGTTTATCCAGGGCTGCACCTCCAGTGCCTAGTACACAGCCTGGCACATAGTAGGTCCTCAATAAACCTGCCTTGGGGAAATGATTCCTATTCCTTTGCCCAGGGTCATGGCATCTAAACGCAAGCTGGGCCGTGGCGATAGGCACCCCCTACCACCTCTGGGCTTTCTCTGTTCTCAGCACCCTTCTCCCTCCTGGAGGCTCCCAGACACAAGGGGGCCCAAGTCATTTCCACATCAAGCATCCCCCACCCCCCAGCGGTGTCTCCTTTCTGAGCCTACCTGCTTACTCCTCTGTCCCGGCAATGGCCAGTTCCTGAACAACTCCTGGAGGTCCCCTCCTCACACCCCTCACCTGAAAGGTTAACCCCATCCCCCTACCTCCCATCTCTGCCGCTCCTTTCCCAGCCCCTCTGTTCACCTCTCTTCCTCTTTCTTATGTGGCTTTCTCTGGCTAGGGCCTGGGCTTCTCCTTCCTTGTGACCACAGCCCCCCAGTCCCCCATGGCTTCAGTTGTTTCTGCAGTGAGACCCACCTCTGTCCCCAGCTTCCCCCAGTGTTGGTGACCTACACTGGCCTCTTCATCACCCCCCATGCCTGTACCCATGCACTGACCCAATCTGATAGTCCCACTGTCCCATCAGTGTGGTCCCTTCTCCCTTGGAAACGTGGTGAGCCCTCGGGCTTACAAGCCCCAAACTCCAGTTATCCTGGAACTCTTTGCTCCTCCCTTACCTGTTAGCGCCCCCTGCCGGTAAATAAATACACACAGCCACTGATCACCAACACCTGGGCTTGGCTTCTAGTCACTCTCCTAACCCCACAAAGCCCTGCCCTGGTCCAGCCCTGGCCTCGTGGCCTCAGCTTTCCCATTTCAGACAACAGCCATGCAGAGCTTCCTAAAGCCAAATCTGACCCTGTCCTTCCTCTGCCTAGAGCTCTCCTTGGTTCCCAAAGCCTCCTGTGATCTGACCCCTGCCAGCTTCTGTAGTCTTACAAGTCCCCTTGAACTCATTCCAACCAGTTATGTTCCCTTGGGAAAAACAGGCCCCCTCTCTGACCTCAAGACCATTACCTCTGCCTTGCCCCAATCACTCATTCTTTAGGTCTCAGCTCACATGTCCTCTGCTCAGGGGAGCCCGCACTGCTTCCACGGCAGGCCAGGCGGCTCCTCTGGGTCCCCATAACCCGGGGTTTTCCCATCATAACCCCGATCACCTGAAGCCTGGCTCCCCACAGTCCAACCGCCCAGGCTTCACCGTCCTCTGCCAACTCAGGCCCAGCCACTCCAGTCTCTCTCCCTGAACCCCATGTAAGCTGGGATTATTCCAGTTGGTAATTTTGCATCCTACACTTGTCTCAATATGTGTGAAGAGCTATGTGGGGCATGGAAGTGTGGGAGAAAGTGACCTTGTCACAAGTCCACCCAGATAGACTGCCCCATCTACTTCCTTTCTACATCAAAGTCAAGGTGATCAATCACTTCCAGCTCCCAAGAGACCCATGGACCCTGTCTTTACTCCAAACAATGAGGAAGAGTGGCCTAGATGGCAGCTGCCGTCTGAAGGCAAATGCTCCCTCTGGAAACATCGAGATGGTCATAGTGAGCTTTCCTAGGCCTAAGCTTAAAAAAAATCAGGTGGAACTTCAACGGCCTGGTGGAGGAGGAGGGGCAATGGTGCTATCCTACTCCCTGGGGTACCCCACTGGGAACACCAAGGATGGGGAGCATCTTCCTGAGTGGGGAGGGTGTACATCAAAGTGGAGCTTAAACATGACATTCAAAACTTCTGACACATCCCCCTCAGAGAAAGGCGGGGAGCCGGCTTCAGTGGACCAAGGAAGGCTGAGGGTGGAGGGGGGCATCCAGGACAATGTCCAAGCTGGGGGCCCCACTGCTCTGCTTCTTGGCTGCAGCTGTCTCTCCACTCCACCCTGAGAAGGCTCAGGCTGGGATCTGATCTGAGGGCCATAGAACTGAGGAGCTCACAGTCACAACTCTCCCCCCAGCCCCATGCTGACCCCATGGCTTGAACGATGTTAAGAATCTGGCTGGACAAATTATTCTAGGGAGCAGTTTCAGAAAAGCTGGTTTTGCTGGTTGGGTAAAACCAAAGGCCAAGCAATTGGACTGTCCACTGTGTAACAAGGGGCCGCAAGTGGCTGCAAGTGGGAGGATGACCTGGTTAGACGGGTTTCAGATAGATCCCCTGGCTGCCATACAGAGGATGGATTGGAGGGGGACACTGGGGCCAGGAGCCTCAGAGGCAACCAGCCCGGGAAGGGCCCATGTGAGGAGGCCCAGGTTGGGGCTGTGAGGAGGAAGAGCCCCCCAAGGGCCTTCTCTTGGATTCTAGCTCCCCTCTATCATCTGTTCCCTGAGGGCCCTGGCCTCTGCCACTGCTCAAAGATCATCCAAACCTTCTGTCTACTCCTGGCAAACCAGGAGCCTGAGGAACAAGACATGGGACAAGTCAGTGACTGGCTAGCTTCCAGCTTGTCTACCTGGCTCCTGAGACAGAACCAGGGCCTCTGAGACCCAGGTGGACACGGTATTGGGAGACAGTTCCCAAGAGAGAGAAATGGAGGCAGCAACAACTTTCCAAATACTGTTTACTTCACTAAAACCTGGAGTGAGGCAGGGAAAAGGTACATCAATGTCTGAGACACCAAGCCTAGGAGTGCACATTGACAACGGCGACATACAGGGCCAAAGTGCTGAGGGCCAGCAGCCCCGTTACCACTGCTCGGGCCAGTAGAGCTGCCCAACTGCCCAGCGAGCAGAGGTGGACGAAGGTCCTGCAGGAAAATGTCACAATAAGGAAGGGAGACTAGATAACCCACCCCACTTTGGACCCAGCCCTAAACCCCACCCAACTCACTCCATAACAAAGGCCTTGTAGACACTGAGGAACATCAGCAGGAGGACAGCTGGCCGGAAGGTGTGGTACAGATCATAGCGTGTTATCATCCAGACCTGAGCAGACGCGACGATGTAATGGACCTAGAGGGAGGCAGAAAGTCGGGGCCAGGCCTTGGGGAGGAGTATGGCCGCCAGCAGAAATGTGTATGTGGGAGAGCACGACTGCCTACCAGACTGATGTTGGAGTCTATGCTCATCTGGATGTACTTCCAGTCAAACTCAATGCCCCGGGCTCCGACCCATAGGGGAATGCAGCTGAGGAAGGCAAAGGATGGGATTCTCCAGTACTCAGACACCTTCAGCACCAGGCTTTGAGCCCCTGCCCTCCAGCACCCCCGTGGAACCCAGGTGTCCCTTCTCAGGGGTCTGGGCTCCAGGCTGCTGTACGCACCGGGACATAATAAGCTCAGCAGTGGCCCAGCCCAGGGCAGCAACCATGATCTTGTACTCTCCCTTGCCGGCATTCCGGGACATGACAAGGTTTAGACCTATCAGGTCTGCCACATCCACGCTGGCCTTCATGAACTCCTGCGGGTCAGGTTGAGGCTTAAGTAAGCACAGGGGGACAGGGAGCCCCATTCCTGAACTCCCTTCCCTTCCCTGGCCCCTCTCACCCCAATGAAGTCATAGATGCCGCCTTCCCAGGTGGGAAAGAAAGTGGCCAAGAACAGCATCTGAGAACAGAAAGCAGAAAGAGGTCACTTCAAGGTGAGGGGATCAAGATAAACCACGTGGGATTTGTGGGAAGTTCGTGGGTAGGAAGAGGGCAGGACAGGTTCTGGGGGCCCATCTGGAAGAGGAACCACCAGATGGTGGCAAAATTACAGGAATCGGGGAGATAGAGGATAGGTCCCCGGGTCCCCGAGGGGGCTGGAAGTTTGAGTTCTGGGTGATCACAGGGCATCTGAGTCAGGTCTGAAGGTGCTGCTCCTTGGGCAGTGTTAGCAGCACGTACGGAATCAGTGATCACTCTTAACCGCACCAAAAAAAACCTGTTAGCCAACCACACTACTGAGGTTTTCTCAGTTTTACTAAGTGCTACGCAAAAGTTGCTTCTAGGTCTCTTCTCAGGTCGTGCCCTCTTTAAAGTCCATCCTCTCTAGGTATCCTGACGCCTCCCAGTGCGGAGTCCCGAGGGCGGTCCCACCGTGGGGCGGCGGGGGCGCGGATAGGCAACGGGGGCGGGTCCCTGGGTCTGCAGAGCCTGGGGGCCAGAACACGTGGCTTCCCGGTGGCCCTCACCTTGCAGAGTTGGACAAAGAGGTAGGTGACTCCAGCCTGGACGCATTTCCAGAAGGCGTTGTACTCGGACCTGGAGAAGCGGGAGGTGAGGGTCGGCCCGGGCCCCGCGCCCTCTCCGCCCCGCGCCCTTCCCGCACTCACAGGCCGCTGCACTTGTAGGTGATGAAGTAGGGGAAGTAGGCAAGAGCGAAGCAGTTCCCGAAGTGAAACAGGGTCATGATGCCGGCCGCCCGGTCCCGCCCGCGCGGGGATCGCGAGGCGGCGTCTCCGGGAGCGGGTCTCCGGCTCCGCCGGCTCTTTCGCCACGGCCAGGGCCTGGCACCCACCTGACTGGCGGGGGCCCGCGCGCGACCTTCTGGGAGCAGTAGTCCCGGCGCGGGGCGTCGCGCCCAGTGACGTCAGAGAGCCCGTGGCCGGCCCTGGGTCCCACCGCTGCCGGCCCAGCGCTTTGGGGAGTGACTTCCGGCCATGCGGGGCCTCTACCGCTGCCATCGCGGTCCCGGTCTCCTGAAGTGGAACCCGGCTTGGAGTCGAGCGCGACCCCTCGCCCGTGGGCGCAGGCGATCGAGTAAGGGTGGGGCGGGCCTCAAACCCGGATCAGAACCCGCCCTGACCGGCGCAGAGATACGGGACGCAGCCGTGAGCACTGTTTTTTATTTCACCATGGACCCATCGGCGTGGGGCGCCCGCCCCGGGTGTCCTTCCTCCCCCGGGCAGCCAGATGCTGGAACGGGAGGCACATGTTCCGGCCCCGGCCCCTGGGAAGGAAAGAAAGGACCTTCCCGTTTCACTTGTCTCGGCTGAACATGTAGCGGAGGAGGTCGACCACCCGGTGACTGTAGCCATATTCGTTGTCGTACCTGTGGAGGAGGGGTCGGGAGGTTCAAGGGGGTTCCTTCCGACCACCCCTTAGTTCCCCTCCCTCTAAGTCTCCAGCTCCTTCCCCCTTACCATGAAATGAGCTTCACGAAATTGTCATTGAGCGCAATGCCGGCCTTAGCATCGAAGATGGACGAGTGGGTATCACCGAGGAAGTCCGTAGAGACGACCTGGAAGTCAGAATTTCAAAGATAAGTGTGTCCGGCAGAGCAAGGACCTCCAGGAGCTGAGGCCCCGACTCTTAACTCTATCGCCCATCCATGCATTCATCTATAATATTTGATGTAGCCCTACTGTGTCCAGTCTCTGGACTGGAGGGTATGACCAAGTGCAGGGTATGACCAAGGCACTGTGTCAGGGTCTGGCCAAAGGGCACAGGTCACAAACACCCTCATGCTGTACCAGTACATCCCTTTCCTAGGAATAATGCAAGCGTTTGGAATGGGCCAGCATGGAGGGCCTCTCTGAGGGGTGGCCATGAGCCTGGGTCTAGATGACTAGAAAGATCTGACCGGCTGGGGCCCTCAGCACAGTGTCTGAGGTAGAAGGAGCTGCAGGAAGGGAGGACCTGAGGGTTTTAGCCCTAGTGTCATGAAAGGCCACAGGAGTGTTTTCAATCCTGAAAACGGGTGATGCAATGTGATTCCATTAAAACAAAAGATCCCAGTGACTGTGGGAAAGTGGACCTGCAGGAGTTAATGCAGGGAGACAGCACCAAGGTGGATGTACAGGGGTCCACCATGACCATGGCATCCACTCCTCACAGAGAAGGCATCTGGCCATGGCCTGGCCCTGAGCAAGTATTGAAAAAAATGGGAGCTGTTGTCTTTTGTTCACTAAGCATGTATTAGTCACCTGCTGTATGCCAGGTTGGAGCCACAAAAGTGAAAAGGCAGCCCCTAAATCCCTGTTTTCTTGGAGTGCACACACCACTGGGGCCAACAGTGACTATGAAATGAAATTTCAGGTGAGGAATATGGCCACAAAAAGAACATATTTTGAGGGGGTGCCTTGCTGAAGAGGGAGGTTCCTCCAGAGACTTGGAGGAAGTAAGGACAGACTGTATGGTCACCTGGCAAGGGAAGCATTCCAGACTAAAGGAACAGCAAGTGCAAAGGCCCTGAGGCAGGGAGATCTCCCTTCCTGCCCTGCAGTTTCTGACTTGGCACATTGAGAGCAGCTCCCTGGCAAGTGGAAATCATGTCCCTTCCCAGAGGGCTCCTCCCAGGGTCTCCTCTCCTCAGCCCCTACCTCATCCTCGGTGTAGGCAAGGATGCCAGCCATGGGCCCCTTGGCTGCTGCTTTTACAGCCTCCTTGATGGCTGAGTAGGGGGCAGGCTGGGCGAGGCGGCAGGTCAGGTCCACGACAGACACATCCGGGGTTGGTACCCGGAACGCCATCCCTGTCAGCTTCCTGGAGAATCCCCCATGAGGAACAGGAGTCAGAACTTAGGGACGTTGCCCTCCATTCCCCCTTTCCCTGTGGCTGGGCCAGGCCCCTGCTTTCCTCTTAAGGACTGAGGGCCGGGCCAGTCCAGTCCTCCTGGCGTATGCCCCCACCCTGGTTGCAGCTTCTTGTCCTCATACCCTTTGAGCTCTGGGATGACTTTGGTCACAGCTTTCGCAGCCCCAGTGGAGGCTGGGATGATGTTCTGGTGGGCACCCCGCCCATCTCGCCAGGCCTTCCTTGATGGCCCGTCCACTGTCTTCTGGGTGGCCGTGTAGGAATGGACTGTGGTCTTGGGGAAGAGAAGGACCAAGATGAGGCCTTCATGCTCCTAAGCTCCCATGCCTCTTTTTTCCAGGACTAAGTTGGTGGCCTAGGTGTGGAGGCTGGTGGGGCCACCACCACAGACCACAGGAGGGGATGTGTGCAGGCCAGGGTCCAGCCTTGCCTGAGGGTTGCACAGTGTTTTAAGTGACTTCTGCACTGGTGGGCCTCTCCTCCCGAAACCAGTCTCTCCCTCTTAACTCCATACAGTAAGCAAGGCCCGGGAAGAAGTTGGGTTTCCCTGCCATCCTTCCTGCCCCAGCCCCTCATCCTCAACTCACCATCAACCCTTCCACGATCCCAAATCGCTCGTGGATGACTTTGGCGAGGGGAGCCAAACAGTTGGTGGTGCAGGACGCGTTGCTGAAACAGCCAAGGTGTGCACGGACACTGTGAGGTGAGTCGCAGAGCCACCCCTCCACCCTTACCCCTCTTGGGGTATGCACGCAGACTTGGTTTTATGAAACGTCAGGATGAGGGTGAGAGGGATCTGTGGGGACACTGTCAGACTGAAGGAGGCACTGAGGTGCAGCTGGGGAGGCTCCCCAAGCTTGTCCTCTGGAAGTCATGCGTTTTTAGCAGATAGTTTCGGGAAGGAGAAGCAGAAGCCAAGCGACCAGGAATCCAGTGGGGCTGAGGGTGGGGAGGACGAGTCTACCCTCCCTTCCACACATTGCAGGATGTCACTGCCCACATTACCTCACAATGTTCATGGAGCCAGGGTTATAGTCATTTTCATTGACACCCATGACGAACATTGGTGCATCCGGTGAGGGCGCGGAGATGACCACACGTTGAGCACCTGCAGAGATGTGGTCCTGGGGAGGAAGCGCAGGTGTCAGGGGCTTCTGGCACCATCATCCCCCCAGCTAGCCCTGGGCACCTCTCCCCAGCTTACCGAAGCTGCCTGTATGGAGAGGTACACGCCTGTGGACTCCACCACGTAGGGGCTCCCGACAGCCCTCCAGGGGATCTGTTTGGGCTCTTTGCTGTGGGGAAGTGGCAGGGCTGAGTCAGTCTCCCCTGCTTGAGCCCCACCTTCATAGTCCATGGCTTTCACCATTTGACAGGCTGAGCAGGTACCGGCCCACCTGCAACCACCTGCGTCCCCTACCCCACACACCTACTTGTTCCAGATGGGCTCCACCCCGCTGGCCTAGCTTTTCACCACTGCCCCACTTCAGACCACTTTCCCTTTGCTGATTGCACCACCCCTGTTATGCCTGGGTACAGGTGGTGACCTCCCCAACTCAGCCCTCAACCTCCTCAGAGGCGCCAATGCTGACTGCTGTCAGCCAGCCCAGACCCTTTCTCCATATGCTGCCCGGGACGTGGACTCTGTGACTGTGAGGCCTGCCCGGCTGCTTTCTGCTTCCCAGCTCTGACAACCTCGCCATGAACCCTCCTAGACCCTCAGCTCCTGCAATAGGAAGCTGGCTGCCAAAGGCCAGGAGGGTCCCTGAAAACAGACACTGCATTAAAGAAAAAGCTCCTGGAGGACTCCTGAAGCCTGAGGCAGCCTTGGGGCAGCAGTGGCTCATGGTTTACATTGGAAAGGTAAGGGAGGTTTCTGGTTTCCTGTTTTATAAATTTATGTTTTTACTTGGTATTTTGACAAACATTTGTATTTGAAGCACACTAAACATCTAGTATTGCCGTTTTCTACTTGGCTTTAGCAAACAAGCATTAAGTGAATAAACTGTTCCACTTTCTTCCTTCCCAGGTTTATCATGAGTAACCGGGTGCTTTGCTTCTGTGATTCTTGGCCAGTGTCGGTCTGTTTCCTTTGCCATTGAGCCTGCTCCCCTCAATGGGGGGTTCAATCAATGTTTGTGGGGTTTGTTTGTTTTGAGACAGGGTCTTCCTCTGTCGCCCAGGCTGGAGTGCAGTGGTGCAATCAGAGCTCACTGCAGCCTTGATCTTCCTGGCTCCGGCCATCCTCCTGCCTTGGCCTCCCGAGTAGCTGGGACTACAGGCGCACACCACCATGCCAAGCTAATTTTTAAATTTTTTTGTAGAGATGGGGTCTCACTTTTGTTGCCCAGGGTGCTTTAGAACCCCTGGGCTCAAGTGATCCTTGACCTCCCACAGTGCTGGGATTACAGGTGTGAGCCACCGTGCCTGGCCTCATGGGTTTTCTTTGTTTTGTTTTGTTTTGTTTTTGAGACAGAGTCTCACTCTGTCACTCAGGCTGGAGTGCAGTGGCACGATTTTGGCTCACTGCAACCTCCACCTTCCGGGTTCAAGCGATTCTCCTGCCTCCGCCTCCCGAGTAGTTGGGGTTACAGGCATGCGCTACCACACCTGGCTAGTTTTTTATTGTTGTTGTTTTTTGTATTTTTAGTGGTGACGGGGTTTGCTCTGTTGGCCAGGCTGGTCTCAAACTCCTGACCTCAGGTGATCCCCACTTCAGCCTCCCAAAGTGCTGGGATGACAGGCATGAGCCTCTGCACCTGGCCTCGTGTTTTTTTTTTAGTTAGCCATTTTATACGTGTTTACTGAACACCTGTCCTGTGCCCATATTCTAAGTGCCTTACCTGCATTAAACTCATGTAACCTTCACAACCCGATGAGGAAGTGCTACCGCTGTCATTTTTTGCATTTTTTTACTGCTGTCAGGGCAGAGGGGAGGGGAGTGAGAGGGAGAGCCTGCTGGAGTGCAGGTGGCTGGTCCCACCTCGGGTCTGCACTCCTGTTTCCACTGCCTGAATGAATGAATGAATGGGCTGCCCTGCAAAGCCATCACACATGCATGGTTATCCTCTTCCTGTCTCCTGCTCTGTCAGTCCACTTTCCATCATCTGGCCCAACGAGCTCTTCTCAGATACCCCCCATTTCCTGCCTTCCAAATTAGGGACACTTGCGATTCCTCTGCAACAATTGCTGAGTTGGCCTGAGGCAAAGACTGTGCCCCCAGAAGACCCCAGGCCCTCCCCAAGGCTGTCATGGGCCCCAGCCTCCTGCCCACCAGGCTGTTTTGAGGATTCCATTCATTCATTCAAAGGAAGTTCTGAATGGCTATCAGGGCCTGTACCTGCTAATGCCAGAGCAACAGTGGTGGTACCAGTTGACAGAGCCCTCCGTGCAAGGCCATGGCCTTGTGGGAAGTGCCCGTTTAAGTGTCCACAAACACATGTTCACTCCATTCGTGCTCCCAGCTACCGCTGTGGTGGGTTTGCTCATCATCCCCATCAGATACAGCGGGGAACTGAGGCTCAGGCAAGTTTGGTTCCTTGCCCAAGGTCACCCAGCTAGCTAGCGGAGGTGCAGGGCAGAGTGCAGGCACACAGCCTGGCTTGTGCAGCCCAACAGTGCGGGGATGGAGAGGGGGCTGGAGGGGCGGGGAACTGCATTGCACAAGTGACCAGAGAAGGCAAGACCTGAGTCGGGACCGTGGACGGAGGGGGCAGCTAGGTGGGGAAGAGGGATGACTCCAAGTGGCGGTAATGGTGGTGGCCACGTTGAAGTCTGCGTGATAACTATGGTGCTGGAGTTGTTTCTAGTGTCATGATTTCAAACTTGGGTTAAGCAGCTTTCTTCAATTTTCACTGACTCTCCAGTCTCTGCCCCCTGCCCACAAACTTCCTGCACCCATCCCTGCCCCTTTATCACTCACCCTACCCCCAGTAAGTACAAGGAGAAGGGCTGAGATTAGATCTGTGGGGAGGGGCGCTGGGGAGGCTGCAGACCCTGCCTGGGCCCAGACAGGGTTCACTAGTGTGCCTGTGTGTATTTGCATGTGTGTGGGCCTGTGGGTGTGTATGTGTAAAAGCCCCAGGCAGCCACAGAGCCAGGAGTCGCTAATAGTTTACATTAGAAAGGTGAATGTCAGCCAAAAATAAAATTCTAAACTCCCCCAACTAACTGAATGTAGCCCTTCTCTCGGCCCAGGGCATTCTAAAGTAAAACTGAAACACTGGTTCAGGCCATGATGGGAACGGATGTTCGGATGTTCGCACAAGCCTCATTATACCTTCCTCCCTTTGGAATTCAGGCATAGTTGACCAGCAGTGGTCAATGGGAGCTGAATAGGTGTGGGTTGAAGGGGAATCAAGAGTTGAGTTCTGGACATGTTGATATGCCCACGAGAAAACATGCAAATGTGCGTTAAAGCAAAATGCAGTGGCTCCTGCCTGTAATCCCAGCACTCTGGGAGGCCAAGGTGGGAGGATTGCTTGGGGCCAGGAGTTTGAGACCAGCCTGGGCCAGATGGCAAGACCTCATCTCTACAAAAAATTTGCCAGGTGTGGTGGCTGGTGCCCACTACTTGGGAGGCCGAGGTGGGAGGACCACTTGAGCCCGGGAGGTCAAGGATGCGGTGAGCTATGATTACACCACTGCACTCCAGACTGGGCAAAAGAGTGATACCCCGTCCCTAAAAAAAATATAAAGAAAAAGCATTCTTCAGTACAGTGAGGCATCTTTTTAGATTAGTGCTTCTTAATCATTTTAGGGGTGAAGGACCTGAGACTTCCCTCTTCAAATTAGTACCTAGAGGCATGCACACGCAATTTTGGGGGTGGTTTCAGCACCCCATGTGAGAGGCTGGAATCCCATTTTAGCCACCTCCACATGCCCTGCCTCAATATGTCACAGCCGTGCATCAGACAGATGCTTTCCTTACCACTGGTAGACAGAGATCTCATGGTTGTCCACGACCAGTTGTCCATTCCTGAATTCCACACTTCCCTTGTATCGGCCGTGGGTGGAGTCATACTTAAACATGTACACCTGTGGGGGATGGAATGGCTCCTAGTCTTGGGGTGGCAGGGTGAGGATCCCTAGAGAGTCCCCTCTTTGGTGAAGGTCTCACATTACAGCTGAGAGCCTTCCATACAGCTTCCCTGAGTCCCTTTCCCACCCCAGTCCCACCCTGCTGTTCCTGCCCTCTGCCAGCTACTGACCATGTATTCCGGGTCAATGAATGGATCATTCACAGCCACCACCTTAACACCCTTCTCCATGCAGGCGCGCAGGACCAGGCGACCGATGCGTCCAAATCTGGCCAGGGACAGACAGGAAGGGATGGGAGAGAAGGGGGTAATGGAGAGGAGGCTCCCTCAAGGAGCCTGGTTGGGAATCCTTAATCCAGGGGAAGAAGGCAACAACCTCTGTGCTGGCCATGGGCATCTCTTGCCAAGATGACCTCACCAGCCCCTTTAACTGCTTTTTCAGCTCCCTCTCCCAATCCGTTCCCTAACCCATATATACATATATATATATATATATTTTGAGATGGAATCCAGCTCTTTCGCCCAGGCTGGAGTGCAGTGGCGCTATCTGGGCTCATTGCAACCTCTGCCTCCTGGGTTCAAGTGATTCTCCTGCCTCAGCCTCCCAAGTAGCTGGGACTACAGGCGCGTACCACCACACCTGGCTAATTTTTGTATTTTTAATAGAGACGGGGTTTTGCCATGTTGGCCAGGCTGGTCTCGAACTCCTGACCTCAAGTTGATAGACCCGCCTTGGCCTCCCAAAGTGCTGGGATTACAGGCGTGAGCCACTGCGCCTGGCTCCTAACCCCTATTCTTAACCTTGTAGCTGGATGGATCTTTTATTTTTTCATTAAACAATTAAAACAATTTTTTTCTGTAGAGACAGAGTCTCGCTATGTTGCCCACGCTGGTCTCAAACTCCTGGTCTCAAAGGATTCTCCTACCTTGGCCTCCCAAAGTGCTGGGTTTACAGGTGTGAGAGCCTGGATGGATCTTAAAACTTCAAGACAGATTACGTCTCTTGGCATGAAAACATCCACGACTGTCCATCAGTAAAACAAGATCCACACTCCTTACTGTGGTGTAGCAGCCCCCTCCGGGCTTCTCACTGGCCTCCCTCCTTTTCCCTTTGCTTGGTGGACACCAGCCACTCTGACTTCCTGGCTGTCCCTGAACATACTGAGCTCGCCTCTGCCCCAGAATCATTGCTTGTCCCGCTGCCTGGAAGACTCCTTCCCCAGCAAGGTGCCCTGGGAGCTGGCTGTGTCTCATCACTCTGGTCCCGCTCCAATGACACCTTCTCCCCAAGGCCTTCCCTGATCACTGGCAAAGGCTGCCCTCTCCAGCCTGACTTTTCCACTGGATTCTACACTGTTCCCAGCACACTCTACTGAACAATCTAATTTCTTTATTTGATTACTGTCTTCCCCACCAGCATGCTGCTGAGCATGGGGCCCTGTCTGCCTTGCTCCGGGCTATTTCTCCAGGGTCGTCGGAACGAAAGCATTGATGGGGGGAAATGTGGAGGTGCCCCCAGTTAGCAGCCAGAGGAGGGGCTGGGCTCTAAGGCTTCAGACTGATCAGGGGCTGGAGTAGACTCACCCATTGATGCCCACAGTCAGCTCCCGGGCCACAGACACCATCTTAGGAGGAGGAGTAGCGGGGTGAGGAGGCAGTGGTGGCGGTGGTGGCTTTATTTCCTCCCTGACTGGTGTGGGCTCTGGTTGTGGCTGGGGCTCTACTTCAGCCTTAGGCTCAGGTGGGGGCGGTGCTCTGGTCACTATGCGGGGGAAGGGAGGGAATGGGTTGCATGACCACCAAAGTGAAAGAGAACAAACTGTCTTTGCTGCCCAGAATCTGTTGCTGGCTCCTGGCCCCTCGTGACCAACCATTTAGCCCAGTGTTTCCCAAACCCACTTTCTCTACAGAATGAACTTGTTTAAAATGTCAATCCCAAGGGCTCTTTCCTGGAGATTCTAATTCACTGGTTATGTACTTCCGTTGTTTTTTTTTTCCCGAGACAGAGTATTGCTCTGTCACCCAGGCTGGAGTGCAGTGGACTGATCTTGGCTTACTGCAACCTCCGCCTCCTGGGTTCAAGTGATTCTCCTGCCTCAGCCTCCCGAGTAGCTGGGATTATAAGCACCCGCCAAGGTGCCTGGCTAATTTTTGTATTTTTAGTAGATACAGGGTTTCACTTGGCCAGGCTGGTCTCGAACTCCTGACCTTAGGTGATCCACCCGCCTCAGCCTCCCAAAGTGCTGGGATTACAGGTGTGAGCCACTGCGCCTGGCCGGGGTATGTACTTTCAACATAGATCGCTTGGGGTGACATTCTCTGTGCCTCAGTTTCCTCCTCTGTAAGGGGAGATAATAGTACTTTTCTTAGAGGGTTGTTGTGAGGATTAAATGAGGTAATACATGGATTGCTTATGACCAAGCCGAGGAAATGTTTGACATGCATTAGTATTTTGTAGATTGTTCCCCGAATTTGTCCAATAATTGATTTAGCCCAGTGGTCCCCAAACTGTTCCATGATAGGAGTCGTCGGAGTGGCCAGGCGTGGTGGCTCACACCTGTAATCCTGGCACTTTGGGAGGCCAAGGTGGGTGGATCACTTGAGGTCAGGAGTTCAAGACCAGCTTGGCCAACATGGAGAAACCTGTTCTCTACTAAAAATACTGTAATCCCAGCTCCTCGGGGGGCTGAGGCAAGAGAATCTCTTGAACCTGGGAGGCGGAGGGTGCAGTGAGCCGAGATTGCGCCACTGCACTCCAGCCTGGGCGACAGAGTGAGACTCTGTCTCAAAAAAAAAAAAAAATCACCTGAGGAGGGCTCTTCCTAGAAAAATCGGACTCAGTGGGTCTGTATGGAGGCCCAGAAATCCTGTTTTTAATCAGCACTCCAGGCCGGGAGCGGTGGCTCACGCCTGTAATCCCAGCACTTTGGGAGGCCGAGGCAGGCAGATCACCTGAGGTTGGGAGTTTGAGACCAGTCTGACCAACATGCAGAAACCCCGTCTCTACTAAAAATACAAAAAAATTAGCCAGGCGTGGTGGCACATGCTTGTAATCCCAGCTACTCAGGAGGCTGAAGCAGGAGAATCGCTTGAACCCAGGAGGCGGAGGTTGTGGTGGGCGAGATCGTGCCACTGCACTCCAGCCTGGGCAACAAGAGCGAAACTCCATCTCCCAAAAAAAAATAAAAAATAAAATAAGCACTCCAGGCATTTCTTATCCTCAGGGAAGCTTAGAGAGTACCGTGTATCATACTCTGTGAAACCCATGGAAGCTCACATTGGCTCCCACCTCTCCACACACACTCCTGCTCCCAGACTGCACTTAAAAACACCTGCGCCTGGAGGTAGCAGCCGCCTGAGCTACAGAGGAGGGCTTGAGAAGAGGGGAGAAGTGGAGACTCAGGGGACCTGGTGGCAGAGAGTTTCAAGCTGGAAAGTCAAGCCTGGCTCAGTCCACACAGACCTGCTGCTCTGTGGATTTGAGCAAGTTAATGAACCTCTTGGGGCTGATCCCCCACCTAGGGGCTGCTGTGAGGGCGCAGTGAGATCTCGAGGCCCACACATAGGAGCTGATTTTAATAGAGGAGGGAAGTCTGATCCTACACAGATTCCTGAGGAAAGGGAGACAGCAGGGGGTGGAGAAGGGCTGGAAGGGGGTAGTGGGAGTCCAAGTTTTTGGCACCAAATCAAAGGCACCTGGGGGGTGGTGGGGCTGGGAGCCGGGGGCCAGCTGGCCTGTCTGTCTCCCTGACCTCTCCCTGTTGCCACAGACCTTGTGGCCTGAGGCTGGACTATAGGTGTTTCCAGTGGCTGTCCAAGTTCATGAAGGTGTTAGTGTTTATTGGTGAACTTGAGGATGTTTGCATCCTTGGGGGTTGTTTCTGCTATGGGAGAAAGGGGATTTGTCCACCTGGTTCAGGTGGGAATCTGAGCCCAATGGGTGACCCTTCCGAAGAAAACTCAGATGGTCCTCCTCTCCCAGCACTCCCAGCCTTGCACTCTCTTCCCCTCCACTGTAGGGGTGGGGTCCCCCGGTTGGAGAAAAGCCTGGGGGCTAGCTGGGTGCTGCCCCCAGCTCCTCACTGCGTCCTCCCACTGAATCCCGAGAGGCATGCGCTATAAACCCACTTTACAGAGGGGAAAATGAAGCCTGAGGCCACGGAGCAGTGATGCGCAGGGCAGGGGTTCAAGTCTCATGAGGCTGGTAAGCCTGTCTGCTCCTGTGTCTTCCAGGGTCTCCTGGACCAAAGCCCCAGCCCCACCTACCCCTGCGGCCCCCGCCCTTGGGAAGTGAGGGAACAGTGTGGGAATGGAGGCAGCCCACCGGAAGACCTGGTTCCTCCGGCTAGAGTGAGTGAGTGAGTGTGTGTGTGTGTGTGTGCGCGCGCGCGGGCGCGCCGCCCTTGTTGAGAGACTAAGGAAGTAGTTTGCCCTCTCTTAACCTCTGTTGGCCGCTCTGTAAACTGCGGGCACACTCTGGCCTTCTCAGGTGGTGGTGAGGCTTCCCTGAGCTCTCGCCTGCGAAGTGGTCAGCACGTCCCCGGCAAGGTTCCAAGTGTCCTTGTTTTGTGCATCACAGGGAGGGCAAAGCTCACCTCACGCGAAGCGCCATGAACATCACTTTTACATGGAAGCCCAGCACCCCTGGGTTCTCCCTAAGCCCCTCCTAAGCCCGCCCACTTCCCGCCACTTTCAGGCTGCAGCCTCCGATGGCCCTCGTTTCTGCTCTTTCTACCGCGTGATAGCGGCGCGAAGCCCACCCAGCCCTGGGGGCGGAGGCCCGGTCTCCCCGCCATGGCAGTAAACCCCACTCTGCCAGCACACTGGCGGGTGTGGAGGGAGGGAGAGCGGCTGATCCCCTGGTCCCTAGATGGTGCACACGCCAGGAAGGGCGGTAGGGATACGGCACAGGTGTGAGGGTGCAGACGCTCCCCACTACCCTTTCCACCCCTCCCCCGCGCCCTCCGCTGCCTCCCTCACCCGGGCACGGCTGTCGCAGCAACTGGACAACGGTGACATTGGTGAGGACGATGTCGCGCTTCGACATGGCCTCTTATAAGGTTATCATTGGCCTGGACCTGCTGTGATGTTACCGAGGTGCGTGCGGAGCGCCAGGGCTGTGGGTCCTGGGCTAATTGCCCTGATGTCACAGCACCCAGTGACGTCACAGTACCCAGTGACGTCGCCGAGGGGCGGCGCCCAAGCCAGAGGCCTGACACCATCGCATCCCATCCCCGTAGAGGCATGGGACGTCAGCACGCTATGCATCACCGTTCCACGGCCACGCACTGCCGTCTGGAATGGAATCCCACTTTTTAAAATTATCATTTGTTTATTTATTTTGAGACGGGGTGTCACTCTTTCTCCTAGGCTGGAGTGCAGTGGTGCAATCATGGCTCACTGCAGCCTTGAACTCCTGGGCTCAAGCGATCCTCCCGCCTCGGCCTCCTGAGTAGCTGGGACTACATGTGCAGCCACCACTGCAGGCTATTTTTACTTTTTATTTTTTTGTAGAGAGAGGGTCTCACTCTTTTGCTCAGGCTGGTCTAGAACCCTTGGGCTCAAGCGATCCTCCCACCTCGGCCTTCCAAAATGCTGGGATTACAGGAGCGAGCCACCACACCCAGCCTGGAATCCCACCTTTTACACTGTTCCTGAAAGCCCTTTCCTCTTCTCTGTCTCTTGAAGCACACAGGTTCCATGCTGTCCCTTGGATTCTCCAGTGGAGTGACTCTTGCTGCCTCCGTATGCCTGGAAGGCCCACCCAGGGCTTCCCTTGGCTGCCTCTTGGTTTCCCACCCTTTAAGAGAGGCTTTCTACACTCTGCATCTAAGTTCCCTCCTTTCTCTGTCACTGTCAGCCGTCACCCCCTTCCCAATTTCTGCCCATCTTCCAGGAAGCCTTGTCTGACTTCTCCATTCTGAGTTATGCTTCAGTGTGCAAAATTTCTCTAGGGCTACACTGTCTATGTTTTTATTTTCCTTAGAGCACATGTCTCTCTAAAAATTGTTTGTTTTCTTGCCAACTGTCTCTGTCCACCAGACTGTAAGCTCTGAGAGGACAGGGACGTCATCTATGTCACTTCTGTATCCCATTGACAAGAAAAGTGTTTGGCACCTGAAAGGTGTTTGTGGGCTGGACGCAGTGGCTCATGCCTGTAATCCCAACACTTTGGGAGGCTGAGGTGGGAGGATCATTTGAGTCCAGGAGTTTGAGACCAACATGGGCAATGTGGCAAAACCCTGTATCTACAAAAAATAAAAAAAGTAGCCAGGTGTGGTGGTGCATGCCTGTTGTCCCAATTATTAGGGAGGCTGAGGTGGGAGGATCACTTGAGCCTAGGAGGTCAAGGCTGCAGTGAGCTGTGATTGTGTCACTGCACTCCAGCTGGGAGACAGAGCAAGACCCTGTCTGAAAAAGGCGTTAGCCCAATAAACTATACCTGAATGAATAAATGTCAATTCCTCAGGTTTCATCTGATCGCTAATCTTTTCTTTTCTTTTCTTTTTTTTGAGACAGAGTTTCGCTCTTGTTGCCTAGGCTGGAGTGCAATGGTGCGATCTCAGCTCACCGCAACCTCCGCCTCCTGGGTTCAAGTGATTCTCCCGCCTCAGCCTCCTGAGTAGCTGGGACTACAGGCGTGCGCCACTACACCTAGCTAATTTTTTTTTTGTTTTTGTATTTTTAGTAGAGACGGGGTTTCACCATGTTGGCCAGGCTGATCTCAAACTCCTGACCTCAGGTGATCCATCTGCCTCGGCCTCCCAAAGTGGTGGGATTACAGGCGTGAACCACCTCGCCCGGCCCTGATCGCCAATCTTATCAAACTCTTCACGTTATATCTTCTCGCAGCACCCATTCTTTTCCTTGTAGCTTTTCATGTAGTTTGTCATGATCTACTGATTGGTTTATTTGTTCGATGTCTCCCCCTTGGGCTCTAAGCCCCTCACAGGGCTCCTGTTCTTGTTTGTTTGTTCACGACTGTGCCTCCAGCACTTAGAACAATACAAAGCAGGTTTTCAATGAACGTCTGACAAAGAACAAGTGGACAAACAGCTCCCTCCCCTGCAGCCCCGGGGTAGGGGTTTGCTTGCACCTCAGTGACTCACAGGCAGGCACCATCACCTGCACAGCAGGTTGACACGCAGCTGTGACCAAGGTTCAGGGGGAGTGGGGGTTTGTGCCAGGAAGGAGTCACCATCCCAGAGAGGGATGGATGCAAGAAGGGGCAGAATGACATAACCTCTTCCTTCCGCCAACATCCATGAGAAATTCATTTGCCAAGCACCTGCCATGGGACCAGGGCAGGGTGAGGCTCTCCTGCTTTGATGGCCTGGGAGAAGAAAGTAAACTAAGTGTACAGGTGAGGAGGTTTTAACGAACCGAGACCAAAACACAGATGATTAATTAAACAAAGGGAGCTACATTTTGGTGTACAATCAAGGAGGTGAAAAATATAACCTCAACAAAACCAGGATTCAAAAGGGGCTGATTTTGGCTGGGTGCAGTGGCTCACACATGTAATCCCAGCACTTTGGGAGGCCGAGGCAGGTAGACCACCTGAGGTCAGGAGTTTGAGACCAGCCTGGCCAACATGGTGAAACTCCATCTCTACTAAAAATACAAAAATTAGCCAGGTGTAGTGGCATGCATCTGTAATCCTAGCTACTCGGGAGGCTGAGGCAGGCGAATCACTTGAACCTGGGAGGCGGAGGTTGCAGTGAGCCGAGATTGCCACTGCACTCCAACCTGGGCAACAGAGTGATACTTCATAAAAAAAATAAATAAAATAAAGAAAGGACAACTCCAGGCCATTCTCAGTTATGGAGCCAGATGCTGAAGTCCTGAATCGAATCGTGCCACATGGGAATAGAGAGACAGAGGAGAGGGACTGAGGCTGGCAGAAGATGAAAGGATGGGGTGGAGAGGGATAGAGAAGATGGAACACAGTTCAGGCCAGGCACAGTGGCTCACGCCTGTAATCCCTGCCCTTGGGGAGGCCGAGGTGGGCGGATCACCTGAGGTCAGGGGTTCGAGACCAGCCTGGCCAACATGGTGAAACCCCGTCTCTACTGAAAGTACAAAAATTAGCTGGGCATCATGGCAGGTGCCCGGCTAATCCCAGCTACTCGGGAGGCTGAGGCAGAAGAATCACTTGAACCCGGGAGGCGGAGGTTGCAGTGAGCCGAGATCATGCCACTGCATGCCAGCCTGGGGGATAGAGTGAGACTCTCCCTCCAAAAACACAAAAAGAAGATGGAACACAGTTCAAAGTGGGAGAAATCCCACCTCTTGATCTCTGGGTGGGTTAGGATTCTGACACTCATCACCCACTCTTCTCTGCCCAGCCACCTCCTGGTATGGGAAACTCCATCATTTCGGCCCTGGACCAGGGCAGAAAAACCACACCTGAGTTTGCCCAGGAATTTGGCTTTGTCCCTGGAGTGTGAAACCGGGAAACAGATTTGATGAGCTCAAGCTTGGAGAGGTGGCACACTTAGTCACCCTCTATAGGCAGAGCCCAGAGAAGGCAGAAGCTTCTGGATATCTGTCCTGGGATGCCTGTCTTTGGGTGGAGTCAAGTGTCCAGGAGCTGGAGAGGAACCCCGGGTCCTCTGAGGGGAGTGGGCCTTGGCGCCTTTGTTTGAGCAAAGCCTGAAAACACGTGCAGATTCTCGCCACACCTGGGCACCCACACACATAGCTCTGCCACCTCCAGCTGCTCACACCCTGCACATTGTTCCTGCCTGGCCTTCCCACCAGCAATCCCACCTCCACCCCTCTCTCAGTCTCTCCCCTTGGCACCAAAACCCAAATATCTTTCACCCCTGCACCTACTGTACCCACCCACTGGCTCTCGTTCTGGTCTTAGCCTCCCTCCCAACTGGCTTCTAGATGCATCTGCTGCCCCAAGCCTGCCCACCACCACCTGCCCTTCCTTCCGATGCCCTTTTCATGCCTGAGGCCAGACTCTCAGCTGTTTCCCCTCCAACCCGAGCCAATATGTCAACACTTGGGGCTTCAGGTTGGGGCTTAGGAGGCCCCATGTCGGGAGGGCAGGAAGGATGAGGGCCTGGCCCCAGCCCAGGTTCTGGCTCACAGGCTCCTGCTGCCCTGGGTCTTCGGCCCCTCCCCGTGGCTGCCTCAACCGGCTTTTCAGGAGACACTGCGTCCTGTTCCAGCTCGTGGCAATCAGCCCCCTGCCCTTGCCCAAGGGCTGGGAGGCAGGAGGTCTGGGTTCTGCGACAGGAATGGGATCCTGCCTCCAAAATCTGCGGCACTCCACAAGGGACTCTATGCTGCCCTGGCGACCCAGGCGCCCTTCCCTCCAGCACCCTGTGAGACCCAGACTCGGGCTCGGAGTCTCTTTCCTTGGCCTGTTCGAATCCATCCATTTGTCCAGTCAATAAATATTTACTGAACCCCAGGCAGTGTTCAAGAAGCTAGGAATACAGCAGTGATCAACACGACCAATTTACATTGCTAGTAGGTGAGACAGGCAATAAAAAATAAAGGTAATTTCAGATTTTTTTTTTCTGTGAAAACAAAAGGGTGATACTACAGAGTATAATTAATGCCATGTTATGGTCAGGAGAGGTTTTCTTGCGAAGTTGGCATTTAAGTCAAGTACGGATGAGGAGGAGCCAGCCACGTGAAGATCTGGGTTCTGCATTCCAGGCAGAGAGAGGAGCATGTGCAAAGGCCCTGCAGCAGGAATGAGCTTGGTGTGTTTGTGGAACAGGGAGAAGGCCTGTGTGGCTGGAATGGAATGAGTGAGGGCAGGGGCTGGCCCACAAGAACGAGGTCTGATGACTCCTTCATCCCACCTAGTGTTCTCCCCTCTCCAGACGGTGCCTCCCATCATTCTAGCCCCTCACTGCCTGGGGAGCTGGAGGCTTAGATGCCTGAGAGGAGTGAGGTGTTGAAGAATTGCCTGCATCCCAGGGATGGAGCATGGTGGAAGGTGGGTTTGCGAGAGAGGAGGCCTGGACAGTGGGTGAGGAATGAAAGAGGAGGTGGTTGGAAGGGCAGACACCCATCTCTGGGGTGGAGGGCAAGGAGCAAAGATGCCAGAGTTCTTCTCCATCCATGACTCACCCTCTCTTCCTCCTCCTCTCCATTGCTCAACTCCAAATCTCCCTGGGAAACACCTCCTTGACTGAAGACCAACTCAGTGCCTCACAGGGGTAATTGAGTCATGAGGGGTGGAGAAGAGGGCGAGAGGGAGAGAGGATAAATAGCAGCGTGGCTTCCCTGGCTCCTCTCTGCATCCTTCCCGACCTTCCCAGCAATATGCATCTTGCACGTCTGGTCGGCTCCTGCTCCCTCCTTCTGCTACTGGGGGCCCTGTCTGGATGGGCGGCCAGCGATGACCCCATTGAGAAGGTCATTGAAGGGATCAACCGAGGGCTGAGCAATGCAGAGAGAGAGGTGGGCAAGGCCCTGGATGGCATCAACAGTGGAATCACGCATGCCGGAAGGGAAGTGGAGAAGGTTTTCAACGGACTTAGCAACATGGGGAGCCACACCGGCAAGGAGTTGGACAAAGGCGTCCAGGGGCTCAACCACGGCATGGACAAGGTTGCCCATGAGATCAACCATGGTATTGGACAAGCAGGAAAGGAAGCAGAGAAGCTTGGCCATGGGGTCAACAACGCTGCTGGACAGGTTGGGAAGGAGGCAGACAAACTGATCCATCATGGGGTCCATCACGGGGCCAACCAGGCGGGAAGTGAGGCAGGGAAGTTTGGCCAGGGAGTCGACAATGCTGCAGGGCAGGCTGGAAATGAGGCTGGGAGGTTTGGCCAGGGAGTCCACCATGCTGCAGGGCAGGCCGGAAATGAGGCTGGGAGGTTTGGCCAGGGAGTCCACCATGCTGCAGGGCAGGCCGGAAATGAGGCTGGGAGATTTGGCCAGGGGGCCCACCATGGTCTCAGTGAGGGCTGGAAGGAGACAGAGAAGTTTGGCCAGGGGATCCACCATGCTGCCGGTCAGGTTGGGAAGGAGGCAGAGAAGTTTGGCCAGGGGGCCCACCATGCTGCGGGGCAGGCCGGAAATGAGGCAGGGAGATTTGGCCAGGGGGTCCACCATGGTCTCAGTGAGGGCTGGAAGGAGACAGAGAAGTTTGGCCAGGGGGTCCACCATACTGCTGGTCAGGTTGGGAAGGAGGCAGAGAAGTTTGGCCAGGGGGCCCACCATGCTGCGGGGCAGGCCGGAAATGAGGCAGGGAGATTTGGCCAGGGGGCCCACCATGCTGCGGGGCAGGCCGGAAATGAGGCTGGGAGGTTTGGCCAGGGGGTCCACCATGGTCTCAGTGAGGGCTGGAAGGAGACAGAGAAGTTTGGCCAGGGGGTCCACCATGCTGCCAGTCAGTTTGGGAAGGAAACAGAGAAGCTCGGCCATGGGGTCCACCATGGGGTTAATGAGGCCTGGAAGGAAGCAGAGAAGTTTGGCCAGGGTGTCCACCATGCTGCCTCGCAGGTGGGGAAGGAGGAAGACAGAGTGGTCCAAGGCCTCCATCATGGCGTTAGTCAGGCTGGAAGGGAGGCGGGGCAGTTTGGCCACGACATTCACCACACAGCAGGGCAGGCTGGGAAAGAGGGAGACATAGCAGTTCATGGTGTCCAACCTGGGGTCCACGAGGCCGGGAAGGAGGCAGGGCAGTTTGGCCAGGGAGTTCACCATACCCTTGAACAGGCCGGGAAGGAAGCAGACAAAGCGGTCCAAGGGTTCCACACTGGGGTCCACCAGGCTGGGAAGGAAGCAGAGAAACTTGGCCAAGGGGTCAACCATGCTGCTGACCAGGCTGGAAAGGAAGTGGAGAAGCTTGGCCAAGGTGCCCACCATGCTGCTGGCCAGGCCGGGAAGGAGCTGCAGAATGCTCATAATGGGGTCAACCAAGCCAGCAAGGAGGCCAACCAGCTGCTGAATGTAGGTGAACAGGGATGGGGAGATGGGGGACAGGGGGGTTGGGGGAGGGAAAGGTTAAACCCCTGGGACATTTGGCGGGGCGGGGGGGTCCGCGTAGCCTTTGTTTGGTGAAAGAAGCTTGGGCAGCTATATCACTGGGTTCCTCCCCCTTCCCCATCTCCCTTACAAAGGAGCTGGTGGCAGCTGGTCAGATGGGGTGAGCCACCTTATCTGCAAAGCACGTATCAGACAGGGTGGCGGGCACCCTGTCCCACCTTCAGGGAGCTGCCCTCCTGGTTAAGGGGGCCTCAAGTGGGGCCCATGAAGCCCTTCCTGGGGAATGGGAAACAGTTCCTGAGATCAAGATCTAGTATAGTGCAAAGGGACTGAGTGTTGACAAAACCTGGTTAGGAGAGTGAGCATGAGGAATAGCTTTCGGAGATGAGCCTTGGCCTGTGTAATCTTTGTAACTACCCTCTGATGTGGTCAAGATGAGGCTGCTGACGCCCTGATTCTCAGATAAGGAAACAAAGGCTCAGAGAGGTTAGGGGACGTGCCAAAGTCCTGTGGCTAGTGCCCAGCTTTGGCAGAGGGCAGGCCAGGGTTCTCTTCCCCTGCACTGCCCAGCCAGGAGAGGTTTTCTGGAAGGTTTCTCTTACCCATTTATGTAGGGGGAACAGAGGCCAGGTTCAGTGGCTCATGCCTGTTAACCCCAGCACTTTGGGAGGCCGAGGCAGGTGGATCACTTGAGCTCAGGAGTTCAAGAGCAGCCTGGCCAACATGGTGAAACCCTATCTCTACTAAAAATACAAAAATTAGCCAGGTGTGGTGGCTGGCGCCTCTAATCCCAACTACTCAGAAGGCTGAGGCAGGAGAATCCCTTGAACCCGAGAAGCGGAGTTTGCAGTGAGCTGAGATTGCACCATTGCACTCCAGCCTGGGCAACAGAGTGAGACTCTGTCTCAAAAAAAATAATAATAAAATAAAATATGTAGAGGGAACAGAGACTGGAGGCAGGCAAATAGCACCACTCACAACAGAACAGGCACCAAGAAGGGAGCGTGGGGAGCAGGAGAGGGTGGACTCCTGTGCGCCCTCACTCTCCAGGCTCCATGAGGGGTCCTGGATCTGCAAGATGTGACTGGCTCAGACGTCGAAGTCCAGAGCCACATCTGCCGCCAGACAGAGCCAGGGATGGGTGGGTGGGGAGGAACGGCGCAGCAGAGGAGCGGGCACGGCAGGCTGCAGGGTGCCGCGAGCAGAGGACGGTGCACTGTAGGATTTGGGGCTGGCAACAGCAGCCGGGGTTGGGGGCACTGCTGGGGTGCATGGCTGAGTGTCTGGGGCTGGGTTAAGGACAAGGATCAGTGGAGTTAGGGATGCAGCTAGACAGGGCATAGAAGGGTAGATTTGAGGTCAGGGCTGAGGTTAAACTAGGTCCTGATATTGTTTGTCACGGGTCCTCTACCTTCCCTTTCCACCAGCCCCTCCTCCATGACTGAGAGCACTTCATTAAGGAAATTAAAAGGGGCTTTGGGGAGGAAAAGGCAGCAGGAGGCAGAATGCCCACGCGAGCACGGGCTTTGGGTTTTCTTCTGGACAGTGAGGAGGCAGTGGGTTAAGCTGTGCCTCCCACCGCAGCCCCAGTCACCCTGGAGGGGACCAGGTCCCTGGGGAAAAGGAACTGGGAGACCCTCCGCGTTTGTGGGGTTGTAACAAGAGTCTGGGCTTTGTCCACAGGGCAACCATCAAAGCGGATCTTCCAGCCATCAAGGAGGGGCCACAACCACGCCGTTAGCCTCTGGGGTAAGCGCGGACTCTGGGGTAGGGGAGAGGAGGCCCCTGGGAGTTCCCTAGCATGGCTGTGGGTCAGACGCTGGAGACTGACCTTCTTGTCCTTGAATTGCAGGCCTCGGTCAACACGCCTTTCATCAACCTTCCCGCCCTGTGGAGGGTGAGTGCCCCATGGTGTCTCTTTTCTGCTCTGCGTCCTGATAGATACGCTCACCCCGACCCCTTCCCGGTGTCTGTTTGGACAGCTCCCCGGGCGGGCAGACCTGCAGCCTCTGCAAAGACCCTCCAACCTGATACCCAGTCCTGGGCTTCCCTCTCTCCACCTGCTCCCTCCCCTTTGCACCCTGCCCTCATCTTTTGGGTGCCTTTCATTTCCACCAAGGCAAACACAAGCTGGCAGAAAAGACCTCCCAGGCCCTGGTGCCCCTGGGAGCCAGGGAGGGAGGAGGGGCTGCTGACTGTTCTCATTCCCTCTCTCTCCTTGTCATTCCTCGATTCCCATTTGCTGACTGGCTTCCCTCCTGTCCCAACCCTCCTGCAAATGCCTTTGCTTCATGCTGGGAGGGGGAGCCTGTGTCTTTGTCCTCTCCCTGGTGCAAGGTCACCCCAGTGCAGAGGCTCCTATGGAATCCTGGTTCCCAGTTGGGGCTCAAAGTAAACTCCTGACTCTCTTTCTTTATTTTAATTTATTGAGACGGAGTCTCACTCTATCTCCCAGGCTGGAGTGCAGTGGTGCAATCTCAGCTCGCTGCAACCTCCGTCTTCTGGGTTCAAGTGATTCTCCTATCTCAGTCTCCTGAGTGGCTGGGATTACAGGTGTGCGCCAACATGCCCAGCTAATTTTTGTATTTTTAGTAGAGACAGGGGTTTCACCATATTGGCCAGGCTGGTCTCGAACTCCTGATCTCAAGTGATCCCCTCCTTCCTCAGCCTCCCAAAGTGCTGGGATTACAGGCGTAAGCCACTGCACCCAGCCTCTTTTTGCACTTATTGTATCTGCTGCCCGAGACCTGGTGCAGGCCAGGGTGAGGGTGTATCACGGAGGAGGAAGGCCCACCCTTGTGTATCCCAGGCTATGGGGGCGGCAGAGCATCCTCTCAGGCTAAACACACGAGGCTTGTTGGTTCCTGCAGAGGCCCCAGCCCCTCTGCCTGTGGGGACTGGCTTCCTTGTGTTCTTAAGTTTAGATGCTACCTTCCTGAAACTTCCCCAGAACATAACTCCGGGGCCAGAGCAGCCAGTCCCCTTGTGCTTCTCCCGAGGGGCGGGGCTGAGGTCTCGGGTCCCGTCATGACTGTGGACCCTACATTCACCCCTGCTCTCCTTCTCTCTTCCAGAGCGTCGCCAACATCATGCCCTAAACTGGCATCCGGCCTTGCTGGGAGAATAATGTCGCCGTTGTCACATCAGCTGACATGACCTGGAGGGGTTGGGGGTGGGGGACAGGTTTCTGAAATCCCTGAAGGGGGTTGTACTGGGATTTGTGAATAAACTTGATACACTATGCTGTCTCATTGTGGTCCCCTGGGCTCCCTAAGGAGGGATGGACAGGGAGGCAGGAGGGCCTTGTCTTTTCTTGTTACTTTGCTGAAGGAGTCGGAGTGTCTGAGGCATAGGGTGGGTTGAGCTGGAGATTTCAGGCTGATTAGCTGTAAGAGGGCGGGTAATGGGGACAAACCACGCTTTGCTGGGGTGCAAAGTTCGTGCTGGCTACTGGCAGGAGGACTCGTGCAGGGAAAACCACTGCAGGCCACTCGTGGGGACAGACACACCGGGAGAGAATGGTCTGGGCCCAGGAGGTAGCATCCTCAGTCAAGGGGGTGGGGGGCGCCAAAATAATAACAACAATAACTTGTATTTATTGTGCAGTTAAGACCTGCCAGGCTGCCTGCCAGGTGCGTTACCTGCATGACATCATTGACTCCTCCCAACCCCCCAGTTAGGTGAAAGGGACTGTTATTGCCCCATTTTATAGAGAAGCACGTGGGCGCTTGCACACATTAAGAAACATGACCAAGTTTACACAGTCAGTAAGTGGAAGGAGAGAAACAGTGAAGAGCTACAAAGGATATTCTGGAAAAACAGAGGTCTTTGCCCTTTGGCGTCAGCAGAGAAGGAGAATTGGTGAATAAGAAAAGTGAGACACGGGATGGGGCTGGGGATCCTCTCAGGGGAAAGAGGGAGAAGGATGGAAGGCTCAGGTGGAAGACATGCTGGTGACAGGAGCCACCTGAGTAGGGGCACAGAAGGCCCCATTTTCAGATCTGTGGACCATTCAAAGCCCAGAGGAACAATGATTACAATTACTGAGCATAGAGCACTTGCTAGACTCAAGGTACCGTGTCCAGAGTTGTTCATATTCTTTTTTTTTTTTTTTTTTTTTTTTTTTTTGAGACAGAATCTTGCTCTTTCGCCCAGGCCAGAGTGCAGAGATGCGATCATGGCTCACTGCTGCCTCGACCTCCTGGGCTCAAGAAATCCTCCCACCTCAGCCTCTTGAGTAGCTGGAATTACTACAGGTACGCGCCACCACACTTGGCTCATCAAATTTTCTTTTTCTTTCTTTTTTTTTTTTAAGAGATGGGGTCTCACTATATTGCCCAGGCTGTTCTCAAACTCCTGGGCTCAAGGGATTCTCCCACCTCAGCCTCTTGAGTAGCTGGAACTACAGGCACACACCACCACACTTGGCTAATTAAAAATTATTTTTTTGGCCGGGCACAGTGGCTCATGCCTGTAATCCCAGTACTTTGGGAGGCCGAGGCTGGCAGATCATGAGGTCAGGAGTTCGAGACTAGCCTGACCAACATGGTGAAACCCTGTCTCTACTAAAAATACCAAAAAAGAAATTAGCTGGGTGTGGTGGCGCGTGCCTGTAATCCCAGCTGCTCAGGAGGTTGAGGCAGGAGAATCACTTGAACCTGGGAAGTGGAGGTTACAGTGAGCCGAGATTGCACCTCTGCACTCCAGCCTGGGTGACAGGGTGAGACCCTGTCTCAAAAAAAAATTTTTTTTTTCTTTTTTTGGTAGAGACAGGGCCTCACTATATTGCCCACGCTGTTCTCAAACTCCTGGGCTCAAGGGATTCTCCTGCCTCGGCCTCCCAAAGTGGTGGGATTACAGGCATGAGCCACTTCATCTGGCCTGTTCATGTTCTTTAACTCTTTAAGTCTCCCACAACCCAAAGGCAGAAGCCCTGTTATCGTCACCGTTGTATGGATGAGGATGCTGCGGCTCAGTGGGACAAGGGCGCCCACAGAGAAAGCAGCAGGCCTGGGTCTGGCTCCGTCTGTCGCCAGCACCTGACTTCTCGTGGTTCCCGGTGAAGTCTCTGTAACACTCCCAGGCACTAGCCTGGGTGCTGGGAGACTTGCGTTCCAATCGGGAGCAAGATGCCTGAAGGCCGCCTACTTCCCCTCTAGGGGCCACGATTTCCTCCTGTATAAAGGGAGGCAGGGATTCGACAACTGTTGCTTCCAGCTACAAAATTCCATCAATGGGGGACTGAAAATAATAGACAGTGTTCTTGCCCTTGGGGAATTCACAGCCTTCCTGGGAGGCAAGGCCTATAAACAGAATGTGAATGCAAACACACAAAGCCACGCATCAATAAGAGCTCAATGACCGGCAAGGGGAGGGGCCTGCATTTGTGCAAAAAATGGGACGTTCCTCACTTTATAGTCACTGCATTTTCCCTTATTTTGTGGAATACCATCATTTCATTACATATGCTCCTTCCCTCCCCCTGCGATATTTTATTTTGAAAACATTTCAAGCATCATGAAAAGATGAAAGAATTTTATAGTGAACACCAGAATTCTCACCACTTAGATTTTACCATACTTGCTTGGTCACACATCTGTCCATTTAGCCCCATATCAAACATTTTTGATGTATTTCAAAGTAAACTGTAAACATTATATTTGCTGCATTTTGTCTTATTTATTTTTTGAGACAGAGTCTTGGTCTATCGTTCAGGCTGGAGTGCAGTGGCACAGTCATGGCTAACTGCAGCCTCAATCTCCTGGGCTCAAGCAATCCTCCCACCTCAGCCTCCCAAGTAGCTGGGACTACAAGCACACACCACCATGCCTGGCTAATTTTGTAATTTTTTTTTGTAGAGACGAGGGTCTCATAATGTTGCCCAGGCTGGTCTTGAAATCCTGAGCTCAAGCAATCCTCCTGCCTCAGGCTCCCAAAGTGCTAGGAATACAGGTGTGAGCCACAGCACCCAGCTGCTTGCTGCACTGATATAAATAGAACCTTCCATTCATGTCAGATACTGATTGAGGGTCTGCTCCGTGCTGGACATCATCTCACAGGTATTGGGGGAGGCCCTACTTAAAAGAATCCTATAGTGGCGGCTTTCGAAAAGGCAACATTCAAGGGACTCTTTCTTTCTTGAAGTAAAAGCTTTCATTGACTTTATTTTTATTTAAAAAAATATACATATATGTGTGTGTATATATATACGTGTATATATATGTATATATGTGTATGTATATATATATATTGAGACAGAGTCTTGCTTTTTCATCCAGGCTGGATTGCAGTGGGGTGATATCGGCTCACTGCAACCTCTGCTTCCCAGGCTCAAGCAATTCTCCTGCCTCAGCCTCCCTTACAGGTGCGCGCCACCACACCCAGCTAATTTTTGTATTTTCAGTAGAGACGGGGTTTCACCATGTTGGTCAGGCTGGTCTTGAACTCCTGACTTCAGTTGATTCGCCCGCCTTGGCCTCCCAAAGTATTGGGATTACAGGCGTGAGCCACCGCGCCTGGCCATCACCCGGCTGACTGACTATTTTTTAGGCACATTTTCTTGCTGGGTTTGCTTGGATGGGGGTCCTGAAAATACCAAAGAGATACAAGATAATTGATAGGCACTGAGTCAGTCCTGGGAAGCTTCTGAAAAAGGAGAGCTTTGAGTCGGTTTTGAGGGTAAAAGACGCCTGGCTCTCTCCTGCCTGGAGGTCTTCTGTGCTGTTCCCTCTACTAGGAACACTCTCCATGCCCCTCGGCCCCTCATACTGGCTCTTCCCTACCCTTTGCATCTCAGCTACCTTGACCGCTCAACCTGAGCTACGGCCACCCTGTCACTCTCTCTCATAGCGCTGATCTTGTTTTTCTTGTTGGTTATGACAATCTGTAATCATATTACAAATATCGTATCCATTTCCCCCCAGACAAAGAGGTTCAAGCAGTGATGTCAAGGCCAGGCATGAATGTCTGGCAAGGAGCAGAAGGGAAGCCACTGACTTGAGCAGGTTGGGAAGGGCCATGGAACGAGTGTGAGCAAGACACAGGCTGCTTTGCCTGAGATGGGTGGAGCCAGGCTAGGGAGAAACACAGAGAGGAAGGGCCGGTTTCTGAGGATGTTGAAGAACAGGGAGAGGAGTTTGGGTGTGGCTCTCACCGGGCATCTTTTACAGGGTCTGTGCTAAGCACTTACAGGCATGATTCATTTCATCCCCACAACCATCCGGGAGGCAAGTACCATGATCATTGCCCTCACAGATGTTGAAGAAGAGGTGCACGGAACGGAGCGTGTTGCCTGAGGCCACCCTGCTAGTCAGTGGTGATGGCCAGGCTCCAGTTCAAGGGCACTTCCCTGCTGAACATCTCTAGCAGTGAGGTGGCATGCTGCCCTTGCGACCCCCAGGAAGCGGGAGGGGGCTACATCCAAATGAGTGGGTTTTTTTTTTTTTTTTTTTGACAGAGTCTTGTTCTGTTGCCCAGGCTGGAGTGCAGTGGTGCGATCTTGGCTCACTGCAACCTCCGAACCCCGGGTTCAGGAGATTCTCCTGCCTCAGCCTCCTAAGTAGCTGGGATTACAGGCGCACACCACGCCTGGCTAATTTTTGTATTTTTAGTAGCCATGAGGTTTCACCATGTTGGCCAGGCTGGTCTCGAACTCCTGACTTTAGGTGATCTGCCTGCCTTGGCCTCCCAAAGTGCTGGGATTACAGGTGAGAGCTACCCTCTCCTGGCTCCAAATGAGTGTTCTTTAAAAGTAAGTTTCTGCATCTGGCATTTTTTTTTTAATTGAGGCAGGGTCTCACCCTGTTGTCCAGGCTGGAGTGCAGTGGCGTAATCATGGCTCACTGCAACCTCAGCCTCCTGGATTCAAGTGATCCGTGTGCCTCAGCTTCCCAAGTGGCTGGGACTATGGGCACACGTCACTACACCCTGGCAATTTTTGTATTTTTTGTAGAGACAGGGTCTCACGATGTTGCCCAGCTTGGTCGGGAACTCTTGGGCTCAAGCAATCTTCCCTCCTTGGCCTCCCACGGTTTTGGGATTACAGGCATGAGCCATGCATCTGGCATTTTCAGGATGTGTGCATGTGTGTGTCACAAGATTAAACAACTGCCAAGAAAGCATTCCAGCCACAGCAATGTGACCAGCACTGCCGAGAACATATATTGAGTGCTTCTGAGTGGCAGACACTTCTCTAAGCAATTTACATGTATTACTTCACTTAATCCTCACATTCACCCCTCTTTACAGATGAGAAAACTGTTGCACAGATGGGTTAAGATCATGGTTAGTAAGCGGTGGAGCTAGGGTTTGAATGTAGGCTCTGGGATAGGCACCGTGGAAGAGGTAAGACTGTAGGTGCCAGTTTGAGATCTGGGACCCCCCAGAAGGGAGCAGAGACATCACCCACCCCCAAAGCCTCATCTTCCCACTAGACTGAGTCCAGCCTCCAATCTCCCTCCTCCCTGGTCTCTCTACTCCACAACCCCCAACAATCAGTTCCCTAGGGGAACTCTGTTAGCACCCGTGGCAGCCCAGAACCCTTGGCTGGTTCTACCTCATTCAGAGTAAAAATAAAAGTCAAAGTTGGCCAGGTGTGGTGGCTGACGCCTGTAATCCCAGCACTTTGGGAGGCCTAGGCGGGTGGATCACTTGAGGTCAGGAGTTCCAGACCAGCCTAGACAACATGGTGAAACCCCGTTTCTACTAAAAATACAAAAATTAGCCAGGCGTGGTGGCAGGCGCCTATAATCCCAGCTACTCGGGAGGCTAAGGCAGGAGAATCACTTGTACGCTGGAGGCGGAGGTTGTGGTGAGCCGAGATTGCGCCATTGACCTTCAGCCTGAGCGACAGAGCAAGACCCAGTCTCAAAAAAAAAAAAAAAAAAAAAAGCCAGTCTTCATAATAGTCCGCAAGACCCCAGGATCTTTCCCTCTTTGACTTTAGCTTCTCCCATCCCAACACTGCTCCAGCCACAATGGTTCTCAAATACAGTAGGCAGGCTCCTGCCTCCAGGCCTTTGCATGGCTGTTCCCCCTGCTTGGAATCCACTAGCCCCAGCTAATCCCCATGGCTCACTCTTCCACTCCCTGCAGGGGTCAGCTCACAGGCCACATCTCAAAGAGCCTTTCCCGAGTACCCTATTTAAAACACCTCTCTGTCACCTATTGCCTAACTTCCCCCACCATGAATGTAAGTTCTGCAAGGAGAATGCTTTTTTTGAGACAAGGTCTCACTCTGTCACCCAGACTGGAGTGCAGTGGTGTGGTCATAGCAGCCTCAACCTCCAGAGCTCAAGCGATCCTCTCACCTCAGCCTCTGGAGTAGCTAGAACTACAGGTGTGCACCACCACATCCAACTACTTTTTCAAAAACATTTTTTATAGTTGGGGTCTCTCTGTGTTGCCCAGGCTGGTCTCGAACTTTTGACCTCAAGTGATCCACTTGCCTCGGCCTCCCAAAGTGCTGGGCTTGCAGGCATGAGCTGGGATTATGAGGTGTCACTCAGCTGGAGAATGGTTTCTAGGCTGTATCCCCAGTGTCTGGAATAGGCGTGTCACGGAGCAGGTAGTCATAAATATTTGCTGAATGAATGATGTGAATTAGAGAGAAGAGCTGAGACCAGAGGGCCTTGGACATGACATAGGCATATCAGATTTGTGGGTGCCATCACGCATAAGAACATGGGTGGCATGGTGATGGAGGAGAGAAAGCTGTTTGGAGTCAGACTGACCTGGCTCAAGTTTTTTTTTGTTGTTGTTGTTGTTTTGAGACGGAGTTTCGCTCTGTTGTCCAGGCTGGAGTGCAATGGTGCAATCTCGGCTCACTGCAACCTCCACTTTCCAGGTTCAAACAATTTTCCTGCTTCAGCCTCCTGAGTAGCTGGGATTATAGGTGCCTGTCACCACGTTCGGCTAATTTTTGTATTTTTAGTAGAGAGGGGGTTTTCACCATGTTGGCCAGACTGGTCTTGAACTCCTGACCTCAGATGATCCACCTGCCTTAGCCTCCCAAAGTGCCTGGCTCAAGTTTTGACAACTCTATTTTACCACAGTCTTTTCACATATGATTTTGTGTGTGATGCTGAGCCACTTGGGCCTCAGTTACCTCATCTGTATAATGGGAATAATATTAACCTCTTGTGGTCATATTGAGGATTCAATGAGATCATGTATGTGAAAGCACCTAATATTTTATTTGGTTCACACTAGTTATTTAATAAGGATGCCCTAGGGCTGATCTGAGGTGGCTCCTCAGGCCCAGCGATGTCTGAGGGGCAATTTTTTCCTAGCAGGTAGAACACAGGCCTGTTGGTGGCATGGGAGAATTGAGGTGATCCATGGACACGGCTTTGAATAACTGAATCACACAGGGAGAAACTTACTTTCTTCTCAATTTTCTTTTAAGCTCTCTGACTATGTTAAAGAGAAAGACTTCATTTTAGTTTTTGAAAAAATTTATTATTAGTGTTATTTTCTTGAGGCCTGGACCTACCTTTGAGAAAGACCCCATGTCCAGCTGTGCTGGTGAGTCAGAACACCTCTTTCATACTTGCTAATCTTCCTTCTTAACAAAAAGGGCACATGGCCGGGCGTGGTGGCTCATGCCTGTAATCCCAGCGCTTTGGGAGGCCAAGGCAGGCAGATCACTTGAGGTCAGGAGTTCGAGACCAGCTTGTCCAACATGGTCAAACTCCGTCTCTACTAAAAATACAAAAATTAACTGGGCATGGTGGTGTGCATCTGCAATCCCAGCTATTTGGGAGGCTGAGGAAGGAGAATTGCTTGAACTCTGGAGGTGGAGGTTGCAGTGAGCCGAGATTGCGCCATTGCACTCCAGCCTGGGCAACAGAGGGAGACTCCATCTCGAAACAAAACAAACAAACAAACAAAAAACAAAGAGAGTGCAGGAGCTGCAGCAAGCATAATGTAATACCACTGTTTGCTCATGCCTGTCATCCCAGCACTTTGGGAGGCTAAGGCAGGAGGATCGTATGAGCCCAGGGGTTTGAGATCAGCCTGGGCAACACAACAAGATCTCATCTCCACAAAAATAAAAATTAAAAAATTAGCTGGAGGCTAGGTGCGGTGGCTCACGCCTGTAATCCCAGCACTTTGGGAGGCCGAGGCAGGCAGATCACGAGGTCAGGAGTTCACGACCAGCCTGGCCAACATGGTGAAACCCTGTCTCTACTAAAAACACAAAAATTAGCCCAGCGTGGGATTACAGGCCCAGCATGCGCCTGTAATCCCAGCTACTTGGGAGGCTGAGGCAGGATAATCACTTGAACCTGGGAGGCGGAGGTTGCAGTGAGCCAAGATCGTGCCATTGCACTTCAGCCTGGGCAACAGAGTAAGACTCTGTCTCAAAAAGAAAAAAAAAATTAGCTGGGTGTGCTGGTGTGCATCTATAGTCCCAGCTACTTGGGAGACTGAGACAGGAGGATCGCTTGAGCCCAGGAGGTCGATGCTGCAGTGAGCTACAATTGTGCCAGTGTACTCCAGCCTGGGCAAGACCCTGTCTCTAGAAAAAAAGAACCATCTCCCAGAGTTGTATAATTCTTAAACTGCTTGTGCTTAGTCCAATGCTGGGTACATACAGAACCGCTGATAAGCTGGAGCTGTAATTATTATTATTATTATTATTATTATTACCACCATCGCTATTATCATCATTAACGAGTCAGAGATGGAATAACAGGGAAGTAGGAGCTGAGGAGGACAGATGGGGATAGTGTTTACAAGGTAAGAAGTGTTGGATGTTATAAGCTGGGGTGCGGATATTGGGGTGGAGAGAAGAGAGAGACTGACTGAGAGACATTGAGAAAGGCTGATGGAAACTGGCCCCTCCTAACTGGGCGATGAACCCCAGTGATACGAAACAGTGGGAGGCCCTGTGGCCCCTGGGAATAGAGAAGCAGCCACACTTGCTGGGCAGGGGTGAGGCGGGGGGAGGCTCCCAGGTTCTGTATCCCGAGCTGGGACTGGGGAGAGGGCCGTGGCTCTCACGGATGGCTCCTGACCTTGCGCTACCCTCTTCTCGCTTGCCATTGCTGCCCTGGCCCCTGGCCTGGGGGATGGGTGGGGTGAGCTGGCCCAGTCCCGCCCCTCATAGGCGCTTATACTCACACGTGCCCCTCTAGGGCTGCGTAAACAGGATGGGTGCCTGGGTCAGCGGCTCCCTCCCTTGGCCTTCCCTCCCACTCGTTCCCTGGGGGTGGCTGGCGCGCCTGGCTGCCCTGCTCCGCGCCCAGCTTTCTCAGCCGGGAGCAGCCTGAACGCTGAGACACCCTGCTGACCACTCAAAGGGCTATGGCCACCTCCTTCCCCGACACCGAGGGTCCCCCCGGGGGCTCTCCCCAGAATCTCAGAAACTGACACGCAGCCCCGTGTTTGCCAGTCTCTCTCTGTGGGCTGGAAGGTGTGGAGGAACAAGAAGGCAGTCACCTGTAGGTGGCAATGCGGGAGGGGAGAGGGAGAGGAGAGGCTGAGGTGCTGAAACCGAGAAAGGCCAGGCCGAGGACGGGCAATGCCTGTCACTCTGGAGCCCCTGAGCCAGGCTGGCTGAGCCTGGGTGGGTCCTGTCCCCTGGGGCTTCCCTGTCCTTACTCCTTTGGTGGGGTCCTGCCAGTAACTCCTCTCTTCTAAGTCTGCCCCCACCCCACCGCCTCCAGGAGCCAACGACAACCTGTCTCCTTAGATGCCCCTGCCCCCACCCAGCTCCCCGAATGCCTGGGGTTGGGAAATGGGAGCACTTTTGCATCACCTCATCCATTTCTCCCTCCCTCCCTGATGCGGCTCACTCTCTGTTTCGACAGAGACTCTCAGACTCACAATAACAGCTGATTACCCTATTGGTGGCTGGGCCCTGAGTCACTGCGGGGAGGGACCTCAGGTTGCCCAGCCCTGTCACCTTCTCCCAACCTAGAGTATAAGGAGTAGTGACAGGGAGGTGGACTCTGAGAAGCCCAGGCAGTTGAGGACAGGAGAGAGAAGGCTGCAGACCCAGAGGGAGGGAGGACAGGGAGTCGGAAGGAGGAGGACAGAGGAGGGCACAGAGACGCAGAGCAAGGGCGGCAAGGAGGAGACCCTGGTGGGAGGAAGACACTCTGGAGAGAGAGGGGGCTGGGCAGAGATGAAGTTCCAGGGGCCCCTGGCCTGCCTCCTGCTGGCCCTCTGCCTGGGCAGTGGGGAGGCTGGCCCCCTGCAGAGCGGAGAGGAAAGCACTGGGACAAATATTGGGGAGGCCCTTGGACATGGCCTGGGAGACGCCCTGAGCGAAGGGGTGGGAAAGGCCATTGGCAAAGAGGCCGGAGGGGCAGCTGGCTCTAAAGTCAGTGAGGCCCTTGGCCAAGGGACCAGAGAAGCAGTTGGCACTGGAGTCAGGCAGGTTCCAGGCTTTGGCGTAGCAGATGCTTTGGGCAACAGGGTCGGGGAAGCAGCCCATGCTCTGGGAAACACTGGGCACGAGATTGGCAGACAGGCAGAAGATGTCATTCGACACGGAGCAGATGCTGTCCGCGGCTCCTGGCAGGGGGTGCCTGGCCACAATGGTGCTTGGGTGAGTGGCTGTGGGGCTGCATGTGGAAATGGGAGGCTGTGGGCTGCTGGGCTGAGATTCTTGGGAAACGGTTGAAAGGATGGATGGATCTCTTACTTGCAGGCTTCTGGGGCAGCTTCCTTCTATGTTCTGCCCCCCTCCTATGCCACCCTGGAGTCCCTCTGCCTGTCTCTCTCCTGGTCTCTTTATGATTTGCCCTGGCTCTTCTCTACCAGGGTCAGAGATGGTCCCACTAAGTGCAGGTATGTTGTTCTTGCAGGAAACTTCTGGAGGCCATGGCATCTTTGGCTCTCAAGGTGGCCTTGGAGGCCAGGGCCAGGGCAATCCTGGAGGTCTGGGGACTCCGTGGGTCCACGGATACCCCGGAAACTCAGCAGGCAGCTTTGGAATGAATCCTCAGGGAGCTCCCTGGGGTCAAGGAGGCAATGGAGGGCCACCAAACTTTGGGACCAACACTCAGGTAAAGTCACCCCCAGACCTGCTACCTGCCACCTCCCTCCCTCCAAGCCCACATGCTCCGCGTGCCTCCCTGGTCCCTCTGGATCCTACTCTCAGTCTCACCCTCTCTGCAGGGAGCTGTGGCCCAGCCTGGCTATGGTTCAGTGAGAGCCAGCAACCAGAATGAAGGGGTAAGAGGAAGGGGCTGGGAACAAATGAAGAAGCCACTGGGTGCAGGCTACAGAGAGCTGGGGAAAGACAAAGAGGAAAGCAAGATGGGGGAGTGGAGGGATTGGGGTGAGAGGAAGAGATGGGGCTGGGCGAGGTGGCTCACACCTGTAATCCCAGCACTTTGGGAGGCCAAGGCACGTGGATCACCTGAGGTCAGGAGTTCAAGACCAGCCTGGTCAACATGGTGAAACCCTGTCTTCACTAAAAATACAAAAATCAGCCGGTCATAGTGGCATGCGCCTGTAATTGCAGCCACTTGGGAGGCGGAGGCAGGAGAATCACTTGAACCTGGGAGATGGAGGTTGCAGTGAGCCGAGATCGCATCACTGCACTCCAGCCTGAGCAACAGAGTGAGACCCTGTCTCAAAAAAAAAAAAAAAAAAAAAAGGAGGAAGAGACGGGCCTGGGCCTGGGGAGGAGGCAGATGGGAAGGGGAGGTGGGAGAAACACATTAGGAGAAAGGAAGCCAAGCCCCAAAGAATGGGAGAGGCCTGGCCTGTGTCCATGGCCGAGGCCAACGTCTCCAAACTCACCGTCCCCAAACTCACCATCCCTTTCCCTCGACAGTGCACGAATCCCCCACCATCTGGCTCAGGTGGAGGCTCCAGCAACTCTGGGGTGAGTGGAGAGGGGCAACCCAGGAGTTGTGCACCAGGAGGAAATGGAGAAGTTCTGCTCCCCTTAGACTGGGCATCATGGAATATGGCCTGGGTGGAGAGGGAGGGAGGAGGGGCCCGTCTTGGTGCTCTGTCTTTAATCCCAGCCCTGCTCCCTTCCTGCCCCTCAGGGAGGCAGCGGCTCACAGTCGGGCAGCAGTGGCAGTGGCAGCAATGGTGACAACAACAATGGCAGCAGCAGTGGTGGCAGCAGCAGTGGCAGCAGCAGTGGCGGCAGCAGTGGCGGCAGCAGTGGTGGCAGCAGTGGCAACAGTGGTGGCAGCAGAGGTGACAGCGGCAGTGAGTCCTCCTGGGTGAGTTTGGCACCTCTGTGGAAGGCTGAGATGGGGTGAGGCCCTAGTGGTCCCTGCCGGGAGAGGGCTCCAAGTTTCTCTGAAAGCTGCCGCTGCCCGAGGATGGGCGGCCTCGCTGATAGTCGTCACCCTGAGGCTCCCTCAGCCTCCTGTTCCCCACCCATGCTGTGCCCCTGATGCGCGCACTATCGTTTCTGCCAGAGCCACCCCACTGCTTCTGACTCTGTATCCCTATTTTCCACTCTGTGATGGTGGGGACGTTATCCCGCCTGTCTAAGCTCTTGCAGTCAAGTCCACTTGGCAAGTCTCAGGAGACCGTGGGGTGGCGGAGAAAGAGGGGGACATGGGAGAATATGACACTTGTCTGGGAAGCTCCCAGGAGAATGGGGGCAGGACTGTGATCCGGGAGACCTACGGACGCTGACAGAGCGACGGTGCAGACGACATTCACACATGGGGCCCCTGCACGATGGGTGTGAGGGCAGGAAGGGGCGCTGTGACCCCGCAGCTGCCACCCCAGGGCCCCGGGCCTCACTGACTCCAGAGCCGGCAGTCTCTCCAGCCTCCTGGTCAATGGCCTGTCCAACCCCTTGGCTGACGGCCTCTCCCATCCCGTGTCTTGGAGTCGAGCTGGAGAGGGAGCCACATCTGGCTTCCTCGGGGGTCGGGAAAAGTGTCAGACAGGAGGAGGTGCGTGGACACAATAAGCCGAATAACCTGAGCTGCTCTCATGCGCCGCTCCCCGTATGATCCTCCTCTCCCCCATCTAGGGCAGTTCTGGGAATGGTGACCAAGGCAGCTACGGCCGCTCCCAGGTGAGGGCTCTAGGGTCCCTTCCACTTGCTGCCCCCTGGTGGCAGGATCGCGGCTACTGCGCGGCCGGGCTCCAGGGGTTCCCACCCCCGGCCTGCGGTGGGCAGCAGCTCAGGTTCTCCAAATCATTGCGTAGTTCCGAATACCCTCGGCCACACCTGGCCTTCTCCATGCTCGGAATAACTTCCTGCAGCGACCAACAGGCTAAAGAGGGGGAAGGTCTGGAGGTTGGAAAGAGGACTGGAATCTGATTGGGGTTCCAACAAATCTGTAACACCGCTGGGAACGACTGGGTCCCCTTTAGGTCCTTTAGGACAGCGTTTGAAATCTTGCTTTCCCCTGCAGGGATCCAGCACCGGCTCCTCCTCCGGCAACCACGGTGGGAGCGGCGGAGGAAATGGACATAAACCCGGGGTGAGTGGCTGGCGTGAATCTCCCACCAACCGCGGGAAGGAAAAGGAGAGCAGCTGGTTTCACTCGCAGGATCGGGGAGCCAAGGCTCCGCGGAGATGGGGCTGGATGGCCGCGGAGGTGGAGCGGAAGCGGCTCGCCCCAGGGTTAAAATGCTGCCATTTTGGGGCTGGGACTGGTCTGGGAGGGGACTGAGGGAAAGTCTCCCCTTTCTCTCCCCGGCAGTGTGAAAAGCCAGGGAATGAAGCCCGCGGGAGCGGGGAATCTGGGATTCAGGTGAGAGCCAAAGTCTCTTAAGTCTCCTGGGGACTGCAGTTCCTGCCCAGGACTGTGCCCACTCCTCCTAACTCAACTCTGCTCAACCCCCTCCTGCCTTGTCTGCAGGGAACTGACTATTTCGGCAGAAGAAACCAAATGCACTCCTAAAAATGCTAACGATTTCCAAAGTACTAATTAATTGCAAATCTTGCTGTGATATACCTCACCTTATACCACAGATGGGGCTGGGAGAAATTCCATGTAAACCGGTCCTTTTAGAAGCACAATTGTCTTAAATGTCCTCTATCCAGCCGGGGAACAGACTGTGGTGAACTCTGGGGGATTCAGAGTGCTTTGGAAAAACATTCCCCCCAGTTATGCTGGAAATGTGGGCTTTATGTCAGCACCTGTGGTGCTGAGAGTTAGTGTCACGGAGATCTTGTGAAAGTGCAGGTTGCTCTAACAGGGCTGGGTGGGGCTGAGCCTGTTAGCCGCGTTGCTAACAAGCTCCTGGGTGAGGCGTTGGTGGGAAAGGACCCACGTGGCCAGGGGCAAGGCCAGACCGGAGGTGCTGGGGCTGAGTAGAGACATCTCTTTTTAGATAATCTATGAGGGATACTAACCTTTTATGGGAACAAACTGGTTTTTTTAAAAAAAAATTTCTTCCCATTTGTAACCCTCTTTCTAGTTTGTGTTTTTTTCCTTTTTGAGATGGAGTCCCGCTCTGTTACCCAGGCTGGAGGGCAGTGGTGCGATCTGAGCTCACTGGAAACTCCACCTCCTGGGTTCAAGCGATTCTCTTACCTCAGCCTCCCGAGTAGCTGGGATTACAGACGCCAGCCA
This sequence comes from Homo sapiens, assembly GCF_000001405.40. NCBI lineage: Eukaryota > Metazoa > Chordata > Mammalia > Primates > Hominidae > Homo > Homo sapiens. Next base: position 35,509,085 of record NC_000019.10, on the reverse strand, counting down.
CCACCTCTGGCTAATTTTTTTTTGTATTTTTAGTAGAGATGGGGTTTCACCATGTTGGCCAGGCTGGTCTCAAACTCCTGATCTCAGGTGATCTGTCCGCCTCTGCCTCTCAAAGTGCTGGGATTACAGGCATGAGCTACTGCACTCGGACTTTTCTAGTTTTTTAATATACCTCAGTTTTAAGTATATAAGTAGTCAAAAAGCAGCCATCTTTTCCTCTATGGTTTTTGCTCTTGGTGTACCGCTTTAAGGTAATTTTCTTCTAGCACTATGCATACTCCTGCAATTTCACTTTTTCAGTTTAACTGGGATGCATCTGGACTTTGTTTTCCTATATGCTGTCTAGTCCCACCCCTCCATCTAACCAGACTTACCCTACGCTTTGTATCCGAGCTGTGTCCTCCTTTATGAGGGGAAAACTGGTTAAAAACAGAGAGGAGGAAATTGATGAGCTAGAACTAAAATTTTCCCCCAAAATACTTCACTGATATTCCCATTCCCATGTATTCAATCACTTCAACCACTGATTTAAAATGCCTCTTGTAAATACCTTAGTATTTTGGGGAGTTTCTGGGAATTCTGTCGGACAGGACTGCTTTATTTATGGTAGCTTTAGAGTATGTTACTATCTACCTCTTATCTTCACTTACCATTTATCTTTTCCAGTGTTTTCTTACCTATTCTTAAACTTTCATTCTCCTAAAAAAATGTCAGTGTTTGGACCAGTTCCAAAAGAGAGTGCCATTAGGATTCTTAGAGGAATCATATTAAATCAATACATTAATTTTCGGGGGTGGCCTCAGGATCTTCAGCAGGGGTCTGTGTTTCTTTGTCTCACCCTGCAGGGCTTCAGAGGACAGGGAGTTTCCAGCAACATGAGGGTAAGAGGATGGTAGATGTGGGGTCAGAGACTGTGCCGGTAGTAAGTGGGGTAGAGGTCTGTTCTCCAGGAGCAATACTGGCAGACAGGTGGTCCCACATCCCTGCCAGGTCTACCTGAGAGCTCTGGGAACGAGGAAGTACTGATGGGTCTGGCCATGTTTCACAGCAGATAAAGCAGGACTCCAGAGGAGCCCACCTCTCCCTTAAGAGGGGACCAGCCAGTCTACTCTATGCCGCCTCAGCCCCCACTGGCTCTCCAGCTAGCATCTCCTTTTTTTACTAATGCCAATCAGCCCAGACAGGGTCCTTCAGTTTGAATCAATTTAGTGTAACAGCCTGGCCCACTCCAGCTCCAAAGCCAGGGGAGAATTCGGATGCTTTGCTGGCAAAGCCCTCCCTGATGGATTTTGGGCGGCTTGCAGAAATGAACATAAACAGAGATGGCGATGTTATCTATGGACATCGTAAGTGAGCAGCCACCCGACCCACAGGAGCTTGAAACGAGATCTCAGGGCAGATGGAACTTCCCCGAGAGAAGGACCTCTTTCTCAGGCCTCTGGGAAGTCCTCTGTCATGCTCATGTCTCAGTCCCCCGATTCAGGAATCCCTCGCCGACACCCTGCTTCCTTGCCCTCTCGTCCCCCTGCCCGCCTGCCTCCCCATCAACTCCTCTCCGTTTTCTGTCTCCCTAGGAAATAAGCAAAGAGGGCAATCGCCTCCTTGGAGGCTCTGGAGACAATTATAGGGTGAGCCTAGGGGCAGGCAGGGTTGGCTTTAGGAGAAGGGATGGTGAAGCATGCTAAGATCCTGGGAAAAGAAACAAAAATATCAGTTTCTTCTTGCAAGCTGCTCTGAATCTGCGTCCAGTGACCATCAAGAGACCAAAACAGGGTTCTGGGATCCCCATCTCCATCTTTGGTTCATTCATTCCTTCCTTCCTTTTGATTTGGATCGGAGCCATGTTACTTTTGTAAGGGGAGAAAACAGATAAAAGTAACAGAAGAATGGTCAAGGGGATTTCCATACTTAGGGAGGCAGTGTTGAGAAGGAGAAAGTCACTGAGCTTTGAGGTAGAAGATGAGGTTTCGAAAGCCAGCTCTGGCCAGGCACCAGCATAACTGTAATCCCAGCACTTTGGGAGGCTGAGGTGTGGGGATCATTTGAGCCCAGAAGTTTGAGACCAGCCTGAGCAACGTAGGAAGACCCTGTCTCTACTTTTTAAAAAGAAAATAATAGGCCATGTGCAGTGGCTCACACCTGTAATCCCAGGTAGCTAGGATTACATGCCTCAGCCTCCCAAGTAGCTGGGATTACAGGCATGTGCCACCATGCCTGACTAATTTTGTATTTTTAGTAGAGATGGGGTTTCACTATGTTGGCCAGGCTGTTTTCAAACTCCTGACCTCAGGTGATCCACCCACCTCGGCCTCTCAAAGTGCTGGGATTACAGGCGTGACCCACGATGCCCAGCCTCAAAAAAATTTAAGATATATATTAAAATCACCACCAGCTCTATCATGTCATCTGTATATCTTCAGGCAAGTCAGCTAACCTCTCCGAGCCTGAGCTTCCTCCAGTAAAATGAGGACAGTGAAACCTGACTCACGCAGCCTTCAGTTACTGTACAGCTTTCCATGTCACCACCAGACCAAGGTGTTGTGGAGTCCAGACTCTGGAGACAGATGCTGCATAAGGCATGGTGCTTGGCGTGCCGTGGGACTACACGTTAGCTAATCTCATTTGCTTGAGGTGTTTTGGGGACAGACCAGGATGGAGGCAAGAGTCTGAATATTGAGATTCAGGGGACTGGGTGGGGTTCCATGGGAGCAATCCATTCTAAGAAAGCTTTCCCAAGTGAACTTTTTGGTGCTGTGTAAGGAAGAGAAGGCAGCTTTATAGAGAGGAGGACAGGAAGCCTGGACCGAGGTGGGGATGAAGCAATCCGGGGCAGGTTGACAGGTGGCAGGCATGATAGGAAGCATAAGCCTTGGACATCGGTCCCCCTTTTCCCCACCCAGGGGCAAGGGTCGAGCTGGGGCAGTGGAGGAGGTGACGCTGTTGGTGGAGTCAATACTGTGGTGAGTGGAGGCAACACTCCACCTTGGGCTGGGACCATGGTGTCACACAATCCTCGCCTCCCCTCCTGCCACTCAGATCTCCCGACTCTGGCTCACAAAGTGGGTTCTTCTCTCATCCCATATCTCCTTGGTTCCATAGAACTCTGAGACGTCTCCTGGGATGTTTAACTTTGACACTTTCTGGAAGGTGAGTTCTGCGAGATGGCTCTGTTCACTCGCATTTGGAAAACCAACCCCTGCCCTTGGCCCCACAGTCTGGGGTCCTCTTTCTAAACCAACAGTCAGCAGTGGCCCTTGACCTCTCTCGGCCAATTACCTTATGACTCAATTTGGCCATTCTTCTTTTTGTTTCCTCCATAGAATTTTAAATCCAAGCTGGGTTTCATCAACTGGGATGCCATAAACAAGGTAAGGGCTGGACATCTTCGTCGGAGAGGGCTATAGGGAAGAAAGCTAAACCTCCGCTCTGTGAGCTGGGGAAACAGTGATGCTGGCCACTGAGGAAGCATTTAGGCCAGTGCTAAAAACAAAAACTAAACACACTGGGGGTGGAGGAGGGAGGACAGAGGAGACCTGAAAAGAGGGGGAGAATCTGGAGCAGCTGAGATTGAGGTTGAGCAGAGGGGACGGGCTTCTTTGCTGTTTCAGCATATAGACCCGAGCAGGTCCTGAACCTCACTTTCCCCTTTGAGATGGGGAAGGTTAAGGGGAGAGTAGATTGACTCCTAGAGGGCACATGGAATGAGGAGTGAGGTGGAGCTAAGAGGCCCCAAGAGGAAGGGCACCCAGAGAAAGGAACCAGCACTGGCCGAGAGCCTCAGGGGTGACAGGCATTAGTCTCTCCCGCACAAACAAAAACACAGCTGGGGCGCAGAACCCCTCCCTCCTTCCTCCCTGCCTACCCTTCCGTCTTGCAGGGGAACCCCTGGCCAGGCTGCTTTGATACCTGAGTAGCACAGGCACCTCTAGAGTAGAGGGGGCTGGAGTGGAAGGGAGGGGAGGAAGGACAGGTGGACAACCCATGCAGACACACCCCCGGCAGAAGCTGCGATTCGTGATTGGAGGATGGGTTTTTGAGACACTCTATTTTTTTTTTTTTTTAAGAATATGAATTAATTGTCAAAGTTTAAACATGGAGAGACTTCACATAATGATTTGGATTTCTGGTTTCTTTCAAAAACTTTGGTAACACTGGGTTCCATTTCCATGGGGTGGGGTTAGGCTAGAGCTGAGAAACAGCTGCTGCTTGGCCCAGGTGGGGGGTGTTGGGAATGGGTGGGGGGGTCACTCCCTAGTGGCCAGACTGTCCCTACCTGTCACAGTCATTTTAGCCACCTGACTGGCCCCTGTGAGCAGTGGAGTTTCTGGCCTTTAATGTAAAAGAGAGAAGACTGGGCTCAGGAAAATCTAAGTCTGACCTTTTAGGAAGGAGATTGAGGAGACAGGAGAGTACAGATGTTCCCACCCAGCTACAGTGGATTCATGTTCTCTGTTTCTTTTCTTTTTTCTTTTTCTTTCTTTCTTTCTTTTGTTTTTTTTTTTTTTGGTGAGACGGAGTCTCGCTCTGTCACCCAGGTTGGAGTGTAGTGGTTCGATCTCAGCTCAATGCAGCCTCTGCCTCCTGGGTTCAAAATGATTCTCCTGCCTCAGCCGCTCCAGTAGCTGAGTTTACAGGTGCCCGCCACCACACCCGGGTAATGTTTGTATTTTTAGTAGAGATGGGCTTTCACTATGTTGGCCAGGCTGGTCTCGAACTCCTGACCTCCAGTGATCTGCCCACCTTGGCTTCCCAAAATGTTGGGATTACAGGCATGAGTCACTGCATCTGGCCTCTCTGTTTCACAGAGAACGGTTTCTGGTAGGAGCAAGACTCTTTCCTGGGTCACAGGGAACTTAGGGTCTGATGGGAGAGCCGGGGCACATACAGACACTTCCCAGAGAGCCAGGATAGACACCCTGCCAGTTTTGCCCATCTAGGGCGGCAGTCGAGGGAGTGATCGCAGTGAGGCAGGATCCATCTGGGCCAGCTCCTCAAGGGGCAGATCTCCTAGAAAGCAGGGCAGGGCAGAGGTGGGCAGGGGAGAGAATGGAGCCCCATTCTTCACAGTGGGGTGAGGGAGCTGAGGACTTCAGCCAGAGTGAGGAGGGAGCAGAGGGGAACGCAGTGTAATGTTCCTGACGATGCAGGGGGTTCTTAAGCCCAAGCCAGGATATCTGGGTTTGTTTGGATAGCAGTGGTGGGCAAAAAGGTCCCTGTAGGTTTCTGGAGCAGGGGTCTCTTATACCCTTGTGCTGGCTCACAATGCCCTGGAATTCCTATTTCTCAAGCTCTCTCTTAGAACCTATTTCTGGCCAGGCGCGGTGGCTCATGCCTGTAATCCTAGCACTTTGGGAGGCCGAGGCTGGCAGATCACTTGAGGTCAGGAGTCTGAAACCAGCCTGGCCAATGTGGTGAAACCCCATCTCTACTAAAAATACAAAAATTAGCCAGGCGTGGTGGTGTGCGCCTGTAGTCCCAGCTACTTGGGAGGCTGAGGCAGGAGAATCGCTTGAACCTGGGAAGCGGAGGTTGCGGTGAGCTGATATCGTGCCACTGCACTCCAGCCTGGGCGACAGAGCGAGACTCCATCTCAAAAAAAAAAAAAAAAAAACAAAAAAAAACCTGTTTCTTTGCCCAGGACCAGAGAAGCTCTCGCATCCCGTGACCTCCAGACAAGGAGCCACCAGATTGGATGGGAGCCCCCACACTCCCTCCTTAAAACACCACCCTCTCATCACTAATCTCAGCCCTTGCCCTTGAAATAAACCTTAGCTGCCCCACACTCCTGGCCTCTGCTCCTTTCTTACGTCTCCGCTGTTATCCAGGGTGGTGTGGAAGGGGTGGCTGCAGCCCCACAGCTTCGGGAAACGGGCTGGAGGAGGCCCGGCAGGTGGAAAGGGGACACTCTGAGGCAGGTCCTAGTCTTGAGGTTTTGCTAGAATTAGGTTCTGCTGGAGGCTGGGGAACTTGGGATAGAAAACATTGTATGCTCTGGGACAGGGAGAGTTGGTTAGTGCCTCTCTCTCTCCCTGTGTTTCCCAAAATGGTTTCCTGGTGTCCCTAAAGACTCTCAGCTCCTCCCATCCCCAACCTTAGTCACAATGACATTCTGAAGGTTGAGATAGGGCAGTAGCAGGAGGAGGGGTGGGTGAGTGGGCCCAGGCTCTCTGCTAACCTGCTCCCCGCCTTTCATCCACAGAACCAGGTCCCGCCCCCCAGCACCCGAGCCCTCCTCTACTTCAGCCGACTCTGGGAGGTAGGAGAATTCTTGCTGTTTGAAGAACTGGGGGCCTGGCCCTCCTGACTCTCCCCAAGCCTCCCTCAAGGCAGCCACCCTCTGCTCCAACCACCTGTTTCAAAACTCCCCCCCTTTTTTTTTTTGAGACAGAGTCTCGCTCTATCACCCAGGCTGAAGTACAGTGGCACTATCTCGGCTCACTGCAAACTCCTGCCTCCTGGGTTCACGCCATTCTCCTGCCTCAGCCTCCCGAGTAGCTGGGACTACAGGCGCCTGCCACCGTGCCCGGCTAATTTTTTTTTTGTATTTTTAGTAGAGACAGGGTTTATACCATGTTAGCCAGGATAGTCTCAATCTCCTGACCTCGTGATCCACCTGCCTCGGCCTCCCAAAATGCTGGGATTACAGGCGTGAGCCACCGCGCCCAGCCAACTCCCCCTCTTCATTTTTGAGACAGCTCATCCAAATCTTATCACCAAATCTTATCACCAATACCATCTCAAGTGCTGACACCCTCAATCTCCCACGTGCTTACCTTCCTCCAACCCCAAGCCACACCCAAAAGCTCCTTCCTACCCGAGATCTGGAATCCCCCCAATTTGCTGCATAGACCACCCCGTGGGTTCTGCCTCCCCGGCCCACTCTGCCCTCCTTCTCCCTGCAGGATTTCAAACAGAACACTCCTTTCCTCAACTGGAAAGCAATTATTGAGGTAAGGGGGGCAGGACTTCTCAGCTCTGGGACACAGGGTTCGGGGCCCTGGGCGAGCCGCTGACCCAGGTGTCTGTCCCAGTTTCTTCCCCTCCCTTCCCACTTTCCCAGGCTTTGTGCAATCCCGAGTGGGGGCGGGGTGAGAGGGAGAAGCCGTGAGTCACTGAGGAGCAGGGTGGGAGGACCTCCCTAGCATAAAAGCCGAGGCCGAGGGCTGGGGCCTCCACAAGCACATGAACATGAAGCCGGCCACTGCCTCTGCTCTGCTCCTGCTCCTGCTGGGCCTGGCCTGGACCCAGGGGAGCCACGGCTGGGTGGGTACCGCAGGGTGCACAGGTGCGGGGAGATCGTATTGAGGGGAAGAAGGGGCCTAGGCTGCGGCATGGGGAGGACAGCTGAGGTGGAACGGGAGGGCGGTGTGCAGGGGTCAGGTCCCTGTCTAGTGGAGGCAGCTGCTGAGGGTCTGAAGACCTGGGTCAGGGAGGATGGGGAGAACCTCTGGGCGGTGCCAAAGACCACACTCCAATTCTGCATGGCCAGTAGCCTTTGAGAAACAGGACCCGTGGGCACTGAGACAAAGGCTGCCTGCTCCCGTGTCTACGTGTGCCAAGTATATGAGGCTGGACAGGTGGGGCCCTGCAAAGGGGGAGGTCGAGGCGCTCCAGCTAAGTGCAGTCATGCATGCATGTGTGAACAGGGTGGCGTGTTGTCTGATGTTTCACGAAGAACCAGGATGCTGATCTCTAACTGTAACTAATTTAATTTTTAAGTAGACCAAGCAAAAAATATCTGGAGGCCCATGGTCAACCAGTTTGTGACCTCAGGGTTAGGGCTTGCAGTGGGGTTTAGGTTCAAGGTCAGGTATGGATAAGGCAGAATTAATGCTGGAGTCAGGACTTCACTGTCACTCTGTGTGTGTGTGTGGCAGGGCGGACGGTCCAAGTGGAGAAGCCGTGATGGCAGGAACTGAACTTCTTTTCAACGCTTAGAGTTTCTCCTCTTGCGCTGGGGCTGGGGGGGGTGTCCGGTGCATCTGCAGTGTCTTAAGTTGCTTTATCTGTTTTCTTGTATTTCTCTTCTTTTGCTTCCTGTGGTCCAGAGCTAACCTAAGCACGCAGCTTCTGCAGATAACAACCCCTCCTTCAAGCACCCTGTGGGGCATGGCGTCGGTGTGCAGGGACTAAGGGCCTACGGGCATAGCAGCAGGACTTGGTGCAGGCAGAAGGTGGGCTGGGCTGCAGTGCCTGCGTCTGCCCCAGAGGAGCCTGCATGGCTGCAGCTCACTTGTTCTAGCTCAGTCTTAGGCTGGGGCTGCCAACTCTCCCACGGCATGGGTGGGGAAGGTGTTGCCAAACCTGGTTCTCTCCCTGGCTCCCAATGCTGAGTGTGGATATCTGTCTTCTATCTATCTGGGCCATCAGCTCCTCCAGGCTCACTGCCTTCTCTATAGGTAGCACGTGGAAAGGGGTGGGGTGAGGGAGAAACTGGGGCTCTGAAAGCCCGGCAATGCCCGCACGACTGCGGAGGCACGAACTGTGGCCCCTTCTTCCTTTCAGGGTGCGGACGCGTCATCACTGCAGAAACGTGCAGGCAGAGACGATCAGGTGAGTCTCTGTCCTCAAGTTACCCTGCAGGGCCCTTGGTCCCCCTTGGCCTTGCTCCCGGGTCTGGGCAATCTGAAATTCTCTTTCACTCCTCCATTCAATGGCTTTCTCAGCCGGGTGCAGGATGGCAGGAGGTGGCAGCTGTAACTTCCAAGGTGAGACATCTACCATGGACCCGCTGGGTTACGTCCTGGCACTTCTTTTCTTGGTCTCCTACCCTCACCTCCCAAGTAACACTTGAAGAGTTGGCAGAGGTCTTGAGGGCAGGAGGAGGAGTAGGAGGAGGAGGCGGCGGCCATTTGGGCTAGGACAGTAAAGGCAGGTGAGGGTGGGGGCCCTGGCTGGCTGGAGGAGATTGTATAAAAGAAAACACGTGACACAAGGAGGGGAGCAGGCAGGTGTTTTAGGAAAGGTCTGGTCCAGGCAGGAAGGTGGGATGTTTATTCCAGAGCAAAATGGCCTTCGTCCGTCTGTTCTAACCGCCATGCCCACTTCTTCCACAGAACTACAATTACAACCAGCATGCGTATCCCACTGCCTATGGTGGGAAGTACTCAGTCAAGACCCCTGCAAAGGTGAGACCGGCAACCACCCTGTCTTCCCGCTGGGGGCTCTGCATGAGGGATGGGGAGAGAGGCTTTCACTGCCGGGGTCCTCTCGGTTGGTTGCCGGAGGCCGGATCCCGCTCTCTTTGAGTCCAGGCCTCCCCACCCCTTTGCAAGGGAGACTCGGGTTCCCTGAGACAGTTTGGAAGTGGAGGGCAGGAGGGTTCAATGCGCCTCACACCCACCCAGTCAGAAAAGGTTAAAAAGGAGCAGCAGCAGCAACAGAGAAAACTGAGAACCAACACCCTCTCCAAGAAGAATATAGGCTTTAAAAAATCATGACACCTGCAAAACACGCAAGCAGCTCTTCCTCACAGGTTCCCTCTCTGTGGACCTTTTTTTGCGGGGGAAGATGGAATGGAGGGCGAGGAAAGCAGACTAGCACTTAGGGGAGGCCGGCCTGTGGATGCCTGGTTGGCGGTGAAATGAATGCTTTATTCCACAAAGGAAATGAAAAGAAAAAATACGTGAGAATTTGGTTTTATTCCGTTGCAAAGAAGGCAATCTCATAACATCAGTAAATGAATATGCTAAGTACAAATTTGGCTGACAAAGCAACAGCAGGCTGTGTATTTCCATCTCTCATGACAATAAAGTCCCCGCCCTTGGGGAGAGGACCTTCCACTGAGGGACGAGAAACTACAGGCTGGTGAGAGGAGGGACATGCAGCTTCTACTGCCTGTGGCTTCCACTCTGCTGAGTTATCTGTGGCTTCCACTCTGCCGGGTTATCTGTGGTCAGTGTCTCCCTACCTGGCAGGCCAAAGCGAGGCCTATGCTCTTTTGACCCCCTTGGTCAGTACGTGCCCAGGAACCATGTTCAATATCATCTTGGATCAAGTGCACTCAGGATGATAAACGTGCTGTGAAACCAACTCCACAGCCTGAATGTCCACAGTCAGACTGGAAAACCTTGGTGATAGCCCTGGTGTGAGCCTGCCCTTGCTGCTGGGCCCTTCATGAGCGTGGAGGCCATGGCAGAGTACAGGGAGGCCATGACCCCACATCACTTTCCTTTGATCTTTTTGCAGGGGGGAGTCTCACCTTCTTCCTCGGTGAGTATGGGGGCCTGATCTTCATCTGGCTGGAGAGAGAAGGGGCCTGAGGCCAGAGGGTATGGAAGGGACCCTGTGGTGGCCACTCAGACTTTCTCTTTTTCTGGCAGGCTTCCCGGGTGCAACCTGGCCTGCTGCAGTGGGTGAAGTTTTGGTAGGTGAGTGTCAGAGTGAGCCGACCCAGGCCACATCCTGGCAGTGGAGGCACAGTCACCCGGGGCAGGGCCAGGATCTTGGTATATCCTCAGATCTCAGTGGGCAGCGACATGAAGTCAGGTATGCTCTGGGTGCGTGCTCTAAAGGTGATAAGGAAGAGGGGACCTCATGGTGGGGTGTGGAGAAAGACCCATAATAAAGTGATCTAGGGCTGGGTGCAGTGGCTCATGCCTGTAATCTCTGTGCTTTGGGAGGCTGGGGTGGGAGGATCACTTGAGTCTGGGAGTTTGAGACCAGACTGGGCAATATAGCAAGACCCCATCTCTAAAAGAACAAAACAAAACAAACCAAAACAAAACAAACCATTCCAGCCTGGGAAACATGGCAAAACCCCGTCTACTAAAAATACAAAAAATTAGCCAGGTGAGGTGGTGCATGATTGTAATCCCAGCTACTCTGGAGGCTGAGGTGGGAGAATCACCTGAGCTTGGGAGGTTGAGGCTGCTGCGAACTGCGATTGCACCGCTGCACTCCAGCCTGGGCAATCACAGTGAGACCTTGTCTCAAAACAAACAAACAAACAAATGAAAAACCTTAGCCAGGCATGGTGACACATGCCTGTAGTTCTAGCTACTTGGAAGGCAGAGGCAGGAAGATCGCTTGAGCCCAGGAGTTCAAAACTGCAGTGAGCTATGATCACACCATTGCACTCCAAGTCTGGGCAACAGAGGGAGACCCTGTCTGGAAAGAAAGAGAGAAAGAGAGAGAGAGAGAAAGAGGGAAAGAAAGCAAGCAAGAGAGAAAGAAGAAAGAAAATGACCTAGGACCCTCGGAAAGCACCTTAGGGTGGGACCACATAGGCACAGCTCTGAGAAGATGGTGTTCTAGATGGAGCACAGGGACCGGGATAGAGATGTTACAGGGGAACTGTGGAGAAAAGAGCCTCCTGGTGGAAGGGTTCAGAGGTGGGACGCAGCGAGGCTGCATGGGCGAGAGGTGATAGCTTGGCTCGGCAGAACCACAAACTCTGTTTTAGGCGGAGCAAAAGTGAGGGGCACCACAGGCGAACAGGTAGGACAGCAAAAGAATGGTGGGTGCCCAGACGCTGGGTGAAAAGATGCCCCGTTTCCGCAGGCTTAGGAGTGGCCACGTGCTACCATTTGATTTTCTTTCTTCTAGGCAATTTCTTGCAACCACCACCGAGGCCCCGAAAAGCACTGGTCGTCAGGGAGCTCCTCCCCTTGGCCCCCAGCCTGTGCCAGCCCTGGCCCGGCTGCCACACCTCTGTTTCCTAGGCTGGGGACCCAGCTTGTCTCTCCTTGTTTCTTCCCACTGCACTGTGGTGCTTCAGTGGCCACCAGCCTCGTCACATACACCAGCATCTTTCTGTACCTCCTCCCTTTGGTGACCTGAAGTCACTGTGACAGTTCTCCAGGAAGGAGGAGCTTCCTACTTTTGAGTTTCTCTGTGGAAATAAAACATGAATCTTGTTTCCCTACGACTTTCTCAAATTTTATTCTTTAATGCTATGTTGATGGCCTGGCTCAGGGAGGATGGAAGAGTGATTCAGGGGCAGCTAATCTGCCTTCTGCCTGAAACTGGTATAAAGCACAGAGGCTGAGAGAGATGAGACCTGGGTTTTATTTCTGACAAGAAGCCTGCATTGTGCCTCAGTTTCCTCATCTGTTAAAAAAAAAAATCATTGCCCAACCTATATCTGAATACCATTCTTTTTTTAGAGACTCAATCTCACTCTGTGGCCCAGGCTAGAGTGCAGTGGCACGATGTCGGCTCACTGCAACCTCCGCCTCCTGGATTCATGCAATTCTCCTGCTTCAGCCTCCTGAGTAGCTAGGATTACACGCATGCGCCACCACACCTGGCTAATTTTTGTATCTTTAGTACAGATGGGGTTTCACCATGTTGGCCAGGGTGTTCTTGAACTCCTGACCTCAGGTGATCTACCCGCCTCAGCCTCCCAAAGTTGCTGGGATTACAGGCGGAAGCCACCATGCCCGGCTTGAATACTGTTCTTTTTTTTTTTTTCTTGAGACGGAGTCTCGCTCTGTCACCCAGGCTGGAGCGCAGTGGCGCGATCTCCGCTCACTGCAAGCTCCGCCTCCCAGGTTCACGCCATTCTCCTGCCTCAGCCTCCCGAGTAGCTGGGACTACAGGCGCCCGCCACCACGCCCGGCTAATTTTTTGTATTTTTTAGTAGAGACGGGGTTTCACCGTGTTAGCCAGGATGATCTCCATCTCCTGACCTCGTGATCCGCCCGCCTCGGCCTCCCAAAGTGCTGGGATTACAGGCGTGAGCCACTGCGACCGGCCTGAGTACTGTTCTTTTTGCACTTGAAGCAGCCACAGGTGTTTTGTTGGCCTGAAAAAGCGACAATGGAAATATTCAAGTCAGGAGCAGGGGGAAAGAGGTTGTTCAAAACGGGAGGTCAGTCCCAGAAGGTCAGGGAGAGGGCAGGAAACAGGAGCGAGGTGCTGATAGAGACTGTGCTTCTCCACATGGACAGGCTGCCGTGGGGATGGGGGCGTGGTTGGGGAGACGCGCTTAGGAAGTTGGGGGCACTGGATCTAACCCAGGGCCTTATCACGGGCACTGACTGCCCTGTGTTTCCAGGATGCAGAGGGAGGGAGGCAGAACACTTCCACCCCATCACTGTACCAATGAAACAGGAGAGGCTGCGGCGCAGGCTGAGCCAGGCTTATCCCACGCTGAAGAGCCCTTGGGACTGGGCTGGGGGTCTGCAGTAGGAGCCCCTAAGTCCCACCAAGCTGGTCCAACATGCCCGGATTAAGGATCCCCCACCCCTTTGTCCCCCTGGGATCCCTGCAGGGGACAGGAAGTAAAAGGTGGACAGGAGGCGCCCTGCCAGCCTAAGTGACTCCCTCCAGGTTTGAGTTCCCTGAGGGCATGGCCCCCATCTGCCTAGGTCACTCTCCACCCACAGGACAGGCACAGGGCCTCAAACAGTGCATGTATACGTGAAAGAAACCCGGCCCAAAACTGACTTGAGGAGACCGAGCTGACCCAGTCGGCCTGCCTGGGAGGGCCGCTCCTCTGCTTGGCCTCCCTTCTCTCCTGGGTCCTGAAATCCTGATGCTGGTTTGCACTTGTCCTCCGGAGTTCAACGCCATAGGAGGGCCTTGCAGTACCTCCTAGAGGCCACAGGGGGGAGAGCGCGGGGCCCTCCCAGGGAGGACGCTCCGTCCTCGCTGCACAGAGAGCTTCCCGGAGCGTGGGTGGGGGTGGAAACCCGTGGGGAGCTGAAGTCTCCTCAGCCCAGTCACTGAGGCACCGGGGGAGACGCGGAGGTGAGCAACACGGTTCTTGGCTCGTGAGATGTTCTTGGCCCAAAGAGCTGAAAGCGGCTCTTGAAAGCTTAGAGTGACACCCGAGGCAGGCTAAGGTCCCCTGGCATGAGGGGCCCTCCAGTGAAGGGTGGGTACCCCTTTCTCCCTTCAGGGCTCCTCCAGTGACCTCCTGAATCCCCAACTTCCATCTTATTCTTTAGATCCCGTTCTTCCACAACGCCCTAGAAGGAGCCCCTGCTCGGAACCTACCACCAGCTTCTCATTAGCCCTGGAATAAAATCCCCATTCCTCACTACGGCTCTATGCGATGGGCCTGGCCTCCCTCTCTAACGTCCCTCTGGGCCTACTGGCACAGGCCATCAGGGAACATGGGCGGCTGTTACCAAGGTCTTCAGAAAGCCAGAGCTTCATCTGCTTTTAGGACTAATTTCAAATGTCCCTCCCTGGGCCACCTTTTAAAATTTGTATTTTAATAGAGACGGGGTCTTGCCATGTTGCCCAGGCTGGTCTGGAACTCCTGGGCTTGAGTGATCCTCCTGCCTCAGCCCCCTAAAGTGCTGGGACTACAGGTGCGAGCCACCGCACTCGGCCCTCAGGCCATCGACCAAGGAAACCCTGTCAGCATCATATGGCCCCGTTTTCTTCGCAGCACCTGTCCTTCTCTGAAGTCATCTTGTTTGCGTATCTATTTTTGGTTACATTATGATGTCTCCTTCGCTAGGACATGGGATCTGTAGGGCAGGTCTTTTGTCCATCTACAGCCCCCAGTACCAAGAGCCAAATAAATATTTACAAATTAGCCAATGGAGAGAGGGATTGGAATTAAGTGGGACCAATCCAGGAAGACTTCCTGGGAGAGGTTTAAGCACCGGGCACATAGGGTGGGCGGCAAAGGAAGAAACCACACCTGCTGGTGGATGAGGCTGCTTTCTTGGTTGTGACAACACCGACGGAGGGAGGAAGGGATGGGACAGGGATGCCCTGAGTTCTGCCCCCTAATACTCCACATCCCAGTCCCCTCTCTCTCCCAGGATTCCCGGCTTCCCACCTAGTGTTCGCCAAGGCCCCGAAAACCTAGTGTCTCTCTCTTGGAATCCCCACTCCCTCCCTAGACCCAGGAGGCTGGCTGCCAGGCCCTAGGTGTGTCTCACAATGGGGCAATCCAGGCTGGGCCTCGCCTCCTACCCACACTCAAGTTCTGGCAGATTTGGGGTGGGGTGGGGGCAGGCCTGTGGGAAAACAGAGGTTTACTGGTATTCTCAGTGAGGGAGCTAGGAAGTCAAGCCGACCTGGAGATGTGATGTTGCAGAGCCAGTCTCTGCGGCTGCCTGACTCCATTAACCCTCCGTGATTCATCCAAAGCTGAGCTGCGTATCGGGCAGATTTTCCTGCAGCCCATCACCTGAACTGCTGGGACCCTCTCCCAGGGAGAACTCCCTGCCCCTCTCTTTCCCCATCTGCCCAACCCAACTCAGGGAACACAAACTACTCAGGCAGCGTAGATGGAGGAAGAGGGAGGAGTTTGGAGAGAGACACTGGCTTCTAAAGTTGGCCGCTTACAGCAAAAATCACGTCAAGATGGAACTAGCTGGGCGCCGTGGCTCACTCCTGTGATCCCAGCACTTTGGGAGGCCGAGGCAGATCACTTGAGGTCAGGAATTTGAGACGATCCTGGCCAACATGGTGAAACCCCGTCTCTGCTAAAAATACAAAAATTAGCTGGGTGTGGCGGCGCACGCCTGTCATCCCAGCTACTCGGGAGACTGAGACAGGAGAATCACTCCTCCTGGGAGGTGGAGGTTGCAGTGAGCCGAGATCATACCACTGCACTCTAGCCTGGGCAACAGAGCAAGACTCTGTCTCAAAAACAAAAAACAACAAACAAACAAAACCCCAAAAAACTACCCTCAGAAGGTGCCAGGAAGATGCCAAGTGGAAACAAATCATGAGTCCAACACAGACAGCTTTTTTTCCAGCATAGGAAGAGAATTTCTTTGGTTGAGCACACAAAGCAGTTGGCCTGTGTTTAGAGGTATGATACAAAAAGTACCTATTTTTAAACAGCAGAATGTTGAACACTAGATCCAGAAACGGAACCCTATCTGTAAACACATACTTGGTGTGGCAAGATGATTATACTACTGGAGGCATCTGGAAACGGAGGCAATCACAGGTTCATTCGGGGGCTGATGCCACTAACCTTCATTCTTCGTTTTCATTTTGTCAAGAGTGTGCAGTTTGATTCATTTAAATGAATGCACCTATGCTTGGGGCTGCCACCTCTGATGGTGCAGGCTATGCACCACAATGGACACTGTAAAGGGGACCTGTGGGGGTTCGATGCAGTCTGCCCCCCACTCTCAGGACATGGGTCTAATTCACACAGGGTGTTACATGTGCTGTAACATAGCCTGTCCAGCATAGAGAGGAGCAATATAGGTTCAGGCTCTGGAAGCCCAGCGTTCTAATGCTGGTCCTGTCACATTCTGGCTGTGTGACCTGGGGTGAGTTATTTAACCTCTATATGCTGTGGTTCCCCCGCCTATAGAATGTGAATAATTATAGTACCCACCTGTGTCAGAATCACTGGGACATTTCAATGAGATCGCGTATTTGGAGCACTTAGTACAAGGTCTGCCATATAGTAAGCCTCAGTAACTCAGCTAACATTGTTATCAATACCATCGGGTGGAGAGGAAAACATAGGGAGGGCAATTTATTGTCAAAGGAAAATCACAGATTAGACTCTAGAGCAAAACAGAAGACAGCGTTGGATTGACCGATGCTCTAGATCACCCAGGCCAAAACTGGCACTGGGTCCCCTCACCCGCCTGTCAAATCGTAGCTGGTTATACAACATCAGTTCTCTTTTGTCTGATTCTTCACTCCCTGGAGTCGACCCTATGCGGATGGAATGGTGGCTAATGAGCTTTTTCAGTCACTGTTCGTTAATTAGCAAGGATTCATTACACAGAACTTGTGTCCTCCAGAAAACCTTTTGGGAGGTGCTCCACCCACCTCAGTCATTCTCTAACTCGTCCCCTCCAGGAGCACCAACTCTGTGACATCCACTACTGTGTGGCCATCTGGGCTAAGGGAGTGTTCTCTAAGCAGTGTTCCCTCAGGTAGCTCTGCAAAGGGGAAGCTGCCATTATAAAATCAGAGGAGGCTGAAGAGGATGTCTGGGACTGGGGTGTGGGGGCAGCGTGAGGATGGAGCTGAGGTGCCCAGCTTCTGGGGTTCGTAAAGGTTGTTCATGGATGCCGTCCAGCCCTCCCACCCAGGGCCACCGCCACCGTGCATTGCATCAGGTTGTGTTGATAAGGTCTTGCTTTTCCCTGACAGCGCCGGTCCATGTCCCAGCCCCTCCCTGTTACAGCAGGAGCCGGTTTGGCCACCTGAACCTCACTGTGGAGAAGGCTGCTTGACTAGGACATTGTGTCACAGTGAGGTGATCCAACTTCCAAACTGGGGGTGGGGCAAGGTGGGTTAGGGCAATGACATGGAGTGGGCACTCCAGGTTCAGGGTACCTGGATCCCATCTCCAACTGGGCACCCTAAGAGCTGTTTTTTGTTCCCTGTTCCTTGTCATCTTAGCTCAAGACAGTCATTTCTCTGAAGACCCAAGAGTAAAAGACGGGCAGTTGGAAAATGGAAAGGTTCAGCCCCATGAAAGGAAAATGTACACTGTGGCTGAAGGATGCCTGAATACTAAGTCTAACGTATCATATCTGACCAATGCTGACTCTACCTGGGTTCTGTGTGAGCCATGGTTCTAGGGGGATGTAAAGCTGATCAAGATACAGCTCCTGACCTCAAGGAACTTGATACTCTAAAAGGGAAACAAGGCGAGAACATGACTTACTTAGATACAATGCCAGAGACATACAAACGAATGAATATGGGAATTCTGTGAAAGGAAAGGTGTGGAGAGAAGGACTGGGCATTGCAGGAAAAATCTGGGAAGCTTCATCCAAGATGAGTGTTGGGTTCTGAGAACTGGAGATGAGAGAAGGCCATGTTAGGAATAAGGAACAGCATGGCCGGATGCTTTGAAGAGGGAAAAAGAAGGATATAGTTGGTAAGGGGTCTAATTTGGCCAGAATGTGAGGTATGTACAAAGCTAGTAAAGGAAGAAGTTATAAAGGTGGGTTGAGTTCAGAGCATGGACCACCTTCAATGCCAAGCTAAAGAGTTTACATAGATTTTGGTAGGGTGGAAGAAAAGGCCTGAATGAGCATGGAGCGCAGGCTCACACCTATAGTCCTTTGGGAGGTCAAGGCAGGCGGACCCCTTGAGTCCAGGAGTTTGAGGCCAGCTTGGGCAACATGGCGAGACATTTTCATCTCTACGAGAAAATTAAAAAAAAAAAAAGCTGCAACATCTCTACAAGAAAATAAAAAAGTTAGCTAGGTGAGGTGATGCGTGCCTCTAGTCCCAGCTACTAGGGAGACTGAGGTGGGAGGATTGCTTGAGCCTGGGAGGTCAAGGCTGCAGTGAGCTGTGATCACACCACTGCACTCCAGTCTGGGCAACGAGTGAGAGCCTGTCAAAAAAAAAGAAAAGAAAAGAAAAGAAAAAGCCTGAATTCTAAGAGAGGAATGAGGGATATAACGAAAAGAGACAAAGACAAAAGGAGAGGTTGCTTGGGTACCACTGCCAATCCCTTGGAGGGACAGGTCCAACCTGTCTCTGTCCCAGCCCCATCTGCATGAAGAGACCCATTGCAGTGTTACCTTCCACGTGCCTGGGGCAGAATGCGAATTGAGAAATCCGAGGCAAATGAGGAACAGTCCATGCCTCCCCCTCCCAGAGCCCCGGGGGTGGGCGACAAGATCTGGGGGTGAGTCAGTGGGGTGGGGACCCCATTTCTGTGCTCATCTGCCTCCTTGGCAATATAAAGAGCAAGCACTGAGGCCCCGCCTCAGAGCACCCCAAACTTGACGCCATGAAGATCCCGGTCCTTCCTGCCGTGGTGCTCCTCTCCCTCCTGGTGCTCCACTCTGCCCAGGGAGCCACCCTGGGTGGTCCTGAGGTGAGCACGTCACCTGCATTTTTATTCTTATACGTGTTACCCACCTACCCCTCCATCTCTCTACCTCCTGTCCATTCCTGGATAAGTGGCTCTTAGTTTTGGATTCTGATGGGGGCTGAAGAAACTGGGGCTCTGAGGAAGGGAGGAGGGAACAGAGCATCCCTGGGGAGACATTTGGGACAGAGATGCTCCTCTTTCTGGAAGGGATGGTGAAGTGTGTTGGGGAGGCTCGTGTACTGAACCTTGGGACTGAGTGGGTGGTCTGGGTTCAGACTATCTCCACCATGGGCTCTCAAGAGTGTTCACCCATTCCGTTCCAGCTGCACACATGCCTGGGGACGTGCAGGGGAAGAGGGGGAACTGGAGAACGGCAATGTGAGGCAGAGCAGCTCCAAACCCAGGCCTGCATCCACATGGGCAGCAGGTGGAGAGGGTGAAGCAAAGCAAAAAACTAGCTAGTTCTGCCTGCAGCTGACTTAACTCAAAGAGGAGTGGGGCTGGGGTGTTCTGGAGACACCCCTGCTTAGCTCCTCTTTGCTTCATTTGTGCCCCTGGGAGTGGTGCCCAGGTGACGGGTGGCTCCCTGCTGTCTCTGGAGCATAGGCCACAGTGAGAATCTTTACCATCCAGTCCTCAGCCAGAGAGGAATCCTGATGCCTATTCCGGATTTAAAAGTCTAAGACAGGGGCACAGGCTCAGCTGCTAAGGACCAAGCCAGTGGTGTCACTGAGCTGGGGGGGCTGTCAGGGCCTGAGGTGAAATGGGGCCAACTTTCCCAGTCTGAAAGGGCAGCTTTCACCCCACCTGACGCCATGGATTGGGAAGATGTGCCTAGAGTTTTACATTTTTCAGGGGAAACTAGAAATCTGGATGAATTTATGAATTCTTACTAATTCAAAATGTCTAATTCAAACCAAAAAACAAATGACCAAATTTTTATGAGATCTAAGCATCTGGATCCAGCCTGCGGGCTCCGTGTTGGGCTCTGTCATGGGGAAGACACGATGGGACACACTGAGGCCTGGGGTGGGGTCCCCATGGAGGGGGATTATGGAACCTCCAACAGTGGTGGCAATAAATCCACAAAGCAAAGCAACCTCGATCAGTGAGAGGCAGGCGGGTCACCTCAGCAGCTGGGCTCCCACCTGCTCGCAAATCTTTCCCATCCAGCTATACGGACTGAGCGTGGGTGTCTCCAGAACACCCCACCTCTTAGACTTAAGTCAACTGCAGGACAGCACTAGCTAGCTTTTCCGGAGAGGAATGCTCGGCTCCAGGCTTTCTGCCTGCTGCCCATGGTGACACTGCTTACATGTACCATTCTCCAATTCCCCCTCCTCACCCTGCACATCCGCCAACCATGTGCGCGACTGGAACGGAGACCATGGTGGGGAATGGGTTGCGTTCTTTCGGGGACTGGGCTGTGGATGAAGGCAGAGCTGGCAGACAGGGATGTGGGCAAGGGCCCTGGCATCACGTGACCCCCTGCCGCCTTTTCTCCCTCTCCTTTTCCAGGAAGAAAGCACCATTGAGAATTATGCGTCACGACCCGAGGTAAGCCGTCTGTTTTCCCCGGCCCTCCAGCCACGAGTCTGTCCTCTCTCTCTTTTTGCTTCTTAGCAACTTTCCTAACACCCTGCGTTTCTGCCTAGGCCTTTAACACCCCGTTCCTGAACATCGACAAATTGCGATCTGTGAGTACGCTTCTCTGGTGCTACCCCCACGAATACCCTCATCACAGAGGGGATAAACGCCTTGGTAGAGAGCTTGCAAAGCTGCCACGGTTCCTTCACCTTCTCCAGAGGGCTGGGGGCTAAGCTCTGGCCTCCCCTGGAGCTGACCTGCTTCTGCTGTCTCTCTTCCTCCTCAGGCGTTTAAGGCTGATGAGTTCCTGAACTGGCACGCCCTCTTTGAGGTGAGTGCTCCGGCGCCCCTTGCCCTCCTCGGTTGTCTGCAGTCATCCCAGGGTAGTGGCCACACATTTTGGCTTTAAATGTATGGGTTGGTTCCTGATCTCTGGGAGGGAGTGACTGTCCTGCCTGGATGCTGCCCAATGGGCTGTCAACGGAAGAAAGCTTCCCCCGGCGCCAGTCCTGGCTACCCGTGTTTTCCTAAGATGGTGGTGGAGGAGCAGGGCCCCAAGGACAATTGCAGAAGAGGAAGAGGCTAATCGGTCAAGATTTTATTTGAATCCCCTCATCCTCTATGGAAAAACTGAGGCCCACCCGCACTTAGAAGGCAAAGTCAGCGACAGAGCTGGGGCCCGCGTCTCCTGACTCTGCACTGACTTCTCACATGGCCTCATGCGAACGCCTTCAGCTCCCTCGGCCTCCGCTTCCTCTGTGATGTGGGGATGATGACAATTCCCACCACAAAAGGTTGCTGTAAAAACCCACTGAAATCATGCTTGTAGAGCAGCCCGTGCAAGGCAGACACAGACTAAGGCCTCAGGAAATATTAGCTCTTGATAAAGTAATGACAAAATAATGACATTATTGTTACTATGGTTACTGTGGGAGTTCATTAAGGGAATGCTTACCCATCCATGCCCGGCTGACCTGCAACACATCACTCTCTTTCTCTTTCTTTCTTTTAGTCTATCAAAAGGAAACTTCCTTTCCTCAACTGGGATGCCTTTCCTAAGGTAAGAGGTGTGGGCATTAGGAGGGTATGGAGCTTGGGGGTAAGGGAAGAAGCAGAAGATATGGGAGAGAGAGTGGGGACAGGGAAAGGAGGATCAGCCTTCTCACCAAACTGAAGGGAGGTCTTAGCTACTACATATAGAGGAGAACGGGAACTCACACCGAGGCAGAAATTCCTTTCCATCCATGCCATCCTATACTGGGCACCCACGGGTTCCCCATCTAACCCTGACCCCTCTCCCTCTAGCTGAAAGGACTGAGGAGCGCAACTCCTGATGCCCAGTGACCATGACCTCCACTGGAAGAGGGGGCTAGCGTGAGCGCTGATTCTCAACCTACCATAACTCTTTCCTGCCTCAGGAACTCCAATAAAACATTTTCCATCCAACAGCTCCTGTATCTGCGTCTCTGTCCTCCTACTGGGCTTTACAAAGGAATTAAGATGGAATGAGCCCCAAGGCTGATAGGTAGAAATCTTGACTTCCAAGAGGAGAGTAAGTAGGGAGACAGGAGGAAATAGAAAGGACACACCAAGATGGCAAGAGACCCCCTTGTGTCTTAGCTCCTTAGTGTTGGCTGGGATCCTTGAGGAGCATGAAGCTATGACTTGCTTAGTAAGATGCTCAGGGAATCTCTAAACCAAAAGGTATCTGAGACAGGTCTCATTCTCTTAAGGGGGAGCTCCTGGACCCAGAAAACTGTCCTGTTGGTTTGAGCAATAAAGACAGCTCAAACCAGTACCAAGCAACGATAGATTTGTCAGAGGTCAGGGCCACCTCCATTCAGAGGCCATTCACGGGTTGCCAATTTGTAACCCAAAAAGTATCTGAGACAGGTCTCAATCAATTGAGAAGTTTATTTTGCCAAGGTTAAGGACAATGCCGGGGAGAAAAAAATACAGAATCAGAGGAACAGTCTGTGGTCTGTGCCTTTCTCCAAAGATGATTTTGAGAGCTTCAGTATTTAAAGGGGAAAAGCGGGGAAAGAGGGAGGGAATGGTCACATCACTGAATCCACATGTTATAAGAGAAAAGGAGCAGGTAGGGGAATAGTCCATTATATATTTGTCTCATGCTCAGTAAATCCAGCAGTTTACATAAGATATGGTGAACATAGAATAGCTATCTGTTGAGATAGTTAACCTTTTACCTGTAGCTATCTGTTTAGGAACAAAAGGAAAGGCAGCTTCTGGCATGTCTCAGCTTTCGGCTTATCTTTTTTCCTTTCGACAGAGTGAATTGGGGTCCCAAGTTTTTATTTTCCTTTCACAAATCAAACCTACTCCCTGACCTGTTGGCATTCCCCCTTACCTACCTTCTGAAAACCTGATTCCCTTTGTAGTGGCGATTTTGTGTAACAGAGCTATCTGAAATCCAAAGTTCAGGACCCAGCTTCAATCACATGAGCCCATCTGAAATCCTTTTTTTTTTTGGAATTAGGTGGGCTCTAAATAAAGAAAACTAGCAGCGTGACCTTGAGTCTTCCTAAGCCTCTGTTTCTTTATCCGTGAAATGAGTATGGAGATAAATAAGAATGATAACCACTCTGTGGTGTTGTTATGAAGGTCAAATGACATAAGTATATAAAGCCCCTTGCACACGGCCAGGCATATAGTAGATAGTGTATCTCTACTCCCCCAGTTTCAACCAGAGAGCAGCCGCAATGATCCAGATTCACTCATTCACTCGCGCATCCATCCATCCACCCAGCCATCCACCCACCCATCCACCCATCCACCCACCCATCCATCCATCCATCCATCCATCCATCCATCCATCCATCCATCCATCCATCCACTGCAAAGATCTTGAAACATGAAATGGATTTAGTTTTGCTTCCTGTAGATGTATTTTCTCTGACCCAATTTGTGTACTTAAAATACTAAACTAGTTGGAATTGTTTCTGGTTTCTCTTGAAAACTGGGAAGATTAGAGAACAGTGGACCTGCGACTGGCTTAAAGCCAAGTAGCAGCTGCCCTCTTTACACAGGACATGGCTTCCAGGGAACTTTCTACTTGGCAAGCTTCACTTGTTTACATTGCCTTTGGCCTTTATAAGCAACTGCGTTTGTAAACCATCAACTGCAGTTTAATCGAGGAAGTGGACTACAAGGGAAATTAAACTTGGTTCCTACTTTCAAGGCGCTTACAGACCAGGTGAATGAGACATGTAAATGTTCCTGGCCGGGCACGGTGGCTCACACCTGTAATCCCAGCACTTTGGGAGGCCAAGGTGGGTGTATCCCTTGAGGTCAGGAGTTTGAGACCAGCCTGGGTAACATGGCAAAACCCCATCTCTACTAAAAACACAAAATTAGGTGGGCGGATCACATGAGGTCAGGAGTTCGAGACCAGCCTAGCCAACATGGTGAAACCCCATCTCTACTAAAAATACAAAACTGAGCCGGGTGTGGTGATGCATGTCTGTAATCCCAGCTACTCAGGAGGCTGAGGCACGAGAATCGCTTGAATCCGGAAGGCGGAGGTTGCAGTGAGCCAAAATTGTACCACTACACTCCAGCCTCGGTGAGAGAGCAAGACTCTGTCAAAAAAAAAAAAAAAGTTGCTTATGCTCTTCCTTCCAATACACACAAAGGAGAGGAAAGCTATAAATGGAATAACCAACAGAGAAGAAAACTATGGACACTGGTGAAATGCCACAATCAGTTGAAATACTTAGTGAAGATTGTGCACTCACAAACTAGGTGATAGGAAATGGAGTACAGGAAGAAGAGGGGAGGTGCTTAAGGGACACCCATCGAGTGACTAGGTTTTAGGGGAGGAGTAAAGCATCCCCAGGGGACTAGGAGTCACGATACACAAGTTAAGAGTATCTCTGAGATAAGGCGGTAGTTCTCAAAGTGTGGTCCCCACGCTGGCAGCACCAGGATCCCCTGGGAACTGAAAAGAAATGCAAATTCTTGGGCCCCACTTCAGATCTACTAAGTGCGAAACCAGGGGTGGGGCCCAGCAATCTGTGTTTTGACAAGCCCTCTAAGCAAGTCTGATTCACTAAAGTCTGAGAACCACTTCAAAAAGGAACGTCAGAGAACTTAAGATTAACCCAGAATCAGGATAGTAGTTGCCCCTTAGATGGAGAGATCCCATGTGATAGGAGAGTGGCACATAGGAGATAAGGGGGGACGGTGTGTGACAGAAGCCACTTCTATATCATGTTTCATTTCTTCTTTAAATATGTACATTTTATGCACACCTATGCATGTTGTATTTCACAATAACATATTATTAAAGCCAGAGAACACCAGATCAATTTGCAAGTGCTGACAGAATACACAGTCAAGAAACAATTGGAGTCTAGAGAGACTGCAATCTGAACCAAAAAGAAAAAGACAAAGTGAAGTGTAGACAAGCTGTGCACATGAGTGACAGATGTATACTAGCTAGATCATGTGAAATTGACAAAATGCACAAACATGGGTCAGGCCATTCAGAGGATTCAAAGAATGGAAGACATAGCACCTGTTCTCCCTGGGGATGACCTGTACATTTCCCATCAGGTAGAGGAGATAACTCAACACTGGAGACTTGAATCTGCATAAGCAAATCTTATTAAATAACCTTTATTTAATAAAAGGCAGGAAGTAGTCACTCTTCATTTTATACTTTATAAAAACAATAACAAATGCATTTTTTTTTTTTGAGACGGAGTTTCACTCTGTTGCTCAGGCTGGAGTGCAGTGGTGCAATCTTGGCTCACCACAACCTCTGCTTCCCAGGTTCAAACGATTCTCCTGCCTCAGCCTCCTGAGAAGATGGAATTACATCTTCTACATGGGTGCCCGCCACCATGTCCGGCTAATTTTTGTATTTTTAGTAGAGATGGGGTTTTGCCACGTCAGCCAGGCTGGTCTTGAACTCCTGACTTCAGGTGATCCGCCTGCACTGGACTCCCAAAGTGCAGGGATTACAGGTGTGAACCACCATGCCTGGCCAACAAATGAATCTTGTGTGGATACTATACCATCTGTTCAACAGGATGTAGAGATATACACTGAGCTATGAAACAATCTCCAAGATAGAGTAAAATGAAAAAAAGAAAGTGGCAGATCATTATGCTGCCATGTGGTTAAAATAAAGATATGGTACAAATATATGCTATTATCTGCATATTATCTGCTATTATCTGGAATAAAACTTGAGAAGTAACAGTGATAACTTTTGAAAAGTTAGATACTTTCACTGTGTACCCTTTTGGATTTTATGAACAAAAATGTTTTACCATGTGCAAATTACATATTCAAAAGAATAAATTAAAATCAAAACTTTCTAGTAAAGCAAACAAACACCAAAAAAACGCTTTGCACTGTAAAGTGGTAGGGCCTAGTCCATGCAGTGACCCAGAGTAGGTGCCTCTTAACTGAATGAATGAAACTGATTTCTCACATTTACCACACCCTTTTGCTACTCAGAGTGTGGTCCCCGAGCCAGCGGCATCAGCATCACTTGGTGCTTGCTTGCTAGAAATGCAGAAGCTCTGCTCACCCAGAGCTAATGCATCAGAATTTTAACAAGACCCCTGCCCCTGGATGATTCACATGTGGAATAACGTTTGAGAAGCACGGCCTTGGGCATGATGTTGAGTGCTATGCAGAAGGCCTTCAAGGAGTTATGATCCAGTTGATACTTACGATAAAGGAAGCATCCAGGGAGAAGGCACTAGATACCTTAGAACGATATGTTTAAATCTGACAGAAGGGAGGAGATAGTTTTGCACCAGGGTAAGAAAACTGGGGAAAGTAACTTTGAATTTGGCATTCATAAATGAACTTAAAAAAAAAAAAAGTCCCTGTCATACTCAGCCAGGACATAAAGGGACTAAAAACCAAAGCCAAACTAAGTGATTACTTTGGGAGGCTTCTGGGAATCAACTCATTTAAAAAACTGGTAAATAAAGGAAATGAATCAAGGATTCATCCTTACTTTCCTCTATGAACTATATACTTCAGGGTAAACAGTTTCTCTCTCTCTCTCTTTTTTTTTTTTTTTTTTTTTTGAGACAGCGTCTTGCTCTTTCACCGAGGCTGGAGTGCAGTGGCATGATCTTGGCTGGAGGCAGCCTTCACCTCCCTGGCTCAAGCAATCCTCCTGCCTCAGCCTCCTGAGTAGTTGGAACTACAGGCACAAGCCACCACACCTGGTATATTTTTAAATTTTTTGTAGGATGGGTGTCTTGCTATGTTGCCCAGGGTGGTCTTCAACTCCTGACCTCAAGTGATCCTCTGGCCTTGGCCTCCCAAAGTGTTGAAATTACAGGCATGCGCCACCATGCCCAGCTGGCACAATTTTTCTTTATACGAGAATTTGAAACTAATAAATGCAAAAGAAATAATAGAATATTTTCGTTTTTCAAAATTTAATAAAATAATGAATGTAGGCTAGCATCTGTAGGGAAGGAAAAAAACATTTTTTTCTACTGTCTTAGGTTCAGTGGCTGTGGCATGCTAATTACATTAACAAAAGAGGCCAGGCACAGTGGCTCATGCCTGTAATCCTAGCACTTTGGGAGGCCGAGGCAGGTGGATCACCTGAGGTCAAGAGTTCGAGACCAGCCAGACCAATATGGTGAAACGCCATCTCTACTGAAAATACAAAAATTAGCTGGGCATGGTGGCGCATGCCTGTAGTCCCAGCTACTCAGGAGGCTGAGACAGGAGAATTGCTTGAACCTGGGAGGCAGAGGTAGCAGTAAGCCGAGATCACACAACTGTACTCCAGCCTGGGCGACAGAGTGAGACTCCATCTTAAAAAAAAAAATTAACAAAAGATAGATTAGCAGGAGAAAAGGCTTATTATGCATGCATCCAGGAGCTTCACAGAAAAGAAGTGAAAACCTAAAGAAGTGGCCAGGCTTGAGGCTCATATACCGTTTTAACAAAGGGTGATAAATCGTGGAAAAGTAAGCTGGGCATGGTGGCTCATGCCTGTAATCCCAGCACTTTGGGAGGCTGAGGAAAGCGGATCACTTGAGGTCAGGAGTTCGAGACCAGCCTGGCCAACATGGTGAAACCCCATCTCTACTAAAAATACAAAAACATTAGCCAGGTGTGGTGGTGCACACCTGTAATCCCAACTACCCAGGAGCTGAGGCATGAAAATCCCTTGAACCTGGGAGGTAGAGGTTGCAGTGAGCCCAGATCACACCACTGTACTCCAGCATGGGCGACAGAGTGAGACTCTGTCTAAAAAAAAAAAAAAAAAAAATTGTGGAAAAGTGACAAAACGGTGAAAAAGGGATTTGGACATCCAGGTGATGTAAATTGTGGGAAGGTAAGTAAAATATACAGGGGAAATTAATGGAAGATAAAGGGTTATTTAGCAAGATTTGCTTATGCAGATTCAAGTCTCCAGCGTTGAGTTATCTCCTCTACCTGATGGGAAATGTATACCCTGCTTTAGGCAGAAAGGGAGAGGACAGAGAGTTCCTCTTCTGTCTGCTGCTTCTTAATTGCCTTCTACTCAAAATAATCCTTATGCTAAAGCAGCATACTTTGGAGTAGCACATGCTAATCCCTTCACATTAATGACTGCCAAACCCGGCAGGTGAAATGCTGATGGGGAAATTTATGGTGGTGGATCAGGCTCACAACCAGTGAACCCATGTATCTATCCAACACCCAGAGAGAGAAGAGACAAGCTTCTGCAGACCTGATGCAACAGAAAGCACAGGGCCCCACATAGGAAGCATTCTTGCCAAAAATCAACTCCAAACCTGATTAAAACTCTAGACTCTAGATCTAACTACCAGTTTGCAGGGGGATGAAAAGGCACAGAGGAACACAGTAAAGGATTCTACAGGAAAGATGTTAATAACTCCCCCCAACCTTGGCATTTCCTGTGAGAAATTCTAGAAAACTGATAATCCAGCTTCTTCAACAAAAACACTGTAGAAGAGTCGGGCACGGTGACTCACGCCTATAATCCCAGCACTTTGGGAGGCTGAGGTGGGCAGATCACCTGAGGTCAGGAGTTCGAGACCAGCCTGACCCACATGGAGCAACCCTGTCTCTACTAAAAATACAAAATTAGCCAGGTGTGGTGGCACATGCCTGTAATTCCAGCTACTTGGGAGGCTGAGGCAGGAGAATTGCTTGAACCCAGGAGGAGGCAGAGGTTGCAGTGAGCCGAGATTGCACCATTGCACTCCAGCCTGGGCAACAAGAGCGAAACTCCATCCAAAAAAAAAAAAAGCCACTGTAGAAAAAAAGGGAAAGGGGAAAAAAAGATAAAAATTGATGAGGCCGGGCATGGTGGCTCACACCTGTATTCCCACCACTTCAGGAGGCCGAGGGGGGTGGATCACCTGAGGTCAAGAGTTCAAAATCAGCTTGGCCTACATGGTGAAGCCCTGTCTCTACTAAAAATACAAAAATTAGTCGGGCGTGGGGGTGCACACCTGTTATTTCCAGCTATTCGGGAGGATGAGGCAGGAGAATGTCTTGAACCTGGGAGCCAGAGGTTGCAGTGAGCCAAGATTGTGCCACTGCATGCCAGCCTGGGTGACAGAATAAGACTCAGTCTCAAAAAAAAGTTGATTGAAGGGACCCATCACTTAAATGCAACATATGAATCTTGTCTATATCCTAATTTGAACAAACCAACTGGGAGAGAAAAAGATTTAGGAGACAACGAAGGAAACCTGAACACGGACATATTGATAATAAGACATTATCATCTTTGGTCTGGGCATGGCGGCTCACGCCTGTAATCTCAGCTCTTTGATTTGGGAGGCCGAGGTGGGTGGATTGCTTGAGTCCAAGAGTTCAAGACCAGCCTGGTCAACATAGTGAGATTCCGTCTCTAAAAAAAAAATTAAAAAAAAGAAACAATAAAAAAAATAAAAAGAAATTATATTTTTAGATGTGAAAATATTATTGTAGTTATGTTAAAAAAGAGTCTTTACCTTGCAGATACCTAATGATAAATCTATGTCTGAAGTAATAAACTCTTTAGGATTTGCTTCAAAATAATCCAGTGGGGGGAACAGGTTGGGGTACACAAGAAATAAGGTCGGTAATTACCTAATAAAAAACGAGGTTCATTATACTAGCTTTTTATTTTTGCAAATTTTGAAATATTCTACAATAACAGTTTCTTAAAATATTCAAAAAATTTCCAGAGTATGCTTTTAGAGGAGGGAGGGGGGAAGAGGGCCCTCCAGTGGGCAGAGCACGAAGAACTGGTAGTGCGGGATTCTGGACTGGGAACGCTGTCATTCAGCCGGGCTATCCCGTAGGCGTGGAGGCCTGGAAATGCAGGTTGGGTCAGATGATGGGGGGCTGAAAAATTTCCACTCAATCCCATCGTCAGTAAAGACAGTCCCGAAGGTGGTAACAGCCACAGCCACAATTCAATAGCAGCCATTCTTAATTTGGTTCTTATCACGCGCCAGGCTTTATGCCAAGTGCTTTGCATATATTATCTCAGTTGATCCGCAAAACAAACCTATTAGGTTGGCATCATTATCCCCATATTACAAACAAAGAAATTGAATCTCAGAGAGATAAGTACAGTCATGCTCTGTATAATGACGTTTCGGTCAACAACAGACGGCATAAACAACAGTGGTCCCAAAAGATTATATCATATTTGTACTGTACCTTTTCTATGTTTAGAAACACAAATGCTTATTGTGTTACAGTTGCCTGCAGCATTCAGTCCAGTGACATGCTGGGCAGGTTTGCAGCCTAAGAGCCATAAGCTATACCACACAGCCTAGGTGTGGAGTAGGCGATACGATAAAGGTTTGTGTAAGTGCACTCTGCTGTTCTTCATTTCTCAAAACGTATCTCCACCATTAAGTGATGACGGAGACTGTAATCTGTTCAAGCTCACACAGCCAGGACCCGGCAGAGCCAGGATTGAACCCGTACCTGCATTATCCCTGCTTTAACTGGTGTAATTTGGCCTTCACTTGCTTTATAACCTACTGTTTCATTTAAGACTTTGCTTGAAAAAAAAAATGTTTCCATTCCTTAAAAAATGTTTGGAAACCACTGCTAAGTATCCGCTGGAGGCATTTAAGGTGGTACAACTTAGCGGTTAGAATATGAGTTATAAAATCAGTCAGACCTGATTTCAAATTCTGTTCCTACCACTTTACTAGCTACGTGACCTCTGGGTGGCTACTCTGTCAGGGCCAAAGTTTCATCATTTGTAAAGTGGGAATAATAGCAATACTTCACAAGGGTTTAGAAAACCTCAGTAAATGTTAGCCTAGATTTTTTCATGTTAATAAAAGGTAGCTGTTATTATTATGCTATAAAACTCCACTTAGATAATGACTCAGATAGAGTCATACTTAGAGAAATAATATTTGCAACTGTATTCACTTGCTCTCTTCTGACAGATGAGGAAACTGAGGCCCATAAAGATGAAGTGACTTTCCTAAGAGCACCCACAGAAGAAATAGCAGAGCCAGGCTTTCAACTCAGGTTCTATTAGATTTCAGAGCCCTAGAATTTTTAACTATTTTAGTTTCTTGTGTTGGCTGGGTGCAGTGGTTCACATCTATAATCCTAGTGCTTTGGGAGGCCAAGGCAGGTGGATCATTTGAGGCCAAGAGTTCAAGACCAGCCTCTGCAAGATAGTGAGACCCCTGTTTCTCCAAAAAATCATGAAAAAATTAGCCAGGCATGGTGGTGCATGCTTGTAGCCCCAGCTACTTGGGAGGCTGAGGTGAGAGGATCACTTAGCCCAAGGAGTTCAAGGCTACAGTGAGCTATGATGGCAACACTACACTCCAGTCTGAACCAGACCCTGGCTTAAAAAAAAAAAAAAAAAGCGGGGGGGAGGGGCAGGGGTGGGCATGGTGGCTCATGCCTGTAATCCCAGCACTTTGGGAGGCTGAGGCAGGTGGATCACGAGGTCAGGTGTCCAAGACCAGCCTGGCCAACATAGTGAAACCCTGTGTCTACTAAAAATACAAAAAATTAGCTGGGTGTAGTGGCAGGCACCTGTAATCGCAGCTACTCAGGAGGCTGAGGCAGGAGAATCGCTTGAACCCGGTGGAGGTTGCAGTGAGCTGAGAGCCAAGATCATGCTACTGAACTCCAGCCTGGGCGATAGAGCGAGACTCTGTCTCAAAAAAAAAAAACAATGGATGTGTAAAATAGGGTGGACCACATGGTGGAATGGTAGCTGTCCAGCAATAAAATAAGAGCGCAGTCCGGGTGTGGTGGCTCACATCTGAAATCCCAGCACTTTGGGAGGCTGAGGTGGGCAGACCAAGAGGTCAGGAGTTCAAGACCAGCCTGACCAACATGGTAAAACCCTATCTCTACTAAAAATACAAAAATTAGCCAGGCGTGGTGGCATGTGTCTGTAATCTCAGCTACTCAGGAGGCTAATGTAGGAGAATGGTGTGAACCCAGGAGGCGGAGGTTTCAGTGAGCCGAGATTACACCACTGCACTCCAGTCTGGGCAACAGAGCAAGGCTCCGTCTTAAATAATTAAAAAAAAAAAACAATTGAGGAATGTGTACACAGGAGTTTGTTAATATGGTTTCTCATATCTTTATGTGTGTTTGAAATACTTCATAGCATAACATTTTATTTTATTTATTTTTGACACTGAATCTCACACTGTCACTCAGGCCAGAGTGCAGTGACACAAACATAGCTCACTGTAGCTTCGACCTCCTGGGCTCAAGCAATCCTCCTGCCTCAGCCTTCTGTGTAGCTGGGACTTCAAGTGCATGCCAACACGCCTGACTAATTTTTAAAATTTTTTGTAGAGATGGGGTCTCACTATGTTGTCCAGGCTGGTCCTGAACTCCTGGGCTCAACTCATCCTCCTGCCTCAGCCTTCCAAAGTGTTGGGATTATAGTAGTGAGCCACCATGCCCAGCCTAACATAATATTTTAAGGCAACCACAATAAAGACACCTTAACTTCAATCTGTCCAAAGCCATTCAGCTGTGAGGGACAAGGTTGAGAATTCTGGTGGCTGACGGGGTGCTCTTCATGTTACCTCCTAAACATAGTCCCTCCTGAGAGCCTGATTTACTTCATTACAAACCCCAACAATGGCGGCACTGTGGAGGCGGCCCGAGAACTTCAACAGGGTGAAATGGCCTCAGATGCTCCTGAGAAATGAACACAGCACCCCGCCCTTGATGACTATCATCCCATTAAGACCTCCCACTACATTTTCTGACACCCAACAGACCAACTGACCACAACATTCCTGGGTTCTCCTCCCCTAAATCAATGACAACCCAAACAAACAAAAATCCCCATGGCTCTCCCATGGAAAGATGCCTCATTTCCCTCACCTGCACCTGAGTCTACTTCCCAGGCTGGTGACCTGAGGTAATGCTCCTTAGCGCCCCCTACAGCAAGTGACCGCTTTTGTATTTAGCCTCCTACTGAGCCTCTATCACCCCTCCCCGAAAGCCCTTTTTATGTTAAATCAGTTCATGCTCTCCCTCTATTCTCTACTCTCTACCCTCCCATGATTTCCCATTACTTCGTAATAAAACCCCATAGATTTTACTATGGGCTTCATCTCCTACCTCCCCCTCCCATCTTGATCACTTTGCTCCAGCCCTCTGCACCCCATTCCAGCCTCCTCAAGGGCTCTTCAAAAGGCCACGTTCCCTCTGCCTGCATGACTCATTCCCTTCTTCCCTTGCTCCCTCACTTCATCCAGGTCTCTGTGGCAATGACACCTCCTCCAAGAGGCCTTGCCAGTCTGATTATTCAACGTAATCTTGTTTTATTTGTTGTTCTAGCCAGAAACCCTCGCACATTATGAAAAACCTCACTCCCCATACAGAGCACCCCTCATCACTCATTCCCAATGTAGCATCAGGGATGGAGCCTGGATGTCCCTCCAGCACTGGTGATCTGATGAGAAAATCTCTCAGGACGTCCAGTTATCACAGATTCCTCTTGTGGCTTATTCTCAGGGTCATCCTGCTTACTAATTCCTAACAGAACATCTGGGGCCCCTCTCCAATAGGGGCAGAAACTAGGAAGACTTTCAATTTTCACTCCTTAAGTTATCTCGAGATGAGATTTTTCAGAGTCACAGAGGTAGGCTAACTGGATTGGGACCACGAAGTGTCATTCACTGTACAACTTAAAAACTGTGTCTCATTGGCCAGGTGCAGTGGCTCGCACCTGTAATGCCAGCACTTCGGGAGGCCGAGGTGGGTGGATCACCTGAGGTCAGGAGTTCGACACCAGCCTGGCCAACATGAGGAAACCCTGTCTCTACTAAAAACACAAAAATTAGCTCGGCATGGTGGCACGTGCCTGGAGCTACTCAGGAGGCTGAGATAGGAGAATCGCTTGAATCCAAGAGGCGGAGGTTGCAGTGAGCCGAGATCGTGCCACTACACTCCAGTGTGGGCGACAGAGCAAGACGCCATCTCAAAAAAAAAAAAATTATCTCTCATTAACAGGTCACCTCGTTATTTCTTATAAATCCGATCATCTGCACAACTGTATTGACCTGAGTATATTTTTGTATCATTCATTCAATGTAAATATTTAGAACACAGCACAATTTTTGGAAAAAATTTTGCTGTTGCATCTGTTCATTTCTCAGCATTTCATTCTCAGTATTCAGTTTCTCAATGAAACCTCCCAAAACCTTACTGGACTTCAGAGAAGCCTTGTCCGGCTGCCTTCCCAAGAAGACCCTGCCTAGGAATAAAATTTCCTCTCCTTGAGGCCCAAATTCACAGTTCTTACTATTTGTGGATAAGTCAATTTTCAGTTCCAACTTGATTTCCAGTTCAATGCTGACTCCTCTGGTCCTCTTGGCTCCATGGTGTGGGCAGGATCCAGAGCTTCAAAATTTACATCCATCACTCTTCTCAGCAGGAACACCTCAGCCCCAACTTCTGCTTCCCTTCTGTCCTCATGCACTTCCAGTCGGGGCTAATGTGCGCATGCGTCCTGGTTCTGGACGCTCTTTTTTTTTTTTGAGATGGAATTTCACTCTTGTTGCCCAGGCTGGAGTGCAATGGTGCAATCTCAACTCCCGGGTTCAAGCGATTCTCCTGCCTCAGCCTCCTGAGTAGCTGGGATTACAGGCATGCACCACCATGCCCGGCTAATTTTGTATTTTTAGTAGAGACAGGGTTTTTCCATGTTGGTCAGGCTGGTCTCGAACTCCTGACCTCAAGTGATCCACTCACCTCGGCCTCCCAAAGTGTTGGGATTACAGGCATGAGCCACCGCTCCTGGCCCGGACGCTCTCTTTTTACCGTCCACTTCTTCTAACACGCTCCCTGAGGTGCCTCAGCCCCTGGGAGGCATTCCTGGCCTTTTGTCACACCTGTTTTGTTTGAGCCACTGCACCGATAGGCACCTTGAGGCCTCGCGGGAGGACGGCCCTCCCTTCCCTGTGTGCAGGCCCTGAAGGGAGCACCACATGGAGACAGGTACAGAAAAGGCGGGAAAGCAGAGATGCAGTGTCTGGGGCTTTGAGGCTGGGTCTTGAAGGGCAAGCCCGTGAGTCCCCGAATAGCGACGAAGCCGCTGAGCTTCTCAGAACCCAGAAAAGGTATAGAGGAGGAGCTCACATGCACACATACACACCCCAATCCATCCATCTGTCATCTATTCATATCTTTATTAACCAATTACATGTTGGGATGATAATCCTCTGAACATGTTGGTTTAAATAAAATATATTAATTTCGTCTGTTTCTTTTTACTTCTTTTAATTTGATTATTAGACAATTAAAAATTTTTAAATGGTGCCTGGAGCTACTCGGGAGGCTGAGGCAGGAGAATCGCTTGAATCCAAGAGGCTTGGATTTTTTAAAAAATAGCTTACATTACATTTCTTTCTTTTAATTTTTTAAAGTTATTTTATTTTTTTTTATTTTTTTGAGACAGAGTTTCGCTCTTGACACCCAGGCTGGAGTGCAATGGTACCATCTCTGCTCACTGTAACCTCCACCTCCTGGGTTCAAGTGATTCTCCTGTCTCAGCCTCCTGAGTAGCTGAGATTACGAGCGCCAGCCACCACGCCCAGCTAATGTTTGTATTTTTAGTAAAGATGGGGTTTCACCATGTTGGTCAGGCTGGTCTCAAACTCCTGACTTCAGGTGATCCACCTGCTTTGGCCTCCCAGATTGCTGGGATTACAGGCGTGAGCCACCACCCCCGGCCCCTTTTAATTTTTGTAGAGACAGAGTCTTGCTATGTTGTCCAGGCTGATCTCGAACTGGTGACCTCAAGGGTCATTCTTGCCTCAACCTCCCAAATTGCTGGGATTACAGGCATGAGCCACTGTGCCTGGCCTTGGCTTATATTGTATATCTATTGGACAATGTTGGGGTTGATAAAAAGGATTCATTGCAAAGCTCCTAACCCAGTGACTGGCTCATAATAGATATCTGATGGATTCTCTAAACATATTTTTACAGATTGCTTCCCTGTGAAAAGGTTTCTGCCCCATGGAGCTCAGCCTTAACTTGGGAGACACACAACAGTTGAGTGAACAAGCAAAGGTACTTTCAGATTATGATAAATAAGTGCCATAAAGGAAATAAAACAGCAGGAATTGGCAGCATTTAATTCAGGTGGCCGAGAGGGCCCCTCTGAGCTGGTGGTCTTTGAACTGAGCCCTGAATGACTGACAAAAGGAGCAGGCTCTGGATGGCTTGGGCAGGGCTCAAGGTTGTGGGAACAACCCCTGCAAAAGCTCTAAGGCAGCAATGAGACTTCTATGATTGAGGTAGGGAGAAGAGGTCTTGTGCTTGGGAAAAGGGTAGTTGGAAATGTACCTGCAGAGGTCAAGGTGTGGTGGGTGGCAGGTCACAGGGGCCTTGTAGGCCATGGTCACTGGTATTTGAAATGTGACAGGAAACTTTTGCAGCTGTCTCCACCCAGTTCCCGGTAGACTTAAGCCCTAAGACTCTAAGGCATCCATTGCATGTAATGAATTAAGTTATCTCCTACTGTAGTAAGTAATGGTATTAGCTAGTAGCATCCTTGGGAAAATCAAGAAAACAATCACTCAAACCATT
Organism: Homo sapiens; assembly: GCF_000001405.40. Classification (NCBI taxonomy): domain Eukaryota; kingdom Metazoa; phylum Chordata; class Mammalia; order Primates; family Hominidae; genus Homo; species Homo sapiens. The sequence goes on along the minus strand of NC_000019.10, from coordinate 35,472,703 downwards.
CTCTGCAGAGCTTAATTGTCTCCCAAAACCCTAAGAAAGGTTGCAGGAGAGATATTTAGCAAAAGAGTTGAAAAAGATCACTCTGACTGCAATGTAGAGAGTGGATGGGGTGGGGGCAAGAGGCAGGAATGGAGGGAGGGCGTTCAGTAGGAAGTCTTTCAAACTGGCCTGGAAGAGAGACGGCGGTGGCTTCCATGGGGCCTGCAGTAGTCAGATAGTGAGAAGTGAACATGTATTTTGAAAACTGAAGCCAACTAGAACCAATGGATTAGATATGGAGGAAGAAGAAGGAGGAGTCAAGGATGGCTACTGAGATTTTGGCCTGAGCCACTGGATGGATGCCGGTGGTTTGGGTTCTAGTCTCAATTCTGCTGGATGACCCTGGGCAAACAAGTGACTTCTCTCTGCTGACGCTCAGTTTCCTCTTCTGTAAAACGGGGATTGCCATGGAGATGTGATGAGATTATACATGAAATGCACAGGGCTGCCACATAGCAAGCACGTAAACTGCTGTTATTATCATTGTCATCATTCCTGCGCCGCTAACATACTGATGTAGCTACACGCATGGGCTCAGGAACCAGTCAGGCCTAAGTTGAGTTCCTAAGTTGTTATGTGACCTTAGGGAGGTCACTTCACATTCCTGAGCCTCAGGGTCCTCCTCTGTGAAGGGAGTTAATGAAAATACCCTCCCTCCAGACCCAGTTGTGAGGATTCAGTGACGTCCTGGACGTGAAGTGCTTAGCCCTCAGTGTAGCTCACAGTAGTTGGTCAGTTAACAGGACCTAAACGCTAGAGTAATTTGAGTTTTCTTCTCTGTGTATGTTTGGTGAACAGTGTTGATGAAAAGAGTCAAACTGTAAAATATTTTGAAGAGATTTATTATGAGTGACCATGGCCCCGTGACACAGCCCCCAGGAGGTCCTGAGAACATTTGCCCAAGGTGGTCAGGGTGCAGCTTGGTTTTATAATTTTAGGTAGGCATGAAACATCAATCAAATACATTTTTTTTTTCTTTTGAGACGGAGTCTCGCTCTGTCCCCCGGGCTGGAGTGCAGTGGCGCGATCTCGGCTCACTGCAAGCCTCGCCTCCTAGGTTCACGCCATTCTCCTGCCCCAGCGTCCCGAATAGTTGGGACTACAGGCGCCCGCCACCACACCTGGCTAATTTTTTTTTTTTGTATTTTTAGTAGAGACGGGGTTTTGCCATGTTAGCCAGGATGATCTCAATCTCCTGACCTCGTGATCTGCCCGCCTTGGCCTCGCAAAGTGCTGGGATTACAGGCGTGAGCCACAATGCCTGGCCTCAAATACATTTAAGAAATTAATTGGTTTGGTCCAGAAAGATGGGACAATTCAAAGTGGGGCAGGGCTTCCAGGCTATAGGTAAATTTAAACATTTGCTGGTTGACAATTGATTGAGTTTGTCTAAAGACCTGGGATTGACAGAAAGGATATGTTCAGGTTAAAAGATTGTGGAGACCAAGGTTCTTTTGAAGTCTTACAGTGGCTGCCCTTAGAGACAATAGATGACAAATGTTTCCTATTCAGATCTTTAAAAGGTGCTAGACTCTTAGTTAATCTCTTCAGGATTGGGAGGGCCTGGAAGAAAAAGATCTAGCTATGTTGATAGAGATTCTTTACAGATGCAAATTTTCCCCACAAAGGACAGCTTTGCAGGGCCACTTCAAAATATGATTTTGGAGTAAAATATTTTGACTTTCTTCTTTATCAAGTAACGTTATGCCACAGTAAGACTGGAAAGTAAGTCACGATATATAGGGTTAAATAAAACCCAACTGATGAGAATTTATGGTTTTTAGGGCACGATTCTCTGGGCCCCTTAGATAGGAATTTGGGCAGGATAAAAAATCAGAGCTTAGTCCTCAGCAGAATCAACTTAAAACCAGGCTTTATGTGTTTATTATGAAATAATATATGCTCATGGGAAAAATGTAAACAGTACAGAATTATGTAAAGCAGAAAATGAGGCCGGGTGCAGTGGCTCATGCCTGTAATCCCAGCATTTTGGGAGGCTGAGGCAAAACAATTGCTTGAGGTCAAGAGTTCCAGGCTGCAGTAAGGTATGATTGTGCCACTGCACTCCAGACTGTTTTTTAGTGACAGTCTCACTCTGTCACTAAAAAACAAATTTTTTAATGAAAAAAAAAAGAAAGAAAGTTGACCTACCTTCCCTCCTCCCAATTTCCTAAGTAACCATTGTTGACTGTCACGTAGCCTTTGCGAATTTCACGTACATGTGTACACATCCATGCTTTCCTAGCAGAGGCTGAGAATTCAGACTCCGGAGTCATACAGATCCAGGTTCTAGTCCTGCCCTGCCACTTATTTGCTGTGAGATATAGGACAAGTTATTCCACAATCGCTCTAAGTCTCAGTTCCTTTTTTTTGTTTGTTTGTTTTGTTTTTTGGAGACAAAGTCTCAGTCTGTTGCCCAGGCTGGAGTGCAGTGACTCGATCTCAACTCGCTGTAGCCTCCATCCTCCCACCTTAGTCTTCTGAGTAGCTGGGACCACAGGTACATGCCACCATGCCTGGCTAATCTTTTTTATATTTTGTAGAGACAGGGTTTCACCATGTTGCCCAAGCTGGTCTTGAACTCCTGGGCTCGAGTGATCCTCCCCAAGTGTTGGGATTACAGGCATGAGCCATGTGCCTGGCCAATTTCCCTTTTTGTAAAAAGAAAAGTCATGGCAATACCTATGTCCCTGTGCTTTGGTAAGAATTCATTGAACGGTGCATGCAGAGAGGTTAGCTCTGTGCTCACATGTATGAAGGTCTCAAAAACACTCAGCTGCTATTATTATATATATATATAGTCATGCACCACATAACAACGTTCTGGTCATTGACAGACTGCGTATATATACAATGGTGGTCCCATATGATTAGAATGGAGCTGAAAAATTCCTGTCACCTACTGACATTGTAGCTGCTGTAACATCATAGCACAATGCATTACCTTTTCTATGTTGAGATACACAAATACTGTTGTGCTCCAGTTGCCTGCAATATTCAGTACAGTACCATGGTTTGTAGCATAGGAGCAATAGGCCATACCATTATAGCCTAGGTGTGCAGTAGGCCATCCCATCTAGGTGTGTGTAAGTACACTCTGTGATGTTTGCATAACGACAAAATTGCCTGTATTTGTCAGAACATATCCCCATTGTTAAGTGACACATAACTATACTGATTTTAAGATTATAGACAGTACTGTTTTATTTATTCTCTTCTACAACTGCTATTGTAGCTTCATAAGATGTTTCAGACCTCTTTCCGTACCAAGACTCATACTGAAGGCCGGGCACGGTGGCTCACACCTGTAATTCCAGCACTTTGGGAGGCAGAGGAGGGTGGATCACTTGAGCTCAGGAGTTTGAGACCAGCCTGGCCAACATGGTGAAACGCTGTCTCTACTAAAAATACAAAAATGAGCTGGGTGTGGTGGTGGGCACCTGTAATCCTAGCTACTTGGTAGGCTGAGGCAGGAGAATCTCTTGAACCTGGGAGGCAGAGGTTGCAGTGAGCCGAGATTGTGCCGTTGCACTCCAGCCTGGGCAACAGAGCAAGACTCTGTCTCAAAAAAACAAAAAACAAAGACTCATCTTGATTTAATGCAAGGTTAAAAGACCCCCCCTTGCCAACTTCCTCATCCCTAAGTTTCTGCTTCTGGGCGATTTCCAGTGTCTGGGTGTGGATCACAGAGGCACAGCAGCCTGAGTGGTGCTTGGACCTGCCAGGGTTTGCAGGCGGGTAGTAGCCTTATCTGCCCAGGAGGTGGCAGGCAGAATCTGAGGAGGATGGCAGGTAGCACAATGAGAAAGTGTGGGGTGCTTTACAGCCTTTATCTCTGTGACCTATACCCTTGGGACCTGGTGTGACTTTTGAGTCACATCTTGCTTCCCTGGAAGGGGCCATGCATCCTACTTTCACTTTTCCCTGGGGTCTTAGGGCAGAGTTCAGGCTATCCAGAAACTAAGCAGATCCCAGGAGCTAATGTTATGGTTTTACAGAACCTGCTGTCCAGAATTTTTTATTTTTATTTTTGGTGAGACAGGGTGTCACTGTCACCCAGGTTGGAGTGCAGTGGCACAATCTTGGCTCACTGCAACCTCCGCCTCCCAGGCTCAAGTGATCCTCCCACCTTAGCCTCCCGAGTAGCTGGGACCACAGGCTCGCCACCACACCTGGCTAATATTTTGTATTTTTTGGTAGAGATGGGGTTTTGCCATGTGAAGCTTCTGAGCTCGGGCGGTTCTCCCGCCTCGGCCTCCCAAAGTGCTGGGATCACAGGCATGAGCCATCCCGCCCGGCCTGTGTAGAATATTTTTTAACTGGCTTTGTGATTATATTCTAGGATATTTTTCATTTCATTTTAAAAAAAGGGAATCTATGGTTATGGTAAATGGTTATTTTCATCCCACCTCTCTCCCCACCGTATACATACCGCTCTTAGTTCTGGGACTTATTCTCTCTCCTTCCAGGATCTAAGCCCCTTCTCCTTCCTTCTCCATCCAGCTCTTCTCTAAGGTGCTACTGATCTGACAGTTCCACTTTTCTTCTTTTTTCTGCTCCTGTAACATCACAAAACTCAGATGTCTTCTTTGCTCCAAGGACCTTATATGACTTACCCCTGTCTGTACCCGTTTCCCTCTTTATGAAGGAGCTAGTCCTGGATTCTTGGGGACCAAGTGCTTGAGAGGTGACAAGCCTTAACAGTCCTGTCTGCAGAGGAGGTGATGGAAGGGCCCAGATAAATGACAGTGGACATGGGTGAGAGGTCAGGAGCAGCGACGGTGATTTCTATGGTACAGGATAGTTCCTGTCAGGGATCATTGCTATATTAGGGCCAATAATAATTCTTTTACCATCTGGCCCATGGGCTGTTGTCAGGATCAAATGAGATAAGATTTCTGAAACCATTTGGTACCAGGTGAAGCACTTTATAATCTGTCTGATATCATTAATTAGCAAAATTACCCATACCCCAACCATGCTGTGGTAGGAAGGACACTGCCCGGAAAGTTAGGAGACCTGAGTCTGCTACCACCTCCCTGATGGCGAGTAGTACGTTTCTTTTGCTAGCAAATTGGTTCATTCATTTGTTTAACACTGACTCTGTGTCAAACATGGTTCTGACTGCTGGGGATGGATAGGTGTACAAAATGGGGCCGGGCATAGTGGCTCAGGTCTACGATCCCAGCACTTTGGGAGGCTGAGATGGAAGGATTACTTGAGGTCAGGCAGGGGTTCGAGACTAGCCTGAGCAACATAGCATGACCCTGTCTCTACCAAAAAAAAAAAAAAAAAAAAAAAAAAGCCAGGCTTGATGGTGTGCACCAATAGACCCAGCTACTTGAGAGGTTGAGGCAGGCAGGAGGATCACTTAAGCCCAGGAGTTTGCAGCTGCAGTGAGCCGTGATTGCGACATTGCATTCCTGCCTGGGCAAAAGAGTAAGACCTCATCTCCAAAAAAGAAACAAAAACATGCCGGGCCCGGTGGCTCACGCCTGTAATCCCAGCACTTTGGGAGCCAAGGCAAGCGAATCACCTGAGATCAGGAGTTTGAGAGCAGCCTGGCCAACATGGCGAACCCCGCCTCTATTAAAAATACAAAAATTACCCAGGTGTGGTGGCGGACCCCTGCAATCCCAGCTATTCAGGAGGCTGAGGCAGGAGAATTGCTTGAACCCAGGAGGCGGAGGTTGCAGTGAGCCGAGATCATGCCATTGCACTCCAGCCTGGGTGACAAGAGTGAAACTACGTCTCAAAAAAAGAAAAAAAGAAAAAAAGAAACAAAAACCTAAGCAAAATAACCAAAGTAGATGAGTTATCCTGGAACTTACATTCAAGAGGGGAAGACAGACAATTAGCAGGCAAACAAACAATAACAATAAAGAGGAAATACTTGGGGCTAATAACGGTGGGTGAAATCCATGAATCTCCTTTTGCTGCCTCCTGAAATCACACTGTAGTGACAGTAAAGAGATCTTTTAGAAAGGAGTCCCCGTAAGTACAGGGAGAACATAAGAGGATACAATACCACCAAAATTTTGCCAGCTGGACAGCAGATGAATGAATGGTAACTGGTGACTGACTTAGCAGACCTGTGAAAGTTGGATCATAAGCCAATAGTGGGAAAAACCAAGATTCAATGAAGTTTCTACTGTAGAATCCACATAAAGCTCATGAACTAGTGGCAACAGGTTCCTCTGGAAATGGGACAAAGGACAAGCTAACATAAGGAAAATAGGCTGAAAATCTTATTATTCTTAGAGACAGCATCTTGCTTTGTTGCCCAGGCTGGAGTGCAGTGGTGTGATCATAGCTCACTGCAGCCTTGACCTCCTGGGCTAAGTGATCCTCCTGCCTCAGCCTCCCGAGTAGCTGGGACTGCTGAGTAGGCAGGCACCACTATGCCACCATGCCAGGCTATTTAAAATTTTTTTTTTTTTGGCCAGGCACAGTGGCTCACGCCTGTAATCCCAGCACTTTGGGAGGCCGAGGCAGGCAGATCACCTGAGGTTGGGAGTTGGAGACCAGCCTGACCAACATGGAGAAACCCCATCTCTACTAAAAATACAAAATTAGCTGGGCATGGTGGTGCATGCCTGTAATCCCAGCTACTTGGGAGGTTAAGGCAGGAGATCGCTTGAACCCGGGAGGCGGAGGTTGCGGTGAGCCGAGATCGCGTCGTCATTGCCCTCCATCCTGGGCAACAAGAGCAAAACTCCCTCTCAAAAAAAAAAAAAATTTTTTTTTTTTTTTAGATACAGGGTCTCACTATGTTGCCCAGACTAGTATGGATCTCCTGGGCTCAAGCAATCCTTCAGCTTTGGCCTCCCAAAGTGCTGAGATTACAGGTGTGAGCCATGGCACTCAACCATTCTTTTCTGGTTTAGACATCATGTCATAGTGCCTTTATATACGTTTTATGTATCTAAAAAAAAGTAGTCCCTTCCCTTCTCTTCAATGTGAGCAGACAACCAAGAATTACCATATATATGATGACAACTTCTAACATAAAATATAGCAACTGACACCAAAAAAGGCATCTTAGAGCAGGGAGATGAAGATTCCTCAGAGAAATCAGAGTGGACATTGCAATCATGAAACAAGGTCAGCATGCTAAGAAGGAATAAAAATGTGCTCAGAAATGAAAAGTGATAGCAAAAATGAAAAATAGAAGGGCTGGAAGATAAGAAAATCTCACAGAAAGTAAAGCAAAACAATGGGGAGAGAAAAAATGGGAAAAAAGGGAAAATTAGAGGGCCGTGTAAGAGGTGCAGTGTCCCCCAAATAACAAGGATTCCAGAAGGAGAGAAGAGAGAAAATGAAGGCAAGGAAACCATCACAAAGTGTTTCAAGAGAATCTTCCCAAATGGAAGGAAATTATTTTGTAGACTGGAAGAGTCCATTGAATGCCCAATGGATGGAATTTTAGATACCTTGTGAGAAAGGTAAGGATCCTGCAGGCTTCCAGAGAGAAAAAGACAGGCCATGGACAAAGGATAGGAGTCAGGATGTCTTGGGAATTTTCAGCCAGACTGGACGCTAGAAGGCAATGCGGCAATGCCTTTCAAGTTCTGAAGAAGAATGATTGCCAACCCAGAATATTCCATACATAGCCCAATATCAACTACACATGAGAGTGGGATAAAGACATTTTCTGACATGCGGGATTTCAAAGCATTTACTTTCTAAAGAAGCTGCGTCAGGGTTGGGCATGGTGGCTCATGCCTGTAATCCCAGCAATTTGGGAGGCCGAGGCAGAAGGATGACTTGAGCCCAGGAGTTTGAGACCAGCCCTGGGCAGGATAGTGAGACCCTCCCCTTTCTATAAACGAACAAACAAAATAGCCAGGTGTGGTGACACCTGTGATCCCAATGCTTTTAGGGGATTGGGCAGGAGGATTGTCTGGGCCCAGGAGATGGAGGCCGCAGTGAGCCATGATTGTACCACCACACTCCAGCCTGGGCAACAGAGCGAGACTCTGTCTCCAAAAAAGTTAATAAATAATAAAATAAGTAAATGTGGGCTATGATGAGGTTTCTCTTCAAATAGCCGATCAATCCTTTATTCTTTAATTCATAGTATCCCCCCACCCCCTTTTCCTTTTGCTCCTTCTTTTTCCTTTCTGCCTTTGTTCCATGCCCAGACACGCCACAGTACCAGGCGTTATTAGTACCAGCTCACGTTCTTTTCCTTATTTGGAAAGAAGACTAGCTCTCTAGCTCACTGCAGACACCCCTTCCCCTTTCCCCTCTCTCCCTTACGTGCCCACCTTATCTAAAGAAAGTTCAAATGTTTAGCCAACTGGGACTAGTTTAGATTGTATGGCCCGACTCCGGCCAATGGGGAAAGGGTACAGGGGCAGGACTTGCATTAGGAATAAAGGCTCTCGTGCCCCTTTGTTCAGGTGTGCTCTCATGGCAACTGGCCAAGGAGAAGCACCCCTCTGCGCAAGTAAAATTGCTTGGCTAAGAATCCTTTGTTTGAGTGTTCAGTTTCCTTAGGATTTGGAGCGTTATTCCCAGCAGTAAATAAAGAAGCTGCTTAAGGATGTAAACCAAGGAAGAGGAAGACAAGAGCAGAGAAGCAAAGAGGCTTTCCACTTAAGAGCTTCAGGTGTGAGCTGGCTGGGCACGGTGGCTCAATGCCTGTAATCCCAGCACTTTGGGAGGCCGAGGTGGGTGGATCACATGGGGCCAGGAGTTCAAGACCAACATGGTGAAACCCCGTCTCTACTAAAAATACAAGAAAAATTAGCTGGGCATGAAGGCACGCACCTGTAATCCCAGCTACTCGGGAAGCTGAGGCAACAGAATTGCTTGAACCCAGGAGGCAGAGGTTGCAGTGAGCCAAGATCAAACCACTGCACTCCAGCCTGGGCAACAGAGCGAGACTCCATCTAAAAGAAAAAAAAAAGAGCTTCAAGCATGAGCTATACACCTGGCATAAACCACCACCCAGGCAGACTGGAACAGGTCAGAAAGTTCCAAGACACATTTCTTCAGGGAGATGAAATCTGTATCCTCCTAAAACCCCTGAAGTTCTTGAGAGGAGACAAGAACATTGACAAAGAGTTTGGGGTTGAATTCGTGGTAAACATGTAGACTAAACACATGAAAAAATAAGGTGATTATTAATTCCAGGGGTTTTGGGAGGAAAGTTGTGCAGGATAAAAAAGGAACTGGCTGGGCGCGGTGGCTCACACCTGTAATCCCAGCACTTTGGGAGGCCGAGGCAGGCGGATCACCAGGTCAGAAGATCGAGACCATCCTGGCTAACACAGTGAAACTCAGTCTCTACTAAAAATAAAAATTATTCAGGCTAGGTGGCGGGCACCTGTAATCCCAGCTACTCGGGAGGCTTAGGCAGGGAGAATTGCTTGAACCTGGGAGGTGGAAGTTGCAGTGAGCTGAGATCGTGCCACTGCACTCCAGCCTGGGTGACAGAGTGAGATTCTGTCTCAAGAAAAAAAAAAAAAGGAGCTGTTATTTACTACAGAGCTCCAATGTCATTAACATCGATGTAGTCACGATTATGCAAACACTGAATATTTTCTAACATAGTGACAATGGGAGCAGATCGGGAAGACAGGGCGGGAAGGGTGTTGTACATATTGGGAAAAGAATAAGAGCATAATCTTCATCTGCCACAGAATAATTTAACAGATGAAACCTTATATTGAGAAATGAAGAAATACAGTAAAATAAGCAAGCCCCTTAAAGGCATGGAGGGATAAATATTTTGCTGACAAGAGGTAGCAGCAGCTGCCTCCAGGAAGCGGTAAGTGACTGTGGTGGAGAGAGAGGGGAAGGAAGTTGTTTTTCACAGTCAACCATTTGATGCATTAAGGGATGTGCAAGTCTAACGGATAAAAATAACAAGTAGACAAAAATAGATGCTATCAGCTAATGATACACCCAGCGAAGTCAGCAACTAGGTATTATGTGAATGTGTCAAAAGGGAAGCCACTTAGGAGTGGTGGAGGGGGAAGTCCTTTGAGGAAATAAAATTTGAGTCACAGGCAGCCTCAAAGAGGGGAAATTCAGCTGGATGAGTACCTGGGGAACGAGGGCTCCACGAAAAGGGAACCACAAGGAGAAGGAGCTTAGTGAGCTGTCGGTAACAAAAAAGGAAGAGTGAAGGGAGCTGGAGGAGGGCTTGGAGGAAGGGAGTAGGGATGAGCTGGGTTGGGTGAGAGCCAAGTGCTAGATGCATCAGGGGCCTTGCTGGCTTTGGGGAAGGCATGGGATTTTACTCTGAGGATCATGAGAAGTATCTGGAGGCCTTCGAGCAGAAGAATGGAATTACAGTTTTAAAACATTTCCATGGTTAAACATGTATTTGGCATCTCCAGTGCGAGACACTTTTCTAAGTGCTTTGGAGGTACAATATGAAATTCGTTTCATCCTCATAATAACATGATGATGTAGGTGCTGTTAGCCCTATTTTTTTCTTCTTTTATTTCTTACTTATATATTTTTTGGGTCAGGGTCTCACTCTGTCATTCAGGCTGGAGTACAGTGGCTCACTGCAGCCTCCACCTCCTGGGTTCCAACAGTCCTCCCTCCTCAGCCTCCCAAGTAGCTGGGACTACAGGTGTGTGCCACCATGCCTGGCTAATTTATTTTATTTAATAATTTCATTTTTTTCTTTTTCTTTTTTAAAATCAACTATATTTATTTATTTATTTATTTATTTATTTATTTATTTATTTATTTATTTATTTAGAGATGGGGTCTTACTCTGTTGCCCAGGCTGGTCTCAAACACCTGGTCTCAAGTGATCCTTCTACCTTGGCCTCCCAAGGTGTTAGGATTACAGGTGTGAGCCACTGCACCTGGCCTTTTTTTTTTTTTAAATCTTGTGAGAGGCCAGGCTCAGTGGCTCACGCCTGTAATCCCAGCACTTTGGGAGGCTGAGGCGGGTGGATCACTTGAGGTCAGGAATTCAAGACCAACCTGGCCAACATGGTGAAAGCCCGTCTCTACTAAAAATACAAAAATTAGCTGGGAGTGGTGGCGCATGCCTGTAATCCCAGCTACTTAGGAGGGCGAGGCACAAGAATTGCTTGAACCGGGGAGACGGAGGTTGCAGTGAGCTGAGATGATGCCACTCTACTCCAGCCTGGGCGACAGAGCGAGACTCCGTCTCAAAGAAAAAAAAAAAATTCTCGTGAGAAAACGAAAGCGCAGCAAGGTTGAGTTGCACAGCGCTAGGACAGGATTCAAACTCAGTACACCCTGCTGCCCCTTCCTGGAGAGCCCTCAGCTTGTCCCCTAGAGGACCAGGACTAAATTCACTGCTTCTCAACCCTCACTCTACTTCACAAGCAACTGGAGAGCTTTAGAAAATACAATGCCCAAACACACCGGCAGTTTTGGAAACTCCTCCAGTGGCTTTGGAGCGCAGCCAGGGTTGAGAAGTGGACGCAGGCTGGAGGCCTGCTCGCATCCCCCGAGCTCTATGCTTCTGTCCTCACACCTTCATTTCTGTTGCAGGCCAGTGGACCCGGGACAACATGGGACGGCTCTTGGTGACTCCTTGGCCTCCCATCACTTTCTTGGAGCCCAGGCCCCTTCTTCTCCCCAGCCACGACTCCTCCTAGAAGCCAGGTTTCTTGCTGGTCTCTACTCTGCTCTCAGCACCAGGCATCTTACCCCACCCCCGATGCCTTTCCTTTCTCAGAACCTCGATGGAGGTCAGTCTCCATCACTCTCCCCAACTTTCTATACCAAACAACTGCACACCGCATGAGTCACGATTCCTGCCCTCTTTTCTCTTCCTCAGTGAAGTAAAGATTGAGAGAGAGTGTGCCTGTGGTTTTGAGAGGGAGTCGGGAATCGTGGAGGAGGGGCCAGAACACCATCTCACTGAGGACTTGCGTGTGTCACTTTGCCACTTTGCCACTTTGCATCGCTGAGCCTCAGCTTTTCTTGTTGTTAAGTAGGGAGAGGATATCTGTTGCGCTTCTTCTTTTTTTTTTTTTTTTGATTTGGAGTCTCTCTCTGTTGCAAGACTGGAGTACAGTGGTGCGATCTCATCTTACTGCAACCTCTGCCTCCCGGGTTCAAGTGATTCTCCTGCCCCTGAGTAGCTGGGATTATAGGTGTGTGCCACCACGCCTGGCTAATTTTTTTGTATTTTTAGTAGAGACGGGGTTTTACCATGTTGGTCAGGCTGGTCTTGAACTCCTGACCTCGTGATCCGCCCGCCTCAGCCTCCCAAAGTGCTGGGATTACAGGCGTGAGCCACCGCGCCCGGCCTGTTGTGCTTCTTAAAAGCCTTTGAGACTCCCTGGGATCTGACACTTGCTGGCTTTTCAGCTGTCACTAAGCTGCAGCCACCCTGGCGTTTCTTTTCCCGGCACAAATTCAGCCTGTTCAGGCCTCGCACAGGCCTGGAGCCCCTTGCTTGGGACATTATTCCCCCAGTTCTTGGCATACAAGATTCCTCCTTGCCATTCTAGTCCCAGCTCAAATATCACCTTTGCATGGCCTTCTCAAGCTCAAGCTGTGTGTTCAAAAGTAACCACCTACTCCCTTCCTGGGAGTCATGTTCTATCCCAGCTCGGTTCTATCGTCTTCACAGCACGTAGCACCAGTGCAAAGGATCCTGCTTATGGGTCTTGCTCTCCCTGTCTGCCCAGCAATGGGAGCTGCTTGAGGGCAGGAATCTTACCCTTTTTGTTCACTGCTGTATCCTTAGCACCTAAAACAGGGCCTGACACATGGTAGGCCTCCATAAATGTTGGCGGATGAATGAAGGCTACGCCGTGGAAACTCAAATGGTGTAATGTTTGCCATGGCACTTTAGAAATTCTCAACTGCAGCCCACATGGGTGAGCTTTTTATTTAAAATAGCTAGATTTGGGAGCAGTGTGTTTACTTTCCTAACTCTGTTTTCTCGAGGCTGGTCGTAGCTCGGACTGACAGATGGCAGAGGACAATGTTTGGGGAGAGGGAACCGGGGTTAGTATGTAGCTTGGACAACCCCTCCTCGGGTAAGCTGCTGGTGGCCAGCTGGCCGTGGCCAGCGTTTGCAGAGTTGGCTCCCCTCCCGCACTGCTTGACCTCGCATCTACTTTCCCAGACCTTTGAAACTTTGCCAAGTGGGTTACTGGATGACCGCTTCTGAAGGCTTAGAGATCTTTGGCCCAATTTCCTGATGGGATGTGCAATTTGTAGATGAGAAATGTCCTCATTTCCTGTGATTAGAGATAAATAATGAAAAGGAAAAAAAAAAGTGGGGCAAAAGCACTTATCCACAGGAGGCAGGGCAAGGCGAAAAGAAGAACTAGCACAGACCCCGCGCTGAGAGGCAGGACGTTTAAGGGAGTGAGGCTGGAATCATGGCTGTGTGTTTCCTCCAGACCCTCTCCATGCCCACTGCCCCCATCCCTCCTTTTCCAACCATAGTATTCATCACCAAGCCACACTGCACCTGAGCTCTGGTTGTGCGGACTGATGAGAAGTTCTGAGGAAGGGGCCCAGGAGCATCTTTTCCAGAAAGGGGAAGTGAAATAATGCCAGGTTCCCTTTTCGTGCTGCTCAGGCCCCCAGGTTGGGCCAGGTCAGATCCCTCCACCCCTGTTTCCTGGTAGCGGCACTAGGCTGCCGTCTGTGTTATTCATTAACCAGGCACTAATATTTCTGTTTACCCATCTGTCATCCTGCTTTGGGGCAGGGGGTTCAGAGGAGCTGTGCAATCATACAGCCACCCGGATGCTTTGGAGCAGGCCCAGCCAGCCACATTTAACTAGTGTTTACTGTATAGGAAGCACTGTGCAAGAGGCTTGCATGAAGCGTTGGTGGGGAAAGAGAAAGTTTTCTCAAGGAAGATGTGATCTGGCTGCCATTTGAGCAGATGTACTGTGAGTTGCATGCAGGGATATGTCTGAGCTCATTACATTATAATAAGAGCCCATTATTAGCATCTCTTGCCAAACCCATGTTCAAGATCTTCATATTGGTAGCAATGATTCCTGGTGGGAGTGTATGTGCCACAGAAATTTGCAAATGCAATAGATCAGGGCTTCCTACCCTTCCCCCATCTATCTATCATCTATCTATCTATCTATCTATCTATCTATCTATCTATCTATCTATCTAATCTATTATCTGTCTACCTACTACCTACCTGTGTATATCTATCTATCTATCTATCATCTATCTATCTGTCTATCTATCATCTATCTACTCTGTTATCTGTCTACCTACTACCTACCTGTGCATATCTATCTATCTAATCTATTATCTGTCTACCTACTAGCTACCTGTGTATATCTATCTATCTCTATCTGTCTATCTATCTATCTATCTAATCTATTATCTGTCTACCTACTACCTACCTGTGTATCTTTATCTCTCTGTCTCTGTCTCTCTCTCTCTTTCTCTATCTCTCTAATCTATTATCTGTCTACCTATCTACTTATCTGTCTATGTAATCTGTCTGTCCTCTCGGTTCTGTTTTCTGGAGAACCCTGACCAATATCCCTACTGATTCTGAAGTCCTGGGGAAGTGAGGACAGTCATCTATGGTTCAGCAAACGCTTCAGGTAGTTCCAATATTTGCTTACATTTAAAACCCCTGTTTGAGCCCTTCACTGGCCTTCTCTCTGGCCTTGAGAGATGCTAAGGTTTTCTCTCTCCTCAGAGCCTTTGCATCAGCAATTTCTGTTTCCAGAATGTTCCTGCGGGCCTTTGTATGTCAACTCCCTTTCATTGTTCAGGGCTCAGCTGAACATCACTAACTTAGGAGATTCAACTTCCAAATGAAGAAACAGGCCGATGTGTCAAGTGGCTTGTTCCCAGGTGATGCAGCAGCTGCTGGCTCAGAGGCCACATATTGAGAACCTCTGGGCTGGAATACTATCAATGGGGACAGAGTGAAAGAAGATGAGGTTGAGGAGCTGAGCAGGGGCTTCCAGGTCACAGAAAGGAATTTGTATTCTAAGAGCCTCTAGAAGTCATTCGAGGATTTGAAGCAAGATATTGGAATGATCTGATTTCCATTTTAAGAATATCATTCTGGCAGCTGTGCCTACCTGAAGGGACCTGAAGGGGAATGTTTGTTAGGATCAAGGAGACCATGTGCATGAGAGTTAAGAAACCATAGACTTCTATGCAAACACGCAGGGTTTTCATCGGGCTAGCAGCTGCCTGAAAAGACCGACCGTGCAAAGTATTTTAGGTCACTAAAAGGAGTTTGAATGAGCTTCTAAGAGCTTCTGGAAGCCAGGTGAAGGTTTGAAGCAAGAGAGTAGAATGATCTTCTAAACCTCCTCAACCTCCCCTTATAGTTTCTCCCATGACCTTGTTTCAGTTCCTTTGTAACTACTTTCCATTTGCCACACTCTGAAATCACCTTGCTCATCTATTTGTTTACCTGTTTTTAAACTATGTTCCCCTACCAGAATGGAAGTCCCAACAGGGAAGATACTTGTCTTTTGTACGCTCTGTATCCCTAGACCCTAGAAAAGTATCTGGCCTGGAGTTGGTAATGAATACATATTTGTTGAACAGGTGATCGACTGATTTCCCAGTGAAGAAATGGGCTGCTATGTCAGGTAACTTGATGAAGGTCAAATGCTTGTAAGTGAGCAGCTACAGCTTCACTTTGAAAGTCTTAGACCAGGTCCAGTGATCGATCTTCTTATAACCCCATGACAACAAAATGACTCTTTTTTTTTTTTATACGGAGTCTCGCTCTGTCACTCAGGCTGGAGTGCAGTGGTGCAATCTCGGCTCACTGCAACCTCCGACTCCCGGGTTCAAGCGATTCTCCTGCCTCAGCCTCCCGAGTAGCTGGGATTACAGGCGCGTGCCACCACAACTGGCTAATTTTTGTATTTTTAGTAGAGATGGGGTTTCACTGTGTTGGTCAGGCTGGTCTCGAACTCCTGACCTTATGATCTGCCTGCCTTGGACTCCCAAAGTGCTGGGATTACAGGTGTGAGCCACCGTGCCCAGCAAAATGACTTCATTTTGTACTTTCCTGGTTAGTAAGAGAAGTCGTGCCCCTAAAGAACCTGAGAATCACCATGTTGGCCAGGCTTGTCTCAAACTCCTGACCTCAGACAATCTGCCCACCTCGGCCTCCCAAAGTGCTGGGATTACAGGCATGAGCCACATCTCTACTGAAAATATAAAAATTAGCTGGGCTTGGTGGTGCACACCTGTAGTCCCAGCTGCTCAGGAGGCCGAGGCAGGAGAATCGCTTGAACCTCGGAGGTAGAGGTTGCAGTGAGCCGAGATCGTGCCATTGCACTCCCGCCATTGCACTCCAGCCTGAGTGATAGAGCAAGACTCCATCTCAAAAAAAAAAAAAAAAAAAAAAGGAAAAGAAAAAAGAACCTGGGAATCGTAGAGTTGGAAGTGGTCATTAAACTGGTTCAGCCCTCATTTGTGTGAGTTTCCTCAGTGTCCTAGGATAGATGTTTGCTACCTTCTTGAATATTCCTGGAAATTGGGGAGTGACTTCTTTGCTGAGATAGTCAGTTCCATTGAAATGGCCATAACTATTTGAAAGGTATCTCTGTGCCTCTTCCACCTGTGGTCTTTGTTCTGTCCTGTGTGGCTCATAGAGTGTATCTTCTAGCCAGGGATGGTGGTGGACGCCTGTAATCCCAGCTACTCAGGAGGCTGAGGCATGAGAATTGCTTGAACCTGGGAAGTGGAGGTTGCAGTGAGCCAAGATTGCACCACTGTACTCCAGCCTGGGCAACAGAGCGAGACTCTGCCTCAAAAAAAAAAAAAAAAAAAGATCTTATCTTGTCCCAGCCAGTGTTCTCTTACTTCCTTCTCATGTGTCAGTGAAAACAGCATGCACTTTAGGCTCAGAAAGACCTGGATTCAAACTCCCTGCCACCTATTGGCCTTGAAAAGTGACCTTAACCCTCTCAGGCCCCTTCTTGGCACAGTGCCTGGTATTTAATTTGCTCTATTATTACGGCTATTACTATTGTTATACAGTCTTAAATCTCCAAAACATTTTGGTTAATTTTTCTGGGCTTGATTCATTGAGCTAGTGTCCTTTTTTTTTTTTTTGAAACAGAGTTTTGCTCTTGTTGCCGCCCAGGCTGGAGTGCAGTGGCACGATCTCGGCTCACTGCAACCTCCGCCTCCCGGGTTCAAGCAATTCTCCTGCCTCAGCCTCCCGAGTAGCTGGGATTACAGGCGCCTGCCACCACGCCCGGCTAATTTTTTGTATTTTTAGTAGAGACGGGGTTTCACCATGTTGGGCAGGCTGATCTCGAACTCCTGACCTCAGGTGGTCCACCTGCCTCAGCCTCCCAAAGTGCTGGGATTACAGGCGTGAGCCACTGCGCCCGGCTGAGTTAATGTCCTTCTTAGAAATGTGTTGCTCAGGCTGGATGTAGTGACTCACGCCTGTAATCCCAGCACTTTAGGAGGCCGAGGCGGGTGGATCACTTGAAGTCAGGAGTTCAAGACCAGCCTGGACAACATAGCGAAACCCCGTCTCTACTAAAAATACAAAAATTAGCCAGGCGTGGTGGCATGCACCTGTAATCCCAGCTACTCGGGAGGCTGAGGCAGGAGAATTGCTTGAACCTGGGAAGTGGAGGTTGCAGTGAGCTGAGATTGTGCGACTGCACTCCAGCCTGGGTGACAGAGTGAAACTCCATCTCAAAAAAAAAAAAAAAAAAAATACAAGAGAATGTGTTGCTCAGTTCTGAACCTGCTGCTGATTAGACCTAAGTGGAATGGGGGTTATGGAGGTAGGAGGAGGGACTTGACCCCAGGGGTGGTGTTTGGACATTGGACCAAATTGAGGACTAGCTAAAACAAGGAAAGGGTGAAGCAGCTTTTCATAAAGCATGCCCGCCAGAGTGCCATGTTTACTGTGGCCATGGCAACACCTGGGCATTACCACCCCTTTCCATGGCAATGACCTGACAACCCAAAAGTTACTACCCTTTCCTTAGAAATTTCTGTGTTAACTGCCCCTTAATTTGTGTGCAATTAAAAGTAGGCAAAAATATGACTGCAAAACTGCCCTGAGCTGCTACTCTCTGCCTGTGGGGTAGCCCTGCTCTGCAGGAGCAGTCACGGAGCTGCAACAGGGCTGGAGCTGTAACAGGGCTGCTTCAACAAAGCTGTTTTCTTTCACCACCGGCTAGCCCTTGAATTCTTTCCTGGGCAAAACCAAGAACCCTCATGGGCCAAGCCCCACTTAGCACACCTGCTCTGCCTCAGTATCATCAACTTGTCTAGACATTATTTCTTTTCTTTTTATTTTTGAGACAGAGTTTTGCTCTTGTCGCCCAGGCTGGAGTGCAATGGCGTGATCTCGGCTCACTGCAACCTCCGCCTCCCGGGTTCAAGCAATTCTCCTGCCTCAGCCTCCCAAACAGCTGGGATTACAGGCATACGCCACCATGCCCAGCTAATTTTTTGTATTTTTAGTAGAGATGGGGTTTCACCGTGCTGGCCAGGCTGGTCTCGAACTCCTGACCTCATGACCTGCCCATCTTCGCCTCCCAAAGTGCTGGGATTACAGGCGTGAACCACTGTGCCTGGCCAACATGATTTCTTTTCATGTAATCCAATCAAATTAGCTTTTGTGGCAGCTGTAATACATCACAGACTCATAGTGCATGTACAGTCAGCTGAGAATCCCAGATTTTTTAAAACATATTACTGCCATGCTATCCGTAGTTGACTACCTACTATGTTATTTCTATTTTTTTTTTTTTTTGAGACATTCTCTCTCTGTTGCCTAGGCTGGAGTGCAGTGGCACGTTCTCAGCTCACTGCAACCTCTGCCTTCCAGGTTCAAGCGATTCCCATGCCTCAGCCTCCCGAGTAGCTGGGATTACAGGTGCCTGCCACCGTGCCTGGCTAATTTTTTGTATTTTTAGTAGAGATGGGATTTCACCATGTTGGCTAGGCTGATCTTGAACTCCTGATCTCAAGTGATCTGCCCATCTCGGCCTCCCAAAGTGCTGGGATTACAGGCATGAGCCACCATGCCCAGCATTATTTCCACTATTTTTAATGTTTACTTATTATATTTCTAATAAGTGAGGGTACATCTGTGTACATGGATTTATATCTTAGAACTACTTAATATTCTATGATTTCTCAGCAATTTTATTCATAGAGTCTTATTTTAATCCACAGAATAATCTTGGGAGGTATGTAGTATCCTAATCACTATGATTTAGAAATAGAGGCTGGAGGAGGTGGCTTGCTTCAGGCCATCCATTTAGTAAGTGGAATGGACACTGAATTCAGGGTTCTTATGGCACCTGTCCAGTCTTCTTTTGAAGGAGGAAAATAGAAAATGAGCTTTCAGTTCAGTGGGACTAATAAGGAAAGGTTTTCTGGAGAAAGTGAATATTGAGTGGATTTTTGTAAGTGAAGAAGAGGCAAGCACCAGAAGATGGGGGAGGGCCAGGTGTGGTGGCTCACATCTGTAATCCCAACACTTTGGGAGGCCAAGGCAGGAGAATCACTTGAGGCCAGGAGTTCAAGACCAGTCTGGGCAACACCCCATCTCTACACAAAATAAAATAAAATAATTAGCTGAGTGTGGTGGTGTACACCTGTAGTCCCATCTACTTGGGAGGCTGAGGCGGGAGGGTGACTTGAGCCCAGGAGTTCGAGGTTGCAGTGAGCCATGATTGTGCCACTGCACTCCAGCTTGGGCAACAGAGTGAGACCCCAACTCTAAAAACAAACAAACCAACAAAAAAACAGGTAGAAGAATGTGGGATTGAGGTGAGGGGGGATGAATAAGCAGGCAAGGTTTTTGAAGAACAAGTTCTTGGACAGATTTGGCTTCTGAGATAAGACAGCGATTCGCGACCCCAGCTGGCCACCTGGGGTGCTTTTTTGAAAAGCTCTCTTGCTGGGGCCCCACCTGCAGAGATTCTGTCAGTAGGTTGGAGGTGGCTCTCTGTATTATTTTCACACCTCCACATGTAATTCTGATGTACAGCCTGGGTTGCAAACTACTAGGTTAGGGGCTGGAGGTCATTTAACTAGAGAGAATGGTCTAGGAGTCCTTATTGTGGAAAAATGAGCTAGGCAGGTAGAACTGGAAGGGGAGAGAGAGGACAAAGCAAGGAAAAGAATGGTACAATATGAGTTCCTTGGGGGAAGCACTTTTTTTTTTTTTTTTGGAGACAGAGTCTCGCTCTGTTGCCCAGGCTGGAGTGCAGTGGCGCAATCTCGGCTCACTGCAACCTCTGCCTCCCAGGTTCAAGTGATTCTCCTGCCTCAGCCTCCTCAGTAGCTGGGATTACAGGCACGCACCACCATGCCCGGCTAATTTTTTTTGTCTTTTTAGTAGAGATGGGGTTTTACCATGTTAGCCAGGCTGGTCTAGAACTTCTGACCTCAGGCGATCCTCCCGCCTTGGCCTCCCAAACTGCTGGGATTACAGGCATGAGCCACTGTGCCCAGCCGGACGCATCTTTTTAAATTAAATTTTTAAAATTGAGAGACAGGGTCTCACTGTGTTGCCCAGGTGGGTCTCCAACTCCTGGGCTCAAGTGATCCTCCCACCTCAGCCTCCCAAAGTGCTGGGATTACAGTCATGAGCCCCTGCAACTGGCCAAGGAAACATTTTGATGATAGGAAAGCTCTGCAGGTTTCTGAGCAGGAGGGTGACATGTTTTAAGGCCCTGTGGCAGACAGATGACTGTGAATCGGAATCACCCTGCATCCTTTCTAAGTCCGGACTCTCTATTCATCCCTCGAAAGACGATTCCGTCAGTGCTCTCACTTCCTTTGCCCACACCACCTCTTTATCTTAAGATGTTTCTGTGGTTTCAGATGCATCACTTTTCCCCTTTGCTGCTGAATCTGGTTCTCTCTCCTATTTTTGCCCTCCCTGTGCTTGCAGCAGTGTTACAAAAATTGTGGACATTCACTTCAGAGTTTTATCATCTTTATTTTCAATTTGCTAGACCAGGTTGCTTTCCCCTGTATGAGGGAGTGCCAATCTCTGATTGCTGGGTACCAAACCACATCCTGGCCTGTGTGGGGTACCATGGAGGAAGGAGATAAGACCCAGACCCCTGGCAGCTCCCAGTTTAGCAGGGGAGACAAGACAACACATGAAAACAAACAGAGCACATCAAAAAGGCAACAGGTCAAACCAATGCAGGGAAACCCCTATCATTAAAGGTCTAAGCCCTGAGGCCTCCCTGCTCATCTCCAGGCTCAGAACCTTTCTGAGTCTTCTTTGACCTCATTTAGTATTTCTCTTCCATCTCTCTCTTGTTGGTTTATCTCCAGGATCAACCGCTAGAGCAGTGTCTAGGTGTTGCTTTGAAGCTTGTATCGAGATTTCTCTAGGACTCTCTGCTTCAGCCTGGCCATCCCCAACTACCAGCCACATCACAAGGACTGGACTTGTGTTAGCTACGCTGCTTCTCCAGCCTGAAGGTGCTTCTTTTTTTTTTTTTTTTTTTTTTTAAATGGAGTCTTGCTCTGTCGCTAGGCTGGAGTGCAGTGGCGTGATCTCAGCTCACTGCAACCTCCAACTCCCGGGTTCAAGGATTCTCCTGCCTCAGCCTCCAGAGTAGCTGGGATTATAGGCATGTGCCACCATGCCCAGCTAATTTTTTTGTATTTTTAGTAGAGACGGGGTTTTCCCATGTTGACCAGGATGTTCTCAATCTCCCGACCTCAAGTGATCCACCTGCCTCAGCCTCCCAAAGTTCTGGGATTATAGGCATGAGCCACCACACCCGGCAGGTGCTTCTATACCTAACTACTTCTTCGTGCATCTCTGACTTATGCTCCTTTGAGTAGGACAATTCAGTCAGGAAGGGATACCAAGCTGGTGAAAGGCATTTTTTTCAAAGTCGCAGTCCTGGGCTGGGTCTAAGGATTTCTGAATCTGGATGGGAGCCTTCCTGCTCCGCCTCTCCCAGGCTTCCCAGCTCCTGTGTAACCCAGGCGACCTCTGAAGGTCCAGGGAAACTGCTACTCTGTAGTGAAGTCCGAACTTGGCATCCCTTCTCCTTGACCCACACCCCTGTCCTCATTTGTCCCCTCTGCTGTGTCTTTGCCTCTGCGTCCCAACAGGGAGGAGCCCTGATTCCGCAGCACCTGCAGCCCTCTCCCAAATGCCCTGCGCACCACTGAAGAAGAGAAATAGAAGAGCAGGGGGTCCAGACTGGCGTTGAGTGAACTGAACACCACGGCTATTGACCGCCACCAGGGGCTTTTTCTCTGGTGATACCCCACCAGGTGGGACACGTTGTAAGGTCCGAAGCACACCAGGAAATTGAGCAGCGTCACCACAGCCAGCCCCACGGCTCGGCGCCGCCTCTGGGCCCCCACAAGGGGCTGGGAGAGCATGATCCACACAAAACGCCAGTAGCAGAAGATGGTGACTGCCATGGGGATGAAGAAGAGCACCAGGCACAGCTCCAGCCGCACGGGCAGCACCACGTCCAACTGGTTATCGGTGAAGTTCTCGTAGCAGGTAATTTCATTGCCACTTCTGACCTGCTCAGTCGTGTTCAAGTATTGAACGATGATCACGATGGTGCAGTGACCAAAGGACATAACCCAGGCCACCAGAGCTGCAATCACTCCATACAGAGGCCGGCGGGAGAGCTTGTACTGCACGGGGAAAGCCACTCCCAGGTAGCGCTCGATGCTGATGCCCGCCAGGAGCCACGTGCTGCAGTAGATGCTGCTGTAGAAGCCAAAACTCGTGAGGGCGCAGACGACCTTGGGCAGGTACCAGCGGAAGTTCGACGCAGCCTCGATGATCTTGAAGGGCAGCAGCAGCAGCAGGAGGAGGTCGGCCAGCGTCAGGCTCAGCAGGAGGATGTGCACAGGTGCAGGCTGGGGCTGGCGGATCCGCCCCACAAAGGCCCGCAGGGCCAGGAGGTTGGCAGGGAGGCCAGTGAGGAAGATGATGATGTAAGCCATGAGGATCAAGGAGCTCTTCCAGTCCGGCAGCATCCTGGAGGGGAACAAAAAAGGGCGGGGTCAGGGAGGTCTCACTCACAGCCCGCGCAGCCAGCTCTCCTTCAGGATGCGGACATCCTCCCCGGCACCGTCCCCTTCCCAGGACTGTGCTTTCTGATGCCACCACGGCTTGCTCACACCACCTGCTCGAACTACCCAGAGCAATTATTGACTTTGCCTGGGGCGGGATATTAAGCAGTAGTGATTATGTTTGCCATCATGTGTCTCTGGAGGAGACCAACTCGTGGCTTCCCAAGGGAATTCCCCCTCCAGTTTCCCTAGCCTTTCTCCTCCTGTCCTCACAGATACAGGAAGTTACTGTTGCCAGTTTCTAACTTTACTCAAGTCCCTTTCTCAGACAGAGACCTGCAGGAGAGAAAGGCATCAGTGCCGGGAGAGAGCTGTAAGATGCTTATCAGTATAAAGAGGCTGTGGCGCCCCAGGCGCGGATACCCAGTGCCAGCTCTCCAAAGGACCCAAGTGCCCAGCCACCAGCCCAGCTTCCTACTTCCGTTCGTCTGTTTTGCAGAGCACAGATTCTCCCCCACCTTGTCCTCTCCTGTCCAACACCAAACTCTGGGACTCTCTAGAAAAGGGGAAGCTGGGGCTGGGCGCAGTGGCTCACTTCTGTAATCCCAGCACTTTGGGAGGCCGAGGCGGGCAGATCACCTGAAGTCAGGAGTTCGAAACAAGCCTGGCCAACGTGGTGAAACCCCATCTCCACTAAAAAAAAAAAAAATTAGCCGGGTGATATGGCGGGCACCTGTAATCCCAGCTACTTGGTAGGCTGAGGCAGGAGAATCGCTTGAACCGGGAAGCAGAGGTTGCAGTGAGTCAAGATTGCGCCATTGCACTCCACCCTGGGCGGTAAGAGCAAAAACTCCGTCTAAAAAAAAAAAAAAAGAAAAGAAAAGGGGAAGCTGGGAGGCTTAGAGGAGGGTGGAGGGGAAGAAGGATGAACCAGCACTAGCCTTAGGAGGAAGGCTTGTCCCTAGAAGACCTTAGAGAAATATTCAGAAAAGCCCACAGGCCTTCACTGGCCCTTGAGCGTGGCATTCTGACCATAAATAGAACTCGTCTTCTTCACGGGGTAACTCAGTTTCCACTTGGGGTGTCACCCTTGCTGGCCCCAACCCAGGTCCTGTCCCTCTGTCCACTCTCCAGCCTTGATTTCCTGGCTGTTTCCTTGCTCCTCACACTAGCTCCTGTCTCTGGGTATGAGTCTTCCATTTGGTTCTGACATCCTTCCTCCAGTCTCCCAGAACCTTCCCCTCAAACCTGATCCTGGCCTCTCTTCCCAGAGCACAAGCACTACACTAGCTGCCTTGCCTTGTGTTGTTCCGGATAGGTGGCTTCTTGGGATTGGTTCTGAAGGGAGGTCTGCAAGCTTCCAGGAGAGAGGAACAGAGCTTTAGCCCCTGCTTCTGTCCATGCCATGCAGGAAAAAATGGTGAGGAACCTGGCTGGTAGTAAGCATTTATACTAGCACCAGCCACGTGACCAGAGAAAGGAAGGTCAGTCTTTAAGCACTATTTCCTCTCAAACCCAAAGGAAAGGCCCAGCATCTTTATTCTCTCCCTAGAGAATCCTCACTCTTGACTTCCAAATTCAGATTTTTCTGTCCTTAATTCCTGATTTAAAAAAAAAATTCCCAGGCATTTTTCTTTTTTTACTTCCCAAGTCAGATTATTTTCTTTTCTCTTTCTTAGGCAGTTTCTTCTGTCATTCTGCTCATTCTCAGAAATGAGCTTTCCTCCTTCCTTTTTATTTTTCCTCTTTTTTTTTGGTTTTTTTTTTCGAGGCTGAATCTTGCTCTGTTGTCTAGGCTGGAGTGCAGTGGCGCCATCTCAGCTCACTGCAACCTCTGCCTCCCGAGTCCAAGCGATTCTCCTGCGTCAGCCTCCCTGGGATGACAGGCACCTGCCACCACGCCCAGCTAATTTCTGTATTTTTAGTAGAGACAGGGTTTCACCATGTTGGCTGGTCTTGCACTCCTGACCTCAAGTGATCCGCCTGCCTTGGCCTCCCAAAGTGCTGCGATTACAGGCGTGAGCCACTGCACCCGGCACTCCTTCCTTTTCTTCTTCAATTTTTTTACTTTCTCTATGGTCTCCTGCCCTCTGCCCCCAACACATTTCTTTTGCCCGTCTCAGCTGAAACAGGCTGGTCCTGGCCTGCATCTTGTTGTGATGGAAATGGTGTGGGAGTTATAGTCATGCAGATATGGGCTCAAATCCAGGTCCCTTCATTACAACCTTGGGGGCAGATCCGTTTTCTGAAGTCTAGTTTGCTGTAGTCAAGTGAGCATGCGAATTCTGACATCCTAGGACTTCTGCGAGGATTCAGTGAGGTTGTGTATATAAAGCACTTAGCAGATGCCCGTAAGTGCTGCCTCGTCTCAAGCCTGTAACGCAGCTTCACAGAGAGTGAGCCACTTGGTGCAGCCTCCAGAGGCTCAGGGCATGGATGTGCTGTCCCTCTTGGGAAAGTGTCAGGAATTCAGGAGGCCCGAGTTCACGTGCCCATGTGGCTTTTCGTCAGGGAGTGGCACTCAGGCTCCATTCCTTTCCCTGATAAAGTCTCACTGTTTCCCCCTCTCTGACCTTGGTAGCCCCAGGTTAGGAGCTCCTGAAGGTCCCTTTGAAATACACACCTAATGCAGCAAGGATCGTTGGAACGTGTTTTCCTCTTGAACTAGGGAGGAAGTCTCAGAAAGAAGTCTCTGTTCTGCCATCTGTGGCCTGATTCCTGCTCACAGAATCCCCATTCTTTCCCTAGGACATACCTACTTCCTATTGTTTGCCATTCATTCAGTCATTCAGTCAGTCAGTCATTTATTCTTTTTGTGGTCTGTAACCCCAGGGTCTAGACATTTTGATATTTAGCTTTTCTTTCTCGTCCACTCTACTCTCCTCTGAAGGCGTTCTAGTTCTTTATTTCCTTCCCCCAGCACACGTCGCTTCTCAGATCAACAGGAGAACTAAGAAAGAGACCATTCTCTCTTGTTGCCACCAAATTTATTTGTGTCATTTCGCTTTTATGATTTCCTATAAACATGCACGAGGATCTGGATTTAATTGCAGAATCCAGGAAACTCATTGGAAAACAAGTGTTGAGGAGTGGGACTGCCTCTCTGTCTCTGCACGTTCTTCTCCCCCCACCTCCTGCCTTTCGCCGTCACTGTCGTGAGTCCCCCTGTGGAAGACGCCCCAACGAAACCCCCTCTCTGGGTTCACAGCAGTTATGAATGTTCACCGCAGTTATGAAGGGAGCATCACCAAGGAGGCTTTCAGTCTCACAGTTCATGATGTCCACCTACGTCACAGGAAAAGGAAACCCAACCTCTCAGACCGAGTTCAAGGGGGTAAACTTTCACAAGAGCAATATCCTTCACAGTTCCTTCCAAGTTCAGTTTTCTCTCATCGTCTTTATAATGCAGCCTGTCATCACAGGAAGTTGGACCCTTATCTAAAGTTCTGTGTAATCACTTCCACATTCTTAATTCTCACTCGCCCCTCAGTCCACCCTAATCTGGGTTCTGTGCCTATTTTCCATGGGATTTTCTCTTCCCGATGTTAGCAGTGACCTCCATGTTCCTAAATTCAGTGGACTTACGCTTTTCTTATTTTATTAGCATTCAACACAATTTCCACGCCCTTCTGGAAACATCCTCTTTTCACAAATTCTGATACGTTACGCTGCTAGCTTCCCTCTCTTTCCTTTGGTCACTTCTCGTACCCCTTTGCTAGCTCACCATTCCCCTACTCATCCCCGAAATGGTGACTTCCTTCAAGCTTGGCTCCAGGTTCTTTCCTGTTCTCGCCTGTGCTCTCCTTCTAGTCGACTGCAACTGTTTCCGTAGTTCCAGTTACCACCTTCATGACACCCCTGGTTTGAATCTTCACCCTAGGTTTCTGTGAGCTTCACATGTACACGCTCAACTGCCTAGTTGACACTGCCATTGGGTGTCTCACAGGTGTCCCAAATCAACCAAATCAAATGTGTCCAGACCTGGCCTCAGATCTTCCTTCTTCCACCCTTCCCTGTCTTGGGGCGTAAGATCTCTTCCCATCACATCTCCTGCACCATTATCTTAGAGTCAGTCTTTTTTTTTTTTCTTTTTAATTTCGAGACTGAATCTCACTCTGTCGCCCAGGCTGGAGTGCAGTGGCACATAGTCTCGGCTCACTGCCACCTCTGCCTCCCAGATTCAAGCAATTCTCATGCCTCAGCCTCCCGAGTAGCTGGGATTACAGGCATGTGCCACCACACTCGGCTAATTTTTGTATTTTTAGTAGAAACGGGGTTTCACCATGTTGGTCAGGCTGGTCTCGAACTCCTGACCTCAAGTGATTCGCCCGCCTTGGCCTCCCAAAGTGCTGGGATTATAGGCGTGAGCCACTGAGCCTGACTAGAGTCAGTCTTAAAGTGAATCTCAATATTATCTTCTTCCTTATCCCTAGAATGCAGTCTGATGTACTCCCCAAATACTTATGGATTCCAAATATGAATCCATCCATCCGTCTCCATCTCCATCATCCCATCTCAGTGCCATCATCCCTACCAGGATTTCAGCAGGGCCCTGACTCACTTCCTCTCATCCATCTGCTTCCCTGGCAGTCAGTTCTCCATACTGTATTAGTGGAATCATTTTAAAAATGTCAATCCAATTATACGACCTTCTTGTCCTTTCAGAGACTTCTCACTGCTTTTAGGAGAAATATCAACATCCTTAAAAAGGCCTGCCTAGCATGGCCCTTGCCAGCTTCCACTCACATCACTCTTCTCTCTCTTTGCTGTCTGGGCAGGGCCATTTTCCACTTCTGTGAATGTGTCATGTTTTCCATCTGCCATGGGGAGCTTGAACCAGCCCCTGCCTGGTATGTCTTTATTTCTTGTTACCCATTCCAACTTTCACAGTTAATTTGTAGCTTTCTTTCAGATAACCATTTACTTCCTTAAGAAATCCCTGTCTGGCTGGGCACAGTGGTTCACACCTGTAATCCCAGCACTTTGGGAGGCCGAGGCAGGTGGATTACCTGAGGTAAGGAGTTCGAGACCAGCCTGGCCAACATGGCGAAATCCCGTCTCTACTAAATATACAAAAATTAGCCGGGATAGTGGCGCACGCCTGTAATCCCAGCTAGTCAGGAGGCTGAAGCAGGAGAATCACTTGAACCCAGGAGGCGGAGGTTGCAGTGAGCCAAGATTGCGCCACTGCATTCCAGCCTGGGCGACAGAGCAAGACTCTGTCTCAAAAAAAAAAAAAAAAAAAAAAAAGGCCCTGACCTCCTAGATTTCGATTCCCCTCTTACAGGTTAAGCATCTTTTCTATTGCTGAATAGTATTCTGTTTTAAGGATATTTCCTATTTTATTTATCCATTCATCTGTTGATGGATATTTGGTTGGTTTGGGTTTTTTTTAAAAAGTTTTTGTCTAGTATGAATACAGCTGTTAAGAACATTCTTGTGTGGAAATGTTTTCAGTGCTGTTGGGCAAATACCTGGCAGTGTATTGGCCAGGTGGTATGGTAAAACGTTTTATTAACTTTTTAAGAAACTACCAGTTTTCCAAAGTAGCTGTGCCATGTTGCATTCCCACCAGCAGCCTACGAGCATTTCAGTTGCTCCACATCCTCACCAACACTTGACAATTGTTAGTTTTTAATTGTGGGCATTCTAATAAGTATGCCATGGTATTTTTGTGTGTGTGTGTGAGACAGAGTCTCGATCTGTCGCCCAGGCTGGAGTGCAGTGGCGCCATCTCCACTCACTGCAAACTTCACCTCCTGGGTTCAAGCCATTCTCGTGCCTCAGCCCCCTGAGTAGCTGGGATTACAGGCACGTGCCACCACACCTGGCTAATTTTTGTATTTTTAATACAGATGGGGTTTTGCCATGTTGGCCAGACTGGTCTTGAACTCCTGACCTCAGGTGATCTGCCCGCCTCAGCTGCCCAAAGTGCTGGGATTACAGGCGTGGACCACCGTACCCGGCCTTTGTTGTGGTCTTAATTTATACTTTCTTGATGATTATTGGTGTTAAGCATTTTTTCAAGTACTTATGAGCCATTTGTATATCTTCTTTCGTGGAATGTCTGTTTAAATATTTTGCTCATTTAAAAAATTTTAGGCTGGGCATGGTGGCTCACACCTGTAATCCTAGCATTTTTGGAGGCTGAAGTGGGTGGATTGCTTGAGGTCAGGAGTTTCAGACCAGCCTGGCCAACATAG
The DNA here is from genome assembly GCF_000001405.40 of Homo sapiens. Taxonomy (NCBI): domain Eukaryota; kingdom Metazoa; phylum Chordata; class Mammalia; order Primates; family Hominidae; genus Homo; species Homo sapiens. Next base: position 35,443,475 of record NC_000019.10, on the reverse strand, counting down.
TGAAACCTCATCTCTACTAAAAATACAAAATTTAGCTGGGCGTGGTGGCGGGCGCCTGTAATCCCAGCTACTAGGGAGGCTGAGGCAGGAGGATCGCTTGAACCCAGGAGGCAGAGGTTGCAGTGAGCCAAGATCATACTACTGCACTCCAGCCTGGGCAACAGAGTGAAACTCTGTCTCAAAAAAAAAAAAAAAAAAAAGAAAAATTGGATTATTTTCATATAGTTGAGTTCTGAGAGTTCTTTATTATATTCTTGGTACTAGTCATTTGTCAGATGTATATATTACCAATATTTTCTGCCATTCTGTGACTTTTCTCTTCTTTTAATTTTTTTTTTTTTTGAGACAGAGTTTCACTTTGTTGCCCAGGCTGGAGTGCAGTGGCTCCATCACAGCTCATTGCAGCCTTGACCTCCCAGGCTCAGGTGACCTTTCCGCCTCAGCCCTCCAAGTAGCTGGGACTGCAGGCACCTGCCACCATGCCTGACTAATTTTTCTATTTTTTGTACTGATGAGGTTTTGCCATTTTGTCCAAGCTGGCATCGACCTCCTGAGCTCAAGCAGTCTGCCCACCTCGGCCTCCCAAAGTGCTGGGATTACAGGCATGAGCCACTGTGCCTGGTCTTCATTTTCTTAATTGTCTCTTGAAAAGCAAAAAAGTGTTACATTTTGACAAGGTCTAATTTATCTGGTTTTTCTTCTATGGTTTGTGCTTTTATGTCCTAAGAAGCTTTTACCTCCTTATCCAATTATTCCAGATTTTCCTTTCCCTGTTGAATTGCCGCGGCACCTGTACTAAAAACCCATTGGTTGTATGTGTGTGTGGTACTATTTCTGGACGCTCTATTCTTCTGAGAGACTCTGTGTCTTGCCTTTCATCATTTGCACACGGTATTTTTAAAATTTATTTATTTTTATTATTTTTTAAAATTTTTATTTTTAGATGGAGTCTTGCTCTGTCTCCCAGGCTACAGTGTTGTGGCGTGATCTCAGCTCACTGAACCCTCCTCCTCCTGGGTTCCAGCAATTCTTCTGTCTCAGCCTCCTGAGTAGCTGGGATTACAGATGCTTGCCACCACCCCCGGCTAATTTTTGTATTTGTATTAGAGACAGGGTTTCGCCATGTTGGCCAGGCAAGTCTTCAACTCCTGACCTCAAGTGATCCACGTGCCCCGGCCTCCCGAAGTGCTGGGATTACAGGCACGAACCACTGTGCCCGGCCTGCACACAGTCTTGATTACTGTGGTTTCATAATAAGTCTTGAAATAGAGTAAGTCCTCCAACTTCCTTCTTCTTTTCTAAATTTGCTGTGGCTATTCTGGGTCATTTGCATGTTCATATAAATATTAAAATCAATTTCTACAGAAAAGCCTGCTGGAATTTTGAATGGGCTCACACTGAATCCATAGATCAATTTGGGATCATTGACACTGGACATCTCTCTCCATTTATTTAGGTCTTTAATTCCTCTCAGCAATGCTTTCTAGTTGTCAGCATAGAGGTTTTGCATGATTCTAAATATTTTGGAGGCAGCTGTAAATTTAATTTTTTTAGAGTTTATTTTCTCATTGTTGGTTGCTCTCATAGCATCTTTTACTATTCCTTCCTATGTCCCACGTCTCAATTTATTATAATGTGTTCATTAGCATGAGGATTTGCATTAAGATGGATGTGAAGTCTACCTCCCCTTATGAGACTGTCCACAAAGCAGGGAACACAGCTGCTTTGCTCACCATTGCATCCTCAGGACCTGGCGTGCAGCCTGGAACATGTTAGGCCCTTAGTAACTATTTCCTGGATGACAGTGGAGGATAGATGGATGAGAGTGACTTCAGAATGGAGATAAGTCCATTTCAAAAACTCAGAGGACGCTTGTCCTCAGATGCCTCATTTATCTTTTTCTGGGACCTGTTAAGACATCCTGGACGTGTAATCACTTGAGAGCTGTCTTGTGGTTTAAGGGACTTGCAGCAAAAGCCACAGGACCTTTTTCCTCATGGTCAGCACTGATGATCCAGGCTATATACCTTTTTTTTTTTTTTTGAGACGGAGTCTTGCTCTGTCATCCAGGCTGGAGCATAGTGGCGTGATCTTGGCTCATTGCAACCTCTGCCTCCTGGGTTTAATTGATTTTCCCGTCTCAGCCTCTTGAGTAGCTGGGATTACAGGTGTCTGTCACCATGCCCTGCTAATTTTTGTATTTTTAGTAGAGACGGGGTTTCACCATGTTGGCCAGGCTGGTCTTGAACTCCTGACCTCAGGTGAACCGCCTGCCTCGGCCTCCCAAAATGCTGGGATTACAGGCGTCAGCCTCTGCGCCTGGACCCATCTGTATTTTTCAACCATGATATTTCTAATGCTTGGCACAGATCCTGGCACATCCTGGGGGGTGGATATATATTTGTTAAATGAATGAATGAATGAAACAATTGCCAGCCTCCCAAATGCTGGGATTACAGGTGTGAGCCACTGCACCCGGCCTTAAGACTCCATTTTTGAGCAGTGGGAAGTCACTTAGGGCCATAAGAGGGGAATGATGTGATGTGATATATGATTCTAGAAGATCAAGCCTGCTACTGTGTGAAGAATGCTCCCTAGAAGGACAGAACTGGAAGCAGAGGGATCCGCTAGGAGGGTGTTGCAGTCGCCAGGGGTTGAGGGGATTGAGGATGGCATGGATAAGGGAGAATGTGCACCCGGGGCAGAGAGGATCACTTAGGATTTGAGATATGTAACTTTGTTTTATTATTATTATTTCTAAATGTTTTTATTATTTTTATTTTTGGTAGAGATGGGGTCTTGTTATGTTGCCCAGGCTGGTCTCAAACTCCTGGCCTCAAGCCATACTCTCACCTTGGCTTCCCAAAGTGCTGGGATTACAGGTGTGAACCACCACGTCTGGGCTGATTATTATTATTTTTAGAGGTGGGGGTCTCGCTCTGTCACTTCAGGCTGGAGTGCAGTGGTGTGATCATAGCTCACTCCAGCCTCGACCTCCTGGGCTCCAGCGGTCCTCCCACCTCGGCCTCCCAAGTAGCTGAGACTACGGGCTTGGCCACCACACTTGGCTAATTTGCTATTTTTTGTAGAGACAGGGTCTTGCTGTGTTTCTCAGGCTGGTCTCAAACACCTGGCCTCAAGCGATTCTCCTGCTTTGGCCTCCCTAAGTGCTGGGATTACAGGTGTGGGCCATTGCACCCAGTGTGCAATTTTAAATAAATGACAATTAATAAGGAAGTACAGGATGCCAGAGAGAAATGGAACTCTCCTAGGGATGAAGAGGGAAGGAGAATCTAGACCAGCACGTGCTGATGGACTTTGAGACGTAATGGCCCCTGTGCCAGTGCAGTTCCCCTGAGTTCATTTGCGTATCACCTTTTTTGAGCCCTGCAGAGGCCTCACCAGAGGAGCTCACCCACTGTGAAGGTAACAGTTTATGCCCACCCCCCTCCGTGCATCTTCTCTTTTAGTTGTCTATTATGCAGCCTCCCCTGTCACTCCAGTCGTGGGGTCCTTCACTTCCACAGTCCCTGCAGAACCCATCCCCGGGCTGGTACATTGCTGAAGAAGAAAATTAAAAGGAGCGTCTCAAGGCTAGCTTCTTGGGAGAACTCTGCAGACTCTGTCTCTGTGGCCTTGGTGGTGGGCCTCTGTGGTTGTTCCCACCCACTGCCGGTAGCCATACCCCAACCTCTCTCTGCAGAGACCTCTCCTTCCTCCACTCTCCGTCCACCTGAGTCCTGTTTATTAGACTTCACTCCTGGCCAATCACACCAGCTGTGGTGGCCAAATGATGGTCCCCCCAAAAGAGACCCATATCCTAATCCCTGGAACCACGGCCAAAAGGGACTTTGCATTGGGATTAAGAAGCTTGAGATGGGGAGGTCATCTTGGACTATCTGAGATGGCCCTAAACATAATCACAAAAAGGAGGAGGCAGAACTGGGCGCATTGGCTCACACCTGTGTTCCCAGCACTTTGGGAGGCCGAGGCAGGCAGATCACTTGAGGCCAGGAGTTCGAGACCAGCCTGGCCAATATGGCAAAACCCCGTCTCATCTCTATTAAAAATCCAAAAACTTAGCCAGGCATGGTGGTGTGCATCTGTAATCCTGTAATCCCAGCTACTCCAGAGGCTGAGGCAGGAGAATCACTTGAATACGGGAAGTGGAGGCTGCAGTGAGCAGAGATCGTGCCACTGCACTCTAGCCTGGCAACAGAGTGAGACTCCGTCTCAAAAAAAAAAAAAGAATCTTTAGATGGGGAGATAATCTTGGACTATCTGAGATGGTCCTAAATGTAATCACAAAAAGAAAGAGGTAGAGGGAGAAATCAGACAGAAGGGGAGAAGATGCTGTGATCCTGGAGGACCGGAGTGATGTAGCTGCAAGCTAGCGCCCACCAGAAGCTGGAAGAGGCAAAGAATGGATTTTCTCAAGAGCCTCCGGAGAAATGGAATCCTGCTGAACACCTGTGTTCCATCCCAGCCGGATCTGGCTGGAGTCACCCCGAAAAGCTGTGGCAAGGGAGTTTCTGTCGAGGAGTTCCCCAAACCATCCCAAGAGGGGGCCAGATGGGTTCCCAAAGCAAGAAGCACCAAATGCCAGGGTGATTAGTGCAAAGCATTTCGGAGGGGAATTTGCAGAGTGGGCTGCAGCATCCTCAAGACGAACAATGAGAGAAAAGGGAGGGGGCAAGGGAGGGGTTTGCATGAGGGTTTAAGGAATTTGGCCCAGGGCCAGGGCTGGTTTCTTTCAGTGTCTAAACACCTTTATCAGTGCCTGGGAATGTTCAAGCCCTGGCTTGGGTTCAAGTCTGCAGAGAAAACACGCAGCTGGCTGGGTCGCAGGTTGGTCAAGGCACTCTGTTTCTTGGTCAGGACAGAGGAAAAAGGAGGGAAAATTAGGAGACCCTGCACCTTGATTTCAGCCCCGTGACACTGGTTTTGGACTTCTAGTCTTCAGTACTGTGAGAGAATAAATTTCTGTTATGTTAAGCCACCAAGTTTTTGGCAATTCATTACAACAGACAGAGGACATAGCAGACATGGCAGCCAACATTTATTGTATTGTATGACACTGTGTATCAAGTGCCATGCAAAAAGCTTTGCAAAGATGAACTCATGTAAATCTTAAAACATCCTAGGAAGTTACACACTCATCCCCTTTAACGGACGAGGAAGCTGAAGTATGTAGAGAAAGAAGTGATTTGCCTGGAGTCATGCATCTGGTGGACGGAGGAACTGAACTCTGAACTAAAAAGTCCATGGGCTTTTTTTATTTTTTATTTTTTTAGACAGGGTCTCGCTCTGTTGCCCAGGCTGGAGTGCAGGGGCACAATCATGGCTTACTGAAATCTCTGCCTCCCACGCTCAAGTGATTCTCCTGCCTCAGCCTCTGGAGTAGCTGGAATTACAGGTGCACGCCAGCATGCCTGGCTAATTTTTTTTTTTTTTTTTTAGACAGGGTCTCACTCTGTCACCCAGGCTGGAGTACAGTGGCACTATCTTGGCTCACTGAAACCTGCGACTTCAGAAATCCTCCCACTTCAGCCTCCCGAGTAGCTGGGATTACAAGATTACAGTGCGCCACCATGCCCGGCTAATGCTTGTATTTTTTGTAGAGACGGGGTTTCACCATGTGCCCAGGCTGGTCTTGAACTTTTGGACTCAAGCGATCTGCACACCTTGGCCTTCCAGAGTGTGGGGATTACAGGCGTGAGCCCCCGCGCCCGGCTGGAGTCCATGGTCTTTACCACCGCACTACACTCGCCACTGTACTGTGAGGGCCCCGGTTAGACCCAACTTCTTTGGTGGCCCCTGGAAGTCCTGTGCATCCCACAGAGGAGGACATGGGGGACAGGTCAGGGTGTGAGATGGTGTCAACTGCTTCCTGCAGGGTGTGTCTGTGTGGTTACCAGGCTTCTTGCCAGTGGTCTTCACTCTTTCCCTGAAACCATGAAGGAGTAACCTTCAACCCCAGACTCCCAAGACCCAGGCAACTCCCAGCCTTCCACATGTCCTCGTTCCTGCCATAGCCCCAGATCCCAGATGCTGCAATCTGTCGTCAGTCCCCACTCCCTGTCTCTAAACATTCTGGATACACAGGAAGTAGAGGGAAGATTCTATTTACTGTTTCTGTCTACCGTTTACCAAGTTGTTTGCTTTCATGGTTTCCATGAATGCTTATAAGACTCTGGATTTGATTGTGAAACAGAATGAAGAGCTTGGGAGGAGGAATGTTTATTCCAGGAATCCTGGAGAGGTTGCCTGACCTTTTCCTCCTTCCCCGAGCCCCCTTCTCCATCTGCTGTCCGTGCAGAGGTGACCACTGGACTAGACACAGGACTAAAAAGCCCTCCCCCTGCCGCTTCCGGGCCAGACCCCTGGGTAGCTAGCGCGGGTTCACACCACCCTTGATAAGGGCCAGAAGGCAGCTGGTCGTTTCCTTGGGCTGATTTTCAGTGCTGACCCTGAGCCAGGGAGGAGAGGCAGCAGAGTGTCTGGAGGCGGAAACTTGCAGTCAGGTGCTGGCTGATCCTGCAAAAGACACACCAGATGGGGGGCAAAACTAGTTGCTCTGTGTTCCTTTCCCCAGCCCAACCTTGTCTCTGTTTTCCTCCATTACCTGCTTCTGCCACATACATGACTCATCTTCCCCTAAGAGTTGTGGTATCGCTGGAGTCACCAGGGTTTCTGTCTGCTTTGCAGAATCTTAGGAAACTTAAATTAGACGGCAGATTTTCAGGAAGTGCAGGGAGGATATCAGAAACTCCCGGGTGTCACACCCGGGGAGTTGGCAGCACGTTTCAAAATGCTTGGAAATTTTCCAAGAGAGAGAGAAAAGCCCTGGTTTTCTTAATGCAAACCAGAAAGTAAAGTTTCTGTTTATCAGAAGTGGGAAGTGGTTAAAAATAGATTGAGAAACAGTGATGCAGTGGACATAACACTCTAAGACCCGCTCTTGGTAAAGTTTACGTGAACTGAGATCCTCTTCACGTTGAGCCATCTTCCCTGAGCCTTTTCCAATGCCAGAAGAATTCAGATTCCATAGGAAGCAGGGAAGACTGCTCTCAGGAGAAGGTGGGAGGGGAGAATGTAGTCTTAATTTTGGGAATGTCTTGGGGATTCCTTCCCCCACTTTTTTTTTTCCTTGAGCCCTTGCTACTTGATGATATGAAGCCACAGTGAATTAGCACCCAGAAGCCTTCCCTTCTGTCTCTAGAAGTCTTTGCCATTTATGAAGATAAAACCCTTATATCTCATTTGAGGACTGTCAAATATGCCCAAATAACAGAGACTTAAACACATAGAGGTTTATTTTTCTCATGGGACATGAAGGAATTAGGGAACCCATGTCCACGGCTGCTGCTCAGGATCACTCATCCATCCACAGCCTGGGGTCCTCTGGCTATCTGTTTCACTATCCCCAGATCTTGGCTTTCGCTTCATGGTCCTAAGAAGCATCTACATTCTGAGCAGAAAAACAGGGGGCAGGGAGGACAGAGAGCAAAAGACGTATGAGAGATGGATCTATCCCTTTTTCAAGCAGGAAAATGACAACTTTTCTAGATGCAGTGGCTCACGCCTGTAATTCCAGCACTTTGAGAGGCCGAGGCAAGAGGATCGCTTGAGGCCAAGGGTTCGAGACCTGCCTGGGCAACAGAGTGAGACCCCCTATCTCTACAAAAAATAAAAAAAAAATCTAGTTGGGTGTGGTGGTGCACTCTTATAGTTCCAGCTACTTGGGAGGCTGAGGTGGGAGGATCGCTTGAGCCTGGGAATGGGAGGCTGCAGTGAGCTGTGATGGCACCACTGTACTCCAGCCTGGGCCACACAGCGAGACCTTGTCTCTAAAGAAGGAAAAAGGAAAATGATAGCTTTTCTGGAAGCCCTACCCAGCAGATGTGTACTTATTTCCAACTGGCTGACATTGTATCTCATGGCAATTCCTAGCCGCAAGAGAGTTTGGGCAAATGAGTATTAATTGGGCACTTCCCGAACCTAACAAAATTGGGACCCTGTTGGCAAGGAAAAAGGGGAGAGTTCCAAAATTATACAGATCTTGAATAGCAAATATGGGGAGCAAAACCAATTATAAGCCTAAAATATCTATGGTAGCCATAGGAAGATGTGGGATTTTAGAGGGGGCTTTTATCAATTGTGTTATTAACAGGTAACATACATACAAAAAGGTGAGCTCAACTTAGGGATACAGCTGGATGCATGTTAACATATCTGTACATTTGTGTATGACCACCCAGGTTGAGATGCAGGCCATTTTCAGCACCCTAGAGGCCCTTTTATTCCCTCTCAGTCAGCAAACCTTCCACTCCTAAGATAACCACTTTTCCAGCTTCTACCTCTTTTTTTTATCTATTTATTTTATTTATTTATTTATTTATTTATTTTTGTGAGACAGGGTCTCTGTAGAGTGAGTGCTCATATGAGCACTCCCAGGCTGGAGTGCAGTGGTGCGATCTTGGCTCACTACAACCTCTGCCTCCCGGTTTCAAGCAATTCTTCTGCTTCTGCCTCCCGAGTAGCTGGGGTTACAGGCGCATGCCAACACACCCAGCTAATTTTTATATTTTTAGTAGAGATGGGGTTTCGCCATGTTGGACAGGCTGATCTCAAACTCCTGACCTCAAGTGATCTGCCCACCTCCGCCTCCCAAAGTGCTGGGATTACAGGCATGAGCCACCATGCTCGGCCTTGTTTCTATTTTCTTTGACACAAGCACTGTTTATCTTCCAGTGTAAGAACGCAATCAACCATAGCACTGTGGGATAGCAGCCAGGAGGCTGGCTGTATCCTGCTGCAGCAGCCACCACACATGGAGGGCGGAGGGACAGCCACCCTGTTGTGTAGCTCGGAGCAGCTGTGTCCTTCAGTGCAGGTCCAGCCAAGAGCCGTGGGCCACAGATGACGCTGGTGGGGAAGCAGAGGGCAGACTAGGCAGAGGCAAGGCTTTCCTGTGCCCTGAGCTGTCAGAGATGGGCCAGGGCCTTCAGCTTCCTCGATAGGGCAGAAGTGACCACGCTGGCTCCATTCAGCAAAGGACGTGGACGGAGCTGCCGGGCTTGTCTGAGAGGAGGAGAAATGTGGAATTGAGTGAGGCTCTCTAAGAAGGTTCTGCTGGAGTTGAGAAAAATTAGGGTGAGGCACCTCCCCGATTTTATGTCCTTTTTCCTGGGTCCAGCCTCCTGAACAGCTACCATTCGCTTCTGTGAGACACCTGTCGGTGCCTCCTTTTCCAGCCCTTAATGGAACGGTGAGTGAGGTTCCCTGACTGGGGTGGAGTCTGCTTGTGAGTTTCCCCATCCCATGTCTCTCTGACTCCTGCTCCAACTCCTTACTTCGCCAGTTCCTCTCCCAGCCACCTCAGACTTCCCATACCACCCTCCCTGGACAGGAAGCGTTTTTACAGGAGTTTGAAGCTTCAGGAGTGCCCTCCGGCCACATGAAGACAAGGCGCTAACAAACATGGCGTTCTGCAAATTGCACCATCGCCAACTCCTGTCTTACTCTCACAGAGGTCTCTTGGGCTCTTCTGAGAAGGGTGAATGAACTTGGTTGGAGGGAAGAGAGGGGTTTGGTGGCTCTTAGTAAAATTGCTTCACGCAGTGACCTTTGGCAGTTTAGGATAATAACCTGTGCAGAGAGAGGGTCTCCTGTCCTGAAGTCACAGCCCGGATCTCCAGGCTGGCTCTGCTGCCTCTGAATGATTTGTGGGTCACACACGCCAACAGCATCGCCAAGGGCTGACATCAGCCTGCTTGAGCCACGGAAACTGAATGGGCAAGGATGAGTTCCCCAGCACAGAGGGAGGCATCCTCTGTCAAGACCATCTGCGCATGTGCTGTGCAGTCTCCAGTCTGCACTGTGAGGTTAGTACTTCTTCCTCTCTCTAGAAAGTGTAATGGGGGCCAGGCATGATGGCCCACACCTGTAATCCTAGCACTTTGCGAGGCTGAGGTGGGCGGATTGCCTGAGCTCAGGAGTTTGAGACCACCCTGGGCAACATGGTGAAACCCTGTCTGTACTAAAATACAAAAAAATTTAGCTGGGTGTGGTGGCGGGCATGTGTAATCCCAGTGACTCAGGAGGCTGAGGCAGGAGAATCGCTTGAACCCGGGAGGCAAAGGTTGCAGTGAGCCGAGATCATGCCACTGTACTCTAGCCTGGGCAAAAGAGCGAGACTGGCTCAAAAGAAAGCATAACAGAATACTCATAACTGACAGTGACGTTGTAACAGCTTACCTTATATCCTCTCATTTCTTTGTTTACTTAAACTTCCAAAGCCTAGTTTTTTCAGTATTACCAGGAACCATGGACTTACATTTCTTGCCTCTTGGTGTGTTGCCACATCCCAGCAGTGTGTCTCAACGGCTTTTGAGAACTGCTTCGAGAGGGGACCAGATGCGCAGAGACAAGCTTCCAGCCTGGCTAGGGACGGACCCTCTGGGGATGCTCCTCTCTGGCCGGGCAGCAGTAGAAGCACCTGCCTCCATCCACATCCAGACGCCATTCCCTTTTCTTCACCGCTGCTTCCCATCAGATGGTCCCCAGGAGTGGCAACCTCCCACTTGGTCTCGCAGGAGTCCCAGTGCTTCTCAGGTGTGTGTGCCACATCCCTCTTCTCTGAACACACAGTGGTCAGGGTGCCTGCACAGGGAAGGGCACCACAGTCCACCCTGGGAAAGGTCTTCAGTCTTCGGGAAAGAGCCTGTAAGCACCTTGACTGCTCTTCTTCTCTAGGGCAGAGAGCTTTCTTATCCACAGGGGTCCTTAGTCAGAGAGAGGGAGCGCACTCGGTGAGCTCTTTCAGAGGCAGCAGAGCCCTCTGCCTCTCCCCAAATCCCTGCTCCTACAAGTCGAATTAATCTCTCCTAGAAATCCAAGTCCTAACTTCTTCCAGGCGTCTTTTTACATCCACTGTTTGCATAGCCCACCCTTTCTTCTTTGGAGGATCCCCTCAGGTAACTTCCATCTGCTCCTCAGTGTGTCTTACCCCTTCCTTCTGTTCTTTCTTCACCTCCCTCCCTCTCCACCTCCACACTGGACTATATCAAATTCCTGTTCATTTTTTAGCATGGCCCAGTCAAAGCAGGTTAATCTCTCAGTCAGCAGAGGACATTTCACAAAAATTGGGGCCGCTAAATCACAAAAATATTCTCTAAGTCCAGGGCCAGCCCAGAAAAAATGCCCCAAGTCCAGGCAGCCCCCCAGAGTCTGCCGCCGTCTGGAAAATCCGGCTCAGCTCTTGCTCCTGCACATCCTCTCCTTTCCAGTGCTCTGTGTCTGGTCCCTGTCCCACCTCCTCTCCTTTCCCCAGTGTCTTCTGTCTGAATTCTGTGGGCCCAGGACAGCCCCAGCCTTCTCAAAGTCACCTGCATGTCTCTTGGATTAGGCAGCTGAGTGCAAGGTAACAACCAGATCATGCATTTTCATCTCTCCATGGATGGTTGGGGATAGAGCATCACAAGACAGGCATTGTGGCTGGGTGTGTTGGCTCATGCCTATGATCCCAGCACTTGGTGGGAGACCAAGGCAGGTGGATTGCTTGAGCTCAGGAGTTCAAGACCAGCCTGGGTAACATGGTGACACCTGATCTCTACAAAAAAATACAAAAATTAGCCAGATGTGGTAGTGCATGCCTTTAGTTCCAGCTACTCAGGAAGCTGAGGTCAGAGGATCACTTGAGCCCAGGAGATCAAAGCTGCAGTGAGCCTAGATTGTGCCACTGCACTCTAGCCTGTGGGACAGAGTGAGACCCTGATTTTTTTTTTTTTTAAAGGCAGACATGGTTCTTGCCTTCATGAAATTGACATTGTAGTTGTGGGGAGGGGTGAGACACTAGTACAGTCTCTACAGTAATATAGGAGGTAATGTGGGGCACGCTTTCGGAAGGAAATAGAATTGGATGATAGAATAGGGTAATCTGTGCTGGGGGCAGCAGGGAAATGTCCTTGAAGGGGTGACATTTGAGCCGAGGCCTGTAGGTGCTCTCCATGGAAGAGCTGGGAGAGGAACACTCGGGGCAGATGGGACATTTTTTGCAAAGGCCCTGAGGCGATACGAAGCTTGGTGTGATGGAGAAACCGAAAGGAGGCCAGTGTGGCTGGGGGGGTGGGGTGGGAATGAGCATGAGGGAAGTGATGGGAAACCAGGTCAGAGACGTGACAGCTGGGGGTGGAGGGGGTGGAGGGAAAACACATGGTGCAGGGCCCTGTTGTCCAAGGTGAGGATTTGGATTTTATTCCCAAAGTCATAGGAAACTCTTGAAGGGTATAAGGCAGAGGAGTAAGTGATCTGATGTATGGGTTTCATTTCTTTTATCATGTTTTATTTTCTTTCTTTATTTTTGTATGATGTGTGGGTTTTAAGGATTCCTCTGGCTTCCTGTTTTGTGCAAGTGTCTTGCCCCACTGTCTGTCAAAACTTTCTTCTTTCCCTGCCATTAGGGAAGCCCTCATGATTCAGCAGCTGCTCATTTCTCTTTCTCTCTCTCTCTCTATCTCTTCTGGCTTCACCGTCCTCCTGCAGTTGAATCCAAAGCTCATACCAATCTCTGCACAACAGCCAATAAATCAAGAGACGAGATATTGGGGGAAGGAAAAATGACATTATTTCAGAGAGCCAGCAGACTGAGGAGATAGCAGACCTAGTGTCTTGAGAACAATCTTAAGTAATAGAATTTTGGGCTCCTTTTACATTAGGGAAGGGGGAAGAGAGTGAGGTTTAAGATCAAGAGGTGACCGATGATAGCGGACATCTGGGTGGCAGTGAGTGTCCGAGGAGGGGCACTGTGCAACTTCTTTGTCCTGCTGAGGTCACAATGTTCCTATAAATCTTTAATATGATGTAGCTGCTAGTGTGTACACCCTCCTTATCTCCTTGGGGGTGAGTGTTGGGAAGGGATTATTGTCATCCTTGCTTTAAAGTTAAACTGTAAACTAAATTCTTCCCATGATTAGCTTGGCTGATGTGCAGGAATGACAAAGACCATTAGCTTGTGAGGTTAGAAGCAGGGTGGAGTCAGCTATGTCAGATTCTGCTGTTACACTCCATGCAGACCCACTTTCTAGATGAGGAGGGGGAGCATAAGTGTACTTTGCGTCTCTTGACTGTCCTCACATCATCTGCTTTTATTATTTTCTGTAAATGTTTATCATGTCCTGGATTTGAGTGAATACCACAAGCTTCCTGGCAAGGAGATGTTGATAAAAATGAGTACGGCTTTCCCCTTGAGTTTTGTCTCGCCTGGCCTCCTGCCCATTCTTGACTAGATGGAAGGGACCACAGGCTCTGAGGATGATCGAGGAATCTCCACTTGGCGAATAAGTCAAGCCACACGCGGTCTCGTGATCCTTAGACCCCTTCAGTGTCCTCCTCTCCACTCTGGTCACCTAGGGGGCATTCCTACCCTGCCCCTCTCCAGGTGTTCAGCCTGGGTAGGCGGGAGAAGGAGGAGGCGTTTCAGGTATGGGAGTACGAACCTGGAGCAAGGCTGCGTTCCTCCTGCTTTCTGCCAGCTGGCCTCACCTTCCCCCTTTTACAGCCTTCCCGTCTGATCTGGCATGAGGAACGTCAGGCTTCCATGACGCACCCCGCCCCTGTCACGTGCACATCTTTCCTAGGGTTAACAGGGGATCGTGCTGAAGACAGACTCTCCAGTGCTGCGGAGTATTCAGAAGCCTTTACATTGGCCAGTGTTTGTTCCCAGCCCTGCTGAGCCACCCCGTCTAGTATCTCTGAAGAGTGGAGGGTGATGCGGGTATTTGGGAAGAGAGAGTGTGGGATGGGATGGGGGTAAGTACATTGACAAAGCATGTTTCATGTTATTTTATATTTGAAGAACAAAACCAAAAACAGTTGTTTGCATGGCATGAAGTGGTGAACGTCAGCTTTTGGTTTATTTTTACGAAAGATTGAGAGGTACCAAGAAGGGAAGATGGCGGGCCAAGTCCAGCTGTCAGTGGGGGCTGTCCCCAACATTTATTTAGGCTGAGCTTCAAGCCTCTCTCCACGTCGCTAGTTCTTTCACAATTCCACCCCAGTCCAGCGCCCTCTTCCATTAGTAGAGCTGTCCATAACCCATGTGGGAACGCATGTAGGAGCTAAACACGCAGGTTTTGAGGTTAGACTACTGGGATTCACATCTCAGTTCCCATCCCATTGCTAGCTCTGGGTTCCCTGGCAAGTGACTTAACCTGTAGCTAAGCCATTAAACTCATGATTTCAGGGGTTAAAAGCGTGGAATCTGGAGCTGGCCCTGTGGGCTGCAGTCCTGGCGGCTACTTGTTGGCTGTGTCACCTTGGGCAAGGGCACTCATTTCTCTGGGCCTCAGTTTCCTCATTTGTAGAACGAGGAGACTAATATACCTACCTTGTAGGTTTGCTGTGAGGATTGAAATGAATATGTATATGTTTGTGTGTATGTGTATTACACATCTTTACACAACCACATGTTGTGTGTATACATATGTTTATAGTTGTCTATAAACATACGTACTGGGCTGGGCTGGGGACAGTGACTTATGCCTGTAATCCCAGCACTTTGGGAAGCCGAGGTGGGCAGATCGCTTGAGCCCAGGAGTTCCAGACCAACCTGGGCAATAGGGCAAAATCTCGCCTTTACAAAATATACAAACGAATTAGCTGGGTGTGGTGGCATGTACCTATATTTCCAGCCACTTTTGAGGCTGAGGTGGGAGGATTGATTGAACCCAGGAGGTTGAGGCTGAAGTGAGCTGTGATTGTGTCACTGCACTCCAGCCTGGACGACAGAGCCAGACTCTGTCTCAAAAAATCCCATATGTACGTATGTATGTATATGCCTGGTACATAGCAAGTACTTAGAATTGCTGGCTGTTACTGTTATTAATATTTATTTTTGTTTAGGGTAAGGCTAAATTATATGTAAGAAAAATAAGTCAATTAAAAAAAAAAAAACCAGTGGCTCTGCCAGGTGTGGTGGCTCTGCCAGGTGTGGTGGCTCACACCTGTAATCCCAGCACTTTGGGAGGCTGAGCTGAGTGCATCACCTGAGGTCAGCAGTTCGAGACTAGCCTGGCCAACACGGCGAAACCCTGTCTCCACAAAAAAACACAAAAAATTAGCTGGGTGTGGTGGCAGGCGCTCCATATCAAAAAAAAAAAAAAAAAAAAAAAAGAAGAAGAGCAAGTTTTCTGTCTCTGCTCTCTCTATTGAGTTGGGATGTCCATCTTCTCCTGCCCTCAGACATCAGTTCTCAGGCCTTCAGATTTGGACTGAATTACACCACCAGCTCTCCTGGTTCCCCAGCTTGCAGACAGATGGGACTTCTCAGCCTCCATAATCACATGAGCCAATTCCCACAATAATCCTCCCTCTCTCTCAGAATAAATGAGGTAACATATGTGAGAACACTTTGCAAAATGGCAGAATACTCCTCTATTGTAAATTGTGTGAGAAACAAACTCTGCCAGGTGCCGTGGCTCACACCTGTAATCCCAGCACTTTGGGAGGCCAAGGCAGGTGGATCACCTGAGGTCAGGAATTTGAGACCAGCCTGACTAACATGGTGAAACCCGTCTCTACTAAAAATACAAAAATTAGCCGGGTGTGGTGGCGGGTGCCTGTAATCCCATCTACTCGGGAGGCTGAGGCAGGAGAATCGCTTGAACCCAGTAGGTGGAAGCTGTAGTGAGCCAAGATCACGCCACTGCACTGCAGCCTCGGTGGTGGTGTGGGAGGGGGTGGTTAAGGAAGCCCTGACTGATAGGTGCCTGGCAGCTAGATAAAAGGGAAAAAAGAAAAAGAAAAAGAAAAAGAAAAAACAAACACACTCACTTGTCCAAACCAAAGAATGGACTTAGGGATGGGAGAACAGC
Organism: Homo sapiens; assembly: GCF_000001405.40. Taxonomy (NCBI): domain Eukaryota; kingdom Metazoa; phylum Chordata; class Mammalia; order Primates; family Hominidae; genus Homo; species Homo sapiens. The sequence goes on along the minus strand of NC_000019.10, from coordinate 35,427,600 downwards.
AGAAGCGAGACCTTAGTGGCTGCCTTGCAAGATGGGGTGTCTGGCATGCGGGCACACCTGCAACGATTTCAACAAGCAATTTATTCCCAAGTGCACAAGTCCCTCCCCTAGTTCCTCACTGGCTGAGTACTATTGGGTTACAATCTTTCTGCATGTCACCTATTGATATTTGGGTTAAGGATTTCAGTATGTTCTTTAGGGTCTTTCTGCTGCATTTTATTGCAGCCCATAATGCATTGCAACTGTCTCAGGACTCTTCAAACATTTGAGTTATGGCCATAGTGACTGGACTTAGCTGATAAGAAAGAGTACAATTATTTACTTTGCAAGCTAGCCTAAACTAAATTCTTTTTTTTTTTTTTTTTTTGAGACGGAGTTTCACTCTTGTTGCCCAGGCTGGAATGAAGTGGCGTGATATCAGCTCACTGCAACCTCTGCCCACCCGGTTCAAGCAATTCACCTGCCTCAGCCTCCCGAGTAGCTGGGATTACAGGTGCCCGGCTAATTTTTGGATTTTTAGCACAGATGGGGTTTCACCATGTTGGCCAGGCTGGTCTTGAACTCCTGACCACAGGTGATCTGCCTGCCTTGGCCTCCCAAAGTGCTGGGATTACAGTCATGAGCCACTGTGCCTGGCCCAACTAAATTCTTTGGAGGGGTGGAAGGGGATGGTTAAGGAGGTCCTGACTGATAGGCGCCTGGCAGCTAGATGAAAGGGAAAGCAAGAAGCAGGATGGGCAGGAGGGGGTGGGGGTGGGGGGGTGACTTAGTACATTCTGCTTCTTTATCTCTTTGTAGCCTGTTTAAACCTATATTAAGGCACTTAGAATTGAAAATGGACCACCACACATAGGTTATTTTCTGCAGTTGTAACCAGACAACTGAACTCTTTTTTTTTTTTGAGACCGGGTCTCACTCTGTCATCCAGGCCGGTGTGCAATGGCTCCATCACGGCTCACTACAGCCTTGACCTCCCAGGCTCAAGCAATCCTCCCACCTCAGCCTCCCAAGTAGCTGGGACTACAGGCGCACACCACTATGCCTGGCTTAGTTTTATATTTTTTGCGGAGTTGAGGCTTTGCCATGTTGCCCAGGCTGTTCTTGAACTCCTGGGCTCAAGCAATCTGCCCGGCTTGGCCTCCCAAAGTGCTGGGATTATAGGCATGAGCCATTGTGCCTGGCCTCAACTGAACTCTACACAGGAGCAGTTCTCTTTTTTTTTAAGATGGAGTCTCAGTCTGTCGCCCAGGCTGGAGTACAATGGCGTGATTTCGGCTCACTGCACCCTCTGCCTCTCAGGTTCAAGCAATTCTCCTGCCTCAGCCTCCCGAGTAGCTGGGACTACAGGCATGTGCCACCATGGCTGGCTAAGTTTTGTATTTTTAGGAGAGAGGGGGTTTCACCATGTTGGCCAGGCTGGCCTTGAACTCCTGACCTCAAGCGATGCTCTTGCCTCGGCCTCCCAAAGTGCTAGGATTACAGGTGTGAGCCACCATGTCCAGCCTAGGAGCAGTTCTTAACTTCTTTCCAGTGACCACACAAGGGACAGGTTATGTCCAAATGCTGGATAGACTCCAAAGCAATCTAGCTGCAACTTCTCCCATCCTGCTCCTGCTCAAGAGAGGGAATGTTGACAGCCTCCGAGTCAGAAGTTCCAAGGGGCAGAAGAGATGCCTCTGTGCCTGTGGGCATACCTTAGCTGTTCCCAGCTCCCCAGCTCCAGCCCAGGAGAGCATCATGCAGTCTCTCCATTAGAAGCTCTGCACTCCCGTTCCCTTTCTGTGATCTTTGCCTTCCCTGGTTCTGTCTGTCCCTTGGCAGTGAGCCCCTTGCCTTGCCCCCAACAGTGTGGCCCTCTCTCGATTCCTTCTCCACCAACATCCTTTCCCGGAGTATAGGCAGCTGCCTGGAAACCTTGCTCTACTCTCATTTTTTGTTGGGGAGTGGAGTGGTAACCTCTAAACAGAAATCTTCTTGCTCCTTACTGAAGTTGCAGAGTCGGAGCTGGCTGTACCTCCTCTGGCTCTGCTCTAGGGACAGGCTTTCACACTGAGATGGGCTGTGTCCATTGGAAAGTTGGTAGTTGATTACCTCTATGAAAAAAAAACCTGAAAAATTCCACCTTTTCTCCAGAACTGATTCCACGAATCTAACGTATGGATTCCCAAATGCAGACCTTGGCTGCTTCCACAGTATTCCTTTGACTTCTACATTTAGGTACCTGGAGAGGCATCTCGTGAGGCCATGTAGAGTGGCAGGCAAGGGCATGGACTGGGATGCAGACTGCCTGGATTCCAGCCTTGCTGGGCTCCCTCCAGCTGTGTGTGCTTGGACAAGTCCTGTAGTCTCCTGGGCTGTGGTTTCCTTCCCTCTAAATGGAGGAAATGATAGTGCCCACCTCATGGGCTTTTGTGAAGACTGAATGGGTTGATGTATCTAAAACTTTTGGGCAGCTGAGTGCGGTGGCTCACGTCTGTAATCCCAGCACTTTGGGAGGCCAAGGCGGGCAGATCACCTGAGGTCAGGAGTTGGAGACCAGCTCGGCCAACATGGTGAAACCCTGTCTCTACTAAAAATACAAAAATTGGCGACAGAATGAGACTCCGTCTCAAAAAAAAAAAAAAAAAATAGCTGGGCGTGGTGGGGGCGGCTCCTTTAATTCCAGCTACTTGGGAGGCTGAGGCAGGAGAATCACTCGAACCCGGGAGGCGGAGGCTTCAGTGAGCCAAGATCATGCCACTGCACTCCAGCCTGGGTGACAGAGCGAGACTCCGTCGCAAAAATAAATAAATAAATGTCTTGGGTCAGGATCTGGGACACAGTCAGTACTGTGTGTTTTGTGTTTGTCCTTCCTCATGGTAACCTGGATTCCTTGATCTCCCGGTAGGTCCACTCCTTCATCACACCTGGGACTACTCTCATATTTGTTCCCTCCTATCCTGAGTCCTAGTGGGTTTTCATTTGCACTCCAGGGTTCAGCTGCAGACCCACCAGGTGAAGACCCACCAGGTATGTGTTTGGGCAGTGGGATCACTTGGCTTGGACCCCAGATCTTTTCTTCTGCTTGGAAAAGGTTTACTAGTTCGGCTTCATCCAGGTGTGGTTCCAGGGGAATTGATGGCCTGCTGACCTCCACGTTCTCTTTCCCAGCACACCTTGCCCTGCTTCTGGGCCACGTCTCTCCAGTGCACCTGCAGGAGACCTCTGTGGATGCACCGTGTCTCCTAACACTGTCTCCAGCCCACACTGAGCTTGTCTTGCGTGGAAATCTTTGTCTCTGCTGTTGCCTTTGCCTGGAGCGTCCTTGCCCCACACCCTCTCACAGCTGCCTCTCTGTCATCTTTCCAATGTCTGTCCTCAGAGAGCCCTTCCTGGCCACTCCATCTAAAGGAGTCCTGGGCCAGGTGTGGTGGCCCACACCTGTAATCTCAGAACTTTGGGAGACGGAGGTGGGAAGATCACTTGAGGCCAGGGGTTCAAGACCAACCTGGGCAACATACTGAAACCCCCATGCCTATAACAATAAAAAAGGAAAAAAAGGGGTGGTGGTGCACACTTAGAATCTCAGCTATTCTGGTGGCTAAGGCTTGAGCCTAGGAGTTCGAGGCTGCAGTGAGCCAAGATCGCACCACTGCGCTCCAGCATGGGCAACAGAGTGAGACCCTGTATCAAAAAATAAATAAAAATAGGTCAGGTGCAGTGGCTCACTCATGACTGTAATCCCAGCACTTTGGGAGGCTGAGGCGGGCAGATCACCTGAGGTCAGGAGTTCAAGACCAGCTTGGCCAACATGGTGAAACCCCATCTCTACAAAAATACGCATAGTCGGGCATGGTGGCGGGTGCTTAGAGTCCCAGCTACTTGGGAGACTGAGGCAGGAGAATCACTTGAACCTGGGAGGTGGAGGTTGCAGTGAGCCGAGATCGCACCATTGCACTCTAGCCTGGGCGACAGAGTGAGACTGTGTCTCAAAAATAAATAAATAAATAAATAAATAAATAAATAAATAAATAAATATAAAAAAGGAATTCCCCTCTTCTTATTACACTAATCAATTTGTTTTCTTCACGGTGCTTTACCAGAATCTGAAATTGTTCTATTTATTCATCTTTTGTCAACAATTCCTGGTAAGAGGTGCTACTCAGGTCACAGAATTGGTTTTAGGTTGCTCTAGTAAAAACTTTTTGCTGTCTTTAGCAAAAAGAGCTGTGCACATAGACATACTTTCAGGTTAAACCAATATGTATGTTTTTAATTTGCTACCCCTTGCCACCTCTTGGCCTAGAAACAGGGAGGAGGAAGCCACGCTTTCATTATTATTAACTATCTCGGGCCTTTTATTAGTTTGATCAAGTAATAATCATCTAAAGTGCATCTCCTTTGTGGGGAGCCCAAATTCCAGGCCGGAAAAGGTCCAACCGCTGTTCCTCCAACACCGGTGCTTTTCCAGAACGCGAACTTCACGAGAGCTGCCGCTTCCTGTCTTGTTCACCAAAACATTCTCAGCAGCTTGAACAAGTCCTGGCCGGGAGCAGTTGATGAAGGAGTGAATGACAGGCAAATTGGGATGCGAGCAGGTGTCCATGTCTCTGGACAAGGGAGTGTCTTTTTTTCCCCAAATCCCTGCAACGAGAGCCTAATAGAGTGCTTTAGAGCACAGGAAACCTTTGAAATAGCGCCGAACTGTTGACGGAAATGTAAATTAATACAGTTATTATGGAAAACAGTACGGAGTTTCCTCAGAAAAGTAAAAGTAGCACTGCCATATGATCCAGAAATCCCCCTGCTGGGTGTAAATCCAAAGGAATTGAAATCAGTATGTCAAAGAGATGCCTGCACACCCATGTCCATTGCAGTGTTATTCACAATGGCCAAGATGAGGAAGCAACCTAGATATCCATCATCAGGTCAATCGCTAAAGAAAATGTGGGCCAGGCGCGGTGGCTTACACCTGTAATCCCAGCACTTTGGGAAGCTGAGGCAGGCAGATCACTTGAGGTCAGGAGTTGGAGACCAGCCTGGCCAACATGGTGAAACCCCATCTCTACTAAAAATACAAAAATTAGACGGGTGTGGTGGCGGGCACCTGTAATCCCAGGTACTTGGGAGGCTGAGGTGGTAGAATCACTTGAACTCAGGAGGTGGAGGTTGCAGTGAGCCAAGATCGTGCCACTGCACTCCAGCTTGGGCAACAGAGCAAAAACTCCATCTCAAAAGAGAAAAGAAAAGAAAATGTGGTGTAGATACACAGTGGAATACTAGTCAGCCTTGAAAAAGAAAGAAACCCTGTCATTTGTGGCAGCATAGATGAGCCTGGAGGGCCTTCTGCTCAGCGACATAAGCCAGGCACAGAAAGGCAAGTGCTGCATGATCTCACTTACATGGAGAATCTTAAAAAGCCGATCTAGAAGCAGATCTCATGGCGAGAAGTATGCTGGTTACCAGAGGCTGGGGGAAGGGGCTGGATGGGGAAAGGGAAGACGCTGACTGAAGACTTCAAAGTTTCAGTTAGGAGGAGTCAGCTTTAGTGATCAATTGCACATAATGGTGTTTATAATAAATAATAATGTAATGTATATTTCAAAGCCGTGAAAAGAGATTTTAAATGTTTACACTGCAAGAAAAGGATGAGTATGTGAGGTGATGGATGTGTTTAATTGGCCTGATTTAATCATTCCACGTTGTAAACATGGATCAAAACATCATATTGTATCCCATACATAGATACAATTATTATTTGTCAATTAAAATGGAACTGTGCTGAGCCCACAGTAAGTACTCCACAGTGTTTCCTGCTCCCCTAGGACCCAGGCAGAAGCACCAGCAGCTTCAATTTCCCTCCAGGATCCCGGCATTCAATCCTTTAGTGTTCCTGTCACCACATCCCACTGCTGTAGTGCAGAAAGTGCACAGGGGAGTGGAGACTGGCAGATTCAGTCGTCGTGGGGCCAGGACCATGGTGCGAGGTGCAGGCGAGCACAGGGAAAGCCCTGTTCCTGGGCCAGAGTCCAGCCGGTAGCCGCTGCCCCAGGAGAAGCCAGACTGACGGAGGCACAGACCACGAGCCACTGTGGGAGCTGGAGCAGCCTGGCCATCTCGCATAGTGGCAGTTGCCACAGCAGGTGGAGCAGGGCAGCATTCTTCCCAGGCTACACACATGGCCAAGAGGCTGGCAGAGGGACCAATGGCACAGACAGGATGCAGCTGCAGAGGACTGTCCGCCTGGAGACCTTGGATGCTCTCCTGATTGTATCTGTCAGGTTTCCCACTACAGACAGCAGACTCTCCTCTTGTCAGGTTAAGCGGAAAAGGAATTTTGTTCTTATTTATTTTATTTATTTTTTACTTTTTTTGAGATGGAGTCTTGCTCTATCGCCCAGGCTGGAGAGCAGTGGTGCGAACTTGGCTCACTGCAATCTCTGCCTTCCAGGTTCAAGCATTCTCCCACCTCAGCCTCTCAAGTAGCTGGGATTATAGGCGCCCACCATCACACCCGGCTAATTTTTGTATTTTTAGTAGAGACAGGGTTTCATCATGTTGGCCAGGCTGGTCTCGAACTCCTGACCTCAGGTGATCTGCCTGCCTTGGCCTCCCAAAGTGCTGGGATCACAGGTGTGAGCTTACCATGCCCGGCCTATTTATTTTATTTTAAAATTATTTTTATAGAGATGGGATCTCACTATGTTGCCCAGGCTGATCTCAAACTCCTGGCCTCCAGAGATCCTCTCACTTGGAGCCATCCTCCCATCTCGGCCTCCCCAGACACTGTGATTACAGGCGTGAGCCATCCCACCCAGCCTAGGAATTTTGTTTTTAAAGGGTATTAGGTAGCTTGTGGAATCTCCAGGCCAGCCAGAACACCAGGCTTGGAGGGTATGCCTGGATGATACCCTTGCAGACACCACCACCTCCACCACTGGCGCACACTCTGCGGTTCACACGCTGGGCACTGCTGCCACACCCTCGGCACCTCTCTCTGCCGCCCTGGCAGCTGGCTGTGTGCTGCCAGCTCCCTAGAGTGGCCTCCGGGCCTAACGTCACAGCTATGCTGCACTGCCCCCACCTGGGCTTGGTAACTGGCTGGACTTTGGTCACATGCCTGTGCCCTACATGGGAGCCGACTCTGAGAAAGCAAGTTTCTGCTTCTCCCTTGGGCAGGCGTAGATTCACAGGCAGGGAGTTCAGAGGTTCTGGGTGGCCAAAAAGAATGATGTAAGTCCTTGATGGAAGACGTGTGGTCAGAGCCAGGTGCAGTGGCTCAGGCCTGTCATACCAGCACTTTGGGAGGCCGAGGTTGGCAGATCATTTGAGGTCAGGAATTCGAGACCAGCCTGGCCAACATGGTGAAACCCCGTCTCTACTAAAAATACAAATATTAGCTGGGCATGGTGGTGCACACCTGTAATCCCAGCTACTCAGGAGGCTCAGGCAGGAGAATTGTTTGAACTGCGGAGGCTGCAGTGAGCCAAGATCATGCCATTGCACTCTGGCCTGGGTGACAGACCGAGACTTTGTCTCAAAAAAAAAAAAAAAAAAGGCATTAGAAACTAACTTCATCAGATTGTTTTATGACTGAGGAGTGATAATACGTGTGGAAACTTTCAAAACTGCAGAATGCACTTCTGATTGAAATAGTTGTTAAGCAGGCATCTGATTTATTGGTGCAGAGAGGGCCGTCGCCAGCATACTGGGGTGAAGTGCCATGCCTGGCCCATGGGCTGTGACTGTAACCCTTGCATGTCAGAATGTGCCTTGAATCTTCTCTGATTCATTTTTTAAAATCATAAAAGATACAATTCAGAAATGACTTTATTCTTTTTCTTTTTTGAGATGTAGTCTTGCTCCATCTCCCAGGCTAGAGTGCAGTGGTGTGATCTTGACTCACTGCAACCTCTGCCTCCCGGGTTCAAGCGATTCTCCTGCCTCAGCCTCCCAAGTAGCTGGGATTACAGGTGTGTGCCACTGCGCCTGGCTAATTCTTGTATTTTTAGGAGAGACGGGGTTTTGCCAGGCTGTTCTCCAACTCCTGACCTCAAGTGATCTGCCCGCCTCGGCCTCCCAAAGTACTGGGATTACAGGTGTGAGCCACTGTGCCCGGCCCTGGAAATGCCCCTATTCTTTATTATTATATTCTTTATCTTTTATTACTATTAACAAATTACCTAAAAAACATTTGCATTCATTGCTTCCAGGTAACAAAAAACCTTGCTTCAGCTAATTGTGCAAAAATGAGAATTTATTAGCTATGAAATTGAAGAGTTGAAAGTGGCTTCAGGAATGGTGAGATCCATATGCCGAAATGAAACTTTCAGCCACCTGTCTCCATGACTCAGCTCTGCTTCTCTATGCTGGCTTTGCTCTCAGGCAAATTCCTCCTGCGTGGTGGCGGGAAGCTCCAGGATTACCTTCTACCTTCCTAACCACCCTGTGGAAAGAGAAAGCTGCTTTCTGAATTAGTCTAGAAGAGTCTAGAAAAGATTGACTCTAGATGGACTGAGATTGCCAAGTCTGGGTTGCATGCCCTGCAGTGATAATGGGGCCAACCTCCCCTTCTCCCCCTGTCCCCCTCCCCACATCCCACAGACCAAGAGTAGAGGGGGAGTGGTTAACTAGAGGAAAATTGGGATGCTGCTACCAGAAGAAGGAGGGATGAATTCTAGGCAGGCAGCGCCCAGGTACCACTCATAGTAGGTCACTACACAGAGTGTGAGGACTGTCATATCACAGACGAGTTGAATGCCAGGGCATTGCTCCACTCTGAAGAGAAATCCAGGGAGAATAAGTAATGAGGGGAGCAGATCTGGATCCCAGTCCCACTGTTGGCAATTCCCAGCTCTGTGACTTTGAGAAAATGATATAGCATTCTGTGCTCAGGGCAATTCTCTGCTCTGTAGAGGATACCTGATTCTGCTTGGTGCCTTCCCATTTCAACCTCTGTCATCCCTCCACCAATTTCTCTTCTAGTTTTTGTTCAGTTTTCTTGATCTTTTGCTATTCTGGTTTCCCTCCCGCACTGGAAATGAAGGTGAGAAAACCTTGTTCCCCAGCAAGGTGAACCTGCAGTCACCTGGGTCTCTCATCCTTTTCCTTTCCCAGGTGAGAGCTTAGGGTGTCATCTCCCAGGACGTGCTGGGAGTATTTTAGGTATCTAGCTTCCTCCTGTTTCTAAGCAGGCAGCTCTTGGTGATCAGCCTTAAGTGGACTTTTACCAACTTGTTGAATAAGGTGCATAGATACAGCCACCTCTGCCATTTCGGGATCCCCCAGGAACCAAGAACTTTTACACTTGAGCTTGCTATGTGTCAGGAAGAGGAAGGTCAAGAGTTGAGCTGTTTCTCAGGCCGCTTAGCCCTCTGTGTTTCCCCTGAAAGTCTGTTCCCACAAATCTCATTGATCCTTTCTAGATCTCAAGCCCTGATTATTCTTTCAGACTTTGTTCTGCTTTCATAATTCATTCAGGCATTCTGTTTCATTTCCTCTCTTGGTGGATTATTCCAAAGGAGCTTGTCCACTGCCAGTTTCTCCTATGCTTCCATCCCTGCCTCTGGCTACTCTCCTTGTTTGGTCAGTTTTCCCTATTCAGGGTCAAAGTGGAATAGGTTATTTTTGTTTGCTTGTTTCTTGAGACAGGGTCTCACCCTCTTGCTCAGGCTGGAGTGCAGCGGCACAATCATGGCTCACTGTAGCCTTGACCTCCTGGCCTTAAGCAATCCTCACACCCCAGCCTCCCAAAGGGCTGGGATTACAGGCGTGAGCCCCTGTGCCTAGCTGGAATTGGTTATTTTTTTTAGCTCAGCCTCACAAAACCTCCCTAGAATCCCCGGACACATGAGCACCTAAGAAAGTGGGGCCACTTATTAAAATGTCCGCAGAGGGCCAGGGCTCCTCACACAGCCCATCATTCTCTGCAGGCAGGAGCTCTGATTCTGTCTCACACTCTGGCCTCATGTCTTGGTGTCCCATCCCCTACCTCTGCACTATTCCTGGCTTCTTTTCACTTGTGCTTTCCTTAAACCACATAGACCTAAGTGGCTCTAGTTCCCTCGGAAGCCATTTGACACAGACACATGAGCACAAGACAGACAGACCACGCTCCATCTCTCTGCAGGAACCATGTCTTATCTTGGCCCATGTCACATGACCCAGAGCCAACAGAGGCTTCATTCTCATCCCCATGAACCAGGGAGCTTGGCCACCACCCCACATCCTCCCTCAAGATCCCAGCATCTTATTTTCCCCTTCCCTCTATCTCCAATCTGCACTCTCCTCCAAGACCAAGATTTCCTAGCCTTCCATTCACTGTTTCTCTCCTGCATGCATGTGCTTTCTCTTTATATGGTGGGATTGGGGGAGATACTCCTCTGTGCTGAATGTAATTGCATCATTTAAACTTCAGCTTTGTTGGAAGCTGAACAAATGTTTCTTATGATTAGGCATAATAGAAGCCTGTCAGTAACAACATGAACCTCTGATCAATTAAGCAGCTGACCAATTGTTGCCACCTCCTCGTGCTCTTGTTACCCAATAAATAAGGGGGCTGCCTTTGCTCACTAGAAGCGGGGAGCTCTCTTCTTCCCCATGCTAGCCTTTACTTAAAGCAGTTTCTTTTTTTCCTTGGTTTTCATTTCTACGTTCCTCCCTTCCTTCAGTCTTGTAAGGATGGTCTCAAGTGGTAACAGTAGTAACTGCTGTAATGACGGTCTGGAGCAGTAAGAGTAGTAACTGCTGTAGTGATGGACTCAAGTAGTAACCTTGGAAGTCAGCCACAATGCTTTTCTTGAATGTTCACGACAATCTGAATTCAGTTAAGAAAGGCAAGGAGTGGAGAGGTGGGGCACTCCTTTACCCCTGGAGTCCTGGGGAAAGTGTCTGTCCTGGATACATCTGGCACTTGTGCCAATCTGCTAGGTTCCTGTGAGGGTCTCGGGTCCTTCTTTGAACTCCCTTTCCTCTGGGCAGGTCGTGCATGCCTGGGTCACTCCCCACCACTCATTACCTAGGGTCAGGCTGCAGGGCTGCAGGGCTGGGGTGGGGAGAAGAGCTGGTGGGAAGGCTGGTGAGCCTTCTTGCAGAAAGAGCTGGATTTACGCCATCACGTTGAAGAGGACCTTGGCAGCTTTTACTGAAATGGAGAATGCAAATGCTGTGCCTACCAGTGGAAGAACTCTTCCACGTGTGCGCGAAGAGACACACACAGGGATGTTCAAAGCAGCATTGTCATGCTGGCAAAGAATGGGAAGTGATTTAAATGTCTATCAATAGTAGAATGGAAAAAATAAAACTCGTCTTATTAATATGATGGACTGCTAGAGCAGACAAAATAAATCAATGAGATATGTAAGGTTTAGTGATGGAGGCCAGATAGCAAAGGGATGATTTGGGGTAGAAAGTAGCTAGTTGCAGAATGACTTGTACTATAGGTATTTATGGATATTTGAAAAAACGCAAAAGAATACTAAACAGTGTTTAGGTGCAAAGTATATTTGCAAGGTACAATTTAAAATCATGGACAGGAAGGATGCACTTAAAGTCCAGTATGACGCTGCCTCTGATGAAGAAGGTAGGAGATTCAGTGAGAGAGAAGCATAATGGGAACATCAATCACAAAAATCTAAAGAAATACGACTCAGTGTTGGCTGGTGCAGTGGCTCACGCCTGTAATCCCAACACTTCGGGAGGCCGGGGTGGGCTGATCAACTTGAGGAGGTCAGGAGTTTGAGACCAGCCTGGCCAACATGGTGAAACCCCATTTCTACTAAAAATACAAAAATTAGCCAGGTGTGATGGTGTACACTCGTAATCCCAGCTACTCAGGAGGTTGAAGAGGGAGGATCACTTGAACCCGGGAGGCGGAGGTTGCAGTGAGCTGAGATCATGCCACTGCACCCCAGCCTGGACAACAGAGCGAGACACTCTAAATAAATGTCTCACAAAACTCAATAGTAAAACAAAACACAATCAAGCAATTCAATTAGAAAATGGGCAAAAGGCTAATCTTTAGAACAAGGATGAGCATAAAGCAATGAATATACAGGCTTGTGCAGAGCAATTACATTATGTCCATCTCAGCTTCAAACTTGCTTTAAGCTAAGGAAGGAGAATATTTGGTTTTCAAATCTAAAAATCCCCAGAGTAGATCTGCTTTAGGACATCAAATGCCTGAATGTGTGGTTTTTCTCTGTTTCACCTTCCTTTAAGTTGACTTCAGGCTTAGGCAGCCTCTCTTCACAATGGCCCCCAGAAGAGAGGGACCAGCCTTCAAGTTCAAGATCAGTAGAAGAGAGGTTCTTTCTCCTGGTGGTTAAAAGAGAAGGGCTGGCCAGGTGCGGTGGTTCATGCCTATAATCCCAGCACTTTGGGAGGCCAAGGTGGGTGGATCATGAGGTCAAGAGATCGAGACCATCCTGGCCAACATGGTGAATCCCCGTCTCTACTAAAAATACAAAAATTAGCTGGGCGGGGTGGTGCGCGCCTCTAGTCCTAGCTACTCAGGAGGCTGAGGCAGGAGAATTGCTTGAACCTGGGAGGCAGAGGTTGCAGTGAGCCAAGATTAACGCCACTGCACTCAAGCCTGGTGAGACTCTGTCTCAAAAAAAAAAAAAAAAAAAAAGGCTGGATCCACAGTGGGTGCACTCTGTCACCCAGGCTGGAGTGTGCAGTGGCATGGTCTTGGCTCACTGCAACCTCCACATCCCGTGTTCAAGTGATTCTTCCGCCTCAGCCTCCCAAGTAGCTGGGATTACAGGTGTGCACCACCACGCCCAGCTCATTTTTGTATTTTTAGTAGAGACAGGGTTTCGCCAAGTTAGCCTGGCTGGTCTCAAACTCCTGACCTCAACTGATTCGCCTGCCTCAGCCTTCCCATGTGCTGGGATTACAGATGTGAGCCACCATGCCCAGCCTGGGTTCATCTTTCATTGGTCTGGATTGAGTCATGCACCCAAGTGTGAACCATCACTGTGGTCAGAGGATGAACTGTAGATGAGCAGGGTCCTGGTTTCACACCTGCCCCTGGAGCAGGAGCTGGGGGTAAAGTCAGCTCCACCAAACCACATGGCAGAGGACAAGGGAGAGATGTTGCTAAGAAGGCCAAACCAATCGGTGCCATCTCTGATTGCTGGTTCATTTTTGAAAAGAGACTGTAGAGAATGTTATGATAAAATTGCAATCCTCAGGGTCCAACAATCAGTACACTCTTCCACCCCTTCCTCTTGTGTTTTTTTTTTTTTTTTTTGGTTGTTGTTTGCTTTAGACGGAGTGTCTGCTCTTGTTGCCCAGGTTGGAGTGCAATGGCATGATTTTGGCTCACTACAGCCTCTGCCTCTTGGATTCAAGTGATTCTCCTGTCTCAGCCTCTCAAGTAGCTGGGATTACAGCTGCACACCACCACGCCCAGCTAATTTTTATATTGTTAGTAGAGATGGGGTTTTGCCATGTTGGCCAGGCTGGTCTTGAACTCCTGGCCTCAGGTGATCTGCCTGCCTCAGCCTCCCAAAGTGCTGGAATTACAGGCATGAGCCACCATGCCCGGCACACCCCTCCCTCTTATCACTGTGTCCCACCCCTAGGAGCAGGACTTCCCCAAGGTCATTGAGAGTAACATTGTAAATGGTGGCATCTTGAGCCCATCTTTAGGAGAAAGGTCTCCCATAAGTTTACAGAAATCAAGTGACCTAACGTCACATCACAGTCCCTTTCTGGTGGACACTCACTCTCCCCACCATTAACCTGAAAACCGGAGAGGGCTGAAGGAGCCTTGCCGGTAACCTTCAAACTTCCATTCCTCGCTTAACACAATGCCTCAGGAACCATTTATTTACCGGGAGGTGCAATGGAACTAGTTGAATCGCCCTAGCTTATATTAACTAGGTGCTATCAAGTAGTCTAACAGTAAAATTGAGGCTTTCACAAAGGCTTTGTGAATTCCCCCGTTCAAAATAAAACACACTAAGCCTGTTTATAACTTTTGCCCTGAAAATCTTTCTTTAATCTTTGCTGACAGGAATTAAATATGCACTTTCCCTAGGATGACATAGGACAAATATAATTAGTATTATGCTTTCCTTCTCCCCCAGTTCCTATAGCCTCTAAGATTGGAAATCCTACATATAGTTTGGGTTAATATTCCACCTAATTGTAGATGAAGTAATCCTTCCCCATAAAACAAGAAGAAAAACTCCAATTTAAACAATCCTTAGGCCAGGCGCGGTGGCTCAAACCTGTAATTCTAGCACTTTGAGAGGCTGAGGTTGATGAATCACTTGAGGCCAGGAGTTCAAGACCAGCCTGGCCAACATGGTGAAACCCCATCTCTACTAAAAATACAAACATTTGCCAGGTGTGGTGGCGCATGCCTGTAATCCCAGCAACTCGGGAAGCTGAGGCATAAGAATTGCTTGAGCCTGGGAGGCGGAGGTTGCAGTGAGCCAAGCTCATGCCACTGCACTGCAGCAGTCTGGGTTACAGAGCGAGACTCTGTCTCAAAAAAAAAAAAAAAAAAAAAAAAAAAGCATCTTTAGAACAGGAACTAACATAACATGGTGAATACAGGTCTGTGCGGCGCAATTACATCCCATCCATCTGAGCCGGCTTTGTTACTTCTTTATCTCCTCATGGAATAGTTCTGATTGTTAAGTATCATATTTAATATCTCAACAAGCTTTGCATTTTATCAGGCAAACTTTAAACTCACTTTGAGAGGTTAAGTGGCATTAGACTTTATGAAATTTCGAATCATTAAAGACACATCAGGTAGCAGAAGGTTTTATATGTGCACAATTGCACTTAGCAGAGTAATCCTGTCTGTCATCTCACCAGGTCAGCAATTCTCAAACTTGTGGATCTCAAGGTCGGTTTATACTCTTGAAAATTACTGAAGGGATGGGTGTGGTGGCTCACCCCTCTAATCCCAACACTTTGGGAGGCTGAGGCAGGTGGATTGCTTTAAGCTTAGGAGTTTGAGACCAACCCGGGCAACATGGCAAAACCCCATCTCCACAAAAAATACAAGAATTAGCTGAGCATGGTGGCGTGCACCTGTAGTTCCAGCTACTTGGGAGGCTGAGGTGGGAGGGTTGCTTGAGCCTGGGAAGACGAGGCTGCAGTGAGTTGTGTTCATGCCACTGCACTCACCCTGGGTGGCAGAGTGAGACACTGTCTCGAAAAAAAAAAGAAAAAAGAAAAAAAAGGAAAGAAAAGCAAAAATGAAAATTCCTGCCAGGCGTGGTGGCTCATATCTATAATCCTAGGACCTTGGGAGACTGAGGTGGGCAGATCATGAGGTCAGGAGTGCGAGACCAGCCTGACCAACATGGTGAAACCCTGTCTCTACTAAAAATACAAAAATTAGCCGGGCATGGTGGCTTGTGCCTGTAATCTCAGCTACTTGGGAGGCTGAGGCAGGAGAATCGCTTGAAGCCAGGAGGCAGAGGTTGCGGTGAGCCGAGATCACACCACTGTACTCCAGCCTTGGCAACAAGAGTGAAACTGCGTATCAAAAAAAACAAAAAAAAAAAACAAAAAAAAAACAAAGTTAAAACAGAAAAATTTAAAAATGTGTATTAACTTATCTTATAATAATAATAACCATAAAACCATTACATGTTAATATAAATGACACGTTCCTAGAAAAAACAACTATATCTTCAAAAAATTCGTGACAGTGGCATTGTTTTACATTTTTGCAGATCTCTTTAATGCCTGGCTTAATAGAAGACAGCTGTATTTTCCTATCTGGTCTGCATTCATTCCGTCATGATATCACGTCACGTAGCTCTCAAAACCTCCACTGTGCACATTATTTGTGAGATAATGAAGGTGAAGAGAGCAATCAGCATTTTAATAGCATTATGAATAGTTTTGACCTCACAGACAGTGCTTTGAAAACTGCTGCCCTAGATTCACATAGTTCGAAGCTACTTGGGTTGGGTTTTCCTTGATGTGTGGTATTAAAGGGAAGAAGGAAGGGAGGGAGGGAGTAACTCATTGAGGAACTCCTACCATCTTACAGTGTTTAAAATAACCACTAAATAATGGAAACAGAACATACAGTTTCCAAGTCAGTGGAGGAATAAATGAAATGAGAAAGAAAAGAAATAAACGAACTGAATCTCAAAAGAAGGCTAGAGAGAAGAAAAAAAGAAATATTAAAAGGTGAGGGATGGCTTGGCAAGGTGGCTCACACCTGTAATACCAGCACTTTGGGAGGCCGAGGTGGTTGGATCACCTAAGGTCAGCAGTTCAAGACCAGCTTGGTCAACATGGTGAAACCCCGTCTTTAATAAAAATGCCAAAATTAGCCAGGCATAGTGGCACACACCTGTAATCCAAGCTACTTGGGAGGCTGAGGCACGAGAATTGCTTGAACCCAGGAGGTGGAGGTTGCAGTGAGCTGAGATCATGCCGTTGACTTCAGCCTGGGCAACAGAGTGAGACTGTGTCTGAAAATAAAATAAAATAGAATAAAATAAAATAAAATAAAATAAAATAAAAGATGAGGGAAATAAAAAGCACAAAATAATATGGTAGACTTTTTGCTTTTTCTTAAATAGGTGTGTTCACTCTGTGATATTTGTGATAGTTTATTTGGCCTGTACACTTATTATTTGGCCATGCATGGTGATATGGTTTGGCTGTGTCCCCACCTAAATCTCATCTTGAATTGCAGTTCCCATAATCCCAAGTGTCATGGGAGGAACCAGGTGGGAGGTAATTGAATCATGGGGTGGGTTACCCTCATGCTGTTCTCCTGATAGTGAGTGAGTTCTCACGAGATCTAATGGTTTTATCAGATGGCTTCTCCCATTTTGCTCTGCACTTCTTGCTGCTGCCATGTGAAGAAGGACCTGTTTGCTTTCCCTTCCACCATGATTCTATGTTTTCTGAGGCTTGCCCAGCCCCGTGGAACTGTGAGTCAATTAAACCTCTCTTCTTTGTAAATTACCCAGTCTCGGGTATGTCTTTACTAGCAGCGTGAGAATGGACTAATACACACGGTATGCATGTATATTTCAATATATGTGCACATACTTCACTAAAAGTATTTAAAATAAGATGACAGAGATAAATTCAAATATATTGGAAATTATTATTTTATAACTATAAATGGACAAAATGGTACAGTTAAAAGACAAATATTGTCCAGTTGTCAGACCAGATTACAAAAAAATCCAACCACTCTATACACTGCTTAGGAAAAGCACATTTAAAACATAAAGATATAGCAAGGTTGAATGTAGAAGGATGGACAGAGATGGACTGGCAAATAATAAGCAAAAACCAAGTTGATGTGGCTCTGTTAATATCAGACAAAATCAATGTTAAGGCAGAAAGAATTTTGAAAGTTTCAATTCACCAGGGAGACAGAACTACAAGGAGAAATAGGCAAATTTACCATGATAGAAGGAGCATGTAACACACCTCTTCATATAACTGATAGATTAAATAGATGAAAATGTATATAAAGGTTATGAAGATTTGAACATCATAAATTAACAAGTTTGATCTAAGGTATATACAGAGAACATAGCACCCAACAATTACAGAATCTATCTTCTTTTCATTACTGGAATACTAGAATACTGTTTATATTCTAAGCCAAAAAACAATTCTCAGCAAATTTCAAAGAACTGATACCATTGAAACAATACTCTGTAGTTAGAAATGAATAACAAAAGGATAAAGGGGGGAAACATCTGTGTTTGAAAATTAAGGTACATTTCCAAAGTCAAGAGTCAAATAAAAAAATCCCATGGAATTTGGAGCCTATTTAGAACTCAAAATAATGAGAATGCTGCAAATCAAAACTTGTGACATCCCACTAAAGCTGTTCTTAGAGGGAAATCTATCCAACACACTAAATGCTTACATTAGCAAAGAAGAAAGGCTAAAATGAACGAGCATCCAAGTTAACATGTTAGAAAAGGAGCAACAGAGAAGACTCAATAAAGTAAAAGGAAGGAAACAATAAAGATAAGATTAGAAATCAATGCAACAAGAAAACAAAGATAAATGCTGGAGAGGATCTTGGTTTTCTGAAAAGACAAATTAATGGGTCTCTTGGCAAGACTGAGAAAGGAAAAAAGAAGGCACAAACACAGTAGGATGTAACCACTCAAAAGTATCATGACCTGTTTCTTCCCATCACGTGGACTCTGCTCCGAAGGACAGTTGCTTTTCTTGCCTGGTTTGTCCACCTGTGCCAGCCACTGCTTTGTTTCGGGTGCCGGTCCTTTGAGTCCACATGCAGGCTCCTGCCTTGCTCCCCAGACTTGCCTGTGCTGGGTTGTTCAGATCCAGCATGAGGAACCCCCTTTTCTGAATCGGGGCCAAGGATAGAATTAAGAGCTCTGCAGCAGATAAGTCAGTGCTACTGTCTTCTAGATATAGAGTAGGGAAGATAAAGAATTCCAAGACTCTGATATTACAAGATAAAAAGGCTTGTGGCTTACCATGAGGCAGTACCAGCCATAATGAAGAAAATGTCATAGGCTGGGTGTGGTGGCTGATGCTTGTAAACTCAGCACTTGGGGAGGCCCAGGAGGGAAGATCGCTTGAAGGCAGAAGTTGTTGAACATCCTGGCCAACATAGTGAAACCCTGTCTCTATAAAAAATAAACAATTAGCCGGCCATGGTGGCGTGCACCTGGAGTCCCAGCTACTCAGGAGGCTGAGGCAGGAGGATGGCTTGAACCCATGAGTTAGAAGCTGCAGTGTGATGTGATCACACTACTGCATTCCAGCCTGGGTGACAGAGGGAAACCCTGTCTCTAAAACCAACCAACCAACCAACCAACCAAACAAACAAACAAACCAAAACAAAAGGAAAGAAAAGAAAATAGAAAATATCATAGACCCCAAGGAACAAAATGAAAACACTCACTCAATGGCTGAGTTGGGTTTGAGCTATCTACTACTCTCCTTGACCTCTGAAACTGGGCACAGGAGAACTCACCTTAGTTCTGTTTCATTGTTCCTCTTTTTGAGCCCTCCTTCCCCAAAAGGTTACCCCAAGCTGGCGCCTCTAATCTCCTGTGAAGGTGACATTGGCCGTCCCTAAGATCCACATCTTCTCTCTGCAGCTGGCTCTCCAGAGCTTTCACCACCACCCAGACAGTGAGACCCCCGCCGTGCTGCCACCTCCGTGGCCCTCTGTCAAAGGCTTTGCGCACGGTGGAGGAAGAGAAACAGAAAATCAAGGGGTTAGGCTGGGCATGGTGGCTCACGCCTGTAATTGCAACACTTTGGGAGGCCAAGGTGGGCAGATCACTTGCGGTCAGGAGTTTGACACCAGCCTGAGTAGGGGTTGAAACCTCGTCTCTACTAAAAATACAAAAATTAGCCGGGTGTGGTGGTGGGTGCCTGTAATCCCAGCTACCCGGGAGGCTGAGGCAGGAGAACCCAGGAGGCGGAGGTTGCAGTGAGCCAAGATCATCACACCACTGCACTCCAGCCTGGGTGACAGAGCAAGACTCCATCTCAAAAACAAAACAAAACAAAATAAAAACAAAAACAAAGAAAATCAAGGGGTCAATGCAGCATCGAGAGCACTGAACAACACTGCGCCTGCCCACCAATTTGACTCTTCCACTGGGGGAACCCACCATGGGAGACAAAGCACAGGGTCCAAGCAGACCAGGAAGTTGAAGAGGGTCACGGCAGCCAGTCTCTTGGCTCTTCAGCACCTCCAGGTCCCCACTTGGGGCCAGAGAGCATGATCTGCACAAAGTGCCAGTGGCAGAAGGTGGTGACCGCCATGGGGGTGAAGAAGAGCTCCAAGCACAGCTCCAGCTGCAGCACCACGGCCAGCTGCTCTTGGGGGACGTTCTCATAGCAGATACGGAGCCCTCTGGCATATCTCATCATCTTCTTGGTAAAAACTAGACAATGAGCCAGGCATGGTGGCTCATGCCTCCCAGCACTTTGGGAGGCTGAGGCAGGCAGATCACTTTAGGTCAGGAGTTCGAGACCAACCTGGCTAACATGGTGAAACCCCGACTCTACTAAAAATACAAAAATTAGTAGGGAGTGGTGGCACATGCCTGTAGTCTCAGCTACTCGGGAGGCTGAGGTAGGAGAATCACTTGAACCTGGGAAGCAGAGGTTGCAGTGAGCCAAGATAGCACCACTGCACTCCAGCCTGGACGACACAGCAAGACTCCATCTCAAGAAAAAAAAAAAAGAAAGAGTAAGCTTAAATCTCCTCGAAGTGATCATTGAAAGGTAAACATTTAAAATAAAACTTGTGGCTGGGAGCAGTGGCTCACACCTGTAATCCCAACACTTTGGGAAGCCAAGACAGGAGGATTGCTTGAGTCAAGGAGTTCAAGACCAGCCTGGGCAACACAGTGAGAGCCTTTCTCTACAAAACGTTAAGAAATTAGCTGGGCATGGCGGTGTGCACCTGTAGTCCTCGTTACTCTGGAGGCTGAGGCAGGAGGATCACTTGAGCCCAGGGGCTTCAAGGTTACAGTGAACCATGGTGGCACCACTGCAAACCAGCCTGGGCGACAGAACAAGACCCTGTCTCAAAAAAAAAAAAGTTTAAAAATGAATAAAATAATGAGGCCTTAACCTATGACAGATAGCATATCACCTGCTGGCCCATCTGTACATCTCATTCTGCATTCGAGAACTTCAGAAGTAGAGGACCAGATGAATGGGAGTGGCCCTGCCGCCACGGGGCTGAGCTCCACCGCTTTTGTCCTGCTCCTCCTCGCCAGGCCCTGACCATCTCTCCACTGACTTGTCCTGGCCCCTTTTCCATTTCTGTGGCCTCTTCCCTCTCCTCCTTGGAGAGTAGCCTGTCCTCTGCTCCCTGCATGCTCTCCTTCCATCCCGTCTCTTCCTGGGGTTATGATCCCAGCAACCTCTTCCCTGAGCCCAGGCGAGGTCAGGTCCCTTGCCTTTTCCTGCAGGTAGATGGGTGGGTTTTCAAAGATGTCTGGTTTCAGAAGCCGGTGGCATCTTGTCTAACTGGACCACCTTTTCCTTTTCCACCAACGGCAGGCTTTTATACCTGGAAGAGTCATGTGGTCAAAAAGAGGAAAGTCAGTGGTTGAGCTCTTTCTAAAGCAGCTTGACCTTCTGGGTCTCCCACCAGATTTTGTCCCCAACAGACTTATTTCACCCAGAGTCCAATTTTTTTTTTTTTGAGGCAGAGTCTTGCTCTATCACCCAGGCTGGAGTTTAGTGGTGCGATCTCAGCTCACTGCAACCTCTGCCTCCCTAGTTCAAGTGATTCTCCTACCCCAGCCTTCCAAGTAGTGGGATTACAGGTGTGCAACACCACGCCCGACTAATTTTTGTATTTTTTGTAGACAGGGTTTCACCATGTTGGCCAGGCTAGTCTCGAACTCCGAACCTCAAGTGATCCGCCTGCCTTGCCTCCCAAAGTGCTGGGATTACAGGCGTGAGCCACTGTGCTCAGCCCAGAATCCAAATTTGAACAGTTTTTTCAGGCTTCCTCCTCCCCCTACATTCCAAGAGGTTGAATTCTGTTTCCTTCCCATGGGCAATTATCCCACACGACTACACGCACATCCATCTCTCACTTCCGCTTTTTCTTTCTTTCTTTCTTATTTTGTTGTTGTTGTTTTGAGACAGGGTCCCACTCTGTTGCCCAGGCTAGAGTTCAGTGGTGCAATCGCGGCCCACTGCAGCCTTCACCTTTCGGGCTCAAGTGATCCTCACACCTCAGCCTCCCGAGAAGCTGGGCCACAGGTGCACGCCACTGCATCTGGCTAATTTTTTGTATTTTTGGCAGAGACGGGGTTTCACCATGTTACCAAGAGTTGTCGAACTCTTGAGCTCAGGCAGTCCACCCGCTTTGGCCTCCCAAAGTGCTAGGATTACAAGTGTGAGCCACCATGCCCAGCCCCAAGTTTGTTTTTAGAAAAAAAAACCTAGCATTGTCCCTTGCCTATAACAGACACTCAAATCCTTGTGGAATGTAAGGATGGAGGTTGGATGTGCCTGTGAATACTTGCTAGCTGATGACACAAGCAAAGAATGTGTCAGAACCTGCGCCTTTTGTCTCCTGTCCTTTATCTGCATTCTGTTGCCCGGGTTACTGGTATGGGGACATCTTTGGTGCTGAGGTCTAGGTTCCAATGAGTCAAAGGGAGAATTCAAACTAAGTTGTCTGGCAGCACCCCAAGACTGTGCTGACCTCACACACAGCTGTATCACGGGAGTGGGCAGTGCATCATCTCAAATCCAACTCAACTGAGCAATGGTTCGGGCTGAGTCACACCATGTATGAATCGGGGGGCGGGGGTATGTGGCTCCTCTCCAACAAGCCACACTGTCTGCTTCCCTGTCACAAAACACATGGAGCCGTTACTCTGTGTGAGGTACTGTTCTAGGAGCTGGAGACAAGAGTGAACAGGATGAACAGAAAACAAGTAGACAAACCAACAAGGCAATTTTACAGGAAGAAAGGAAGTAGGCCAGGCAAGGTGGCTCACGTCTGTGATCTCAACGCTTTGGGAGGCCCAGGCAGGAGGACTGCTTGAGGCCAGGAGTTCAAAACCAGCCTGGTCAACATAGCGATACCCCGTCTCTACAAAAAGTGAGATAAAAAGTCAGGCATGGTGGCTCACACCTATAATCCCAGCTACTTAGGAGGCTGAGGCAGGAGGAGGATTGCTTAAGGCTGGGTGTTTGAGACCAGCCTGGGCAACATAGTGAGATCCCCTGTCTCTACAAAAAAGGATAAAAATAAAAAATTAGCCAGGCATGGTGGTGCACACCTGTAGTCCTAGATACTCAGGAGGCTGAGGCGGGAGGATCACTTGAGCCTAGGAGTTGGAAATTAAAATGAACTATGATGGCACCACTCCAATCCAGTGGTCCTGTCTGGGGGAAAAAAAAGGGAAAGAAAATAAATCGGCTAGGCGTGGTGGGGTTCATGCCTGTAACCCCAGCACTTTGGGAAGCTGAGGCGGGCACATCACTTGAGGTCAGGAGTTTGAGACCAGCCTGGCCAACATGGTGAAACTCTGTCTCTACTAAAAATACAAAAATTAGCCAGGTATGGTGGCGGGCACTGGTAATCCCAGCTACTCAGGAGACTGGGGCAGGAGAATCACCTTAACCTGGGAGGCAGAGATTGCAGTCAGCCGAGATCATGCCACTGCACTCCAGCCTGGGCGACAGAGGAAGACTCTGCCTCAAAAAAAAAAAAAAAAAAGGACCAAAAATCAAACAACAACAACAACAACAACAAAAAGCAAGCAGGGAAATTGAGAGAGAGAGAGAGAGAGATGGGCAGGGCCTGTCAGGAAAGGCCTGGGACATTTGAATGGGTGAGAAGGAGCCACTATCTGAAGAGCGTTCCAGGTAGGGGCACCAGCGGGAACTTAGCCTGAACCATGGCTCGGTTGAGTTGGACTTGAGATGTCGCACCGCCCACTCCCATGATGCAGCTGTACGTGAGGTCAACACAGCCTTGGGATGCTGCAAAACAGCTTAGTCTGAATTCTCCTTTTTTTTTTTTTTTTGAGACAGAGTCTCACTCTGTTGCCCAGGCTGGAGTGCAGAGGCGATCTCGGCTCACTGCAACCTCCATTCTCCTGGGTTCACGCCATTCTCCTGACTCAGCCTCCTGAGTAGCTGGGATTACAGGCACTCACCACCACACCTGGCTAATTTTTGTATTTTTAGTAGAGATGAGGTTTCACCATATTGGTCAGGCTGGTCTCGAACTCCTGAGCTCAGGTGATCAACCCACCTTGGCCTCCCAAAGTGTTGGAATTACAGGCGTGAGCCACTGTGCCCGGCCTGAATTCTCCCTTTGACCTCATGGAACCTAGGCCTCAGCACCAAGGATGTCTGAAGCTCTGAAGCTCTGAGGTGGGAGGAGGCTGGAGGAGGGGCCCTGGCTGCTCTGCCTGCAGCCACAGGGAGAGTGCACTGGAGCCAGCTGTAAAGTGCTGACTTTAGTTAGGAGCTGTTTGCCCTCAGCTGATGGTTACCTCATCCGTTGATCATATCGTCCTCTCCTGATCTGTGATACGTTCTGATAAGCTGCTGCAGCCAGTCAGAAACTGACAGCCCCCTTCTGGTTCCATGCCCTTGTGGTATCTTGACAACAGAAACCCACATTGAGCCACACTGTCCTTGTCAGCATCCCGCAATGACAGATAGGGTAAAGGTCAGATATGGGGCACCCAAAACAGAATGGGAAGCATTTTAAGATGAAAGGGGGCCAGATGTGGTGGCTCATGCTGGAAATCCCAGCACTTTGGGAGGCTAAAGCAGAAGGATTGCTTGAATTCAGTTGTTTGAGACCAGCCTGGGCAACATAGCGGTAGCCCATCGCTAAAAAAATTAAAAAATTAGCTGAGTGTGCTGGTGCATGCTTGTATTTGCAACTACTCAGGAAGCTGAAGTGGGAGGACTGCTTAAGCCCAGGAGTTCCAGGCTGTAGTGAGCTGCAATCACGCCATTGCACTCCAGCCTGGGCGACAGAGCCAGACTCCATTTCTTTAAAAAAAAAAAAAAAAAGCTGGGCCCAGTGGCTCATGCCAAAGTGCTGTAATCCCAGCACTTTGGGAGGCTGAGGCGGCAGGTCACTTGAGGTCAGGAGTTCCAGACCAGCCTTGCCAACACGCTGAAACCCCATGTCTGCTAAAAATATAAAGATTAGCCAGGTGTGATGGCTGGCACCTGTAATCCCATCTACCCAGCAGGCTGAGGCAGAAGAATTGCTCGAACCCAGGAGGCGGAGGTTGCAGTGAGCTGAGATTGCACCACTGCACTCCAGCCTGGGCGACAGAGTGAGCGACTCAGTCTCAAAAAGAAAAAAGAAAAAGGAAAAAAAAAAAAAGCAAGGGAATGCAGATGTCTCCAGCTGTATGGGCACCTGGGCACCTGGTCACCAGCATGCACCAACAGGGGAAATGGAGGGAAAGGAAGAGTGTGGGCCTAGCCGGGGGACAGGATTTGAGTTAGCCACTGCCCTCATTTGCCTGTAGGCTGGCCCTTCCTTACAGTTCAACCTGCTGCAGCCCAGCTGTACCTGTTTTGAAACCACCCTGACAGGCTAACATCAGGAAACCCTATCTGGTGGGAAAGGGAAGTTTCCCAGATGCCTCCCCTCCACCAGCTGCTGCCCCTACAGGCCCATGGTGCCAACATCTTGGGAATAGGGCCCCAATTACACAGACTCTGCCACCCCATCCTTCCAGTTGCTCAGGCCCTGAGAAATCTCTGATTCTTCTCTTTACCCCATCAGCAAATCCTTTCCACCCTGTCTTCAGAATAGCTCCCCAATCCAGCCACTTTTTAGCACAGCCCTGGTCCAGGCTCTCAGCACTTTCTCAGCTGTGTCTCTGCAGCATCTGCTCTCTGGTTCCCTACTTCACACCACGCAGCAGCCAGAATGGTCTTATAAAAACATAAGCAGGGCTGGGTGCAGTGGCTCACACCTGTAATCCCAAAACTTTGGGAGGCCAAGGCGGGAGGATCACTTGAGCCCAGGAGTTCAAGACCAGCCTGGGCAACATAGTGAAACCCTGTCTCAACAAAAAATAAAAAAATTAACCAGGTGTGGTGGCACATGCCTGTAGTCCCAGCTACTGAAGAGGCTAAGGTGGGAGGATCACTTGAGCCCAGGAGATTGAGGCTGCAGTGAGTCGTGATTACACCACTGTACTCCTGCCTGGGTGACAGAGTGAGACCCTGTCTCAAAATAGATAAATAAATAAAAACATAAGTAGGCTACGTCTCTTCCCTACTCAGAACCCCACAGAGGCTCCCCACCTCTCTGATCAAAGCTAGAGTCCTCCCAGAACTTGCAAGTTCTGCTCCACGGGCCTTCTGTCTGCAGCACTCTCTGGCCTCATCTGCTTCTCTTTTCTCCCATCTCCCTGTGACTCTGGGGACTGCGATTCTCTGGGGATTTCTCTGGGGACTGCGATTTGATGACATCTTTCAAAATGAAACACCCCGGCCGGGGATGGTGGCTCACGCCTGTAATTCCAGAACTTAGGGAGGCTGAGGTGGGCAGATCACTCGAGGTCAGGAGTTCAAGACCAGTCTGGCCAACATGGCAAAACCTCATCTCTACTAAAAATACAAAAATTAGCCAGACGTGGTGGGGCAAACCTGAAATCCCAGCTACTCAGGAGGCTGAGGCAGGAGAATCGCTGGAACCTGGGAGGAGGAAGTTGAAGTGAGCTGAGATTCCACCACTGCATTCCAGCCTGAGTGACAGAGAGAGACTCCGTGTCAAAAAAATAGAGAAAAAAAAGGAAACAAAACAAAACAAAAGAAAACAAAAAAACCAAAATGAAACATTCCATATTATTTGATCCAAGAAGCTGATATCTACAGATTTACTGTATGGATATACTTTTCTGGTTTTTTTTTGTTTGTTGTTTGTTTTGTGATAATAAAAAATTGGGAGCAACCTGTCTATCAGTAAAGGCTCTGGTTAAATAAAGATCATGGAGCATCCACATGGTAGGAATCCCACACACCTGTTACAAAGAACGAGGCAGGTCCACGTATGCCAATGTAGATCAGGCCCTGACATGTACTGTTCAGCGGAAAAAAGCAAGGCATGAGGATGGCCATGCGTCTCCACACCCATTCAGCGAGGACTTCCTGAGTAGCCCCCATCACAGCACTCGCCGGTGCTGGGGATTCAGCGGTAGACAAGGCCTGGCTCCATGGAGCTGACCATTGCAGCAAGATGGGCCAGAGATTGATGAATAGTGATTACTTAAAACTCACAGAATTTATACATGTAGAAAAGGGGAGGAGACTCTGATTTTCTTTTTCTCTTTCTTTCTTTCTCTTCTGTTCTCCCCTTCTTTCTTTCTCTCTCCCTCCCCTTCTTCCTTCCTTTCTTCCTTCCTTCCTCTCTTTTCTTTCCCGTCCCTCCCTCCCTTCCTCCCTCCCTCCTTCCCTTCCTTCTTTCCTTTCTCTCCCTTTCTTTCTCTTTCTTTCTTTTTCTTTCTCTCTCTCTTTCTTTCTTCCTTCCTTCCTTTCTCTCTTTCTTTTCCTTCTTCTTTCTGTCTCTCTCTTTCTTTTCTTTTCTCTCTCTCTTTCTCTTCCTTCCTTCCTTCCCTCCTTCCTTCTTTTTTCTTTCCTTTGTTTCACAGGATCTCACTGTGTTGCCCAGGCTGGAGTACAGTGGCATAATCATAGCTCACTGCAGCCACAACCTCCTAGGCTCAGGTGGTCCTCCCACCTCAGCCTCCTGAGTAGCTGAGACTACAGGTACACAGCACCATGCCTGACGAAAACTTTATTTCTTATAAAGGGTTACAGCCTGCAAGGTGGCTGTCCCACAGGCTGGGAAGTGTGCCTT
The DNA here is from genome assembly GCF_000001405.40 of Homo sapiens. NCBI lineage: Eukaryota > Metazoa > Chordata > Mammalia > Primates > Hominidae > Homo > Homo sapiens. The sequence continues at coordinate 35,400,281 of NC_000019.10, read as the reverse complement.
CGGCCAAGACCAGAGACAGGTACTTCGAAGGAAGAGGGTTTGGGGTAGGAGTTTTATACTGAATGGGTTGGCTAAACATACATATTCAACAGATTACAGGAGAAGCTATGAATATTCATGAGGTAGTCATGACACATGCATATTGAACAAATATGCATGTAACATACAACCTATGTTGGCCAGGTGTAGTAGCTCACGCCTGTAATCCCAGCACTTTGGGAAGCCAAGGCGGGCAAATCACTTGAGGCCAGGAGTTTAGGACCAGCCTGGCCAACATGGCTAAACCCGTCTCTACTAAAATTTAGCCAGGCGGAGGGGCGCGCCTGTAGTCCCAGCTGCTTGGGAGGCTGAGGCATGAGAATCACTTGAACTTGGGAGGCAGAGGACGCAATGAGCAGAGATAACGCCACTGCACTCCAGCCTGGGCGACAAAATGAGACTCTGTCTCAAAAAACAAACAAACAAATAAACAAAAAACCAACCTATGTTCACCTTGGAGTGGAGACTTAGCATTTAAATGTTATTACAATTAGGCCCTAAATATCAAAAGGTATTTTCAAGACAGGAAGGCAACCTGTGAGCAACCTCTGTAAACCAGCCAGGACCAGTCCCTGTTCTTCTTACCAGGAGAAAGTGGCTGAAATCAGTCTCTTCTCCAATCAAAGCTGTAGTTGTGGCTGGTGGAACAGAGGCTGGAGGTCAGTTATTCAGCATCTGCAGGAGCTTCCAAATGTTTCAACACTGCTTATCCTGAGGCCAGTGCTTGTTTATCTGCTAGAGAAAAAGAAAAGCCTCGTGGCAGTTAGAGCATAAGTTATTCTTTAAGTGTAGAGGTGCGTGACTTACCACTTGCCTGGCATGACCTTAGTTCTATTTATAATTTGGTATCTTACTTCCATAAAGGGTCCGTTCTGTCAGTCTTATGATCTCTATTTTAACATGAATGCTGGTCAGTGTCTGAACTGTAAAAGGTAAAGACGTATAATGAGGCATGTCTGACCTCCCATCCTATCATGGCCAGGAACTCAAGTTTTAAGGTTTTTCTGGGGTCCCCTTGGCCAAGAGGGAGTCTGTTCAGTCACTGGGGGGGCTTAGGATTTTTTTTTTTTTTTTGGGAGACAGAGTCTTGCTATGTCACCCAGGCTGGAGTGCAGTGGTGTGATCTCAGCTCACTGCACCCTCTGCCTCCCGAGTTCAAGCCATCCTCCCACGTCAGCCTCCAGAGTAACTGGGACTACAGGCGCACTCCACCACGCCCAGCTAATTTTTGTATTTTTAGTAGAGACGGGGTTTGGCCATGTTGGCCAGGCTGGTCTTGAACTCCTGGCCTCAAGTGATCTGCCCGCCTCGAACTCCCAAAGTGCTGGGATTACAGGCATGAGCCACCACGCCCGGCCAGAATTTTAAGTTTACAACAGTTACATTACCACAAAGCCTGGGGCTGTGGGCTGGAGTCGGGTAGGAAGCCTCAGATTGGGAGAACAGAGGAAGGAAGGCGGCGCAGGCAGCCCAGGAAGGCCCTCGGAGGAGGTGGTATTTAAGGAGAGAACTCCAGCAGGAGAGTCGGAGGCTCTAGGGACATTCTAGGCAGAGGTACAGCAAGTCATGAGATGAGCCATGGGGTGTCAGAGGAGGCCGGGGAGGCCAGAGAGGCTGCAAGGGGACAGGGTGGGGGAGAGCCGTGGGAATGAGGCAGGGGCAGGCGACTGGGTCCAGCTCACGTAGGGCTTTGTCGCCACAGTAGGATGTAGAATGATATCCGGAGAATGATGGGAAGCCCCTGGAGGGCAGAGGTTGTGCCGTAATCTGTGTCACATTTCCGAAGGACCCATCTGGATGCTGAGTGAGGAAAAGACTTGGGGAAGGGTCACCCATGAACCTATTCTCCGCGGCTGTCTCTGGGAAGGGGCTCTGGGCGTTGGCGCGGGAGGGAAACTCACCTTTCCCCGTATATCCTTTTCTGCTGTTGAAGAAATTTTCTAAGTATGTGAGTATGTGTGTGAATGTTTAATGTTACTCAAAAAATAAATTAAAAGCAAGAAGAAAGTGATTAAGGCGATAGTTCCTGTAAGAGGCAAGCGGCATGGCCCACTCTGTCCAGCCACAGCCCTTTCTTCTGTTGAGCTGTTGAGTGTATGGGACCCAAATAGACATAAAAAAGAAAAAGGGACCAGGTGCTGTGGCTCACACCTATAATCCTGGCACTTTGGGAAGCTGAAGTGGGAGAATGATTTGAGCCCATGAGTTTGAGACCAGCCTGGGCAACACAGCAAGAACCCTGTCTCTACAAAATAAAAATTAAAAAGCTGGGCGTGATGGCATGTGCCTGTAGTCCCAGTTACTTGGGAGGAGGAGGCAGGAGGATCACTTGAGCCCGGAGGTAGAGGCTGCAGTGAGCTACAATTGCACAACTGCACTCCAGCCCAGGCTACTGACTGTCTCAAAAAATAAAAATTAAAAATTAAAAAAAGAGAAAAAAATGTAAAAAAGCAAACCTTTTTTTTTTCTTTGATAGAGTCACTCTCACCAGGCTGGAGTGCAGTGGTGCAATCTCGGCTCATTGCAACCTCCACCTCCTGGGTTTAAGCGATTTTCCTGCCTCAGCCTCCCGAGTAGCTGAGCCTACAGGTGGCTGCCACCATGCCTGGCTAATTTTTGTATTTTTAGAAGAGACAGGGTTTCACTATGTTGGCCAGGCTGGTCTCGAACTCCTGACCTCAAGTGATCCACCTGCCGCGGTCTACCAAAGTGCTGGGATTACAAGCGCGAGCCACCACGCCCAGCCGAGAAAACAAATTTTTTAAAAGGGAAAAGGGTATAGCCACCAGCTGCAAGGCAACTGGATCTCTGAGCCACACCCCTGCCCACTCTTGGCATTATCCAGCACCTGAGATTTTGCCAGTCACATGGATATCAAGTAGCGTCTCCATGCCGTTTTAGTGTAGTCTCATTTTTCTGATTACTAATGGTTTGCACATCTCTCAACAGAACGCAGGCTTCCTTGCTCATCATCATTGTGCTGGACTCGTGTCTCAGCAATCGCTGTTAATTGCAGCAACAGAGACCAACTCTGGCTCATTTAGGGATTTAATGATAAGATATTGGGTAGCTCAGAGATGTGCCAGGAAGGCTGGAAAACCAGGCTTCTAGAATCAAGGAAGCTGCACAGCCAGGGCCACATTAAAAGTCATGCCATTAACTCAGTCCAGGAAGGACGTGGGAGTCCCCCCGCCACCGCACACTAGGACCTAGAGCCACATTCTGTCTGCCACCACTACTGCCACTGCCAGAAATAATTTTCTGCTTTTCCTCCTTTGTGCCATTAGCCTCAGATTCAGAATTTGGGGCAGGTGCACCTGATTGGCTAAACGCAGGCATCAGGGATGCTTGGAAAACAAGGTCCCTGCATCAGTAGCTTCTCTAGTGGGAGATGGGCTCTGCCTCCTCACAAGGCTCATACTTGGCCAGTTCCCTAAACACAGAAGGGGTTCAGAAGCCAGGAAACCAAAAGATGGCCACTGTCCCCTCAGGGCCTTTCAGAGGTCAGGACAGCCTACACCTCTTCCATTTTTTGTTTCCCAGTGTATGAAAAATATGATGCAATACCAAAACCGTGAGATTTATATATTCGTGTCCTCATTTGAGGTGACCAAAACCATGCTGTTGGCTGGTTGCAGTGGTTCACGCCTATAATCCCAGCACTCTGGGAGGCCGAGGTGGGCGGGTCACCTGAGGTCAGCAGTTCGAGACCAGCCTAGCCAAGATGGCAAAACCCTGTCTCTACCAAAAATACAACAATTAGCCGGGCGTGGTGGCTCACACCTGTAATCTTAGCTACTCGGGAGGCTGATGCAGGAGAATTGCTTCAACCCGGGAGGCAGAGGTTGCAGTGATCGCGCCACTGCACTTCAGCCTGGGCGACAGAGCGGGACTCCATCTCAAAAAAAAAAAAAAACAATAACAGAGCAACATTCTTAATGTGAAATAAGTAATGTTCACAAAATAGTTTTAGCATGTTATTTGTTTGTTTTTGACAGAATTCAGCACAGTGGAGAGCTAGAAATAGGCCACAGGTTTAAAGTTGGGTGCTGCCAAGACAGCCCTGTGACTGTATGTTTACCTTCATTCAGTATTCATGACAGAAGAGTGATTATGAGGCCGGGGCCAGATGGCCCAGGACTGCGATTCAGCGTTGCTGTGAGTACAGGACTTGTCCTTGGGCAGCGGCCCCTCCCAGCACAAGCAGCCTGGTCTCTTCCGCCGGCCCAGAGCTGCACTGGATGTCGTGCAGACGCTGAATGCCAAAGAGGTCAATTACAGCACAGCACCCTCCTTCTTAGAGAAAACACTCCTGCTTTCAATGCCTGAGGCTTGGGAACGGTTTAAGCACCTCGCTCCTCCGCAGCCCCGGGGATGGGCACTTAGAAGCCTGAGCATGTTAAATCATTTATTTATTCCCATGATTCCAGCCACCCTCACAGTGACCCTGGAGGTCTCCAGGCAGCTTGAATCCCTGTGCTGCCTTATCTGCTCTCACTTGGTCAGAATCAAGGTGCTGAATGGTTTCCCATTATTATTTCTCTAATTTTAAAAAGTTGCATTATAATGTGTGAATATAGCCTTTAAAAAAACCCAACGGTACAAAAGTAAAATGTGAAATGCCGTTTCACTTCTCCCTGACACTTCTCCATTCCCAGAGGAAACCTCTATTTTGTTTATGTCCATATATGTGCGTATACAAATATTTGGTTTAAAAATGCATACACGGGGCCGGGTGTAGTGCCTCACACTTGTAATCCTAGCACTTTGGGAGGCCAAGGCAGGCAGATCACTTGAGCCCAGGAGTTCGAGACCAGCCTGGGCAATATAGTGAAACCCCGTCTCTACTAAAAATACAAAAAATTAGCCAGTGTGGTGGTGTGCACCCATAATCCCAGCTACTCGGGAGTCTGAGGCAGGAGAATTGCTTGAACCCAGGAGGCAGAGGTTGTAGTAAGCCGAGATCGCGCCATTGCACTCCCGCCTGGGCGACAGAGTGAGACTCCGTTTCAAAAAAAAAAAAAGCATAACTGGGGCTGGGCCCGGTGACTCGCGCCTGTAATCCCAGCACTCTGGGAGGCTGAGGCAGGCGGATCACCTGAGGTCAGGAGTTCGAGACCAGCCTGGCCAAGATGGTGAAACCCTGTCTCTACTAAAAATACAAAAATAAGCCAGGCATGGTGGCAGGCGTCTGTAGTCCCAGCTACTCGTGAGGCTGAGGCAGGAGAATCACTTGAACCCAGGAGGCGGAGGTTGCAGTGGGCCGAGATGGCACCACTGCACTCCAGCCTGGGTGACAGAGCAAGACTCCATCTCAAAAAAAGAAAAGAAAAAGCATAAATGGAATCATACTCCATATTTTTTTTGAAATTTTATTTTTCACCTTACAATATGCTTTAGTGATCTTTTCATGGCAGCCTATACCAATCTAGAGTCTTTCTAATGGCTACATGGTATTTCATTTTAGGACTGTCTTATAATTTATGTAACCATTTAGGATTAATTTACATAGTTTACAGTTCTCTTGGTATAACAAACAGTGCCTCTGCAAATTTATCTATTACCTATCTATCTATCTATCTATCATCTTTCTATCTAGCTAGCTAGCTAGCTATCTGAACAGGTGTGAGTATTTTGGTTAGATGAATCTTTAGATCTATAATTTATGTAATTGCTAGTTCAAAGAGGTATGCCTTGAAATTGTTGATAGATATTTGCATATTACCTTCCTGATAGTGTTTGGTAATTTACATTTCCACCAGCTGTACATGGCAGAATCCCTTCCCCTGCACCTTCTCCAACACTGGATGTTTGAATCTTTAATGTTTTTCCTCATTATGGGTAAGGATGGGTAAAAATGATGAAATCTTGTTGTTTTAGATTACATTTAGAGGATTCTTCCTACTTAAGTGATCCAGGTTCATTTCAAACCACTGTAGGAAAGGATGGACTATTCAGTAAATTATGTTGGGATAGCTGCCTATCCACTGGGAAGAATTACAGCCAGGTAACAAGAATAAAAGGCAGGTGCATTCAAGATCAAAAATGTTTTTAAAAATAATAAATGTTGTGTAGGTATTGTGTAATTTTAAAAGTCTTATAAATAAGGAGGCTTTTTCCCAGTATGACATAATGTAGAAGTCATCAAAAAATGATGAGAAATTTGAGCACATAAAAAGAGATAACCTATGAAAAACATTACAATCAACAAAGTAAAAGGCCACTATCCTTCTACTTATACACCTGATATGAGGTTTGTAAGCCAATATTCAAAGAACTCCTGTAAGTCAAATAAGAACAAAGCAAGTATTGGGAGAAACACAAATGACTCTACACAATATGTAAATATTGTCTATCTCATTTTTAATCTGGGAGATTAATATGAAAATAATACAGAGTATGACGGTTAATTTTATGTGTTGGCTTGGCCACGCCACAGTGCCCAGATATTTGGTGAAACGTTATTCTGGGTGTTGCTGTGAGGGTGTTTTTGGATGAGATTGACATTTACATTGGTGGACTCTGAGCAAAGCAGATTGCCCTCCAAAATGTGGGGGACTCCTCCAGTCACTGAAGGCCTGAACAGCACAAAAGGCTGACCTCCACATGCAAAAGAGAATTCTCCTGCATGCTGGATTCAGACTTTGTCTGCAGCAGTGGGTCTTCCTGGCTCACCAGCAGGCTCTCTTTAGACTCAACCACAACTTCTTCCTGAGCCTCGAGTCAGCCAGCTTCCTCCGTCAGATTTTGGGCTCATCAAGCATTCACAATCACATGAGCCAATTCCTTAAATAAATCTCTTTATACACACATGCAGACATGCAGACACACACACACACACACACAAACACACACACAGAAACACACAGACACACACACGGAGACACACAGTAACACACAGACACACACATGGACACACACACAGACATGCACACAGAAACACAGAGACACACACAGACACAGAGAGATATACACACACACAGAGAGACACACAGACCCACAAAAACACACAGAGACACACAGAAACACATACAAACATGCACACAGAAACACATACACAGAGACACACATTAACACACAGAGCCACAAACATACATGCACACAGACGCACACAGAGACATACAGACACACACATGGAGACACATATACAGACACACACAAAAACACACACAGAGAGAAACACACACACAGACATGCACACAGAGACACACATAGAGACACAGACAGAGACACACATACAAAAACATACAGAGACACACAGAGGTACACACACACAGAGACACACACAGACATGCACAGAGACACACACACAGATACATACACAGACACACACACAGACACACACACACCGCAGAGACACACATACACACACAGACACATGCACAGAGACACAGACACACAGACACACCCACAGACACACATACACACACTCTATTGGTTCTGTTTCTCTGGAAATCCCAGACTAATACTTAAGTTTCTAAATTCTAAATATCATCTCAAAAAATTAAAATACAATATTTTCTCTTGTCAGCAGAGTTATGGGGTCTCTTACAGACTGTTGGGGAAGAAAGGGTTGACTCAGCCGGGGAAGGTAATTCATCGATATTTATCAAAGCTTTACATGTACATATCATTTAATTCAACAGTACGACTTGTAGGAAATGCACAGTGCACGTGCCTTTATGTAAAAGGATGTTCTCATAGCATTATTTATAATAGTAGAAAATTAGAGATATTTTTAAAAAATCATTCATTCATTTATTCACCATCAAATGCCCAGTCTGTGCTAGGCACGGTTTTAGGCACCCACTGGGTATATAGTGACAAAGAAAACTGACGTGGTGACTGCTGTCATGGGCTTCTCAGTCTAGTAGGAGTCACGTTAAACAAATGAACACACACATACAAACATCAAACCATGAGAGCGCAGTGTGAGATAATATCAGAAGGGGGCTACTTGATATTGGATGATCAGGGAAAGCCTCTCTAAGGCGTGACATTGGACAGAAACTTGGAAGAAGTGGGGAACTAGCCAGGTAAAGAGTGGAAGGCATGGTGCATGCAGACATTCAGAGCTTGGCCTGCTCAAGGGACAGAGAGAAGTCCAGGCCAGAAGAGCGATGTCAGTGACACTTCTCTGGGGATGGCCCCAGAGAAGCTTGGAGAGAGAGGCAGGGCCTCAAAGGCTGTGAGGAGGAGGCCAGAATGGAAAGCCATTGAAAAGTTTTATTCAGGGCAATGACAGGATCCAATTTATATTCCTCATGAAACTGGCCTGATTGTCCCATAGATGCTTCTTTTGGATCAACGTAGAAATTCACCCTTCTTTTTTTTTTTTTTTTTTTTTTTTTAGATGGAGTCTTTCTCTGTTGCCCAGGCTGGAGTGCAGTGGTGCGATCTTGGCTCACTACAACCTCTGCTTCCCAGGTTCAAGCAATTCTCCTGCCTCAGTCTCCTGAGTAGCTGGGACTACAGGCACATGCCACCAAACCCGGCTAATTTTTTGTATTTTTAGTAGAGACAGGGTTTCACTGTGTTAGCCAGGATGGCCTTGATCTCCTGACCTCGTGATCCACCCACCTCGGGCTCCCAAAGTGCTGGGATTACAGGCATGAGCCACTGTGCCTGGCCCCCTCCTGGTCTTAAAGTTTGAAGCCTGCATTTGTCTTATCTGAGTTCTTGCCACAGGAAATCAACGAATTGAAACTCACCAGATCACTGCATCCAGACAATGAGATGCCAGACCCCTCATCCCTCCTGATTTCCTTATCCCTCCCTAATTCCTTTGACCAACTCCTCTTCCTTACCTCTCCCTAACTCTGGTTTTCCCACATGTAGTTACATTTCTTCCCTGCTGTATAACCCCCTGATTTTAGTTGACTAGGGAGATGGATTTGAGACTGATCCCCATTTTCCTTGGCTAAAGCACTCAATTAAAGCCTTCTTCCCAGGCAGTACTCATTGTCTTGGTGATTGGCTTTCTGTGCAGTGAGCAACGGGACCTAGACTGGAGCCCTGGCATTTCAGTAACAGATTTTGGTTCCCTACCTGGGAACACATTGCTTGTGGCTCAGCTGCTGCAGACTGGGACTTTCAGAAGCCCCCTGTACAGCTGTCTGACCTTTTTTTGGCTGGAGGTGGGTTTCCATCTTTTTCTCTTTGGCTCTGCTGCTGCCAGCCCCAAATGTATTGCTGATTGCCTAGGAAGAACAGACTTTGAAATTTGATATCTGTGTCTGGATGGATGAGTGTCTTTTCTGGGTTCCAGACAGCAGGAAGGGCTCCTCTCAATTTGGGAATTTTCTAAGGAATTTCCATTTGCAGGTTGAATAAGCCCAAATGATGGAGGGAGGAAAGCACCATGACTGTTTCAGTTTGGACACTCTTGGGGCTTGTTAGTGAGAACTAAGCTCTGATTTTTAAAATCTTGCCCAAATTCCTATCTAAGGGGTCTAGAGAAGTCATGCTCTACAAACCATAAATTCTCATCAGATTTTTGTTGTTGTTGTTGAGACAGTCTTACTCTGTTGCCCAGGCTGGAGTGCAATGGTGCGATCTCAGCTCACTGCAACCTCTGCCTCCTGGGTTCAAGCAATTCTCCTGCCTCAGCCTCACGAGTAGCTGGAATTACAGGTGCCTGCCACTACGCCCTGCCAATTTTTGTATTTTTCGTAGAGATGGGGTTTCACCATAATGGCCAGGCTGTTCTCGAACTCCTGACCTCAGGTGATCTGCCTGCCTCAGCCTCCAAAAGTGCAGGGATTACAAGCGTGAGCCACCATGCCCAGCCCAGATGGGTTTTATTTAACTTACATATTGTGACTTACTTTCCAATCTTACTCTGGTATAACATTACACGACAAAGAAGAAAGTCATAATATTTTACCCCAAAACATGTTTCTTTGCCATATTTTGAAATGGCCCTGCAAAGTTGTCCTTTGTGGGGGGGAAATGTGCATCTGTAAAGAATCTCTATTAACATAGCTAGATCTTTTTCTTTCAGGCCCTCCCAATCCTGAAGAGATTAACTAAGAGTCTAGCACCTTTTAAAGGTCTGAATAGGAAACATTTGTCAACTATTGTTTCTAAGGGCAGCCACTGTAAGACTTCAAAAGAACCTTGGTCTCCACAATCTTTTAACCTGAACATTTCCTTTCTATGATCCCAGGTCTTTAGACAAACTCAACCAATTGTCAACCAGAAGATGTTTAAATTTACCTATAGCCTGGAAGCCCCACCCTGCTTTGAGTTGTATCGCCTTTCTGGGCCAAACAAATGTATATCTTAAATGTATTTGATTGATGTCTCATGCCTCCTTAAAATGTATAAAACCAAGCTGCACCCCAACGACCTTGGGCACATGTTCTCAGGACCTCCTGGGGACTGTGTCATGGGCCATGGTCACTCATATTTGGCTCAGAATAAATCTCTTCAAATATTTTACAGAGTTTGACTCTTTTTGTTGACATTAGTAATTGTGTGTGTGCACAACTGCGTCTGGACATGTGAGTGATTTCTGGTGGGTACCAGAGGGCTTCTCTTGATTTGGGAAACTCAGAAGATATTTCTGTTTGCAGATGGAACAAGATCAACTTTTGCACTCTGATAACGCACTGACCCCACCCGAACCCATGACTCATGACTCAACTGGTTCTGTGGTTCCCACCCAGAGGCAGACTCAGTGCACGAGGACCATTTTCCACACCCCTACAGTTTTACCCCCAACCAATTAGCAGAACCCACTCCCTAGGCTTCTGCCCACCAAAGGTTTGGTTTGGCCTTTAAAAACCAACTGAGAGAGGAAGGCACCCCAGCTGTTTTAGTATGGACACACTTGGGGCTTGTTTGTTGCTGTAGCAGTTGAATTGCTTTTGATAATTGTTTGTTTATGTGTGTGTGTGTCAATATAGTTGTGAGAAACGAGAATTTGATCAATGGATATTCTTTTGCAACGCTCTGGCCCCTCCATGGGTCTCATTTTGCTGTTGAATGGGAAAGTGGGATGGAGTTCCATGTATCCAGGTTTTTATGTTGCTGTTCAAAGCCAGGTTGGGCTATAATTGCCTGAAGGATTTTTCTTGCCCACTGCACAGAAAAAAACAATTCACTGAGACCATGATACTGCAGTAGAGAAAGAATTTAATTAACACAGAGCTAGCCAAACAGAAAGACTGGAGTTATCACTCAAATCAGTCTCCCTGAGGATTCAGAAGCTAGGGTTTTTATGGATTATTTGGTGGCAGAGGTCTAGGAGATGGGTGCTGCTGATTAGCTGGGGATAAAACTGTAAGGGTGTAGAAAATTGTTCTTGTGCACTGAGTCTGCCTCTGGGTGGGATCCACAGGACCAGTTGAGTCATGAGTCATGGGTTCAGGTGGGGTCAGTTGGTTGCCAGAGTGCCAAAGTCTGAAAAACATCTCAAAAGACCGATCACGTTCTACAATAGCAATGTTGTCTATAGGAGCAATCGGGGAAGTCACGAATCTTGTGATCTCTGGCCACAAACTCCTGAGCAGTAAGAGATTATTGAAACTATGCCTACATTTTAACAGAATCCAGGCCCCTCCCATAATCCTAATGTTGTGGCCTTTCATTAGTTTTATAAATGTGGCTTCAGTCACTGAGCAAGGAGGGTATAGTTTTAGGGAAAGATTGTTATCATCCTTGCTTCAAAGTTAAACTATAAATTCCTCCAATGGTTAGCTTGGCTTATGCCCAGGAATAATGAGGACAGCCAGCCTGTAAGGCTAGAAGCAAGACGGAGTCAGTCATGCTAGACTTCTCTCACTGTCATCATCTTTGCAAAGGTGGTTTCAAGGCCTTATTAGTACATGATGTTCTTCTGTGGTACTGTTTGGCCTCAGTGTTCTTTGGAGTCTGGGGAGGTTGGGCCTTTAAAAATCAAACTATAGGCTGGGCGTGGTGGCTCATGCCTGTAATCCCAGCACTCTGGGAGGCTGAGGTGGGCAGATCACTTGAGGTCAGGAATTTGAGACCAGCCTGGCCAACATGGTGAAACCCTGTCTCTATTACAAATACAAAAATTAGCTGGATGTGGTGGCAGGCGCCTGTAATCCCAGCTACTTGGGAGGCTAACGCATGAGAATTGTTTGAATCTGGGAGGTGGAGGTTTCAGTGAGCCGAGATCATGCCACTGCACTTCAGCCTGGGCAACAAAGTGAGACTCCATCTCAATAAATAAATAAATAAAAATAAAACTATAGGTCATGCACAGTGGTTCATGCCTATAATCTCAGCGTTTTGAGAGGCCAAAGCAGGAGGATAACTTGAGCTTAGGAGTTTGCAGCCAGGCTAGACGACATAGGAAGATCCTTTCTGTACAAAAAAAATTAAAATATTAGCTGGGCAAGGTGGCATGCGCTTGTAGTCCCAGATATACAGGAGGCTGAGGTGGGAGGATAGCTTGAGCTTGGGAGGTCAGGGCTGCAGTGGGCTGTGGCTGTGATTGCACTACTGCACTCCAGCCTGGGCAGCAGAGCAAGACCCTGTCTCAAAAAATAAAAATAAAATAAAAATAAAACTATCATAGAAAGTGCTTTACTCAAAATTTTGGTTCATAGCCTTCATTGAATTACCTATCAGGGAAAACAAAGTTTACCTGTGTGAGTATGTTTATAAACTGGTGAATTTGTATTGCTATCTCACAGCAAGAATCCCTAGGAAAAGCTATTGGATCTTTTCAAGTACATATGTTCCTGGATGTTATATGTTGTTTTTGCAGGGTACCAAAATTGGCCAGTAAATAAAGGAGCACTCATAAATTAAGTGTATGGGTCCAAGCATTTTTCAAGTTTACGTGACTTAGGTAAATGTTTAATAAATAAGCTGGCTTTAAGATAATCGGTAAAATAAAAATAGAAATGTCTTCTGAATTGTCAGCATACATTTTTGTCTGGGTTTTATCTTTGTCTCTGCTAGATATTTTAAGGTGTCAGAGTTTGGCACAAAAGATTATAAGATTGTAAATCTAGCCAAGAACAAAATGATCTTTGTGTGATTTTTTGATAGGTAAGACTAATTTAATGTTGTTAGTTTAAAAAAGGCAGAGGAATCTTCTGAGTTACGGGTGAAAATACCCATGTGTTTAACTCGAAATTTCTTACTTAGGTGAACACCTGATATTCACAGGTTATAAAAATGGTTAATGAAGAAATAATGACTAGCTTTGTTTAATATCCCAATTTTCATTAGTAGGATAAATTGCTAAAAATGAATGAAATGTAAATGGGATAAATGCAGTAGGGAAATTTTTCATGTAATTTAAAATCTTGAAATTATATTGGGTGTTTATTGGATGTCTGGGACATTTCCAATTCAGAAAGGGTTATGATGTAGGCAAACATGTTTTTAAAAATTGTAGAATTGTCTTGCCAATGCTAACATCTGTTTGGCAGTTCAGGATTTCTTGCTTCCTAGGTTTTCACTAAAATTTAAGATTACTAAGAATAAGAATTCTAGTTAACATATAATTCTGTATGTAAAATGTGCCAAAGAAGATGCGTTCTTATTGAGAATAAGAAAAATTTTGTCTAATTCAGAAGTTATCTAGAGGTTGATTCACATTATGGGCTTGGGAAAGTTATTTATGAAACAAGGTAGAAAGCAAAGGGGAGAGAGATGTGAAGACAGTTATGGATATAAAGATGTGTTTTTGGTAAGGAAGGTTATAAAGAAAATACTTTTGTAGGAGAAAGGATCTTGCATTGTAAATTTCTGTCCTAAAGTAAAATGAGGGGTTATTTAAAATATAAAAAATTTAGGACAGGTGGGGCCCAGTGGCTCATGCCTGTAATTCCAGCACTTTGGGAGGCTAAGGCAGGCAGATCACCTGAGGTCAGGAGTTCGAGACCAGCCTGGCCAACATGGTGAAACCCCGTCTCTACTAAAAATACAAAAATTAGCTGGGCGAAGTGGCACACACCTGCAATGTCAGCTCTTTGGGAGGCTGAGGCAGGAGAATTGCTTGAATCCGGGAGGCAGAGATTGCAGTGAGCCAAGATCATGCCACTGCATTCCAGCCTGGGCAACAGAGCAAGACTCTGTCTCAAAAAATAAATAAATAAATAAATAAATAAATAAATAAATAAATAAATAAAATTAGGACACAACAGGAAGTCCAAGCATGTCATAGATGGTCTATGTAAGTCATACACAGTTTTTTATTTTTTTCTGTTTCTCTAAGTGTCTGTGTTCATGAACATACAGAAAAAACAGGAAGTTGAAAAAGTTTAGTTAATAAGATATTTTTGACTGGACGCAGTGGCTCAGGCCTGTAATCCCAGCAATTTGGGAGGCTGAGGCAAGGGGATCACCTGAGGTCAGGAGTTCAAGGCCAGCCTGGCCAACATGGTAAAAACCCATCTCTACTAAAAATACAAAAATTAGCAGGGCGTGATGGTGGGCACCTGTAGTCCCAGCTACTTGAGGGAGGCTGAGGCAGGAGAATCGCTTGAACCTGGGAGGCAGAGGTTGCAGTGAGCCAAGATCATGCTGCTGCACTCCAGCCTGGATGATAGAGCAAGACTCTGTCTCAAAAAAATAAAATAAAATAAAAATAAAATATTATTTAAAACATGGTGGAAAATTACAGAAATTTGACTAGTTAACATTGTTCATAGTTAAAGCTCTTAGTTGTGATGAAGTTAAAATAAGAAATATTGTGAAGAAATACATTGACAGTTTGGCAATTGTTTTTAATGTAGTTAAGCATGAAGCCAGATTTCGCATGCAGCCCAATTTCACATAAATGCTTGCATTGGTTTGTTTCACTCTGTATTTGCTATTTTGCATAGACGGTACTAGCACTAAGGGACTTACTGGTCATGTGCCTTAGGTGAATTTCTTTTTCTTTTTGTTTTTTAGAGACACAGTTTCACTCTGTCACCCAGGCTGGAGTGCAGTGGCATGATCTTGGCTCACTGCTACCTCTGCCTCCTGGGTTCAAGTGATTCTCCTGCCTCAGCCTCCAGAGTAGCTGGGATTATAGGTGCACACCACCATGCCCAGCTAATTTTTATATTTTTAGTAGAGATGGGGTTTTGCCATGTTGGCCAGGCTGGTCTCAAACTCCTGGCCTCAAGTGATCTGCCCTCCTCAGCCTCCCAAAGTGCTGGGATTACAAGTGTGAGCCACTACACCCGGCCTCAAGTTAATTTTTTAATTGCATAGAATGTATAGTGGTGTTGGTGGATTTAAAGACATTAATTTGTGTACCAGGAACAAAATATCCATGGTGTTTTTGTTTGTTTGTTTATAGGCTCTGGGTAACACTGTAGCTTCCAAGGTGAAGTAAATAGGAGGTCGAGTGTGGTGGCTCATGCTTGTAATTACAGTACTTTTGGAGGCTGAGATGGGAGGATCAGTTGAGCCTAAGAGTTTGAGATCAGCCTCTGCAACATAGTGACATCCTGTCTCTACAAAAAATTTAAAAATTAGCCAGGCATGGTGACATGGATGAAGCTCAGTTACATTGTGCTGAATGAAAGAAGTCAGCTAGCCGGGTGCGGTGGCTCATGCCTGTAATCCCAGCACTTTGGGAGGCTGAGGTGGGCATATCACCTGAGGTCAGGAGTTTGAGACCAGCCTGGCCAACATGGTGAAACCCTGTCTCTACTAAAAATACAAAAATTAGCCAGGCATGATGGCGCATGCCTATAATTCCAGTTACTCGGGAGGCTGAGGCAGAAGAATTGCTTGAACCTGGGAGGCAGAGGTTGCAGTGAGCTGAGATTGCACCATTGCACTCCAGCCTGGGCATTGCAGTGAGATTCTGTCTCAAAAAAATAAATAAATAAATAAAATAAATAAAAAGAAGCCAGCTCAAAAGGTTACACACTGTAGGATTCTGTTTATGTGACTTTCTTTTTTTTTTTTTCTCATTAAACTTTTTTAATGGGTCTCAAAATTCTGTGACAAATTTTTGGTCAAGTTGCTTCCATTAAAAAGCACTGATTTTAAACACTAATAAATTAAAACTGCCACATGCAAAAGAGAAAACCAAAGTGGTCCACAAAACATTCTCCTTTCCTTCTGAAAGTTTTACTATGCATTGTTATCATTAACCAGTCTTTTACTACTAAACTTAAATAGCCAACTGAAACAAACAGTTCTAAGACCATTCTTCCACCACTGCTTAATACCAGGGTGGCAGGTATTAGGGATAATATTCATTTAGCCTTCTGAGCTTTCTGGGGATACTTGGTGACCTTGCCAGCTCCAGCTGCCTTCTTGTCCGCTGCTTTGATGACACCCAGTGCAACTGTCTGTCTCATATCACAAGCAGCAAAGCAACCCAGAGGTGGATAGTCTGAGAAGCTCTCAACACACATGGGCTTACCAGGAACCATATCAATGATGGCAACATCACCAGATTTCAAGAATTTAGGGCCGTCTTCCAGCTTTTTACCAGAAGAGCGATCAATCTTTTCCTTCAGCTCAGCAAACTTGCATGCAATGTGAGCCATGTGGCAATCTAGTACAGGGGCATAGCCAGCACTGACTTGGCCTGGATGGTTCAGGATAGATCACCTGAGCAGTGAATCCAGCTGCTTCCATTGGTGGGTCATTTTTGCAGTTACCAGCATTGTTACTACAATGAATATCCTTGACAGACACATTCTTGACATGGAAGCCCACATTGTCCCCAGAAAAAGCTTCACTCAAAGCTTCATGGTGCATTTTGACAGATTTTACTTCAGTTGTAGTGTTGACTGGAGCAAAGGTGATCACCACACCAGGTTTGAGAGCAACAGTCTCCACTTGGCCATCAGGAACAGTACCAATACCACCAATTTTGTAGACATCCTGGAGAAGCAGGGCTTGTCAGTTGGACGAGTTGGTGGTAGGATGCAGTCCAGAGCCTCAAGCAGTATGGTTCCACTGGCATTGCCATCCTTACGGGTGACTTTCCATCCCTTGAACCAAGGCATGTTAGCACTTGGCTCCAGCATGTTGTCACTATTCCAACCAGAAATTGGCACAAATGCTACTGTGTCAGGGTTGTAGCCAATTTTCTTAATATAGTGCTGACTTCCTTAATGATTTCCTCATATCTCTTCTGGTTGTAGGGTGGCTCAATAAAATCCATTTTGTTAACACCAGTGATTAGTTATTTCACACCCAATGTGTAAGCCAGAAGGGCATGCTCTCAGGTCTGCCAGTTCTTGGAGATACCAGCTTCAAATTCACCAACACCAGCAGCAACAACCAGGACAGCACAGTCAGCCTGAGATGTCCCTGTAAAGATGTTTGTGATGAAGTCTCTGTGTCCTGGGATATACCAGGACGAGTCACAGACAAAACTCCTCAGACACCGGATTAAAGAAGGAAGAAGTTTTTATTCGGCCGGGAGCGTCGGCAGACTCGCGTCTTAAGAGCCAAACTCCCCAAAAAAGAAATTCCTAGCCCTTTTAAGGGCTTACAACTCTAAGGGGTCCATGTGAAAGGGTCATAATAGATCAAGTAAGCATGAGGAACGTGACTGGGGGCTACATACATCAGCTAACAGAACAAAAAGTTTTACAGTGCTTTCTCATACAATGTCTGGAATTTACAGATAACACCAGTAGTTTTGGTCAGGGGTTAATATTATTATTATTATTTTAACCACCAGGGCCAGGTGGTGGCACCAAAGTCGTCTAGCTATTTATCTTACTTTTGTTTCTTTCCAACTTTTTGCTTTCTCCCTTTTCTCCTGTCTTATAAACTAGGGAAAAGGGAAGGTTGGGTAGAAGCTGGGAAGGACAACAGGAGAAGTGGTGGTCTCATTCCTTAGGGGCATTAATGATAGTCATTCAGTACTTGCTGGTCTCAAATTTCCACAAGGAGGTATCAATGGTGATACCACATTCACGCTCAGCTTTCAGTTTATCCAAGACCCAGGCTTACTTGAAGGAGCCCTTTCCCATCTCAGCAGCCTTCTTCTCAAATTTCTTAATGCTTCTTTTGTTGATGCCACCACATTTGTAGATCAGATGGCCAGTAGAGGTGGACTTGCCCGAATCTATGTGTCCATTGACGACAATGTTGATATGAGTCTTCTCCTTTCCCATTTTGGCTTTTAGGGGTAGTTTCCATGACACCTGTGTTCTGTTGCAAACCTGTTGCGAAAAGCTATGTGACATTCTTGAGAAGATAAAACCCTAATGATAGCAGATCTGTGTTTCGTAGTGGCTAGGGGTGAAGGGAAGATGTGACTATCGTTGCTCTTTATCTTGATTTTGTTGGTGGTTACGGGAATCTCTCTGTCTGTTTGATTCACAGAACTGTACACCTTTTCCTGAAAACATTCATTTTATTGTATGATCATTTTAAAAATTAAAAAAAGAATCAAATCTCTAAAAAAAGAAAGAATGGGCTGGGCATGGTGGCTCATGCCTGTAATCCCAGCAATTTGGGAGGCTGAGGCTGGCAGATTGCTTTAGCCCAGGAGTTCAAGACCAGCCTGGACAACATGGCGAAGCCCCATCTCTAGTAAAAATACAAAAGTTAGCCAGGCATAGTGGTGCATGCCTGTAATCACAGCTACTCAGGAGGCTGAGGCAGGAAAATCGCTTGAACACAGGAGGTGGAGGTTGCAGTGAGCTGAGATTGTGCCACTGCCCTCCAGCCTGGGTGACAGAGTGACTCTGTTTAAAAAAAAAAAAGGAATGAATGAATGAATTAATGAATGACATCTGGGTTTCTGATGTGGGCAGACCGTGGGTGGTATTGCCATTTATAGAGGTGGAGTAGGCTGGGTGGTGGGGCCAGATTAGGAAGACGAAGTAAGGAGTTAGGTTTGGTCTTGAAAGTCTAGAAGTTGAGATGTCTCTCTATACAGTTGGATACACAAGGGTCTGGTGCTGGAGATGTGGGAGTCATGAATGTTAACAGCCATTGTGATGGATCAGAATGCCTGCAGACAGGAGAGAGAAAACGAACAAAGGCAGGCAGGGTCCGAGCCTGAGGAACACCTGCCTTCAGTGCCAGTTGGGAGGGGGAGTTGGGAGGAGAAGGAAGGAGAGCCAGCATCAGTCCTCGGAGCTTCCCTCCCTGCCTTGCCTGTGGCCTCCAAGATCTTTTTGTGGATGAGGGTGACAGCTTTCAGAGAACAGCTGTAGGGGCAGGGAGGGACTGCAAAATAAGAACGAGGGATGAGGAAGAACATCTTCCGACGTTCTTGTCAACTGCCTGTCTTGGGTTCTGAGTAAAAGTATGGGCCGTGCTTACGTGCAGAATCACACTTCTTCATGCTCCTTCCCCTTCCCTCCCGACCTCTGAGCCCTCCTCTGCCTCCACTGCTGCAGAGGTCACAGGCTGGAAACCTAGAAAGCAGTCCACAACCCTCAGGCCTGATTCACTTTCCCCACATAGATACTTAAACATTTTGAATTTGTTATCAGTTTTTTAAAAATGTAAGATTTCAAAAACAGCAATGACAATTGGATTTTCAGCTTGGAAAATTGGAAGGTATGACAGAGCTGCCCCCACAGCCCCATGTGGTGACAGGAGGTGAAATGAACCATTGCACTGTCCAGTTGCCGCCCTTTCCACCACGCCCTGCAGATCTCCAGCACCAAGATAAAAGCTGGTTGCCACGTATCATTTGTTTGCACATGGTTTCTACACTTTTATGTAACCTGGGTTATCATCCAGCAGTCACAGCCTCTGCAGAGCAGCCCAGCAAAAGCAGAGACTTGCTTGGCTGGAGGAAACTTAGCAAGATTGATATTAGGTACACAAACACTACAAGCCAGGAGGTGAGGTGACACCATTTTTTAAAAACAACATTATTGAGGCTTCATTGACACACCATGAAATGCACCCACTGGACGGAGAGAGTTCAATAAGTTTTGACTTCTTGTGTGACCCTCACTGCAATCAAGTGATCTAACATTTCCATCACCTGAAAATGTCCCTCTGTTATCTTCCCAGTCAACACCCTCCTCTCTCCCATCCCCAGCCCCTGGTAACTACTGGTCTGCTTTTTGTCAGAGGCTACATTGTGAGTCAAAAGGTTAGCTGGAAAAGCTGTAAGCAGAAGGGTTCACTGCAGAGTGAACAAACAGACCAGCAAGTGTGGGCCAGGGAAGAAGTCTGCAGGCCTGCAACGGCTGGGGATGCCTGGAAGTGCTCCTGCAAGTCATTGGATTGTTCACCAAAGGATACACAAACAAGGAGTTATTTTTATGGAGGCTTTAAGAGAGCATTCTAGACTGTTTAAAAAAAAGATGAGAGTAATGCTCTAAGCATAGAGAACCACTGGAAATTATCAAGGCTAGGTGCACTGGCTCATCCCTGTCATGCCAGCACTTTGGGAGGCCAAGGTGGGAGGATCGCTTGAGCCCAGGAGTTCCAGACCAGTCTGGGCCACATAGCGAGACCCCATCTCTACAGTTTTTTTTTTTTTTTAATTAGCCAGGCATGGTGGCATGCACCTATAGTCTCAGCTACTTGGGAGGCTGAGGCGGGAGGATTGCTTGAGCCTGAGAAGTTGAGGCTGCAGTCAGCCATGATTGCGTAACTGCACTCCAGCCTGGGTGACAGAGCCAGACCCTGTCACAGAAAAAAAAAAAAAGAAACAAAAAAAAAAAAAAAAGGGGAGGGGAGGGAAAAGGGAATCATCTAATTGTGTGTGTTAATTTTAAGTAGTAAATTAGGCATCCAAGACCGCATATCCCCATCTTCATGTGGGCATTGTGTGTGTTTGAGTGACTCCACAGGCACAAGGACTGGGTAGCTGTCCTGTGCCCAAGAACACTGAACAGAGACAAGTACTTTTCCACAGGATAACATCGCTCATGGTCCACATCAAGAAAGAGAGGTCTTTCAGCCCTCTCTTGTTTCCATGGCATCCAAGAGCCCTTAGTAAGTATGAGAATTTTTTTTTTTTTGAAATAGTCTCACTCTGTTGCCCAGGCTGGAAGGCAGTGGCATGATCTTGGCTCACTGCAACCTCCATCTCTTGGGTTCAAGCAATTCTCCTGCCTCAGCCTCCCAAGTAGCTGGGATTACAGGCCTGTGCCACCACACCCAGCTAATTTTTGTATTTTTAGTAGAGACAGGTTTTTGCCATGTTGGCTAGGCTGGTCTCGATCTCCTGACCTCAGGTGATCTGCTCAAGTATGAGAATTTTTATTAATAAAAGTGCAGGCTTGCAATTAAGATTGTCAGTCAGATGAACATTTTACCTTAAAAAGGTCCCATCTAGCACGTGTGTTTTTTTGTCTTGGAAAGCAATGTTCATGCAGCCCCAGCCAGTCAGCTCTCAAAAGCCTTCTTCTGAATGAGGAGAGTCCAGACATCTTGGTGCTAGAGCTAGTGTCTAGAACTGTAAGACATCTCCTGAGTTCAGCTGTAACAAATAAGGCAAATGCTAACATCACATAGCTCCTATAAGGCAAATAGGCAGAGTTTAGAAACTCCAGGAACCTAAAATATTTTAACGTGAGAGAAGATGTCAATGGGTAGGTTCTAGTAGGATATAAGCTGATCTATTATGTTAAGCTGCAAGTTAGAGGGTATCTGGCCAATAGTGAGTCAACAAAAGGAACATTTACTACAGTGACTTTGGAGGTTGGTGGTCCCACCTCAACAGGGTCAAGGACGCAGGCCCTTTACATCCTGCTGCTCTGCTGTCCTTAGCTTGTTTGCTTTCTTCCTCAAGTTTGTAACCTCATGGCCCCAATATGGCTGCTGTAGCTCCAAGTATCACATCCTTCCATAGAAAGTTCCAGATTAGAAGTAGGAGCGCAGCTCCTTACACATCTATTTTTTTAATGAGATAGAGAAAAATCTTTCCCAGAGGCCCCCAGCAGACTTATTTCCCTTTGTTGGCTGGAATTGGGTCACACTTCCATCTTAGGACCAGTCACCAGTAAAGGCGGTCAACAGCATCATGATTAGTGCCAATCACAATTTGACCCTTGAGACTGGGGGATCTGCAACAGGGGATGATTGATTGGGTTATCTCACTATACTCTTCTTTTAATTTTAATTTTAATTTTAATTTTCTTTGAGAAAGTGTCTCACTTTATCACTCAGGCTGGAGTGCAGTGGCCTGATCATGGCTCACTGCAGCCTCGACCTCCCAAAGTTCAGGTGATCCTCCTACCTCAGCCCCCCAAGTAGCTGGGACTACAGGTATGCACCAACATACTCCTCTAATTTTTGTATTTTTAGTAGAGACAGGGTTTAGCCATGTTGCCCAGGCTGGTCTGGAACTCCTGGGCTCAAGCTATCCACCTGCCTCAGACTCCCAAAGTGCTGGCATTATGGGCATGAGCCACCATATCCAGCCACTATATTCTTCTAAATCCATTAAAAGCACCCTCTCCTCAAAAAATATTTCCGTATCCCATTTCCTCTTTCACAACATTTTCTCTCTGCTAGCTCCACCCTGGCTCCCATGGGAGGTGAGCTCTGCCCTTCCCCACTTCTACCAGTGTTGATCAGCTTTCTTCTTCTTCTTCTTCTTTTTTTTTTTTTTTTTTTTTTGAGATGGAGTTTTCTCTCTTGTTGCCCAGGCTGGAGAGCAGTGCTGCAATCTCAGCTCACTGTAACTTTGCAACCTCACAACCTCTGCTTACCAGGTTCAAGCGATTCTCCTGCCTCAGCCTCCTGAGTAGCTGGGATTACAGGCACACGCCACCATGCCCGGCTAATTTTTGTATTTTTAGTAGAGACGGGGTTTCACCATGCTGGCCAGGCTGGTCTTGAGCTTCTGACCTCAGGTGATCTGCCTGCCTCAGCCTCCCAAAGTGCTGGGATTACAGGTGTGAGCCACCGCACCCAGCCATGTTGATCAGCTTTCATTCCTTCTATCCCATCTTTTCTCTGGAATGTGATCCCAGCAACATTTTCCCAGAACACAGGCTGCTGCTTTGATATTTTGATTTGCCTCCATATGAATGGCTTTTCAGAACTGGCCTCAGAGGAAAGTCAGAAGGCTTCCCACAGATGTTAATGAAGTTTTGGGAACCACAACCACCAGTATCTCTTGGGGACTTTTTACTGTTGTTTTCTAAACCAGAAGAGTCATGTCCTCAGAGAGGAAGGTCAAAAGTTGAGCACCTTCTCACACTATTCTCCCCCAATAAAAACCTCTGTCTCCTACTTGTAATTCCCAGAAACGGTGGTCTCACTTTTCTTCCAGGTGTCTTTGAGCTTTTATCGATGCTCAGCTTCATTTTTTTGGAAGAGTCCCGCAACTTATTTTGTAGACTCCCAGGCTTCTTGCTCTCCTTGTCTGGTCTTTGTTTCCCTTCTGATGTAGGGCAGATGAGCCCTAAATAGGGGTTTAGCCTGGGAAGGTTCTTGGCTTTGCCCAGAACCCAGAATTTATTTATTTAATTTTTAAATTTTTATTTTTTTTTTGAGATGGTGTGTCACTCTGTCACCCAGACTGGAGCGCAGTGGTGTAATTTTAGCTCACTACAACCTCCGCCTCCTGGGTTCAAGCAATTATCCTGCCTCAGCCTCCTGAGTAGCTGGGATTACACGTGCGGGCCACTACGCCTGGCTAAATTTTGTATTTTTTAGTAGGGACTGGGTTTCACCAAGTTGCCCAGGCTGGTCTCGAACTCCTGATCACAAATGATCTGCCTGCCTCAGCCTCCCAAAGTGCTGGGATTACAGGTGTGAGCCACTGCACCCAGCTCACCCAGGAAAGAATTTAAAGGCTAGCCAGTGGTAGAAGAAAGTGGTTTTATTAAAGTGATGGTGGTATAGTTCTGGCAGTGCAACAGCTCTGTGACTGCCCCTGCAGAGCAGGGCTACCCCATAGCAATGTGCTAAGAGTAGCCGCTTAGGGCAGTTTTGCATTCATATTTATATCTATTTTTCATTACATGCAGATTAAGGGGCGGTTAATGCCCAAAGTTTTAGAAAAAGGGTGGTAATTACCAGCTGTTGCTATGACCATGGTAAACTGACAGGGGACACTGGTGGGCATGTCCTATGGGAAGTCGCTTAAGCTCCGTCCTTGTTTCCCTGTTTTAGCTAGTCCTCAATTTGGTCCAGTGTCTGAGCCCCACCTCCAAAGTCAAGTCCAGCCTCCTACCTCCCTTCCACCTCCGCCGGCCCTGACCAGGTCTATGTCTGCCCCCTCCCAGCTGAACCCAGTTGAAGCCGGCTGACGGATCCTGTCTTGCAGCACAGCTTCCCATGCCCCACCAGGCATATGCACAGCCTGAGAGGCCACTTACTGCACTCTCTAGTGGATACATGTTTAACTCATAAAAAGGCACTGGCATCCTGTCTCCCAGTGGGGAATTCCTGCTCTCTCTCCTGTCTGCCACTGCCACTGGTTTACTGAGTAGTCTGAGCGTACTGGGCTCAAGCCTGCAATGGTCTCACTGCCTTCCATGGGATGGATTGAACCATCTTTGTCAGTTTCTTAGGTGGCTTCCAAAGGTTTCTGGTCACGCTTGGTGATTTATACATTTCTTTCTTTTCTTTTCCTTTCTTTCTCTCTTTCTTTCTCTCTCTTTCCCTTCCTTCCTTCCTTCCTTTCTTTCTTTTTTCTTTCCTCTCTTTCCTTTTTCTTTTTTTTCTTTCAGGGTCTTGCTCTGTTACCCAGGCTGGAGTGCAGTGGTACAATCACGGCTCACTGTAGCCTCGACCTCCTCCTGGGCTCAAGCGATCTTCCCGCACTCTTGGTGATTTACTCATTTCTTTTCTTTTCTTTTCTTCCTTTCCTTTCCTTTCTTTCCTCTTTCTTTCTTTCTCTTTCTTTCTTTCTTTCTTTCTTTCTTTCTTTCTTTCTTTCTTTCTTTCTTTCCTTCTTTCCTTTTCTTTCTTTCTCTCTTTCTTTCTTCCTTTCTTCTTTCCTTTTTTTTTTTTTTTCAGGGTCTTGCTCTGTTACCCAGGCTGGAGTGCAGTGGTACAATCACGGCTCACTGTAGCCTCGACCTCCTGGGTTCAAGCGATCTTCCTGCCTCAGCCTCATGAGCAGCTGGGACTATGGGCACATGCCACTATGCCCGACTAACTTTTTTTCTTAGATTACGGAGTCTTGCTTCAAGCAGTCCTCCCACTTCAGCCTCTCAAGGCACTGAGATTACAGGCGTGAGTCATCGCACCCAACCAACACTGGGTGATTTAAAATTTCTTGTTTCCTCTCACTCCCCTGTAAGCTGAGACTTGACCTATGGCCTCAGGAAGCTGTAGCCGAGATGGGTTGAATCTTCCCTTCCTCTTGTCCTTCTGGGTTGACCTGCCCTTGGTTTCGGTGAAGGAGGATCTCTCCTTCTAAAAAAGTTTCTCTTGTAAACCTTTAAAAACTTGTTTTGCTAATTAACAAAAGGATATTGCTAAGAAACCTTGTTCTCAAAAGTCAAAGATAGTCAGAAACTTAGCTGCATGAGATCATGAGTAAGAAAGGAACATATACTTCTGCTTAGAGGATCAGAGTCTCTGACACAGAGATGCAACCTTGATTTTCAACCCACCAGAGCTTCAGATAAGGAGTTTTCCAATACGAAGTTCTACCTTTATCTTTGCTTGGTATTTTCCAGAGAAACAGGACCTTGAGTAATCTTCCTGGCCTCCATCTAACACTGGCCTCTTTCCACACATCCCTGCTTTGTGTTGAGCCTATCACACACCTCTTCATCTAAATTCACGCTACTCTTAGCTCAAATTCGATGATAACTGGGTCTCTTCTCTTGTACGAGACCTCACACTTCTTCCGTAGTGTGATCTCCATTCCTGCAGCAAGGTCCTCAGCCTAATTTTGTTGGGCTACAGTTCTGTGAGACAGGCTCTATCAGTATATTAGATGGGACCATTTCTGCAGCTCAGACATTCTCAGCAGCAGCAATGTTGATCCCAAATAGGTGAAAACTAGTTCTTGGGGAACAACAACAACAAAAAATCTCACAATGGTTTGTGGCTTTCTTTTCCTTCTTTTCTTTCTTTCTTTCTTTCTCTCTCTTTCTTTCCTTCTTTCTCTCTTTCTTTCTTTCTCTCTCTTTC
Organism: Homo sapiens; assembly: GCF_000001405.40. Lineage (NCBI taxonomy): Eukaryota > Metazoa > Chordata > Mammalia > Primates > Hominidae > Homo > Homo sapiens. The sequence continues at coordinate 35,374,265 of NC_000019.10, read as the reverse complement.
CTTCTTTCTTTCTTTCCTTCCTTCTTTCTTTCTCTCTCTCTCTCTTTCCTTCTTTCTCTCTTTCTTTCTCTCTTTCTTTCTTTCCTTCCTTCTTTCTTTCTTTCTCTCTCTCTCTTTCTTTCCTTCTTTCTCTCTTTCTTTCTTTCTCTCTTTCCTTCCTTCTTTCTTTTCCTTCCTTCCTTCCTTCCTTCCTTCCTTCCTTCCTTCCTTCCTTCCTTCCTTCCTTCCTTCCTTCTGTTTTTTGAGACAGAGTCTCACTCTGTCACCCAGGCTGGAGTGCAGTGGTGTAATCTCGGCTCACTGCAACCTCTGCCTCCTGGCCTCAAGTGATTGTCCTGCCTCAGCCTCCCAAGAAGCTGGGTTTACAGGTGCATGCTGCCATATGCGGCTAATATTTGTACTTTTAGTAGAGACAAAGTTTCACCATGTTGGCCAGGCTGGTCTCAAACTCCTGACCTCAAGTGATTCTCTTGCCTCGGCATCCCAAAGTGCTGGGATTATAGGCATGAGCCACTGCGCCCAGCCAGTTTCTGTCTTTGTAAAGGGCCACAACACATAAACCGACAGTGTGTTGGTTGCACTGAAATTGCATAAGCAGGCAGAGGAATGTGCTGTGTAGGAAAGATGTATATCCAAAGAGGCTTCTGAAGGGGACAAGGATGTAAAAAGTTGAAGAGATCCTGCATTAGCTAAGATCGAGGAGCATCGGGTGCCCACTGTGAGTCACCTGCCCAATCATTGACTCCAAGTATCGTAATCTATACTTTTCAAGAAGTCTTCTTTACTGGGGAGAGGATGCACTCACACAGATACTCACTGTGCTTTGCATTTACTTCTGTTCCTTATCACAGCCTGTTTGCATTTGTCCTGCTCAGACAGCCTCATCTGACTGGGCCAGGTGACCACAGGTGACACACAGATGGAGAACAGCAGAGTGGCTTAGGGGCATGGGTGTCAGAGTCAACTGACACCAGCTTCTGGTCCCACTTCAATCGCCCACCAGCTATGGGATCTCGGGTAGGAGATGTCACCTCTCTGGGCCACTCCTTCATCTGAAACTGGGGATAATGCTGGTACCTCTCACAGGGCTATTGAGAGATAGAAGGAGATGATGTGTCAGGCCAAGTCCTTTAGACAGGGCAGCTGTTATTTTCATCCCTGCAAGCCAGATCCTCTCCCAGCATCCAGGCATCCTGGTGTTTGGCCCTTTTCCTCCAGAGTCTGGTGTTTTCTCCTTCCATCCACCAGTCCCACCCGGCCCAAGCACACCACCAGAACAAAACAGGAGAAGAAGGAAACACTGTTCTCTTTTGCTTGCTTCCACATTTATTTGGGTAATTTTTCTTCTGTCATTGTTCATAAATGTCTCTGATGATCCACATTTATTGAGCAATGGGAACTTTCTGGAAAAGGCACTGTGGGAGCAGAATGCGGCCTCATCCCTGGAGCCCTGTCTCCCCCGCTCCTGACTCGCTGGCTGGGAGCAGCTCTGAGGATGGGGTTCTCCCCTCTCCTGCCCCTGCCACTCACTGGGCAGCCCCCTCAGACCTGGGCACTGCTCTTAGCTCCTCTGCCACCCTCAAGAAAACACAGGAGCTGCCTGCTGCTATGAGGACCTCATTGTTCTCCAGAGCAGCCTCTCACCCTGACCCCTTCCCAGAGCCCAATCCATAGTGTGTGGGTGGATGGGGATGGAGGTGAGATCGAGAGCTGGGCTTTAGCGCGCATACCCTTAGGGAGGCTAGATGTCTACTCTGCCCCCAAGCCCCATCGGGCCCCAGCTCGCCACTCCAAGTCCCTCCTGGCGTGAGCGAGGAAGCGCCCTGAGGATGACACGCCAGCTACACCCTCCTCCCCCGGAGGACCTAGTTTTCAGCACAGGCCACCTGGCCACCAGTTCCACAGCCCTGTGAGTGTTCACTGGTCTTTCTTTCAGCTGGTCGGTCCGCTCTCTGCTCCTCCCCTCCCTTCTGCTCCTTCAGCTCCATGCTGCTCTCCTGCTGCCACTGGCCCCAGAGCCCACACAACCTCCTCAGCAGCTCATGAAAGTCGGCTTGGAACCCGGAGGAGGAGAAGTAGTAGACAAAGGGGTCGACACAGGAGTTCAGGGTGCTGAGAAGCGTCACGTAGATCCTCCACACCGGGCTTTCACCGCAGATATAGCCCACGACATGGGACACGTTGTAGGGCCCAAAGCAGACAAGGAAGTTGAGCAGCGTGGCCGCCACCAGCCCCGCCACCCTCCTCTGCCGGCGGTGGCTGCCCCCTCTGCCGAGGATCCACACCAGGCGGCTGTAGCAGTAGCTGGTGATGATCAGCGGGACCACAAAGAGGACCACAGCCATCTCCAGCCGCACGGGCAGGAGGATGGCTAGCTGGTCCTTCCAGAACTCCAGGTAGCAGGTCCCATTGGTGCCCTGGCTGTGGGAGATGTCCCCTGAGAATTCTATGACGTAGACCACGCTGCAGTGAGCAGAGGCCAACAGCCAGCAGGCCACACTCACCAGACCTGCCTGCCCCAGCCTCGGCCGGGTCTTGTACCACAGTGGGTGGGCCACACTCAGGAAGCGTTCAATGCTCACAGCTGCCAGGAAGAGGGCGGTGAGATAGATGGTGGTGAAGAAGATGAATCCAGAGAGTGGGCAGAGGATGAAGGGCAGGGGCCAGTGCATGCCATTGGCTGCCTCCACCATGCGGAAAGGCAGGAACAGCAGCAGGAGCAGGTCCGAGGCGGTCAGGTTGAGCAGGAGCACGTCCACGGCCACCGGGCGGCACCGCAGCTTGCCCACGAAGACCACCAGGGCCAGCAGGTTGAGGGGGAGCCCCACCAGGAAAGTGAGAAGGTACACCGAGAAGACGAACCAGTGATTGCCGGAGAAGTAGGACTGGTCGGGGCCTGTATCCATGGTGGTGGCCACTGGTGAGAGAGAGTAACATGGAGTTGGTAGTGGGGGCCCTAACGGCCTCTGGCCAGCAGCATCTCCCCTAAAAGGGCACGAGGTCACTACGCCCACCCCTCTTGTCTCTGGGTGCCTTCCAGGCGGGGTCAGCCTGCCTGTCTTCCTGAGCATGCCCTGTCCCCTGTCCCTTCCCCAGCAGAGAAGCACCAAGGTGCTCCTCCACCCAGCCCCTCGGGCCCAGGCTCACCTGCTTCTTTGAGACCCCAAATGCTCTGCCGCACAGCACCTTGCTGTCTCTCCAGACCTAGTGCAGTTGGCTATTTATCCGGCAGAACTGATAAAGACCTGGCCGTGCCCATGACATCACTCACTGTTGAGCAGTGGCACAAAGATGCCTTGAGCTCCGTTGCCAGGGCTGGTCAGTATGCAAAAAGGGGAACAAATTCCACAACTGCGTGCCTCCCTCCTTGCGCAGCCTCAGCTGGGATGCTCCAAACAGGCCCCAGCTGACGTCTTCTTCCCCTCCCCTCTCTTCCACTTGAATTTTGTCTGATTCTCTAGAATGGCACTTATCCAGTTTGCCTTTTAAGGGCACAAAGCATGAGCCAGTGACAGACTGGACTCCGTGAGGTCTGTTCCTTCCTGACTTTGTGATGTGGGGGAAGAGATGTGTCTCTTCTTCCTCCCCTACAGAACAGGGATTGTCATAGTACCTGTACCATATTTCAAAGCATGAACACATGCAGATTAAAACATATATACAGGTAGATTAAAATGTTAATAATATAGGTCAATTGCTTTTTGAAAATATTTATTTTAGATTCGGGAGCACATGTGCAGGTTTGTTACATGGGTATATTGCATAATACTGAGGTTTGGGCTTCTATTGAACCCATTACCAAAATTGTGAACATAGTACCCAATAGGCAGTTTTCCCACCCTTGTCCTCCGCCCTCCCTCCCCCACTTTGGAGTCCCCACTGTCTATGGTTTCCATCTTTAATGTTTGCGTGTACCCATTGTTTACCTCCCACTTAAAAGTGAGAACATACAGCATTTGATTTTCTGTTTCTGTGTTAATTCACTTAGGATCATTCACTTAGGCCTCCAGCTGCATTTATGTTGCAGCAAAGGACATGATTTCATTCTTTTTTATAGCTGCATAGTATTTCGTGATGTGTATGTACCATTTTTTCTTTATCTAGTCCACCATTGATGGGCACCTAAGTTGATTCCATCACTTTGCCATTGTGAATAGTGCTGTGACAAACATACACATGCAGGTGTCTTTTTGGTAGAATGATTCCATTTTATGAAAAATGACATTGATAATTTGGTAGGAATTGGGTGGAATCTGTAGATTGCTTTGAGCAGTATGGACATTTTAATGATATTGATTCTTCTAATCCATGAACATGGAATGTTTTTCATTTATTTGTGTTTTTTAGTTCTCCTTGTAGAGATCTTTCACTTTCACTTCCTTGGTTAGATGTATTCCTAGGTATTTTATTTTTGTGTGTGGCTATTGTAATTGGGATTCTGTTCTTTATTTGGCTCACAGCTTGACAATTGTTGGTATATAGTAATGCTACTGATTTTTATACACTGATTTTGCATCCTGAAACTGCCAGTCATTTATCAGGTCTAGGAGTATTTTGGAGGAATCTGTAGGGTTTTCTAGGTATAGAATCATATCATCAGTGAACAGAGATAATTTGACTTCCCCTTTCTATTTGGATGCCTTTTATTCCTTTTTCTTGCCTGATTGCTCTGGCTAGGACTTCCACTACTATGTTGAATAGGAGTAGTGGGAGTAGGCATCCCTGTCTTTTTCCATTTCTTAGGGGGAATGCTTCCAACGTTTGCCCATTCAGTATGATGTTGGCTGTGAGTTTGTCCTGGATGGCTCTTATTATTTTGAGGTGTGTTCCTTCGATGTTTAGTTTTTTGAGGGTTTTTATCATGAAGGGATGTTGGATTTTATTATATGTTTTTTTCTGCATCTATTGAGATGATCATATAATTTTTGTTTTTAATTTTATGTGGTGAGTCACATTTATTGATTTGCATATATTGAAACATCTTTGCATCCCAGGAATAAAGCCCACTTGATCATGCTGAATTATGATTTTGTCATGCTGCTGGATTTGGTTTGCTAGTATTTTATTGAGGATTTTTGGATCTATGTTCATCGGGCTATTGGCCTACAGTTTTCTTTTTTCACTGTGTCCTGCCAGATTACGATATCAGAATCAGACTGTTTTTGTAGAATGAGTAGGGAATCTCTCCTCCTCAATTTTCTGGTAAAGTTTCAGTAGGATTGGTACCATCTCTTCTTTGCAGGTCTGGTAGAGTTTGGCTGTGAATCCATCTGGTCAAGGGCTTTTTAAAGGTGGTAGATATTTTATTACTGATTCAATTTTGTAACTCATTATTGGTCTGCTCAGAGTTTCAATTTCTTTCTGGTTCAATCTTGGTTGTATGTTTCCAGAAATTTATTTGTTTCCTCTAGATTTTCTGATTCATGTGAATATAGATGTTCATCGCAGTCTCTGAGGATCTTTTGTATTTCTGTGGAATTAGTTGTAATCTTGTCTGTGTTATTTCTGATTGTGCTTTTTTGGAGGTTTTTTTTTTTCCTTTGTTAATCTAGCTTGCAGCCTATAAATCTTGTTTATTCTTTCAAAGAACCAATTTTTCATTTCATTGATCCTTTGAATGGCTTATTTGTCACAATTTCGTTTAGCTCTACTCTGATTTTAGTTATTTCTTTTCTTCTGCTAGCTTTGGATTTAGTTTGCTCTTGTTTTTCTAGTTCCTTCAGGTGTAATGTTAGGTTATTAATTTGAGATCTTTCTAACTTCTTGATGTAGGCATTTAGTGATATAAAATTTCCTCTTAAAACTGCTTTTGCTGTATCCCAGAGGTTTTGGTATGTTGTGCCTCTATTTTCAGTTGTTTCAAAGAAGTTTTTGACTTCTGCCTTAATTTTTTGACTTCTTCCTTAATGACTTACCCCAAAGTCATTCAGGAAATAGTTGTTTAGTTTCCATGTATTTGTGTGATTTTGAGAATTCTATTTTTATTCCACTGTGGTCTGAGAAGAAGGTTGGTATAATTTTCATTTCTTTAAATTTATGGAGATTTGCTTCATGACTAAGCATTGGGTCAATCTTAGAGTATCTTCTGTGTGCAGATGAGAAGAACGTATATTTTGTGGTTGTTGGGTAGAGTATTCTGTAGATGTCTATTAGGTCCATTTGATCATGTGTCCAATTTAAGTCCAGAATTTCTTTGTTAGTTTTCTGCCTCAATGATCTGTCTAATGCTGTCAATGGGCTGTTGAAGAACCCCACTATTATTGTGTGGCTGTCCATCTCTTTTCTTAGGTATCGTAGTAATTGTTTTATAAATCTAGGTACTCCAGCGTTGGGTGTTTATATATATAGGATGTTAAATCTTCTTGTTTAATCGAACCCTTTATCATTAGGAAGTGCCCTTATTTGTGCTTTTTTACTGTTGTTGGTTTAAAGTCTGTTTTATCTCATACAACAATAGCAACCCTTTGTTTTCCATTTGCATGAGAGATCTTTCTCCAACCCTTTGAGGGTTTGGGTATCATTATATGTGAGATGGGTCTCTTTAAGACAGCAGAAGGTTGGGTCTCATATTTTTATCCAATTTTCCACACTATGTCTTTTAAGTGGAGTGTATAGGCCATTTACATTCAAGGTTAATATGTGAGGTTTTGTCCCTGTTGTGATTTATCTTCGTGTTGTTAGTTAATTACTTTGTAGTCTTGGTTGGGTAGTTGCTTTATAGGGTCTGTGGGCTTTGTACTTATGTGTGCTTTTGTGGTAGCAAGTATCATTCTTTTGTTTTCATGCTTACAGCTTCTTTGAGCATTTCTTGTTGGACCAGTCTGGTGGTGATGAATTCTCTTACCATTTGATTGTCTAGGAAAGATTTTATTTCTCCTTTGTGACACTTAGTTTGGTAGGATATGAAATTCTTGGCTGGCATTTTTTCTTTAAGAAGCCTAGAAGGCTGGGCGTGGTGGCTCACACCTGTAATCCCAGTACTTTGGGAGGCTGAGGTGGGTGGATCACAAGGTCAGGAGTTTGAGACCAGCCTGGCCAATATGGTGAAACCCCGTCTCTACTAAAAATACAAAAAAATTAGCCGGGCATGGTGGCACATGCCTGTAATCCCAGCTACTTGGGAGGCTGAGGCAGGAGAATTGCATGAACCCGGGAGGCAGAGTTTGCCATGAGCCAAGATCGCACCACTGCACTCCAGCCTGGGCAACAGAGTAAGACTCCATCAAAAAAAAGAAGCCAAAAATAGGCACCCAATCTCTTCTAAATTGTAAGACTTCTGCTAAGAAATCCACTGTTATTCTGAGTGGACTTCCTTTATAGGTAATTTGGCTCTTTTTTCTAGCTTCCTTAAAGATATTTTTCTTTCATGCAGTCTCATGACTATGTGCCTTGGGGATGGTCATTTTGTATAGTACCTCTCAGGCAGTCCCTGAATTTCTTATATCTGCATGTTGACCTCTTTAGCAAGATTAGGGACATTTTCCTGAATTATACGTTAAAATGCATTTTCCAAGTTGCTTATTTTTTCTTCTTCTCTGTCAGGAATGCCAGTGGGTCATAGTTTGGTCATTTCCCATAATCCTATACTTCTCAAAGCCTTTGTTCATTTCTTAAAATTATTTTTCTTTATTTTTGTGTGACTAGGTTAATTTAAAAAATTCATTCTGCCTCTGAAATTCTTCTACTTGGTCTAGTCTATTGTTGAGGTGTCCAACAGTATTTTGAAATTCCTGTAGTAAATTTTTCAATTCCAGAAGTTCTGCTTGATTCTTTTTGTGTTTTGGTTCTTTCTCTCTATATATAGTTTTTTTCCCCCCCTATATATATATCTTTCACATCCTGGCTCATTTTTACGGCTTCTTAGTATTGCATTTCAACTTTCTCTTGGGTCTTGCTGAGTTTCCTTGCCACTCACATTCTGAATTCTAGATCTGTCATTTTCAGCATTTCAATTTGGTCAGGATACATTTCTAGGGAGCTAGTGAGATCCTTTGGAGGTGACAAAACATTCTGGCTTTTTGTACTGCCAGAGTCCTGTGCTGATTCCTTCTCATCTGAGAGGGCTGATGCTTCTTTTTCAAAATTTGCTTTCATTTGGGTGGGGCTTTTTAATTTTTTTATTCTTTTTTTCTGTTGAAGGTATGACTATGGTGTGTGTTGTGTATGATCAACTGGCTTCATTTCTGGATGCTTTCGGAGGGCCAAGGCTCTGTACAAGTTCTTGGTTGCAGATAGGTTCATGCGGTTGCTTTCTCAGATGCCGCATGTTGTAGCAATATATTTTTGTTTCGTGGTGCAATTTAAGCTGAAGTCTAGTAGATGGCACTTAAGAAGAGCTGGCAGGTAGGCCAGGGCCCAGTGGTCACACCTTCCTTGACAGGAGTGGCAGGA